>NC_000009.12:137643186-138334717 GCF_000001405.40 Homo sapiens | reverse complement strand
GAATTCCAACAAACACTTAGATGACTAACACCAATCCTTCCCAAACTCTTCCAAAAAAAATGAAGAAGAGGAATACTTTCAAATTCATTTTTCAAAACCAGCATTACCCTGATACCAAAACCAGAGAAGGACACTATAATAAAAATAAATTGCAGACCAATACTCCTGATGAACTTGGATGGAAAAACCTTCAGCCAAATATTAGCAAATATTATTTTTAAAAAAAAACAGCAAAAAAATTCACCATGCTTAAGTGGGATTCATCCCTGGGAAGCTTATTAGTCTTATTTGATTCGTGTAATCAGAAAATTTCTATGTCTAGTGAAGAGAAATGAGAGCAATAGAGACTCATAGCACCTCAACAAATGTCCAGGCTTGAGCCAGTTAACAAATACAAGTCCTTCAAATACAAAAAAGACTGTGAAAGAAAATAGAACAGATCAATGAGACTAAGAATTTGTTCTTTGAAAAGATAAAACTGACAAACCATTAGCTAGACTAGAAAAATGAGAGAATACTCAAAGCAATAAAATCAGAAATGAAAGAGGAAATATTGCAACTAATACCACAGAAATACAGAGGATCATAAGAGGCCACTATAAACAATTACAAGCCAACAAATTGGATAACCTAGAAAAAGCAGATAAATTTCTAGAAAAATGCAACTTACCTAGAGAAAGTCAAGAAGAAAGATAAAATCTGAACAGAACAATACTGAGTATGGAGAGTATATCAATAATAAAACATCTCCCATCAAAGAACATCCCAGGACCAGAAAACTTCATTGCTGAATTCTAACATTTTAAAAAATAATAATACAATCCTTCTGAAATTCTTCCAAAAACTTGAAGGAGAAAGAGTATTTCCAAACTCATTTTAAAAGATCAGCATTATTGTTTTTTTTTAAAGTGATGTTCCCCTTCCTGTGTCCATGTGTTCTCATTGTCCAATTCCCACCTATGAGTGAGAACATGCGGTGTTTGGTTTTTTGTCCTTGTGATTGTTTGCTGAGAATGATGGTTTCCAGCTTCACCCATGTCCCTACAAAGGACATGAACTCATCATTTTTTATGGCTGCATAGTATTCCATGGTGTATATGTGCCACATTTTCTTAATCCAGTCTATCATTGTTGGACATTTGGATTGGTTCCAAGTCTTTGCTATTGTGAATAGTGCCACAGTAAACATACGTGTGCATGTGTCTTTATAGCAGCATGATTTATAGTCCTTTGGGTATATACCCAGTAATGGGATGGCTGGGTCAAATGGTATTTCTAGTTCTAGATCCCTGCGGAATCGCCACACTGTCTTCCACAATGGTTGAACTAGTTTACAGTCCCACCAACAGTGTAAAAATGTTCCTATTTCTCCACATCCTCTCCAGCACCTGTTGTTTCCTGACTTTTTAATGATGGCCATTCTAACTGGTGTAAGATGGTATCTCATTGTGGTTTTGATTTGCATTTCTCTGATGGCCAGTGATAGTGAGCATTTTTTCATGTGTTTTTTGGCTGCATAAATGTCTTCTTTTGAGAAGTGTCTGTTCATATCCTTTGCCCACTTTTTGATGGGGTTGTTTGTTTTTTTCTTGTAAATTTGTTTGGGTTCATTGTAGATTCCGGATATTAGCACTGGGGCCTGTTGTGGGGTGGGGGGAGGGGGGAGGGATAGCATTAGGAGATATACCTAATGTTAAATGATGAGTTAATGGGTGCAGCACACCAGTATGGCACATGTATACATATGTAACTAACCTGTACGTTGTGCACATGTATCCTAAAACTTAAAGTATAATTTAAAAAATAAATAAATAAAAATAAAAATAAAAAGGCAAACAAGGACACTATAAGAAAAGTATGGGCCAACCAATATCCCTGATGAACACAGATACAAAAGTCCTCAAAAAAAAGTACTAGCAAGCAGAATTTAACAACATATTAGGAGAACATTTACCATGATAAAGTGGATTTATCCTCCAGATGTTTCAGCAAACACAAATCAAATGTGATAAACCACATTAACAGAATGAAGGATAAAAAAATAGCTATCTCTATATATGCAGAAAAAGCATTTGACTAAATTCAAAATCCTCTCATGACTAAACCTCTCAACAAATTGGGCATAGAAGGCATGTACCTTAACACAAAACAGGACATATATAACAAGCTCACAGCTCACATCATACCCAACAATGAAAAAGTGAAATCTTTTCTGCTAAGATCAAAAACAAGACAAGGATATTTATTCTCACTACTTCTATTCAACTTATTTCTGGAAGTCCTAGCCAGAGCAATTAAGCCAAATAAAGAAATAAAAGATTCAAATTGAAAAGGAAGAAGTAAAATTGTCTCTGTTTGATGACATATTATATATAGGAAACCCTAAAAACTCCACCAAAAAGCTATTAGAAATGATAAATGAATTCAATAAAATTTCAGAATTCAAAATCAATGTACAAAACTCAGTAGTTTCTTTACACTCACAACAAACTATATGACAAAAATAAAGAAATCAATCTCATTCACAGTAGCATCAAAAAAAACGTATTTTTTTTGTTTAGGAGCACATTTAGGATTGTACTTAGGAGTACATTTAACCAAGGAGGTGAAAGATCTGTATTCTGAACACTATAAAACATTGATGAAAAATTGTAGATGACACAAATACATGGAAAGATATTTTATGTTCATGGGTAGGAAGAATTAATATTCTTAAAATGTCCTTACTGCCCAAAGCGATTTATAGGTTTAATGCAATATTTATCAAAATTTCAATGTCATTCTTCACAGAAATAGAAAAAACAATTTGAAAATTTATATGGAACCACAAAGGATCCTGAATAACTAAAGGACTCTTGAGCAATAAGAACAAAGCTGAAGGCCTCACAATCTGACTTCAAAACATATTACAGGAAAAGAACAAAAGAAGGAAGAAGAGGGTAGAGGAGAAGTGCAGCAAGGGTGGAGGGAGGTGCCCACGCTGGGTCGGAGGAGCAGGAGGAGTATGGAGGGAAGACTCCTGGGTGGCATGGAGCTCTTGCACCTCTAGGCACTGCCCAGCCCTGTGTCAGCCAGGGCTGAACCCCCACAGGATAAGGAAGCCTGTGTGTGTACCAACAATCAAAGCTACATCTGTGACACAACAGGACACTGCTATGGGCAGTCTCAGTGTTGTAACTACTACTATGAACATTGGTGGTTCTGGCTGGCGTGGACCATCACCATCATCCTGAGCTGCTGCTGTGTCTGCCACCACAGCCAAGCCAGCCCTCAAGTCCAGCAGTAGCAACATGAAATCAACCTGACTGCCTATCCAGAAGCCCGCAATTACTCAGTGCTACCATTTTATTTCACCAAACTATTTATTACCTTCTTATGAGGAAGTGGTGAACTAACCTCCACCTGTTTCCCTCCCTGTCTGTCCATTGTGGATGAGCTCTGAGCCCTGTTTTCCTGTGAAGATTCTTTGAATTGCAGCCATTCTATTCACATGAACTCTCACATCTGGAGCACAGATGGCCCTCTCAAGGTAATTTATTGTATGCATTGACTGTTTACCAAACAAATGTCTTACTATGTACTCAGGTATATTCAGCAGCATTGTCGACTGCAGTCCCCTATGCTTGCCAGAAGATACTGTATTCAAAGTAGAAGTTTCACAGTGATGAGTAATCACTGCAATTTTCCCATTGCTCCATGGACTCTCGGAGGCCGGTGTTCTGTTCCCTGTAAATAGAGATGTACTCTGAACCTTTCTGCCTCCCTCAGCTGTTCCTAGTCCTTGGTATCAGCCCCTGGAGATGTCCACAACCACTTAGGACAAAAGGCAAAAGTGGAATTTCAGACAAAACTTTGATAGGATCTTCAGTGATAAACTTGGACTAACTGTGGCCCAGGTATCAGCACTCCCAAGAATTGCCAGGAGGAAGCTTTGGCAGACACCACAGGTATGGCAAGGCCTATCTCCCTCTGCTGAATCCAACAGGGGCAAGCAAGCTGGCATGTGGCTTGAGGTGACCCGAATATGTCAGCACCCCTCAGATGTCTTTCTTTGCACTTTTGAAAAAAATCTCAGAATTTGCTGGCAACATGGCCAAATAGGAACAGCTCCAGTCTGCAGCTCCCAGTGAGATCAATGCAGAATGCAGGTGATTTCTGCATTTCCAACTGAGGTACCTGGTTCATCTCACTGGGACTGGTTGGACAGTGGGTGCAGCCCACGGAGGGTGAGCCAAAGCAGAATGGGGTGTTGCCTCACCCAGGAAGTGCAAGGGGTTGGGGGAATTCCCTCCCCTAGCCAAGGGAAGCCCCGAGGGACTGTACCATGAGGAACGGTGCACTCCACCCAGAAACTATGCTTTTCTCATGGTCTTCACAATCCACAGACCAGGAGATTCCCTCCAGTGCCTCTGCCACCAAGGCCCTAGGTTTCAAGCACAAAACTAGGCAGCTGTTTGGGCAGACACCGAGCTAGCTGCAGGAGGTTTTTTTTTTTTCATGCCACAGTGGCAACTGGAATGCCAACAAGACAGAACCATTCTCTCTCCTGGAAAGGGGGCTGAAGCCAGGGAGCCAAGTGGTCTGGCTCGGCGGGTCCCACCCCTACAGAGCCCAGCAAGCTAAGATCCACTGGCTTGAAATTCTTGCACAGCAGTCTGAGGTTGACCTAGGACACTAGAGCTTGGTGGGGGGAGGGGCTTCCACATTGCCAAGGCTTGAGTAGGCAGTTTTACCCCCACTGTGTAAACAAAGCCACCAGAAAGTTTGAACTGGGTGGAGCCCACCACAACTCAGCAAGGCCACAGCAGCCAGACTGCCTCTCTAGATTTCTCCTCTCTGGGCAAGGCATCTCTGAAAAAAGGGCAGCAGCCCCAGTCAGAGACCTATAGATAAAACCCCCATCTCCCTGGAACAGAGCACCTAGGGGAAAGGGCGGCTGTGGGCACAGCTTCAGCAGACTTAAAGCATCTTTGAAAAGCCTGATGGCTCTGAAGAGAGCAGCAGATCTCCCTGCACAGTATTCGAGCTCTGATAAGGGTCAGACTGCCTCCTCAAGTGGGTCCCTGACCCCCGTGTATCCTGACTGGGAGACACCTCCCAGTAGGTGCCAACAGGCACCTCATACAGGAGAGCTCTGGCTGGCATCTGGTGGGTGCCCCTCTGGGACAAAACTTCCAGAGGAAGAAACAGGCAGCAATCTTGGCTGTTCTCCAGCCTCTGCTGGTGATACCCAGGCAAACAGGGTCTAGAGTAGACCTAGGGCAAACCCCAACAGACCTGCAGCAGAGGGGCCTGACTGTTAGAAGGAAAACTAACAAACAAAAAGGAATAGCATCAACATCAACAAAAAGGACAGCCACTCAGTGACCCCATCAGAAGGTCACCAACATCAGAAACCACAGGTAGATAAATCCATGAAGATGGAGAGAAACCAGAGCAAAAAGGCTGAAAATTCCAAAAACCAGAACGCCTCTTCTCCTCCAAAGGATCACAACTCCTCACCAGCAAGGGAACAAAAGAAAACTGGACAGAGAATGAGTTTGACGAATTGAGAGAAGTAGGTTTCAGAAGGTAGGTAATAACAAACTCCTCCAAGCTAAAGGAGCATGTCCTAACCCAATGTAAGGAAGCTAAGGACCTGGAAAAAAGGCTAGACCACTTGCTAACTAGAATAACCAGTTTAGAGAAGAACATAAATGACCTGATGGAGCTGAAAAACACGCCATGAGAACTTCATGCAGCATGCACAAGGATCAAGCACTGATTCGGTCAAGCGGAAGAAAGATATCAGAGACTGAATATCAACTTAATGAAATAAATCAAGAAGACAAGATTAGAGAAAAAAGAATGAAAAGAAATGAACAAAGCCTCCAAGAAATATGGGACTATGTGAAACGACCAAATCTACGTTTGATTGCTGTACCTGAAAGTGATGGGGAGAATGGAACCAAGTTAGAAAACACTCTTCGGGATATTATCCAGGAGAACTTCCCTAACCTAGCAAGGCAGGCCAATATTCAAATTCAGAAATATGGAGAACATCACAAAGACACTCCTCAAGAAAAGCAACCCCAAGACACATAGTCATCAGATTGAGCAAGGTTGAAATGAAGGAAAAAATGTTAAGGGCAGCCAGAGAGAAAGGTCAGGTTACCCACAAAGGGAAGCCCATCAGACTAACAGCAGATCTATCAGCAGAAACTCTACAAGCCAGAAGAGAATGGGGGCCAATATTCAACATTCTTAAAGAAAAGAATTTTCCACCCAGGATTTCATATCCAGCCAAACTAAGCTTCATAAGTGAAGGAGAAATAAAATCCTTTACAGACAAGCAAATGCTGAGAGATTTTGTCACCACCAGGCCTGCCTTAAAGGAGCTCCTGAAGGAAGCACTAAACATGGAAAGGAACAACTGGTATCAGCCACTGCAAAAACATACCAAATTGTAAAGACCGTTGACACTATGAAGAAACTGCATTAACTAACAGCAAAATAACCAGCTAGCATCGTAATGACAGGATCAAATTCACACATAACAATATCAACCTTAAATGTAAATGGGCTAAATGCTCCAATTAAAAAACACAGACTGGCAAATTGGCTAAAGAGTCAAGACCCATCAGTGTTCTGTATTCAGGAGACCCATCTCACGTGCAAAGACACAAATAGGCTCAAAATAAAGGGATGGAGGAATACTTACCAAGCAAATGGAAGGCAAAAAAAAGCAGGGGTTGCAATCCTAGTCTCTGATAAAACAGACTTTAAACCAACAAAGATCAAAAGAGACAAATAAGGGCATTGCATAATGGTAAAAGGATCAATGCAACAAGAAGAGCTAATTATCCTAAATATATATGCACCCAACACAGGAGCACCCAGATGCATAAAGTAAGCTCTTAGAGACTTAAAAAGAGACTTAGACCCTCACACAATAATAGTGGGAGACTTTAACACCCCACTGTCAATACTAGACAGATCAACGAAACAGAAAGTTAACAAGGATATCCAGGACTTGAACTCAGCTCTGGACCAAGTGGATCCAATAGGCAGCTACAGAACTCTCCACCCCAAATCAACGGAATATACATTCTTCTCAGCACCACATTGCACTTATTCTAAAATTGACCACATATTTGGAAGTAAAACACTCCTCAGCAAATGCAAAAAAAAATGGGAATCATAACAGTCTCTCAGATCGCAGTGCAATTAAATTAGAACTCAGGATTAAGAAACTGACTCAAACCCACACAACTACATGTAAACTGAACAACCTGCTCCTGAACAACTACTGGGTAAATAAAGATATTAAGGCAGAAATAAATAAGTTATTTGAAACCAATGAGAACAAAGACATAACATACCAGAATCTCTGGTACACAATTATAGTAGTGTGTAGAGGGAAATTTATAGCACTAAATGCCCACAAGAGAAAGCAGGAAAGATCTAAAATTGACACCCTAACATCTCAATTAAAAGAACTCAAGAGGCAGGAGCATACAAAAAGCTAGCAGAGGACAATAAATAACTAAGATCAGAGCAGAACTGAAGGAGATAGAGACACAAAAAAACCTTCAAAAAAAAATCAATGAATCCAGGAGCTGGTTTTTTGAAAATATCAATAAAATAGATAGACCACTAGCCAGACTCATAAAGAAGAAAACAGAGAAGAATCAAACAGATGCAATAAAAAATGATAAAGGAGATACCACCACTGATCCCACAGAAATACAAACTACTATCAGAGAATACTATAAACACCTCTACACAAACTAGAAAATCTAGAAGAAATGGACAAATTCCTGGACACATACGCCCTCCCAAGACTAAACCAGGAAGAAGTTGAATCCCTGAATAGACCAATAACAAGGTCTGAAATTGTGGCAGTAATTAATAGCCTACCAACCAAAAAACAGTCCAGGACCAGATGGATTCACAGCCGAATTCTACCAGAGGTACAAAGAGGAGTTGGTACCATTCCTTCTGAAACTATTCCAAACAACAGAAAAAGAGAGAATCCTCCCTAACTCATTTTATGAGGCCAGAATAATTCTGGTACCAAAATTTGGCAGAGACACACACAAAAAAAAGAAAATTTCAAGCCAATATCCCTGATGAACATCGATGCAAAAATCCTCAATAAAATACTGGCAAACCAAATCCAGCAGCACATCAAAAGCTTGTCCACCACAATCAAGTCGGCTTCATCCCTGGGATACAAGGCTAGTTCAACATACGCAAATCAATAAACATAATTCATCATATAAATAGAACCAATGGCAAAAACCACATGCTTCTCTCAATAGATGCAGAAAAGGCCTTCGACAAAATTCAGCAGCCCTTCATGCTAAAAACTCTCAATAAACTAGGTACTGATGGAACATATCTCAAAATAATAATACCTATTTATGAAAAACCCACAGCCAATACTGAATGGTGAAAAACTGGAAGCATTCCCTTTGAAAACCAGCACAAGACAAGGATGCCCTATCTCACCACTCCTATTCAACGTAGTATTGGAAGTTCTGGCCAGGGCAATCAGGCAAGAGAAAGAAATTGTCTCTGTTTGCAGATGACATGATTGTGTATTTAGAAAACCCCATGGTCTCAGCCCAAAATCTTCTTAAGCTAATAAGCAACTTCAGAAAAGTCTCAGGATACAAAATCAATGTGCAAAAATCAAGCATTCCTATATGCAAAAAACAGACAAACAGAGAGCCAAATCATGAGTGAACTCTCCCATTCACAATTGCTACTATGAGAATAAAATACCTAGGAATCCAACTTACAAGGGATGTGAAGGACCTCTTCAAGGAGAACTACAAACCACTGCTCAAGGAAATAAGAGAGGACACAAACAAATGGAAAAACATTCCATGCTCATGGATAGGAAGAATCAATATCATGAAAATGGACATACTGCCCAAAGTTTTTATAGACTCAATGCTATCCCCATCAAGCTACCACTGACTTTGTTCACAGAATTGGAAAAAACTACTTTAAATTTCATATGGAACCAAAAATGAGCCCGCAGAGCTAGGACAGTCCTAAGCAAGTAGAACAAATCTGGAGGCATCACGCTGTCTGACTTCAAACTATACTACAAGCCTTCAGTAACCAAAACAGCATGGTACTGGTACCAAAACAGATATGTAGACCAATGGAACAGAACAGAGGCCTCAGAAATAACGCCACACATCTACAACTATCTGATCTTTGACAAACCTGACAAAAACAAGCAATGGGGAAACGATTCCCTTTTTAATAAATGGTGTTGGGAAAACTGGCTAGCCATATGCAGAAAACTGAAACTGGATCCCTTCCTTACACCTTACACAAAAATTAGCTCACGATGTATTAAAGACTTAAACATAAGATCTAAAACCATAAAAAACCCTAGAAGAAAACCTAGGCAATACCATTCAGTACATAGGCATGGACAAAAACTTCATGACTAAAACACCAAAAGCAATTGCAACAAAAACCAAAATAGACAAATGGGATCTAATTAAACTAAAGAGCTTCTGCACAGCAAAAGAAACTGTCATCAGAGTGAACAGGCAACCTACAGAATGGGTGAAAATTTTTGCAATCTATCCATCTGACAAAGGGCTAATATCCAGAATCTACAAAGAACTTAAACAATTTACAAGAAAATAACAAACAAACCCATCAATGGGTGAAGGATATGAACTGACATTTCTCTAAAGAAGACATTTATGCAGCCAACAAACATATGAAAAAAAGCTCATCATCACTGGTCATCAGAGAAATGCATATCAATACCACAATGAGATACCATCTCACGCCAGATAGAATGGCGATCATTAAAAAGTCAGGAAACAACAGATGCTGGAAAGGATGTGGAGAAATAAGAATGCTTTTACACTGTTGGTGGGAGTGTAAATTAGTTCAACCATTGTGGAAGACAGTGTGGTGATTCCTCAAGGTTCTAGAACTAGAAATATGATTTGACCCAGCAATCGCATTACTGGGTATATATCCAAAGGATTATAAATCATTCTACCATAAAGACACATGCATACATATGTTTATTGTGGCACTGTTCACAATAGCAAAGACTTGGAACCAACCAAAATGCCCATTCAATGATAGACTGCATAAAGAAAATGTGGCACATATACACCATGGAATACTATGCAGCCATAAAGAAGGATGAGTTCATATCCTTTTCAGGGACATGGATGAAGCTGGAAACCATCATTCTCAGCAAACTAATCCAAGAACAGAAAACCAAACACCCGATGTTCTCACTCATAAATGGGAGTTGAACAATGAGAACACATGGACAGAGGGAGGGGAACACAACACACCGGGGCCTGTCTGGGGGTAGGGGCTAGGGGAAGGTTAGCATTGGGTTAAATACCTAATGTAGATGATGGGTTGATGGGTGCAGCAAACCACCATGGCACGTGTATACCTATGTAACAATCCTGCATGTTCTGCACATGTACCCCAGAACTTAAAATATAATTTAAAAAAAAATCTCAAACAACTCACTGAAGTGTCTCAAAGCTGAACAAGTTTTACCAAAATGAATCCTTCTCAGTTAACTGATCAAATGGATGAATCCTGACCCTCTGAAGTCTCTTTCCTGAGTTAGAGCAGGGAACTGCTCTGAGTGTTAACTGTTGGATTCACTGCAGTGTCCTACAATATTTTACAAGAAGATGAAAAGGCAACCTGCAGACCTAGGCTTGATTCCCAAGTCACAGTCTGACCCCTGCTACAGGAGGTTACCCTCCTCAGGAAGAGATAGAAATAGGGAATTTGAAGGAATAGTGAGGGGACCAGGGAGATTTGATTGAGTCTGGTTTCCAGGTGAATTAAAAGGAAGGGTGTCATCCAGGGTTTGTTGCTACAGTCAAAAGAATAAATAAATCAATGAAGAAATACCTTCATTGTCTGTGGTTTTCATGCAGATATACTCATGGAGGTTGTATCTCTCCAAAAACAGACAAATCCAAGGCTGTGAACAAGCATCCGCATTTGAATTCCATTAAACCAAAATCTATGTTGAACGAAGTGAAGTCTGTACACAGCATTGCAAATGTGAACACATTCCTGTGTGAGGCACATCAACATTTGTCAGTTATTGTGAATATGTGTATTTTTAAGCAATAAGATGCAGCTGGTCAGTTTTCTGGGCAATCTTGGCGATGCATTTCCTGTGCTGTGGTTGTTCTCTAACCACTGTGAGAAACCCAAATAAAAATCGATCCCCCCCCAAAACAAATACGTATCACAAAACCATAGTAATCAAAACAACATGACACTTGCACAAAAACAGACACATTGACCAGGGGAACAGAATAAGGAGCCCAGAAATAAACTCATGCATTTATGACCAATAAATTTTTGACAAAGGTGCCCAGAAAACGTAATGAAGAATAGACATTTGTTTCAATAAATGGTGTTAAGAAAACTAGATATCCACATGCAGAAGAACACGAATGTGTATGGTGTGTATCCTTATCTCACACCATACACAAAAATCAATTCAAAATGGATTAAAGGTTTAAACATAAAACTGTAAAACTACTAGATGAAAACATAGGGGAAAAGTTCCACAATGTTGGTTTGGTCAAAGATTTCTTGGATATAACCCCCAAAGCACAGGCAACAAAAGCAAAAATATATGGGATTGCATCAAACTAAAAAGCTTCTGCACAGCAAAGGAAACAATATGGTGAAGAGACAACCTACAAGTTGTGAGAAAATATTTGCAGAGCATACATCTGATGAAAGGCTAATCTCCAAATATATAAGGGACTCAACTCAATATCAAGAAAACAAATAACCAAGTCAAAAAATGGGCAAGGTCCTAAATAGACATTTCTCAAAAAAAATACAAATGACTAACATAAAAAAAGTTTGTCATCCTAATTATCAGGGAAATGCAAATTAAAATGACAGTGAGATGCCACTTCATACCTGTTAGAATGGCTACTATCAAAATGATAAAAGATAACAAGTGTTGAAGAGGATACAGAGAAAAGGGAACCCTCGTACACTGTTGGTGGAAATGTAAATTAATACTATTATGAAAAATAGATAAAAGTTACTCAAAAAACTAAAACTAGAATTACTATATGATCCAGCAATCCCACTTCCTTGTATATATCCAAAGGAATTTAAGTCAATATGCTGAAGAGATATCTCCAGGCTCATGTTCATTGCAGCATTATTCACAATACCCAAATATGAAATCAACACAGGTGTCTATCAACTGACAAATGGATGAAGAAAATGTAGTGTATATATACAATGGAATACTACTCAGCCTTAATAGGAAGGAAAACCTGATATATGTGACAACATGAATTAACCCAGAAGATATCACGCTAAGTGAAATAAGCCAGGCACGAAAAGACAAATATCACATGATCTCACTGATATGTGGAATCTGAAAAAGTTGAATTCATAGAAGTAGAGAATGGAATGGTGATTATCAGAGGCTAGGAGTTGGGGGTAGACATGGAAAAGGTAGATGTTGATAAAAGGGTTCAAAGTTTCAGTTAGACAAAGTTTCAGTGAACTATTGCACAGAATGGTGACTGTAATAAATAACAAGGTATTGTATGTTTCAAAATGACTAACAGAGTAGATTTTAAATGTTTTCACCACAAAAAAGATATGTATGTCAATAAGATAGACCTAATCTTTCCACAATTTAAACATGTATCAAAACATTACATTGTACCCCATAGATACAATTATTATTTGTCAATTTAAAATTTTTCACTAATTTATATTGTTATTGTTGCACCAACTCCTTTCCACCAGGCAGATTCTCATAAAGACTATTTTCTCTCTTACATGAAGCATTTCCTACACACCTCTTAATCACGGTAGCATTGACATCATTCCACCAGATTCTATCTCCAGTGTTAAAATAATCAAGAACCCAGAAATCTCCACCAGGGGGCAACCAATGCGTATCAAAGTTTCCCACTTTCCTTTAGATTTACTTATGGGTAACTTATGGGAAAAAATACTTAAGTACTTCCCTTTTTAAAGAAAAAAATTATATGAATTCTACAAAATTATGGCAGAAAATTTAAGAAGAGCAGATGCTTCCCAACTCATTCTAAAGGGCCAGCATTACCCTGATTCTGAAATGAAAAAGCTTTACAAAATCCAAGATCCATTCCTGACTAAAGATAAAAGAAATTTTCAGCAAACTGTGAATACAGAAAACTTTCTCAGCCTGTTAAAGAGTACCTATGAAAAAAATTATAGCTAACATTATACTTAATGATGAAATATTTAATATATTTCATAACAGGAACAAGTCAAAGATGTCTGCTCTAACTAATTCTACTCAGCATTCAACAAAATGAATATAGTGAATTCATACTAGAATTTTAAAAGCAAATGTCTTTATTCACTGACAACATAATCATCTATAAAGAAAATCCTACATAACCTATAAAAAACTGATGGAACTAATAAGTTTTGCAAGTTTACAGGATATAATGTCAAACAAAGATCTATTATGTGCCCATAAGCTAAGAATAAACAATTGTAAATTGAAATAAAAATGTCACTTAAAAGGGCATCAGAAATATAAAACTTAGAGATAAATATAAAGTACATATGCATAAAGTACCTGTTCACCAAAAACTACAAAACATTGCTGAAAGAAATTAAATGGGCATAATATAGATGTAGAGATGTGTTGAATTTATGACTCATTTTGAACAAGGAATATATTCATCATATATTCATCAGATAAGAATTATGTTACAGGTCTAATAACATTCAAATCAATACATAATGTCTCATAGTTCCTGAATCTAAAATATCAAAGAAAGAAACATAAAGCCATATCATGTTTAACGAGAAGGGCTTATTGTATCATTTATGAGATCTTCTTGTAAATCACTAGCTGTTTGCATACTCTCTTTATTGCTGCCTTCATCTCCTTATTCCTGAATGTATAGACAACTGGATTCAGAAAAGGAGTGAGAACTGCATCAAAAATAGCCAGAAACTTGTCCATCTGTGAATTAGGGTGTGGCCATGTATACACAAACATGGGTGGACCAAAGAACAAAAGGACCGCTGTGCTGTGAGCTGAAAGAGTGGAAAGGGCCTTGGATGAACCACCTGAGGAATGTTTCCAAACAGTAAACAGGATGAAGACGTAGGAGATTAGAAGTATGAAGAAAGTACCCACACAGATAAACCCACTGTTAACAGTGACCATGAACTGCAATCTGTAGGTGTCGGTACAGGCTAGTCTGAGAAGCTGAGGAAGGTCACAGTAGAAGCTGTCCAACACATTAGGGCCACAGAAGGGTAAATTAACAAGAAATGCCAGTTGGAACAGGGAGTGACTGACAACAAGGGTCCAGGCAACAGCCAGAAATGAAAGGCACATTCTTGGGCTCATAATGGTCAGATAGTGGAGGGGCTTAATAGGGCCACATAACTGTCAAAGGCCATGGCTATGAGCAGCACCATCTCCACACCACCAATGACGTGGATGAAGAAGATTTGAGCGATGCAGCCTCCAAAGGAGATGACTTTGCGCTTTCTGAACAGGTCATAAATCATCTTGGGAGAAGTGACAGAGCAGGCTCCTAAGTCAATGAAGGAGAGACTGACCAGTAGAAAGTACATGGGGGAGTGTAAGTGAGGGTCAGTGGTCACAGAAAACACAATGAGGATGTTTCCAGTAATGCTTGCCACATAGAGCACAGAGGAAAACACTAGGAGGAGGAGCTGGATCTCCCATGAATGAGTGAGTCCCAGAAACAAAAACTCAGATACCACTGAGTGATTCTCTCCATCCATTGGTCCAGCCAACTGGGCTGTGGCTAAAATTATGAGAACTAAGAAAATGGGGAGGAAATTGTGATTATGAAGATAATATGTACTAAAATCAATATTGCAATGTCACTATGAATAAATAGTATACAGTTATTCTGTTCCTCACATATTAAAAACAAAAAATCAACATAATATTATCACAACATGTGAGCTGCAACCTGATTTAAACCCATCATCAATACTTTCAGTGTAATGTCTGATCTAAAATTAACAGATTAGGTAAGAACAAGATTCCTGACTATCCATGAAATTCATCAGGTGTTTAAATGACCTGCGATATTAACTATTCCTCATTTCCAACATATTCCATTTGTACTTATACATATTCTTATAATTTCCTTCCCTTCCCAGTTTGCAGCCACAATTCTCTGACAGAAAGTAGACATAAGAGGAAAACATGATTAACAGATGGATTATCACCTGCAGTAAGAGGTGCCTGGGACGGACTTAGTTGAGGTAGGCTGTGGATTGAGACAGAATATAGAGACTGGGGTATGTGAAATCGGAAAGCCCACAACTGTAGCAGAACAGAGTAAGTGGACTTTCACAAGAAATAGAATCACCACCATTATCTACCACATTTTCTCCTGCTCACTGCTATTTAAGTGCCTCAGTTTCTATACAATCTTTCACAATTACGAAGCCCTAAATGGCTTCCCATCCTGCAGTGATTTCATAAGGAGCCTATGCCACCTGTCATGTAAGGCTTTTTCCATGCCTAATAAATATGTTTTGGAGGGATTTCACCAGAGTTTTTGCTAAGATGCATAAAATGGCCACAGAGGTTGTGAGAAATCTCTGCAGTTTCTCTTTGTCTATACACATGAAAGTATTGAAGACCAGCACTTGGATTAGTTAAGATAATGTTTTAATTCATCACTGTCTCCTCCTCCCCTTGGTACCAGCTTTTATGTTCATTGCATTCCCCATCCTTTTAAGTACTCAGTACCTCCTGCATGGTAACCTATTCTGATATTTGATATTATCATGCTTAATTTGACTGAATCCATTTGGATATTTTATCTTTAAGAAATTTGTAGTTTTATACTTTTAATTTATGATAAAATTAGATTAATATCAAACATTAACAAGTGACTTTTAGGAAGGTATATGAGCTTTCTTATTGACTTCAAACTATAAAGTACAAACTGTGACACTAGAAATTTAGTCCTTTAACACATGTTGTATTTATATGTGAAGTGGAGGGTGAGCAGAAAACAGTGTTATATTTCTCTGTGTCCAGATGGATACTCACCTCAATCATTTTCCTATAGTAGAAAGTAGTTCCTGAAAACACTTAATAGAGATTATTTTAGAAGTTGCTGAGGTACAAATAAAACTGCTATGCTGACATCATACTTTTTTGCACCAACAACTCCAGTTCTTCTGACACAAAGGACCATCTTCCTAGTGCCATAATTTATCTTAGACCCCAAAACTCACAGAGGCACACATCATATCTCTAATACTTGCTCACCACCACTGGCATGAGTCTCTCTCTATCCTCTTCTACGTGAAGTGATTATACTGTCACCTCTGGAGCTAACTGTCCACAGTCTCAAGATGCACACTTTTACAACCAGAAGCCTATGGACTGGGTGAGGGAGCAGAAACAGCCACAGGTACTGCCCATCAGGGTAATGTAAGTCAGCATGCAAACAACTGATCAGATGAACATGAATAGCAAGGTGCTGAGGCACTGGGAAGAGGGACCGGAAAACTCTATAATTGTTGAAAAAGACTCAAGCCCTTGGGAAGGGAAATGCCTACGAAATTATATAAAGACCATTTTATCCAAGTTGGTCATCATTCAGATGAAAACCATGAGGCCCAGAAAAGTAAACTGAGTTTCCAGAATTCACACAATTGATAGAATAGGAACCAGAATTCAGGCCTCTTGCTTCCTATTCCAGAAAGACAAATTGCAATAATAATCAAATAATATGAGCAATCATCCAGTAAAAATAATCTAGTAAAAACAGCAAAACTCAAAAGAGTGATTTTTCCTGGTTAAGACCAAAACTAACCATAGATTGCTATACATAGTATCTATTATAAATACTGAATTATATAGCAGCCTGACAATAAATACATAAAATGTGTACACAAAGATTATTGAACCTGTACAATACAGTAGTAAATAGTAACTTTATATTTGCAAAGTGACTGATCATTACTATCAGAATTTGTACCCATTCTTCATATTTTGTTGGTCATATAACCAGTTACTACAACTGCAAAAACAACCTAAGGTCATGTTTCTGTGAAGTCCATCCTTTTGGTCTTTAAATTTTATTATCCTCAAAGGTCAATTATGATCTCAATCTTTTCTTGTAATTTTACTGACAATTCTCCTTCACACTGATTTGTTCTTTCTCTAATTCCTGTAAATAGAAAGAACCAAAAAAAGTTGAAAAAACATGTATTGTACATATAACAAACAATCATATGTGGTATACAATATATATCAAATGAGTATTAAGATAAACATTCAAAGAGTTTTAAAGAAAAAAGTGTTATAGATATTGGAGGGCAGAAGAGACGATTGCCATTAAGAACAGGTGGAGGAGGTTATGCCAAGGACATTGACCTGACCCTTTAGGAATTAGTGAAAATTGAATAGGAGAAGAATGAGGTATACAATGTGTGAAAAATACCTAAATTGATATAACAGGAGGAGACCTTTTCATATCAATTATCATTACTTCTGTGTATATAACCATATTAGATACCCACAAACGAATAGAAAGTGGATAGTTCTTGATTGACAAGTAAGACTAATAATCCCAGATCATAGTAAGGTCTTAACTTCAAGTCAATAATCTTTATTACTTATGGTTCATTCCTCTCCCTCATGTTTTCCAATAATTTTAAAATGCATAATTAAAACAATTCTCATTTAAAAACATAGTAGCCATGACTAATGATCTTCCAGTGGGAAGGTACTAAGACTTTACAACATGTTTCTTGCTGGGGATAAGACAGCCTACAGCCAGCATTCAACTCATTTTTCTAAAGTCTATGGATCAATTTGAAATACAGAAAAAGTAGAACAGAGATAAAGTTAAAAAAAGATTAAAAATATGGGAAGAATGGGAGAAAGGGGAGATTAGAAGATATGAACAATGATTTAAAAATAAAAGAGCCTCAAAGGAGAAGAGAAACTGCTAAGCAAGACTAAGGTAGGATGAAATACAGTAGTCTCTGTTTCTGAGAACACAGGTTAAAAAGAACATAAATAAAATAAATTTATCACCTTTAATACACTCATTCAAGGATGCTACTGAGTTTGACTTTGGGAATTTCTCACCTTTAATACACTCATTTGGGGATGCTACGGACTTTGACATTGGGTTGCATTTAAAGGGGGAGAGAAAGGGCAGTTGCTTCTATTATCGCCCTGTTGGACTCACAGAGTTTCTTTGAAAAGCACAGATGATAATAAATGGAAATATTGCCTTTTATACTATACAATAATATACACATGCAATTCACTGGAAAAAGTATACTTGTTACTATGATTTGAGGATACTACCATATACTAATCAAGAGAAACACATGTACAGAACAAAGAAGGCACATGAAATTTTTACTAGTGTGTGTTTTCCTTGTGTTCTACCACCCCAGGAGCAGCTTCTGCTACTGAAGATCACAGTAGAGTTATTTCCAAAAGTTGTGGGTCTGCAGGGTGGACTTATCACATAGCTGTTTGCCAAAATTCAAAAGTCCAGAAACCATTTCCAAATTTTCACCTCTTTTATCTTCAAATCCTAAAACTATGAAAATTCACAAACTTAGCTCCATACATTATGGTAGAAAGGTTAATAATTTGGACTTTGAGTTTGACCAGGCCTGATTTTTGAATAAATTCACAAACTTACCTCCATACATTATGGTAGAAAGGTCAATAATCTGGACTTTGAGGTCGACCAGGCCTGATTTTTGGATCCAGGCTGCAACACTCACTTGCTGTGTTAATGTAACAAAGTTCCTAGACCATGCTGAGCTTCAGTTTACTTGTTATTGAATTAGGGATATAGCGTTCGAAGGAAGAAGTTCTAGTATTTGATTGCACAGCAGAGAAATTATAGTTATTGAACTGGGGATATGTAGATAGACATAATAAATTTTAGTATTCAATTATACAATGGAGAAATCATAGGGAACAATAATTTATTATATATTCTAAAATAGCTAGCAGAGAAAAATTATAATGTTCCCAACACAAAGAAAAGATAAATATTCGAGGTGATGAATATCCAAATTACTCTGATTTGATCATTACACATTGTATACATGTATCAAAAATATCACATGTACCCCAAAACATGTACAACTATGATACATCAATAAAAAACAACAAAAAAACCAAAAGAATAGAAATCAAAAATAAATACATAAATACATAAAATAGGGATAATAATACCTCCCTTGCTTGCTTGCTCCCTTGCTCCATTTGTAAGAAATAAGTGATATAATATAGGTAAAAATACTTAACCTCATACCTACCACACAGTATAGCACAATAAACGTTATTTATTATAATCTGAGGCCTACCTACATAAGTGACTTTCAAGTATAGAAAATTATTTCTCAAATTTTAAATACTCCCTGATTCTCAGGTATGGTAATTAGACCTGGCTTTAGGTAAAGCTCTCATGTCTACACTTGGATTTAATCACTTAAGTATATTTCCCAGTGCCCCCCCCAAAAAAAATTGCTCCTAGGTGGACACACTAATCAAAGACTTCCTGAGAAATGCAGGAAGAAGTTTTGTCCTCTGACCACGCTACACCCTTTCCTTGATGGTAAGCCCCATAATCTAAAGCCATAAGTTTCAATTCCTCACATAAAAAGAAAAAAAATGTCTTTTATGACCACTTCAGATAACACTGGATATTTCCCTTGTCATTAGGAATGAGAAATGGGAGGAAGGTAAACTTGTAGACAGGAGAATTGGTAGATGCTTGAAAGGATTTCTGAAAACTGTGCCTATCCAGGTGTACAAATGTGTTGACCAGCCAAGGCAAAGCAGTCAAACCATACAATACCTTATCCTCAGGAAAATGGACTTTTCTCCCAAATTGCCTTTTTCATGAAAAATATAAAATTCTCCAGTTTCAACCTCATGTTAAATTTCACATGTGAAGAAAACAGTCATGCACATCAGAAAATTAAATGGCGAGTCAAGACCAAATTCCTAGTCACAGTTATGTTCTGTTTCCAGTATTACCTTCTCACTTATTCATTTTGTTAAAGTGGAGCCAAAATAGAAGTGGGTGTCACACATCAAGAAAGACTGAAGTTGTACAAAGCCGATCCTTATCCAACGTGCATTAAAATATGCATCAGGCATGTGTGATGCATATAGTAGAAGTGGAACAAATCAGGCCAGGTGCAGTGGCTCACGCCTGTCAGCCCAGCACTTTGGGAGGCCAAAGCAAGCAAATCGCTTGAGATCAGCAGTTCAAGAAGTGTAACAAATCCTCTACAATATAAGTAGAGTGAAAAGAGATAGCTACAGTGATGAGGGAAGGCACTATAGTGATGTGGCATTTGAGTATAGCCATAAAAGAGGATAAATATTACAATACATGAATATAGGGTCTAAAGAAGTCTTTTCAAGTAGATTGTAAAATATTTCAAAAATGGTAAGTTTGGTGTATGTTGAAGCATACAGATTGTCTACATCCTAAAAATCATTTTGGTGAATAAAGGAAAATAAGAAAGGTAGTCAATATTCATTTGTTGCCTATCATTAGAAACTTCTCAAAGGTATATGAGAATTATTAAATAAATTTAGGAAGCCAGTGAAGGTATGGGTCCCGGGAATTGAGGATGAAGCCAATAATTAGGGAAGATGCCCTATCTATAAGTGTGATGTATCAAATGGAGGAAAAGAAAAACGGAGGGAAGGAGTTCCCTTAAGAGAAGATTGAAATAGAGCAGACTTGGGGGGCTACACAGAGGAACTGGGACTACACAGTTCCAGCTTTTTTTTTTTTTTGAGACGGAGTCTCGCTCTGTCGCCCAGGCTGGAGTGCAGTGGCGCAATCTCAGCTCACTGCAAGCTCTGCCTCCCGGGTTCACGCCATTCTCCTGCCTCAGCCTCCCGAGTAGCTGGGACTACAGGCGCCCGCCACTGCGCCCGGCTAATTTTTTGTATTTTTAGTAGAGACGGGGTTTCACCTTGTTAGCCAGGATGGTCTCGATCTCCTGACCTCATGATCCACCTGCCTCGGCCTCCCAAAGTGCTGGGATTACAGGCGTGAGCCACCGCGCCCGGCCCACAGTTCCAGCTTTAAGGCTATAGAAACAGAAATAGAAATACTGGTAAGTAAAAACCCAAAGGATTGGTGACTTATCACAGCTGGAGTGAATACGAAGGAGCATGAACTCAAAGAAAATATCAAGATTTAAGCAAGAATAAATAGGACAATGGTAGGTCCATTTTTAGAAATTAGAAAGTTGAACATAAAATATGTCAGGGTGGAGAAAATAATCACGTGTATTTTAAGCAAATAAGAGTATTAGATATTGAGATGCTCAGGTGAAAACATATGACAGGATATATGGGGGAAAAGTACAAATTCAACATGTAATTGTATAGTAATCCATATAAAAATAATAGACGGATGTGTAAGAGTGCATAAGGTCCCTGAAGGAAATAATACACAGGAAAAAAAGATTAAAAAGCAAAGACCCAACTATAGAAACTATCCACATTGATTATGTAAAGTAGGAAAAGGAATCAATAAACTAGACAGAACATCACAGAGGTAGGAGGACAAGTGCTGGCCTCAAGGAGCCAACACAGAAGCAGGTATCAAGAATAAAGGAGGAGAAGAGAGAACAAAGAGAGAGAGAAGAGAACTTCTGTGGCAGAAGATCAAGTGGGATGGTAGAATAAAGGAGAAGAAATACAAGAAAATTGAAATAAAATTTACAGAAATGTTCTACATTGTAAGTGGGCAGTTTTGACCTGGCACATTGTTGGCACACATTATAAATGTCAAATGTATTAATGAATGAATGAATGGATAATATAATGAATGTGATGGAGTTGTCAAAAGCTGAATTAATTAAAAGTCCCCACGAGAGGTTAGATGACAAAATTTTCAGAAACTTTCCATGCCACTCTGTTGTGACATCAACAGTGCTGGACCCTTGAAATCAAACCAAAAGGATTCCACCATGAGAATGAAAAGGGCTGAGAAGGGGAATGCTGGGTGACACAGAAGGTGACAAAGGGCGAAAGGTTTCTAGGCATTTGATAGACTGATGGACGTCCGCGCTGACCATAAGGCACAGGCCACACAGGAAGGAAAATGAGACCCAACGCGAAGAAAAGTAGGGCTAAACAGTCGGGAAAATGTGGGAAGAAGGATGAATAGTCATACGATCAACTCAGATTCCTCCCTGACATTCTTCTACAGCTTTATTCTCGTCCTTTGGGAGCCGAGATGTTCATTTTCCTACATTCTTAGCTGCCTACACACGGCGACTTTTCTCCACGGCGCCTGATCCCTGCTGCATCCTCCTTCTCTAGTGGCAACAGCAAATGGCCACACAGAAGGCAGACATTGCACCCAACTGAGGAGAATGTAATTCACTCATTGCCAGTCACAGACCTTGGCTCACCGATTTACTAAGTATAGATTTTATTTCTATCCCTCACCTACCTGTTTTGCCAAGGGAACTAAGAAAAGAGCATCATCAAAAATTCAGATAGGTATAGTTCTCACAAGATGAACCAGATCCAGTACGGCATCACTGCAGACATACACACAGAGCTGCATAAAACAGGAAGAGAGCTGCTAATCACAGCCCCAGAGGGTAGTGGCCAAAGTGATGCCTTGGAGATCCGAGAATGCCAGACTGAGATCACACGGCCTGGGGAATTACCGCCTATGGTCATTTTGGTTTTCCCGGGATAGCCATGTTAATTGGGTGAAATAAAGCATATTTGATTTTCTTATGACAAAAAAGGGCTTTTGCCATTGTCTACAGATGATACTTTAAATCTTTATTTTATGACTAAAGGTGAATTCCAGAGCAACATTAAATGTTGTCCCTTTAAATTTTTAATCATTTGCATAACGATTACCATAATATTCAATTTAAACATAAAATGTAATTGAAAGTATGAGATTAATATGTGGACATGAAATCATATAATGTTCCATGGAAAAAATAGAATGTATAAGGCAAAGAGGTTTAAAGTAACATCAAAACTAACGCTCACTATACAAATTCTATGAAATCCTCATAATTACACTGTGAAGCAGGTGTTGTTAGAGCCACATAATCTCAAACAAATTATTTATTATCTAAAATTACATAGATATTAAAAGGTTAGGCCATATATGAATTTAGGATTCTCTCAAAAATTTTTTCTCTTTCTCCTACATCAAACTTCCCTAAATTATAGAAAAGTCACAATGTTACCAAACAAATTCACAAAACACATATAATCTTGAATCCAAATTTCAGTTACAGCAGAAAAAATAAAACTCTAGATCAATCTCAATCGTGTAAATAAATTCAGATTTCCAATCTAAGAGTCTCAATTTGACATACTTCTTTCTCTCTCTTCTTTCAAACCAGGAGAAATATAAATATGAGCCACAACCTTACAAAAGCTAGAAAATATTTACAATTCCACACAACAACACATGAAGAAAACCTTCTGGACATCAAAAGTTTAAACCAGTCAAGACTGAACACCAAGATAAAGTGCATGCCTCTGAAGAGCTTGAGCTAGTCAAGAAGCCCAGAAATCCCTAAAAGAGGTGTGTATACTGAGGACTGAGGATCAAAACCTGTGATCTTTACTTGGAACAGAAATATTGCAGCATGTGAACCCTCCACAGAGTGACAGAGGGAAAGGAGTTTAAAGGGAAACATGCAAATGTATCACCTTTGGAATAATTAGGACACGTGTGTGGTGTAATGAAAGAAGGCAAAAAGATGGGGAAGAAGCCAGACAGATGGCAATTTTCATTCTATTATGAAAAGAAAAGGATAAGTCACAAGTCACATGACGAAATTAACAACTATGAATCCACTCTAAGCCATAGTCAATCCTATAGCCTAGGAGTCATTCTAACAGATGAGAGTGTTTTGGAGACAAGATTCCAAAACTCGTCTGCCTTCCATCATACTTACTACCCCCAGCTCCTCCTCCACAATATCCTTTCACAAGTATCTAGAATATTCAAAGACTAATAATATTATATAATTATTTATAATAATTGTATTACAAAAATAAAACTTGATGACCTTTATAAAAATACTAGAAGAAAAAGGGAAAATTACATAAGGTACAGAACATACAAATTATACCATGAAGCAGTAAAAAACAGGATCAAATTTTCTATGTTTTTTAAAAATATGCCTTCTCTAAAATGTTTTCTCTCTGAAATGATATTTAGAAGACATAATTGAAAATAAATACAAAATAAAGTGATAAAAAATAATCTGGCAAAATTCAGGATGTAATGAGTAAAGACAACCATGAAAGAAATGAAGATCAATAAAAGCAGGAAAAAAAGTGGGAAGTGGAGAGAATAATGCTGCTAAAAACACAGATAAGAATATAAATGACAGGCTTAAATATATCCTGAGCAAAACGAAATAGAAAACACAAGAAGGTGAA
Organism: Homo sapiens; assembly: GCF_000001405.40. Classification (NCBI taxonomy): domain Eukaryota; kingdom Metazoa; phylum Chordata; class Mammalia; order Primates; family Hominidae; genus Homo; species Homo sapiens. The sequence continues at coordinate 138,310,203 of NC_000009.12, read as the reverse complement.
ATGTAACATTAAAGTCAGGTCCAACAAATGAGAAATTAGTGTGAAAGAGCTCACAATATCTGGTTAAAAAATTCAAAGATAAAAGAAAACTTTTCTGAAATGAAGAAAACATTGAATCTAATGGTTAAAGGGCTTATCTTTATCCAGAAAAAATGTGTTATAGTATGACCACATCAAGGCAGATGCAACTGAATTTACCGGACTTCACAAACACAAAATAAACAACCCACAAAAAAAAAAAAAAAATAGAGTCCCCATGAGGCTTTAATGAAGACAACTATTAGAGGCCAGGCGCAGGGGCTAACACCTACAGTCCCAACACTTTGAAAGGCCAAGGCAGGAGAATCACTTGAGCCCAGGAGTTCAAGATAAGACCAGCCTGGGCAACATAGCAAGACCCCATCTCTATCAGAAAAACTTAAAAAAGAAAACTATCCACTAAAAATGAATAGAGATAACATGATACAAGTGAGCATTCTGAAGCCTAATATCAAAATGTTCTGGGGTTTGCGGTTAAAGAACAGAATGCAAATGTTACAAACCATAACTGTATAAAGACTAATTATATTCATAACAAAAATAAGAAGAGAAAGATAGTAGAAATATATTCTGGTCCATTCAACTTTCACAGTGGGAGAGAATCAACAAATTATGTTATGGGTGATTAAATATTATTTTAAAAGATAAAGGTCATTATTAGAAAAATTAAAAATAACAAAATCAAATAAAGTTGAATGACGAAGGTGGGAGAGGAAAGTGGGTTTAAGGGGTAAAGTGGAACTATATTAAAAGAGTCAATGGAGAGCACCCTTGGAAATAACACAAAAATTAAAGAACTAAATATAATTTATACAGCACATAACTAAACTATAAATCTTCAAATTAAAAGAAAATAGGTACATACAAAATATCACATAGAGAGATATTAATACCATGAAAATATTAAAATAAAAGCATAAAATTAATTCATTTATTTACCCTATTAGTATTTTTTGAACACCTATGTGCCAGGTATTGTGCTGAATGCCAGTAAGATATAGTTCCTGCATCTTGGAGTTTTCGTGGAGGAGACAGAGATTAATCAAACAATCACACAAATGTAAAATTGCAACCATAAAAATTACTCTGAAATACAATGAAAATTACTATAAGAGAGGGATTTGATGTGAGTCAGAGAAGTTTCCCCTAAGAAAGCAACACTGAAGCTGAGATCTAAAGGGTAAACAGCAGTTAACTGAGTGGAGAACAAAGGTTTTCCTGCAGGGGGAACAATCTGCTCCCCGAGGCCAGAGTGGGGCCTTGGGAGTTGTGCCTGAAACCACATTGTGAGGAAGTGAGGGGAAGCATTGTGCAGATAATGCTGAAATAAGTAGTGGAAGATGCTTCCTAAGAGAATGAGAAATCCAAGACTACTAAGCAGAAGAATGATTTGACCAGATTTCACATTTGTAAATATCACTATGGTTACAATGTATAGAATGGATTTTAAGGAATTCAAATTGGATACAGGTGAGTCAATTACAAAGCAACATGCTTGCCAAGGCAAGAAATTTGATTACTTAAACTAGATATGGGAGTTTTGGAAATAAGTAGATAAATTTGTCATATATTTGAGATAATAAATCACCATGACTTGATGGTAGACTTAGTTGGAGATGCCCTCACTAGTGCACCATCTAATGCTTCAAGTCTAATAATTATTCAATTCCTCCAGAGCCACCAATCCAATGGTTCTACCATATTTATGCTGTCATTCACTTTACTGATATCCTTCTTACCTTACCTCTTTTCCCACTTTATATTCCATGATCAATACCTTGCTCCCTCGTAATGATTGTACTCACTCTTCCAAACAACAATCCTGATAAATCCTACTCTCTGCCTTCTACATCTTGATACCACACAGCTATATGTGGCTAGATAAAACAATCACACTGACAATCATCCTATGCTTTCTGAATCCATCACTCTTCTACTTTTTCAGATCTTTTCTTTCTCCCTCATCCTTACCATGTAATGAACTCATTTTGCATGTCAAGGGCTAAAAGTTGAATATTTTAAAAGTTCTCATTTTCCCACTACTATATAAACCAACAAATATCTTTAGTCTGCATTCACAAATAACATAACAAATGAGCTCTTCATATTTCTATCTGTGGTGAATTAAGATGACTAGAAATTTTGTGGCACCATCCTGTTGAAAACGTGGGGACATATTCTTTCTCCTTGAACCTGGGTGGGCTCTTTGACTGCTTTGACCAATAAAATACAGTGAAAGTAAAACTTCCAGTTTTGATGTCCAGATGTTAAAAGCCTTGAAGCTTCCGTTTCTACATCTTGGAACCAACGTGTGTGGGGTGCTGAGTCAGTATCGAAGAATTCTGCTTATTCTGCTTGCATTAGTCCATTTTCATGCTGCTGATAAAGACATATCCAAGACCGGGTAATTTATGAATAAAAAGAGTTTCATGGAATCACAGTTCCATGTGGATGGGGAGGCCTCACAATCATGGCAGAAGGTGAAAAGTATGCATTACATGGGAGCAGACAAGAGACAATGAGAGCTGAGTGAAAGGGGAAGCCCCTTGTAAAGTCATCAGCTCTCATGAGACTTATTCACGACCATAAGAACAGTATGGGGGAGCCACCCCATCATTCAATTATCTCTCACCAGGTCCCTCCACAACACATGGGAATTATGGGAGCTACAATTCAAGATGAGATTTGGGAAAGGACACAGCCAAACCACCTCATTCTGCCTCTGGCACCTCCCAAATCTCATGTCCTCACATTTCAAAACCAATCATGCCTTCCCAATAGTCCCCAAAAGTCTTAACTCACTTCAGCATTAACTCAAAAGTTGGCAGTCCAAAGTCTCACCTGAGACAGGGCAAGTCTCTTCCACATATAAACCTGTAAAATCAAAAGCAATTTAGTTATTTTCTAGATAAGATAGGAGTACAGGCATTGGGTAAATGCAGCCGTTCCAAATGGTAAAATTTACCCAAAACAAAGGGACTAAAGGCTCCAAGCAAGTCCGAAATCCAGTGGGACAGTCAAATCTTAAAGCTCCAAAATGATCTCCTTTGACTCTATGTCTCACATCCAGGTCATACTCATGCAAGTGGTGGGTTCCCATGGTCTCAGGCAGCTCCACCCCTGTGGTTTTGCAGGGGAGAGCCTTCCTCCCGGTTGCTTTCACAGGCTGGCATTGTATGCAGCTTTTCCAGGCACACAGTGCAAGCTGTCAGTGGATCTACCATTCCGGGGTCTGGAGGACAGCAGCCCTCTTCTCATAGCTCCACTAGGCAGTACCCTAGTGGGGACTCTGTGTTGGGGGCTTCAACCCCACATTTCCATTCCCCACTGCCTTAGCAGAGGTTCTCCATGAAGACCTCACCCCTGCAGCAAACTTCTGTCTGGAGATCCAGGCATTTCCATACATTCTCTGAAATCTAGGTGGAGGTTCCCATACCTCGATTCTGGACTTCCGTGAATCCACAGGCTCAACACCACATGGAAGCTGCCAAAGCTTGAGGCTTGCACCCTCTGAAGCCATGGCCTGAGCTGTACCTTGACCCCTTTTAGCTGTGGCTGGAGCAGCTGGGACACAGAGCACCAAGTCCCTAGGCTGTACACAGGCAAACAGCAGAGGGGCCCTGGGCCCAGCCTATGAAACCATTTTTTCCTCCTAGGCCTCTGGGTGTGTGATGGAAGGGGCTGCCACAAAGATCTCTGACATGGCCTGAAGACTTAGCGATTAACATTTGGCTCCTTGTTACTTATGCAAATTTCTGCAGCCAGCTTGAATTTCTCCTCAGAAAATGGATTTTTCTTTTCTATCACAGTGTCATGCTACAAATTTTCTGAACGTTTATGCTCTGTTTTCCTGTTAAAACTGAGTGCTTTTAACACACCCAAGTCACTCTTGAATGCTTTGCTGCTTAGAAATTTCTTCTGCCAGATACCCTAACTCATCTCCCTCAAGTTCAAAGTTCCACAAATCTCTAGGGCAGGGACAAAATGCTGCCAGTCTCTCTCGATAGCAAGAGACACCTTTACTGCAGTTCCCAGTGAGTTCCTCATCTCCATCTGAGACCATCTCAGCCTGGATTTCATTGTCTATATCATTATTTGACATTTTAGTCAAAGCCATTCAACAAGTCTCTAGGAAGTTCCAAACTTTCCCACATTTTCCTGTCGTTTTCTGAGCCCTCCAAACTGTTTCAACCCCTGCCTGTTACCCAGTTCCAAAGTCGCTTCCACATTTTTGGGTTATCTTTACAACAGCACCCCACTCTACCAGTACCAATGTACTGTATTAGTCTGTTTTCATGCTGCTGATAAAGACATACCTGAGACTGAGTGATTTATAAAGAAAAAGACACTTAATGGACTCACATTTCCAGGTGGATGGGGAGGCCTCACAACCATGGTGGAAGGCAAAAGGCACGTCTCTACATGATGGCAGACAAGACAGAATGAGAGCTAAGTGAAAGGGGAACCCCCTTATAAAATCATCAGCTCTTGTGAGACTTATTCAAGACCACGAGAACAGTGTGGGGGAAATACTCCTGTGATTCAGTTATCTCCCGTTGGATCCCTCCCACAAGACACGGAAATTATGGGAGCTACAATTCAAGATGAGATTTGGGTGGGGACACAGCCAAACCATATTGCTGCTGAATAGATCATGTAGACAGGCTCTCAAACTACACGGAGAGCAAGAGAGGCCCACCTTACCACAACATTTCATCCAATCCACTAATAAAACAGGCACATCACTGAAGCCACCTTCAACTCTCCAGACTACCCAGCTGCCAGCTGAATACCACAGATGGCTACAGTTAATACCACATGGAGCAGAATCATGTAGCTAAGCCCTGCTTGCACTAATACAAGTCCACAATTTTTTTTAAGTTTGTTGTTTTAAGCTGCGAAGTTTTGAGGTGGTTTGTGGTACGTGGAATAAGATGTCACTCTAATATAATATAAACTTAAACTATGTGGCATTGGCTTTGGAATCAGACAATGGATAGAAGCCAGAAGGATTTCACAAAGACTGTTAGTGAAAAGTGAACAGACTTCAAGGAAAATGATAGCAAAACCTGTAAAAGCATTCTGGGAACTGACAGTAAACACTGAATGGTCCTTAAGGAGACTGAAAACTTGAAAGAGCTTAAGAAGTCTACTGGAAAGGGCTTTAAGGATAATGAGAAAAAATCATCAGTGGAGGCTGAGGAAAACGCACCAAAGTCGTATTCTGATGGGAGAGTTAGAAAACGCTTGCCTGGAATGATATAAAATATAGGAAAAATACCGAAAAAGTTTGTGGATCTGGCTGGGGAGATTTTTGGTGTCAACTAAAGAAAAAAATTAAGCTTTTAAGAAATTAAAGTTAGATTTATTTAGGGGTCTGAGAACAAGAGACTGAGGATTACAGCCTAGGAGAAGTCTTTCAGAGAGGTTCTGTCAGACTGCTCTGGTGAAGGTCTTTAGCCCACAGTTTATATGCAGGCTGTACATATACACCATGGAATACTATGCCGCCATTAAAAAATGATATCATGTCTTTTGCTGGAATGTGGATGGACCTTCTATTATCCTTAGCAAACTAATGCAGGAACAGAAAACCAAATACAGCATACTCTCAGTTATAAGTGGGAGCTAAATGATGAGAACTAATGAACACAAAGAATAAAACAGACCCTGGGGTCTACTTGAGGGTGGAGGGTGAGAAAAGGAAGAGAAGCAGAAAAGATAACTATTGGGTACTAGGTTTAATACCTGGGTGATGAAATAATCTGTACAATAACCCCCTGTGACACCAGTTTACCTATGTAACAAATGCCCCTAAACTTAAAATAAAAGTTAAAAAAAAAGAAAATTAAAATCTCCTTATCATCTACCTGGTAATATGAAAAACACAAATCTTTCATTCATTCCTTTCAACTGATGAGGAAAATGAGGCATCGGGAGTTAGTAAAAGTCCACATTGAGATATGAGACCCACGACTGGCTGGACGCAGTGGCTCACACCTGTAATCCCAGCACTTTGGGAGGCCGATGCTGGTGGAACACCTAAGGTCAGGAGTTCGGGACCAGGCTGGCCAACATGGTGAAACCCCCATCTCTACTAAAAATACAAAAATTAGCTGGGTGTGGTGGCAGGCACCTGTAATACCAGCTACTAGGGAGGCTGAGGCAGGAGAATCGCTTGAACCCAGGAGGTGGAGTTTACAGTGAGCCAAAATCACGCCATTGCACTCCAGCCTGGGCAACAAGAGCAAGACTCTGTCGGGGAAAAAAAAAAAAAAAAAACCACCACCATCATTTTGCAAGTGTTACCACTATTGTGTGTTAATATTGTAGAAGTATTCCTAATTATGATTTCTTTGTATTCCTAATTGTAATAGCTTTGTATTTGAAAAATTATTGATTCATACTCTATGTTATTATTTTGTATGTGATGACAACAGAATATATTATCATGCTCCTTTTGTGAATCTCATTCATAATATAAAGTATAAATTTGTGATTTTGCTTTAATTTGAAATATTAATTTCAAATATGTTATCACAATTTGATACAAACTATTGACAGTAAATCTGTGGATTAAGTAATGTCTTAGTAGGTATTGGGAAAATTTGAAACTAGTAACATGGAGGACTATTGTCATTGTTTATTTCAAAGCCAGTTAAAATTCTGCAAAGCAGTGTACATAAAAATAATTTCAAGAAATTTATAAAATACCGAGATTATGGTGTATAAACAACTTTAGATTCTTTGTTTAAGAAATTCTGCCAGTTTGTAATATATGCTTCATTCAAAGTAGCTAAGGGCTGTACCTGGCCAATAGTAGGCACCTAATATTTGTTGAAAAGGAATACTGAGTAGCTGGGACCTCCTGAGTAGCTGGGACCACACACATTTAACCTGTATTTATAAAATTACTGTTTAGAGAATAACATTTGATGGAATCATGCTTTTACTTTCTGCTTATGACTCAATTGTTTGTACTGACATTAACATCCCAAATCCTTAGCATGGCCTACAAGGCCCTGAGCAATGTGGCACCTGCTGAAGCCTGCTGCCTCATTTAATAACTCTTTGTCTCTTTCCCAGATCCAGCCACTCTAACATTTTTTAGCTCCTGGACCAAGACAAGCTCTTCCCAGAACCTGACCTTTGTACCTGTTCTTTATTCCTGGAGTATTTTTCCCCTGACAAATTACTTATCATCTATCATAATTCAGGTTAAATGGCACTAACTCAGGGAAGGCTTCCCTAACTGCCTCCCTTCTCCAACCAAATTAGGAACAATTATATGGCCACATAGTATCGAATCAAGTTTATAATTTTAAAATAATTGGGAGATTTTGTTGTTTAACACTTGTTTTCACTATAAGACTGTAATTACATGCAAGTAAGAACCATGCCTGTTTGTTCACTCCTGCCACAGTCAGAATAGTGCCTGGAATATGCAGTAAGGGCTGAACAAACACTAAATAAATGAACAAGTGAATAAATGGATATTGTCTCATTTTTAGAACAGAGTACTGAATGGATCATGAACACTATCTGGTATGTCACGTAGGTAATTTACAAGGGCTACAATTTCAGCTCAGATTTACCTTTTCCTGGATACAGGTCTTGATAGGTCTCTTGATGTCATTTCACTTCAGATTCTTCTTTAGAAAACTTGGACAATAGCATTTGCTGTCTTGTCCAAATTGTTACTAAGAATCAAGAGAGATATCTGACATGAAATGACATTGGAAAACATTAAACACGATTGAAATAATGCTAGCCAATATGGTTATTATTAGAAACCAATTACATTTTCAACTTAAAAACAGTAATACTTATTGCAGACTCAAATGTGCTTATTCTAAAACAAGTAAATGTTTGCCTATGGTCTGAGATTCTAATCCACGGAGTTCATTCTAATCCACATTCAACACTATCATGTACCAGTGGGCCTCATAACCCACCTAGCCCTGTGATTTTTCAGGTTCACTTTTCTAAACTTGTGAATTAAATATTTATTTTCTTAGTTCAGAAGAGGAAAAAAACTCTTGTAATTGTTGCCCATTTCAGGAGAAATCTTGCATATGAAAACAAGAGATAAATATACACAACTGAGGGCTGTGGTTTAAACAAAATCTTGAGAATGTTTTTTGACCTTATACATTTGTGCTTTAGTATAACAAAATGATATAGACAAAGGTAACTTTTAATAGAACCAGTCACTAAATTAAAAAAATGACAAATTCTTCTGCTTAGCTAAGCAACAGAGAAGGTAAAATACTAATTCAATTCATCAATTTAAGCAATACTCATTAAGAGCCAAGTATGTGCTTACTGAATAAGCTGCTAAGGTTTGGTGGTTACAGAGTGTGCGGTGAAATGATGTCTACATCACAGTCCAACATTCACAGAGTTTAAAAGCCTACCAAGAATCAAGACAGACACAAATACCTAACATAGAAGTTTGTATATGATAAGAGAGCCAGAGTACAATTTAGGAGAAGAAATTGTATGGAAGGAAGGTTCATTTCCATTAGACCAGAAAAGACAGCACATTTGAAGGCCTGAATAAGAAATATTCTGGATAAGATATTGTGGCTGCTACCAGAATGGCTCTTGATGATCTCTACCTCTTGGTATTTATACCCTTATATAATCTCTTTCCTATAGTGTAAGCTGGTCCCAGGTACTTGTTTCTATTGAATAGAATAGAACAAAAGAAATGAGATGCCACTTCTGAGATTAGATTATAAGATACTGTGAATTTCATCTTGTGCCCTCTCCCTCTCTCTCTTTCTCTTGCCCTCTCATTTGAATGAAGCCAACCGGCATGCTGTCAGTGGCCCAGTGTAAGTCCTGTTACAAGAAATTGATGATTACCTGTAGCCAACCCTAAGTGAAGAACTGAGGTCCTCAGTCCTACAAATGGAGAGAAACTGAATCTAGCTAAGAACCATGTGAGTGAGCTGGGAAGAAGATCCACCCTCAGTTGAAATTTAAGATGACATATTGAGCAGACATACTGAGACACACTGAAAGTAAGAGAGCAGGAGGAAACAAAACCAGGGTCATACAAAGAACACAACTGATTTTGAGATTCTCACATAAGTATTACACCTTCAGTGAGCACGTGTACTAGAAATTTAAAAAATAAATAAAATAAACCTTCAAAGTGAGCTAGCAAATAAATTTCCCTATGGTCTCAGCTCTGAGTGGAGAGAGAAAATGTTCCCTGTGGAGTTTATAGCCAGAATCCAGCTCTCAAACAGGTTTCAGCCTGAACTCACACAATCTGTGTGGCTTCCAAATTTGCAAGCTGAGAATTTAATTCAAAGTGGTCTCAGGTTGATAGCAGTCCAAAATGCTAGGTAGGAAAAAAAATCCTCTCTGGACAAATAAATCATCAAAGCAAGCTCATAAGAGCAGGTTTCAAAGGTCATGAGCTTCTAACACACACACAAAAATCACACACACAAAATGGGGGTAGCAGCAACATGGGTAGCGTATTCAAACTTGAAAAGACTTTAAATATTTGTATTATTAGATGTAGATTATGAAACACATATTTTAATGTGGTTAATTTTTTTAAGGAATCAAAACTATGAGTAAAGACCAAGAAAATTGTGCTGGATGGCCACTTCCACCATGGCTCCCCTCCTATTTAAGTCTGGGTACTGTGTCACCCGAAGTCTTCAGGCACATTGTTCCAGGTTTGGGTTTGCCTATGAAAGAAACTCATGAGAGCTGGAAATGAGGAGTGAAGAGGAGGTCTTCACATAAAGCAGGCTTAAGGATTAGACATAGCAGGTTTGACAGATGTGATGGCTTGCAGAATCCTTTATGAGCTCCCACTGTCCATCTGGATAAGATTTACAGACCTTTCAGAAATTCCTATAAGCTTGGGTTCTGTGCCCACTCTCTAGACTGTCAGGCTAAGATCTCTGATATAAAACAGACCTCTTCTGATTTTGTCTAGCTGCTTTTCTAATATCTATTCACCAAGCTCTTCCAATAATAGCATAAGGCCCTAATTAATATTAAACTTTTATCATTATAATACATAGGATGTCTTCTGTTTTCCTGATCAAATTCTGACTACTATTAAAATATAAAGAATTGTCCAGAAATATATAAAAAAAGAATCACACATTGATCTTCTTTAAATGAAAATATAACAATTGTATGGACTAGGATGATTACAGTTGTTCAGTTCTGACTGTTATTTGAAGAAAAAAGCAATAAGAAGCCTCAGCAACTTAACAGAAGGAGCTGCCATTTACTAGGAGAAAAGATTGTGGATGAGAGTGTAGCAAAGGTCAGAATTCTGTGAAGCTTGAGATGTTTATTATAATGAATTATCTTTTATACTCACTACAATTTCCTAACAATTTTGGGGTTTATATTTTTGAAAGAGATATACCTTTAATTTTCTTTCTTTGTACTATTGTTAGGTAACTTTAATGTGCAGATTATACTACAGTGAAAGTTGCCAATGACAAGGCAAAGTCACTTACATCAGACCCAAAGCAAAGTGGAGCCGGGTCATGAAAAAGGGGATCTTGTGTGTGTGTCCACGATAAGCACTATCACAAGGACTTTCTATAAACTCACAAGAAATTTCTGCCCACCCAGCACACTCTGTTTGTCCAGCTCATCCTGTAGGTGTCTCTATAATAGGACCTATCATAAAAAATTCCTCAAGACTGCAGCATTTCAGATAAGCCACCCTCACAAGAACACTTGCCTAGCAATGGCTGTTTCTGCCAGTAAGTTAACACCAGCTCCTGCATCAGACCCTGTGACCAATGATGTTTGTTTCAAAACAGCTTGCATGGACTTCTTTTTGTCTTTATATATTTTCCTTACCTCAACCTCTTGGGATGCACCTATGATTGATCATAGCACAAATATCTCAGATTATAATCCTTGTTTATTTCCAAATAAATTTATTTCTTTGGAGATCCACTTTTTCTGTTATTATACATTGACATTGTTATCATGAAATTGGTTGGGTGATGTGTCTTATTTTCTTGTCTCCAGAAGAATTTCTGTAACAGTGCAATTAAACGTTCTTTGCATGTTTGCTAGAACTCACCTGTAAAATTGTCTGAGCAACCAAAGCCTGGTTTTTGTGTTTAGTTTTTCTTTTGTGATTGGGGAGGGGGGTTTATCGTACTGATTCAAGGTGTGAAGGTAACATCATTTTGATTTTATACATCTTCTTCAGTCCATTTAAGCATGTTACATAGCGTTGTTTGTTCTTTTCATGATATTCTTTACAGTAGTCTCCTAAATGTTCCCTCTGCTTCTGCCAGGAGCCCCTACAATCAACTCAGAAGCTATAGAGTTTAAAACATGTAACATATTATGCCACCTTTCTTACCGTAAAACATCCCATGGTTTCTCATAGTATTTATAGTAAAAGTGAAATTTTTATGATGGCTTGAGAAACTTTTCCCATTAGATGCCCAAGTGCTGGTCTGGTCTGATCTTCTCATCTTCCCTTGGGTGATTCTGTGGCAGTCACACTAGCCTCCTTGCTGCTCCACAAAAACTCCAGCATGATCCTACTTCAGGATATTTGCCATTGTTACTGCATCTGCCTGGAACCTTTTCTCCCATATAAACATAGAGATTGCTCTTGCCTGTCCTTCAAGTCTATTCTTAAATGTCCCATTCTCTGTGAAGCTTTCCTGCCCACCCTATTTAAATTACAGACTTCACTCCCAATTCCCCATCTACTTTAAGAGTCTTCATTTATCATTCCTTGACAAACTGTAAATATACATGTTCACTTTTTTATCGTCTGTCTCCAAATACTGGAATGTTAAGTTCTGTAATGTCAGATATTTCTGTTTGGTTCACTGGTGTATTCTTAAAGCATGTTACATACTAGGTATACTCAATGAATATTTGTTGAATAAATATCACATTGGGCTTATTCCAGAAATTCAAGCTTGTTTCAATAGTTAGAGCAATCTACAAATGTAATTCATTACATTAACTAATTAAAGGAGCTAAATCACATCACCACCACAATAATGCAGAAAACCACATTTGATACAACTCAATATTCATGTCTGCCTAACAAACATCTCATGATACTAGGAAAAGAGGAAGGGATATATTATTTTCATGTATAAAGCACTAACCATTGTAGCATGCCAATATACTCAAAATTCAATGAAATTCCTATCAAAATTTTAGCATTCCTCTTAGTCCTCAACAAAGCATTTCTAAAATGTGTATAGAAGACCAAAGGGCCAAAAGAGTCAACTTCTGAAGAAGCGCAAAAAGAAAGTTGAGGAAATCTTAAAACATGTTATTGAGCTTAAAGTTGCAAAAATAAACTCATGTACCATAATTGATGAGTAGAAAAATAGACTAGTGGAATAACATAAAAATAAAAACAATGCTTACATAAAATGTTGTAACTGATTTGGATGTCATTAGAAATCAGTAAGTAAATAGATGGACAATGTAATGAAAGATGCTAGGCAAATAATGTGGTAGGGAGAATAATGGCCCTCAAAGATGCCCATGCCTAACCCTGGAACCTGTGAATATGTTACACTGAATGCAATAAAGGCTTATCAGATGTGATTAAGGATGCAAACCGAGATGGAGAGATCTTCCTGGGTTACCCAGATGGGCCCAGTCTAATCACATGAGTTCTTAAAAATGGAGAACCTTTCTTAGCTGAGTCCAGAGAGAGATGTGACAATGAAAGAATGGTCAGAGAAATGTGACATTGCCAGCTTTAAAAAGAGAGAGGAGAGGCAATGAGAAAAGGAATGCTGATGTTCTCTAGAAGATAGAAAAGGCCAGGATATGGATTCTACCCTAGCCGCCATAAAGAAACATGCCTGTCGACAACTTGATTTTAGTTCACTAAAATTCATGCCTGATTTCTGACTTGTGTACACTGTAAGATGACAAGTTTGTGTTATTTTAGGTCACTTAGTTTGTAGAAATTTGTTACAGCAGTAATAGAACAAGTGGTTATCCATATGAGGCAAATTAGATTGGATACCTATCTCCAATAGAAATCAATTCAAGGTGAATTCCAGGAAAATACTTAAAACATTTAGATTAAAAATAAATGAGAATTTTTGTTACTTTTTGTAGGTCATAGAACCAAGAAAAACAAACATTAAGGAGGAAAAATGAACATATGACTACATCAAAATATAAAGCTTCTCTATTTGGATGATATCATAAGGTGACAAATCATAAACTGTAATATTTACAACATATATATAAGTGAATAAATATACATTTAGAATATATATGAACTCCCAAAAATCAACAGGAAAAATAAGACATAGAACAAGCAAAATGCATAAACAAAAGAAGGCAAAACAAAAATAATGACTCATAATTATATGAAAAGAAGCTCATCTTCATAGATGAGCAGATAAATGCAAATTAAAACCACCCTGAGATGCTTTTTACATCCATGAGCCTGATAAAAGTTAGAGTCTAAAAGTAATAATTAACAAAGATGGGAAGTAACAGAAAATCTTGTCCATTACTGGTTAAAGTATAAACTGATACAGCTACTTTATAGAATATTACATTATAGAATAAAGTTGTGAGTATGTATATGCAGTGACTCAGCATATTCATTGCTAGTATGTACTCAAGAGAAACTTACAGGAGTGGACTAGGAAGTAAATACAAAATGATTACAACATTGTTTGTTATATCAAAAAATAAAAAAGACACCCAATTTTCCAGCAAAAAAAATAAGTAAAAATAAATCCTGGTGTATTCTAACAATGGAATAATATATAGCCATTAAAATAAATCAACTATTACTGTACATATGAATGTAAGTATCAGCAAAACATATTGTTTAGTGAAAAACTAAGAAGCTGAAGAAGAATATATACAATATGGTTACATTTATATGAAGTCCAAAAACTTGCAAAATAAAGAAATGTATTTAGAAATAGATTCACATGTGAGAAAACTAGAAGAAAATTAATGAAAGGATAAGAGGGATAGCAGTAATTCTGAGTAGTTGAGGGAATTTCAATTGGAAAAAAATAATATCATATTCTTTAAGTCAGGTAGTGGGTATTAGCATTTGTTTTACCATCGTTCTTTATTCTTATAGCTACACTATATATTTTCAATGTATTTAATGTATTTTTTGCATAATTAAATATTATGCAATAAAAATGAGAAAACAAAAAAGTAGAAAATGATAAATTACAATAAAGAAATGGAGAAAAAATTATAATCTAGTTGAGTAATGGTATATTACACAGCTATTTTCTTAAGTAGATGTATGTACATGATGTATGCACGATTGTACATACATGTTCTTAATTATATATAAATATATATGTACATATTTTTAATATAAAATACTAAACAAAGTACACCAAAATATTAGCTCCTATGTTAGTGAGATAATGTTTTGTTTTTTTGTATTTTAAGTTTTACATAGTAGGTGTATTTTTCTGTTTTCATACTGCTATAAAGAACTGCCCAAGACTGGGTAATTTATAAAGGAAAGAAGTTTAATTGGCTCACAGTTCAGCACAGCTTGGGAGGCCTCAGGAAATCTACAATCATGGCGGAAGACAAAGAGGAAGCAAGCCAGCTTCTTCGCAAGGCAGCATGAAGAAGTGCCGAGCAAAGGGGAAAGAATCCCTTATAAAACCATCAAATCTCGTGAGAACTCACTATCGCAAGAACAGCACAGGGGAAACTGCCCCCATGATTCAATTACCTCCACCTGGTCTCTCCCTTGACCTGTGGGGATTATGGGGGCTATGGGGATTACAATTCAAGACGAGATTCAGGTGGGGATACAAAGCCTAACCATATCAGTAGGCATGTATTGAATTTTAAACTCAGAGAAAAATACTAGTGTTTTTATAGGATTCTTACTAAAGAAAAACCAGAAAGTAATAAACCATCTACGCTAAGACATAAAATTCAGTTGTTTAGTTACAAGATAGAATGTGGCCTTGTAAGAAAGCAAATTAACTTCTAACATACAAAGCCTTAGAGAAGATTCAAGTGACTGACGGATCTTAAACAGAGCTATTATTACAACTCGAACTGCAGTAAAATATCCTCAGCAACATAGATGTGTGTGTTTCACTAGTCAGAGCAATACAAATTTAATGAAACTCCATTGGTGGTGTTTTTAATCAGACAATTTCTGAAGATGTCCTGGCTTATTCACAGATGCAAGCCAAATCTCTAGAAGAGTACCATAATAAGAAAAAAAAGAATACAGGCAATTGAGAGCTGTTCCAAAGTTTAGGGAGTTTTTGTAAGGAATTAATAAATAAAAATGTTCTTGAAAGAGAGAAATTAATATGCAGTTCATACTGCCAGAATTGCAGGCAATTTATCAAAGTCCCCTAATCCTCCAAAATCGCTATTTTTTTTTTGACACACACTTTACAGTACAGAAGAAAATGTCTCCGGCAATAAATCACAAAGTTAAAATTACCTAGTCTACAATTAACTACACAGTGATGGTAAATCATTTTCTACCAAAAGAAAGAAATGTCTTGTCTATTCAGGTTCTGCTCTACTTAAAAGTTTTCCTTGTTGGCGAGCAAGTGGTTAGAAAATCATATTTTATACGTACATTCAGCTTAACTATCATTCAGCTCAGGAAGATGACTCAGGGCCTTATCCATACCTTGAAGTTTGCTCTTAGCAAGTAATTGTTTCAGTATCTATATCAAAAATGGCTTAAGCCTGCAACATGTTTCTGAATGATTAACAAGGTGATAGTCAGTTCTTCATTGAATCCTGGATGTTTTATTTTTCTTAATAAGAGGAATTCATATGGATCAGCTAGAAAAAAATATTATATATTATATATCATTTCCAAATTCCCCAGCGTTCATATTTGTCAGTGCAAGTAAAGAGCCTTACTGCTGATGAGGTTTGAGGTATGACCATTTGGCCAGAATTTATGAACTCTACATGTCGCTTGATGTGTGCTTCAGGGTACACTTTTTTTTTTTTTTTGAGACGGAGTCTTGCTCTGTCGCCCAGGCTGGAGTGCAGCGGTGCGATCTCAGCTCACCGCAAGCTCCGTCTCCCGGGTTCACGCCATTCTCCTGCCTGAGCCTCCTGAGTAGCTGGGACTACAGGCGCCCGCCACTATGCCCTGCTAATTTTTTGTATTTTTAGTACAGACGGGGTTTCACCGTGTTAGCCAGGATGGTCTCCATCTCCTGACCTCGTGATCCACCCGCCTCGGCCTCCCAAAGTGCTGGAATTACAGGTGTGAGTCACCACGCCCAGCCAGGGTACACTTTTAAGCAGAGACACTACTTTGAAGGTCATAAAAAATATAATAAGAGATAAGGCTAATTTCCTTTAATAATAATAAAATCCTTTAATAAAAATATAAAGGAATAATATAATAATTTTCTTTAATAAAATATAATAAGAGATAAGGCTAATTTCCTTTAATAAAATATAGTAACTACATACCAACAGAATTCCAAAAAAAGAAATGGAGAGGAAGGGAGCATGGGTCATTAATCTTGTCAAAAATATAAAATTATATACGAGGAATTCCTAGAAACTGTTTTCCTTGTCTGCGGCCATTGTGCTGCTGCTACACAACTACCGCAAGCAGCCCTTCACGCCCTCCTCCCAGTACAAAGCTAATTGACTTGTGAGAAATGTTAAGCTTGGAAGAGTCAGCATCGCTGCACTTATTTTTTATTCTACTCTGACATTAGAATAATCCTTGAGTGGGGGAAAGGTTAAAAACCCCCCTGGATAAGTGTTACTAATTAATGATGATTGTTTTAAACAATGTTTGGATAATTTTTCCTTGTCCCTTGACATAAACTTGATAAATAACTGAGAAGTGAGAAGGAGATTAGTGGGTTGATTAAATTCCATTCAGGTACTTAAAGTTAGCTCCAAAAATTTAGCTATTTGTAAATTGTCATGCATTGTTAATGTATAAGAGATGTAGATTTCATTTATCTTTGGTGGAGCGAGATGAAGCAGTGAATCATTGAAGACTGAAAGAAAGAAAAAGGTCTTTTCCCTTTTCTTTAAGAAGCATCATTAGTTAAAAACATGTTAGTTGATACCAGAGAACTATATTTAAAGGGACAGCAATAAGCAAATTGATTACTCTGGTGATTATTGGAGTGACATTGCCTTTTAGTTGTACTTTCACAAAAATTCACAATATTTGCCAAAGTCAAGTTATCCATTACACTATTAATTTGTCATTCTTTTGTTTATATAGTCAATATCTCTATCTCAATTGGATCTATCTCAACTGCTTCTAAACAAGCCACCATAGTCTCTCCCATTTCAACAATCTCTTCCAAGTACCACTTCATTTCTTCTTTTCATATTTTTGAAAACTTTTGAAAAACTACCTATTTTCCTCCTCCATTTCTTGTTCATTCCATTCTAGTGGACATGGAATCTGTTCCTCCTCCAAAACGGAATTTGGTCACCCTTAAATTACTAAACCCAAAACAATATGTTGTCTTTATCTTTACCTCTCTGTGGCATTTAATGATAAGACCACTACTTTCTTCTCTTTTACCCTTCTTTCTTGAATTCAGTCAAACAACGTACTTACATTTTTTGTCTTATTCTCCATCTTAGAAACCACCTCAGCTTTCTCCATTCAGCTATAAAATTGTGCTTTTCCTCAAAGATTAATCTGCCTCTCCTCTCACTCTATACTATCTCTGTTAGCTAATTTTATTTGTGCACATTGCTTATACTGGGCATTATATACACATATGCATGTGTGTACATGTGCACACACACACTGTATGTGGACATGTATATATATATATGTGTGTGTGTATATATATAGTATATATATAAATTACAATAACATAAAGGTGGCATTTTAAATTAGTGGAAATTACCCTGATTTGATCACTACACATTCTATACATGTAAAGAAAATATCACTCTGTATCCCAAGAATATGTACAATTATGGTTTGTCAAATGAAAAAGTTCATACATTGAAAAATTTTAGATAAATATCAAACTTTCTCTGAAACTGTAACTGTAAAATGTAAAAAACAGTAATTGCTATATTGCTTATTTCTGAGTAGAAGAATATGAGACATTTCCCTAATCATTATGTGTAATTACAATTACATATATATATGTAATTGTAATTACACATAATGATTAGGGAAATGTCTCATATTCTATATATATAGACAGAAAGAGAGAAAATATATGAGGGAGAGAAGGAATCTTTCCATCTCCTTTGAGTTCCACGGTGTTGAGAGTCAGGACAACTGCAATTGCTTCATCATGCCTGCTTGCAATTATAGGGCTTTTGAACCATTTGTTCCCTCCTTAGATATCCTCATTTTTTTCAGATTCTTGCTTAGAAGTCACTCCTCCGTGGACCTCCTCTGACATATTAAACATTGCAGTCCATTATAAGCTGCAAGAGGACAGGGATTTTTGCCTGTTTTATTCCCTACTGTATCACCAGGGGCTACAGCAATATCTGACAAACAGTGGGCATGTAATGAATATTTGTTAAGTGAAGTAATAAATTCAATCAAATCACATCACCTGTTTAAAGCACTTCATTGGCTTCACATTGCACTTAGAATAAAGAGAAATTCTTTTTATACAATATAAGTTCCTGCAGAATGCAGACACTTTCTACTTCTCCAGCCTCTTTTCAACTCCTCTCCTACTAGCTTCTGTATTTAAGCCACATTAGACCTTTCTTCAGTTTTTTATATAGACTTTGTCGCATCACACCTCAGAGATTCTGTACATGTTCTTCCTCCTGCCTAGAAAGGATCGTCCCTCCACTTTCGCCAACTAATCCCTGCTCAACTTTTCATCTCAGCAGGAGGCCCATTCTCTTTGGCAATCCTCTGGCCTCCAGCCCATTTATTATATGCTCACATGTCAACATGTACTTCGTACAGCATGTAACACAATTGCACTTTTATATTTTAACAAATTATATTTCCCATATTGAACTGTAAGTCTCCTGAAAGCAGGAATTTTGTTCTTGCTCATCATCAACTTTTTCAACATCCAGTGCACCATTTAGAACTTAGATGTAGTCAATAGAGGTTTGTGGAATGAAAGAGGAAAAGAAAGAATTAATATTCCTTTAAATTAGGATGGCAAAGATCGTATATAGAAAATTGGCTAAGTTGTGGTCCATTCATGTTTGCTCCCAATTAAGGAGCACAGCTATGAAAAGGAAGGCTTCAAATTAATAACCAATAGATTTTTTTAAAAAGAAAACTGGCCAGGTACTGTGGCTTATGTCTGTAATATCAGCATGTTGGGAGGCCAAGGCAGGATTACTTGAGCCCAGAAATTCCAGACCAGCCTGAGAATTTGGCAAAACTCTGTCTCTACAAAAATTACAAAAATTAGCCAAGTTTGGTGGCATGTGCCTGTAGTACCAGCTACTTGGGAGGCTGAGGTGGAAGAATAGCTTGAGTCTGGGAGGTCAAGGCTGCAATGAGCTGTGATTGCACCACTGCACTCAAGCCTGGGTGGTAGAGTAAGACCCTGTCTCAAAAAAAAAAAAAAAAAAGAAAAATCACTAAGCAAAATAAGACATGTGAAGGATCATGTCAAAGGTAAGAAAAATTAGGGGAACATTAAAAGCTTTCTTCCCAAGCCACTAAATCAACTTGACTAACAAAATTACCACTTGATTTAGCATTAGAAAATTACATTACATATCAAACATAAACCCATTAATCAAATACTAAAGAAATTTCTGAGTTAAATGGTATAATGTTAGCTTATGCCAGAGCTGACCTTGAAAGATTGTTCAAATATGGCTCAGTGTGATTGAAAGTTCTGTGTGAATATGTTTTTGGAAAGATCCAACAGCAACACCTTAGTGTATGTTTTTGAAATAAAATGTATCTGAGTAGCAGCAAAGTTATTCTCAAATTTCCATTTTATAGCTGGAGATGTTATACCGTGACGTATATGATAGGACCCAATATGGATCAATCCCTTTTAGAAGTCAATCAGGAAGAGGGGAGCAGTTAAAACAGTTGCTTGGTTTACAAACATTAGAACAATTTTCTTATTCACACCATCTGATTATTGTATTTTATTTTTTCCCCAACGTTTAGACTACACAATGAGTTAAGAATGATAAAAATAAGCTCACCAATATACTATGTACATATTTACCAAAATCTGTGCATGCTTATACATATAAACACAGCTGATAATTTATTAGTTAGGCTCATTTGTAATTTTTGTCACTATAGACCAGTTTTTTATTTAAATTGAAGATTAGTATACATTTTAAATGATTAGTCAAAATAAAAAATCTAAAATGTGCTCTAAATACCTCTTAGGTCAGAAAAAAAAAGTCAAAAGCTAGAGTATAGAGAAATTAAGAAACGCCCTAAATTTCTAATCTGACAAAAATTCATACAAGATTTAAATATTTTAATGGAAAATAGAACAGAACTAATTATTGAAGAAATTATAGAAAGGAAACAAAATAAACAGATTATATGGAGGATTTTTAGAAGATAAGTAAATAAATTAATATACTAGGAAAAAACAAGGGAAATATACTTGATAAATAAATACAGGTAAGAGTTCTTTTGAAATAATGATAAAATAGAAAATCTCTGTCAAAACTAAAAGGAAAGATGCATAAATATATAAATAAATGATAAAAAATGTTGCATACATATATGACTTTTTCAGAATCAAAAAATTTAAATTTCTGTAATAAAATTTAAATGTTTATAAATTTAAAAAACTAGAAGAAAGAATGTTGACTGTTCACAATACAAATAAATGACAAATATTTGAGGTGATGGATATGCTAATTATCCTTATTTGATCATTGGGCATTGTATACATGTATCAAAATATCACTCTGTATCCCATGAATATGTACAATTATTTGTCTCAAAAACAAACAAAAAAAAGATAATGGGAGAATGTTGAAAACTCAGAGAGAAGAGCAACTCTCACAGATAGGGATCCAGATAACATTAGCAGCTGATTTCTCGGCAGAAACCTTGAAGGCCAGTAGGCAGTGGATTATATATTTAAAATAATGAAGAAACCTGTCAATTGAGAAATATATAGCTGGAAAACTTATCCTTCAAAAATGAAGGAGAAATTAAGACATTTCCGGATTTTTTTTTAAAACTGAAAAAAATCCATTTATCCCTGAATTTGACATTCAGGAAGTGTTAAGTCCTTCAGGTTGAAATAAATGAACTCTAGGCAATAACTATGTAAGTAAATAAGCAAGCTGTATGAATATACAAAGCTCTCTGGTAAAGGTAAATACATAAACAAACATAAAAACAGTCCTATTGTAATTTTGGTTTGTAACTCTGCTTTTTATTTTCTACATAATTTAAAAGGCAAATGCATAAAATGTAATTGTAAATCTGTTAGCTGGTATACAATGAATAAAGATATAATTTGTCACATCAATAACATAAAAAGAGTAGAGCTATATATATAGCAGTAGAATTTTGGTATGTGATTGAACTTAAGTTGAAATAAATTCAAATTAAAATGTTATAACTCTAGGATGTTATATGTAATTCTCATAGTAACCAAAAATGAAATATATATAGAATATAAACAAAAGGAAATGAGACTAGAAACAAAATGTGTCACTACAAAAAAATCAACTAAAGATAAAAAAGAAATAATTGAGAAAATGATTGGCAAAAATCAGTAACTCTGACGTATTAAAACTTTCCATGCTACATAAATCTGAAAACTCTATTTCACATAAAACTGGAGCTGAAAGAAACAAATATTTACCTATAAAGTTAAAAGTTATATAGGGAACAAACACTAATTTTTTTTTAGAAAAAATTATAAAAAGAGTAAAAATATGCCTTATACTACCGTAATTTCATGTTTTACAGCTCTGGGAAAATAGAAAATAAAATGTTCTGTTAGCATGAATCCCTCTGTGCCCCCAAAAAACCCTATGGATTGCATCATTATTACCTAAAAAGTCTATTCTCAAATGCAGCAGAGTGATATTTTTTACAAGGTAGATATTAATTTTAGATATGGAATAATATTGGTGATTTCAATTTTATAACACTGGGTTAAGATGAAAGAATGAGAAGATAAAGGTCCCTCAGCAATATAACTCACAAACATGTTCAGAAGCAGTAAGAAGTTACATTAATTATCTTTTGAAAGTCGATAATCTACATCTTTAATGTATGCATATAGCATAGCTAATGTACTATCGCTGGGTCCATTTATTCAATGAATAATTGCCGCTATGTGTCAGACATTTTTCTAGGCCTAGGAATGGATACATAAGTGAACAAAGCAAAGATTCTGGTTCTTGTAGAGGTTCCATTAAAAGACAATTTAGTAAAACTTTTCTTCCCCCAAATTATAAAATCTGTAAGATGGTTTAACAACATGTGTAAAAGTCATTGTGGGCCAGGCACGGTGGCTCATACCAGGTGTGGTGACTCATAGCACTCTGTCACCCAGGCTGGAGTGCAGTGGCACAATCTCTGCTCACTGCAACCTCTGCCTCCTGGGTACAAGCGATTCTCCTGCCTCAGCTTTCTGAGTAGCAAGGACTACAGGTGCACACCATCACGCCTGGCTAATTTTTGTACTATTAGTACAGACGGAGTTTCACCATGTTGGCCAGGCTGGTCTCAAACTCCTGACCTCAAATGATCTGCCCACCTCGGCCTCCCAAAGTGCTGGAATTACAGATGTGAGCCACAATGCCCGGCCTTATTTTCTACAACTTTGGTAACTTTAGCATATACCCCAAATCTGTAAGACATAATATTATAATTCAAATGCAATGCATGGCTTCTCTTTGTACTCTTTCTCTAGCTTTTGAATTATTTATTCTAATACCAGTTTTAATTCTGACACAAAATCATGGGAGTTCTAATCAAAATCCAACCTTTTATCATAAAAACTATGAAGAAATTATGAGTAGAATTTAAAAAGGAAAATAGGCCTATTAATTAGATTTGTCTTTGTAGCATTTAACTCTATAATAAATAATATTTTATGCCTATGAGTCCCCAACAAAGCCTCCAGCTTCTATTTAGATATAAACTGTAAAAGTCACTACTGGATCCACAAGCAAGACTATGGTAAATAAATTTCTCCACCTAACCAGCTTCTTTTACATGATGTTACATGTTTCTTTTGTTTTTTCATTTTGGCAAATATTGATTGTCATCTTCGTGTTTGTCTATGTCCTAAGTGCTGGGATACAGAATCTGAAAAGATGGACACAGGACCTGCCTTCAAGTTCACCCCCTTTTTTTTTTTTTTTTGAGATGCAGTTTTGCTCTTGTCACCCAGGCTGGAGTGTAATGGTGAGATCTCTGCTCACTGCAACCTCCACCTCCAGGGTTCAAGTGATTCTCCTGCCTCAGCCTCCCAAGTAGCTGGGATTACAGGTCCCAGCCACCACGCCTAGCTAATTTTTGTATTTTTAGTAGAGACAGCGTTTCATCATGTTGGTCAGGCTGGTCTCGAACTCCTAACCTCAGGTAGTCGACCCACCTCGGCCTCCCACAGTGCTGAGATTACAGGCATGAGCCACCACGCCCTGCTAGGAGTTCACGCTTTAGTTGGGGAAAATATACAATAAGCAAGCCAGTTTTTAAAATGAGAACTGCAATTAGAGTTAAATGCTACAAAGACAAACTCACAGGAAGATGGGATGTAGAATGATAAGGCTCTCAGAATAGTAAGAGAAACTATTGCTTCTTACGATGTTTGTCTTTCTTTGTATCGGTGCTCAGCTGAGTCTGCAGTGCTTCAGAGGCAGCTTTCATTTTATAAAAATCTATGATTTCTCCTTCCAGTTGTTTTTTCTCTTCCTCGAGCTTCCTTATCTCCTCCTGTTGAATCATTTTAAGATGCTCGAACTTGTCCTGCAGCTGTGAAACCAATGTGCAGTTGTGACACCAAAGCAGTGTGGCTGAACACCTAAAAGAATACGCTTTTTTTCTGATTATCAAACAAACCCAAATCATCACAGTAGAGCACAATCTTAATAACAATCTCAAAAACTCAGGAGTAAACACTCAGATATGGAATTTTTCTTTTCTTTCTTTTTTCCTTTTATAAGATGGAGTCTCACTCTGTTGCCCAGGCTGGAGTGCACTGGTGCGATCTCAGCTCACTGCAACCTCCATCTCCCAGTTCAAGTGATTCTCCTGCCTCAGCCTCTTGAGTAGCTGGGACTATAGGCATGCATCACCACTACAGGCGTGTGCCACCACACCTGGCTAATTTTTGTGTTTTTAGTAGAGATGGGGTTTTGCCATGATGGCCAGGCTGGTCTCGAACTCCTGACCTCAGGTGATCCTCCCGCTTTGGCCTCCCAAAGACTTTTTTTTTTTTTTTAATATAGAGACAAGTTCTCAGTACGTTGCCCAGGCTGGTCTCAAACTCCTGAGCTCAAGTGATCCTCCCACCTCAGCTTCCCAAAGTGCTGGGACTGACTGGATGCAGTGGCTCATGCTTGTAAACTCAGCACTTTGGGAGGCCAAGGTGGGAGGATCGCTTGAGCCCAGGAGTTCAAGACCAGACTGGGTGATATAACACAATAGTCAACTTCAACAGGAGAGAGAATCTGTAAACTTGAATATAGATCTTCCGAAATTATCCAGTCAGAGGACAGAGAAAAAAAGAATAAAAGAGAGAAAAGAAGGCTGGGTGTGGTGGCTCAAGCCTGTAATCCCAACACTTTGGGAGGCCGAGGCAGGCAGATTAAGAGGTCAGGAGTTCAAGACCAGCCTGTCCAACATGACAAAGCCCCATCTCTACTAAAAATACAAAAATTAGCCGGGTGTGGTGGCACACACCTGTAGTCCCAGCTACTTGGGAGGCTGAGGCAGGAGAATCGCTTGAACCCAGGAGGCGGAGGTTGGAGTGCAATGTGAGCCGAGACCACACATTACACTCCAGCCTGGGTGACAGAGCATGACTCTGTCTCAAAAAGAAAAAAAAAAGAGACAGAGAAAAGAAAGCCAACAAGACACCATTAAGCAAACCATTGTCAGGTTATGGGAGTTTGAGAAGGAAAGTAGAGAAAGGAGAATAAAGCTTATTTAAAGAATGGCTGACAACTGCCTAAATCATGGGAAAGATTTAGACATCTAAATCCATGAAGCTTAAAGATTCCTAAAGAGGTTCAAACCAAATAGATACTCACCAAGTCACAATATAATCAAATAGTCAAAAGTTAAAGAAACTTTGCAGGTCAGGACAGAATCGAATAATACATTCAAAGTGCTGAAAGAAAAAAACTGCCAGCAACTAATACTATGTCTGACAAAGCTGTCCTTCAGAAAGGAAAAAGAAATAATGTGTTTCCTCGACAAACAAAGCTGAGGGCATTCAGGACCACTAGGTCTACCTTAAAAAAATGCTTAACGGAGTTTTTCAAGTAAAAATGAATGAAGTTGGGAGCGGTGGCTCATGCCTGTAATCCCATTTTGGGAGGCTGAGGTGGGTGGATCACCTGAGGTCGGGAGGTCAAGACCAGCCTGGCCAACATGGCAAAACCCCACCTCCAGTAAAAATACAAAAAATTAGCCAGGTATGAAGGCCACTGAGATCGTGCCACTGCACTCCAGCCTGGGTGACAAGAGTCAAACTACATTTCAAAAACAAAAAACAAAACAAACAAAAAAAACAAAACTTGAGGCCTGGCCTTCTGCTCCTCTCCAACCTCCCCTTCTCTGGGCCCAAGCCACCTTGGCTGAGGAGGGGGCGAGGAGGTGTGAGCCCCTGCCAGGAACCCCCTGCCCGGACCAAGTGCTCGGCCCCCAGGCCTGCGTTCAGTGAGGCCTCCCGTGGCGTCAGCATGTTCGTGTGGAGGAATGTGGAAGGTCACTCTGCGGCCGTGTTCTCCTGGTACTCCATCCCCTTCCTGACCCCTCCCTGCAGCCACACGAGGCCCAGCAACCTGCCAGTCACTCAGTGGCCTCCAACCAGAGAAAACAACCTGCCAAGTTGGCAGCCGTTGCTCATGAGCGTCCACCAGGTGGGACAGGGAGTGTTGACCCTGGGCAGCCCCCTGGAGCCACCTGCCCTGAAAGCCCAGGGCCCGCAACCCCACACACTTTGGGGGTGGTGGAACCTGGTAAAAGCTCACCTCCCACCATGGAGGAGGAGCCCTGGGCCCCTCAGGGGAGTCCCTGCTGGACAGTGAGACAGAGAATGACCATGATGATGCTTTCCTCTCCATCATGTCTCCTGACACCCAGTTGCCTCTACCACTCAGATGATGTCAGGCCCAGTCCCTCAGTGCCCTGCGCAAGGAACAGGACTCATCTTCTGAGAAGGATGGACGCAGCCCCAACAAATCAGACAAGGACCACATCCGGTGGCCCATGAGTGGCGCTCATGATCTTCAGCAGGCGGCACCAGGCCCTGGCGGGGCGCACCAGGGTCATCCCAACCAGGATAACCGGACCGTCAGCCAGATGCTGAGCGAGCGGTGGTACACCCTGGGGCCCAATGAGATGCAGAAATACAACCTGGCCTTCCAGGTGAAGGTGGCCCACTTGCAACAAGGACCGAAAGAAGTCCAGCTCAGAGGCCAAGCCCACAAGCCAGGGGCTAGCAGGAGTGTAACAAGGGCTCGTGGGAGCGGAGCATATCAGAGATGGGCACTGCCACTGCCCCTGGGGTGTCCTCTGAACTCCTGTCAGTTGCAGCCCAAACACTCCAGAGCTCGGATACCAAGGAGCAGCTTCTGTGGGGCAGAACGGCTGCACACAGTCAGGGAACCTGGCTCAGCCTGGCCCAAGCCTTCTCCCACAGCGGGGTACACAGCCTGGACGGCAGGGAAATAGACCGTCAGGCACTACGGGAACTGACACAGGTGGTGTCTGGCACTGCATCATACTCTGGCCCAAAGCCTTCTACTCAGCATGGAGCTCCAGGCCACTTTGCAGCCCCTGGTGAGGGAGGTGACCCGTGGGCAGCCCTGCTGCCGCCCACGTGAGCTGCTCATTCCCAGCACATGGCCAGCGAGGTCATAGCGAGTGACGAAGAGCACACGGTCATCCATGAGGAGGGGGTGATGATGTCATTGCTGATGATGGCTTTAGCACCACCGACACCGATCTCAAGTTCAAGGAGTGGGTGACCGACTGAGAGTGGGGACAACTCTGGGGAGGAGCCAGAGGGCAACAAGGGCTTTGGTGGGAAGGTATTTGCACCTGTCATTCCTTCCTCCTTTACTCCTGCCGCCCCTTGCTGGATCCTGAGCCCCCAGGGTCCCCCGATCCACCTGCAGCTTTTGGCAGTCTATGGTCACACCCTGTCCTCCTCCTACACATACTCGGATGCTTCCTCCTCAACCTTGGCACCCACCTCCTTCTTACTGGGCCCAGGAGCCTTCAAAGCCCAGGAGTCTGGTCAACGCAGCAGAGCGGGCCCCCTACGGCCCCAACCCCTGGGGATGGGGGCCCAGGGACGCCTTCCAAGGTGGCCTGTTTCCTCCCAATGGATCCTGCCACCTTCTGGTGCAAGAGACCTGAAAGTGTGGGCGACCTGGAGCTACCAGGCTCCTCAGTCATCAGGGTCCCTCCCAATACTAAGGCTTTCCTAGGCAGGAGCTGGGCTGAGCCACCCGGGGGGCAGAGCCTGAAGAGAAACTGACTGGGCTTTCGGGGTCGGGGCAGAGGGAACCCCACGGACATGGATCCCACACTGGAGGACCCCACCGCGCCCAAATGCAAGATGAGAAGATGCTCCAGCTGCAGTCCAAAGCCCAACACTCCCAAGTGTGCCACGTGTGATGGGGACAGCTTCCCCTTTGCCT
The DNA here is from genome assembly GCF_000001405.40 of Homo sapiens. Lineage (NCBI taxonomy): Eukaryota > Metazoa > Chordata > Mammalia > Primates > Hominidae > Homo > Homo sapiens. Next base: position 138,282,345 of record NC_000009.12, on the reverse strand, counting down.
GTACAGGTGGAGAAGCCGAGGACAGGCTCAGGGAACCGGAGACCGAGAAGGCGCTGTCCTCTTCACTGCACGTACCCTGGACCAGTGCCGGCCCTGATCATGCAGCTCTTCCAGGCCCACTGCTTCTTCCTGTCCACTAGGCCACAGCCGCCCTCCAGGCCCACTATGCACACATCTTCCCCTCCAAGGTTTGTTCTGCCCCTGCCCTGACTCCCAGCCCTGTGGGGGTCCTGACCGCACCTCACCTGGCTCAGACTCTTGACGCTGCCCTGGCTGCCCCACCACTGCTTCTGCCCGAGAGTCACGTGAGGCTGAGAGTAGGGGCAGGGGCAGCAGTGGTGCCAGTTGGGGGGCGGTCCAGTGGGAGGAGCCTCAGCCTCGCAGGCTGCTCCGTGGGACTGATGACTGCATGATCTTCTGGGCACCTCACGGATCTTCAACTGCAGGTGAAACGGATGCTGGTGGTGGGTGCAGGGCCGCTGGGAGCTGCTGCATGGTTCCCAGAGGCTGGACTGAGGCAGGTGCCAACTGAAGCTGCTGGGGCAGCATGGGCAGGATGTTCTGCACACAAACCTTGGAGAAGAAGATGTGTGCATAGCAGGTCCACTGCTGCTGCCCCTGCCCTGACTCCCAGCCCTGCCTGACCCCACCTCAACCTGCTCAGGCTCTGGCACAACCCTGGCTGCCCTGCCACTGCCTCTGCCCCAGAGTTGGGGCCTTGACAGCCTGGTTGGAAGGGGACACCCCAGCCCTGCCTCAACACCTGGGGGTCTCCATAACTAGCACAGGCAGGTGGGCAACCCCAAAGATCCCAGGACTCACAGTACCCCCTGAGAACATGGACAGTATGTGGGGGTAGCAATGGAGGGCAGGATGGTTATCTTCTCCCAGGTGAAGCCATTTAATCCTTTCAGTTTGGGACGGAGTAAGGCCTTCCTCTTTTTTTTTTTTTTTTTTTGAGACCGAGTCTTGCTCTGTCGCCCAGGCTGGAGTGCAGTGGTGCGATCTTGGCTCACTGCAACCTCTTCCCGCCGGGTTCACGCCATTCTCCTGCCTCAGCCTTCCGGGTAGCTAGGATTACAGGTAGACGCTACCACGTCCGGCTAATTTTTGTATTTTTAGTACAGACGGGGCTTCATCATCTTGGCCAGGCTGATTTCGATCTCCTGACATTGTGATCTGCCTGCCTCCCCCTCCCAAAGTGCTGGGATTACAGGCGTGAGCCACCACGCCTGGCCAAGGCCTGCTCCTCTTATCTATACCCCCTACCCCTGCAGCTGTGCCGGGGGAAAGCTGGGCAGTTTCCCTCCTCCGAGCCCCTGTACATACCATGAATTGTGGGACCTTCAGAGCTTTTCACTTTTCGGAAAATAGCTCCTGCTGGGGCTACAAGATGGAGTGTGAAGAGGGCCTTGGGCCACAGGGAGGCGCCTGTGGACTAGGGGGAGTTCATGCACCCCTTCTTTCCCCAGAGGGGCTGGACTCAGGTGAGTATGGGGGTGGGGGCTCCTGCACTTCGACACAGGCAGCGGGAGGGTTTTCTCCCCATTCCCTCTGCACTCCCAACTTGAGCTATACTTTTTAAGAAAGTGATTCACCCTGCCTTTGCCCCCTTCCCCAGAACAGAACACGTTGATCGTGGGCGACATTTTTCATTGTGCCAAAAAGTTGCCATGACCGTCATTAAACCTGTTTAACACCAAATAATAAGGAAAATAAAATAAAAAACTCGGGCTTGACGCAGAAACTCACTCCAAATAAATTACCTACCAAAACATTTACATAATGGTGGAAATATTCCAAAATTCAATATTTTGGGATTTATACACAAAAGATAAACAAATTAGAGGCCAAGAGGCTGCCGGAAGGGAAAAACGGGGCCTGGAATGGCCGACGTGAGGAATGAGCTGGGCCTAAAGAGGCCACTGGCAGGCAGGAGCTGGACCTGCCGAAGTGGCCGAAAGGCAGGAGCTTTGGACTGGGGAGGCCGCAGTGAGGCGAGAGCTAGCTGGGCGTGGAGAGTCCGCTGTGAGGCCGAGGCCGAGGCCGGGCCCGTGCAGGCCTTCGAGAGGCAGGAGGCCGGGCCTGCAAAGGCCGACTGGAGATCAAGTTCTGCGCCTGAAGAGGCTGCCAAAAGTCAAAAGCAGGGCCTGCGAAGGCCGCCGAGAGCCATGAGCTGGGCTGGGCTGAAAGAGGCCACTGGGAGGCAGGAGGAGCTGGGCCTGGAGAGGCTGACTCGAGGAAGTTTTGCACCTGGAGAGGCCGTCGAGAGGACGGAGCTGGGCCCAGGGAGGCCGACTTGCTGCTCTTCCAGGCCCACTTCCAGGCCGACTTGAGGACGACTTGGGCCTGCAGAGGCCGCCGGGAGGCTGGAGCTAAGCCTGGAGAGACTGACTTCGGGACGATTTGGGCCTGCGGAGGCCGCCGGGAGGCCCAAGCTGGGCCTAGAGGAGCCCACCGACCGGAGGCCATTTGGGGCCTGCAGATGTCATCGGAGGGCCAGGAGCTGAGCCTGGAGAGGCCACCGCGAGGCCTGAGCTGGGCCTGGGGAGCTTGGCTTAGGGAAGTTGTGGGCCTACCAGGGCCGCTGGGAGCTGGGCAGGAGCTGAGTCCAAAGACGTTGTTGGGACCTGGAGTCGGGCCAGAGTCCGGCCTGGAGATGCAGCCGGGAGGAAGAGCTGGGCCCGGAGGGGGCGCCGGGAGGCTGCAAGTGGGTCTGAGAGGCCAACTTGAGGAGGCCTGGCCTCTGCCTCCCGCATTGCCCAGCTGTTCCTCCTGGCTGCATCTCCCACCTCCCAGCAAACAAGCTCTTTTGGCTCAGCTCCCGCCTGCGTTTGTAGACCCCGAAGTTTCTGCAACCAAGCTCTTCAGACCCACATCCCTTCTCCCAGTGACTGAACAGTCCCAGCTCCGGCTGGAGAAGGGCGTCTGCAGACCCCGCTGTTGCCTCCCAGGGGAGTCTCCAGGCCCAGCTCTCGCCCCACCGCGACCTCCCAGGCCCAAGTCCCTGCCTACCTCCCAGCAGCCCGAGTGCGATCCTGTTCCTCCCTCACGGTGGCCTGTTGAGGCAGGGGGTCACGCTGACCTCTGTCCGCGTGGGAGGGGCCGGTGTGAGGCAAGGGCTCACACTGACCTCTCTCAGCGTGGGAGGGGCCGGTGTGAGGCAAGGGGCTCACGCTGACCTCTCTCAGCGTGGGAGGGGCCGGTGTGAGGCAAGGGGCTCACGCTGACCTCTGTCCGCGTGGGAGGGGCCGGTGTGAGGCAAGGGGCTCACACTGACCTCTCTCAGCGTGGGAGGGGCCGGTGTGAGGCAAGGGGCTCACGCTGACCTCTGTCCGCGTGGGAGGGGCCAGTGTGAGGCAGGGGCTCACGCCTCTGGGCAGGGTGCCAGAGGCATGAGTTGGGCATCAACAGGCCACCGTGAGGGAGGAGCTGGGCCGCACGCGGGCTGCTGGGAGGCAGGCAGGGACTTGGCCCCGGGAGGCCGCCGTGGGGGCAAGAGCTGGGCCTGGAGAGGCCCCTGGGAGGCAAGGGCGGGGCCTGCAGAGGCTGTTCTCCAACCAGTGCTAGAACTGTACAGGCCACCAGGAGGCAGGAGGTGGGCCCTCAGAGCTTGGCTGGAGAAAGTTCGGGGCCTACAAAGGCGGTTGGGAGCTGGGCAGGAGTTGAGCCAAAAGAGCTTGCTTACTTGCTGGGAGGCAGGGCTGGGAGAGCCCGACTTCAGGACAACTTGGGCCTGCGGCAGTCGCCGGGAGGCCCAACCTTGGCGTGGAGGAGCCCACCGACCGGAGACCATTTGGGGCCTGGAGATGCCATCGGAGGGCAGGAGCTCATCCTGGAGAGGCCACCGTGAGGCCTGACCTGGGCCTGGGGAGCTTGGCTTGAGGAAGCTGTGGGCCGACCAAGGCCGCCAGGAGATGGGTAGGCACTGAGTCCAAAGAGGTTGTTGAGAGGCAGGAATCGGGCCTGGAGACCCAACCAGGAAGAAGAGCTGGGCCCGGAGAGAACGCCCGGAGGGTGCAAGTGGGTCTGGAGAGGCTGACTTGAGGAGGTTCTGGGCCCGGAGAGGCCGCCGGAAGGGAAAAACTGGGCCTGGAAAGGCCGTTGTCAGGAATGAGCCCCATGGGCCTGAAGAGGCCACTGGCAGGCGGGAGCTGGGTGTGTAGAAGCTGCTGAAAGGTTGGGAGCTTGGCTTGGGGGGTCCACAGTGAGGTAGATGCTGGGCGTGAAGAATCTGCTGTGAGGCAGACGTTGGGACTGTAGAGGCTGACGGGAGGCAGAGGCTGGGCCTGGAGGGGCCACCAAGATGCAGGAGCTGGGCCTGGAGAGGCTGCAAAGAAGCATGAGCTGGGCCTGGTGAGGTCGACTTGAGAAAGTTCAGGGCCTGGAGAGAAGGCTGGGAGGCAGGAGCTGGGTCTAAAGAGGCCATTGTAACGATGGAGCTGTGCCTGTGGAGGCTGTTGTGAGGCAGTAGCCTCATCTGCGGAGGCTGCCGTGACGTAGGGTATGGGCCTAAATAGGCCATTGTGAGTCATGAGCTTGGTCTGTAGAGGCTGACTGGAGAAAGTTCTGGGCCTGGAGAGGCTGCCGGGAGGTAGGAGCTGGGCCAAAAGATGTAAGCACATTTGCATTTATTAGGCACTTTATTTCCATTATTACACTGTAATATATAATAAAATAATTATAGAACTCACCATAATGTAGAATCAGTGGGCGTGTCAAGCTTGTTTTCCTGCAACTGGATGGTCCCACCTGAGCGTGATGGGAGAAAGTGACAGATCAATAGGTATTAGACTCTCATAAGGACAGCGCAACCTCGATCCCTCACATGCACGGTTCACAACAGGGTGCGTTCTCCTATGAGCATCTAATGCTGCTGCTCATCTGAGAAGGTGGAGCTCAGGCGGGAATGTGAGCAAAGGGGAGTGGCTGTAAATACAGACGAAGCTTCCCTCACTCCCTCACTCGACACCGCTCACCTCCTGCTGTGTGGCTCCTTGCGGCTCCATGGCTCAGGGGTTGGGGACCCCTGCTCAAGTGCATCCAAAACGACCCTTCCCACACCAGTCTTCACAGTGGTCAAGGGCAGCAACCACTTAGCTCCCAAGGCATGTGCCTCAGCTGGCATTTCGTCACAATCAACAGTAAGTGGTAGCTTGAGTCACTGTGAGGTCACCTACTGGAAATCACCAGCATCCCATTTCCCACTGGCAAAGAGCTCAGCACTGCCCCCTGGGAAACCAAACCTATGCCCAAATCCCATCTGTGTGGGTTTACCTCCTGGGACCCTTCCTAACATATAACCTTCATAACATACTTGAGAGGCTGAGGTGAGACAATCGATTTAGCCCAGGAGTTTGAGATCAGCCTGGACGACATAACTAAATCTCATCTCTACAAGGACGAGGTGGGAGGATCACTTGAGCCCAGGAATTTGTGGCCAGCCTGGGCAACAAAAGAAGACCCCATCTGGCCAACATGGCCAACCTGGCCACCACGGTGAAACTCTGACTCTACAAAAATGATCTGGGCATGGGTGACATGCGTGTGTAGTCCTAGCTACTTGGGAGGTTGAGATGGGAGGATTGCTTGATCTCAGAAGGCCAAAGCTATAGTGAGCTATGATCACATCACTGCACTCCAGCCTGGATGGCACAGGAAGATTCTGTCTCAAAAAAAAGAAAAGAAATATATATTTAATCTCTGTCCCTGGTTCCTGGCACAGAGCTTCTAAAGCTCTTACAAAGACCTCAGTGATAGATGTGACAGGAGCATCTTTTGTTTTAATATTTGGTCTTGGTCCCAGGTTTCTAACACAAGAGCCTCTAAGAACTTTGGGATCTCCAGCATGGTAAGAATGCATTTGGGGATGTTGTTGAGATGACTGGGTGACTGCAAGCTCCTAAATTTCTTCAAGAGGAGGGCTGATTACCATGCAACCACATGGTAAGAGGCTTGGAACTTTCAGCCTCATGCACTGAACTCCAGGGGGAAGAGGGGCTGGAGACTGACTTAATCACCAACAGCCAAAGGTTTTATCAATCATGCTTGCATAATAAAGCCTCCATAAACACCCTGAAAGGGGTTTGCAGAGCTTTCAGGGTTGCTGGACACAGGAGATGCTGGGAGGGTCGCATGTTCAACAGAGGGCATGGGAGCTCTGTGCCTCTCCGAACTTAACTTGCCCTGGGTATCTTTCTTTTTTTTGAGACAGGATCAGGCTCTTTTGTCCAAGCTGGAGTGCAGTGGCACAATCTCAGCTTACTGTAACCTAAGCCTCCCCAGTCCCCAGCTCAAGGTATCCTCTCATCTCAGCTTCCCTAGTAGTTGGAACTCTAGGTGCACAACACCACACCAGTTATTATTATTATTTTTTAATTTTTTATAGAGACAGGTTTTCACCATGTTGCCCAGGCTGGTCTCAAACTCCTGAGTTTAAGCGATCCTCCCACCTTGGCCTCCCAAAGTGCTGAGATTACAGGCATGAGCCACTGCATCCAGCATGCACGTCTCTTTCATTGACTGTTTCTGAGATGTATCCTTCACAATGAACCAGTAATAGGAAATGAACTGGCCAGATGTGGTGGCTCACATCTGTAATCCCAGCACTTTCAGAGGCTGAGGTGGGAGGATCACTTGAGACCAGGAATTTGTGGCCAGCCTGGCCAACACAACAAGACCCCATCTATACAAAAAATAAAAGAAACTAGCCAGATGTGGTGGTGCAGGCATGTAGTCTCAGCTACTAGGGAGGCTGAGGTGGGAGAACCACTGGAACCCAGACAATCAAGGCTGCAATGAGCTATGACTGCACCATTGCACACCAGCCTGGGCAACAAAATAAGACCCTCTCTCTCAGAAAAAAAGAAAATAAACTGTTTTTCTGAGTTCCGTAAACTGTTCTAGCAAATTATTAAACCCAAGAAGACAGTTACGGGAACCCCCGATTGGTAACAGGTTGGTCAAAAGTATGGTGACAACTTAGGACTTGCCATTGTCATCTGAAGTGAGGATGGCCTCGTGGGACTGAGCCCCTAACTTGTGGGGTCTGTGCTAACTCCAGGTAGTGTCAGAATAAAGTCATGGGATACCCAGTTAATATCCAGAGCACTGAAGAATCTGGTGTAGAAACTCCATACGTACATTCAGTCGGAAGTGTGTGAGTAGAGACAAACATGGGCTTTTCTGTCACCTACCTGCTTAACTGCATAGGAGAGGCAATATGTGGTGCTCATGAACAAAGCAAACATTAAAGTCAGACCAGACCCAACATTTGACTCAGTCTTAATATCCAGGTGAGCCTGCGCAAATCATTCATTATTCCTAAGGTTTTCATCACTCCATTCATAAAATGGGGATAACTGTGGCACCTACATGTGATTCTGTGAGAATTAACGAAATATTATGCTTGGGGTTATTGTGATCATTATACCTGTTCCAAACTATTTGACAAGGACAGTGATGGATGAAGACATCAAAAAATCAGAAACTGCAATGAGGTCTCTCAGGCAAAATTCCATACAAGCAAATTACTGTGTCTACAAAGCATTCCTGCCACACTTAATTCACCATTCCCTGAACAGAATATGCCATCTTCGTTGTTCAGGTCTGTACAGTGCTGGTTTCCCTTCCCGGACAGTTTGCGCTATCCCATCCCGGCCCATTCCCCATCCCTCCACCTCCCCCTTCCCTCCCCACTCTCATACAACTCTTCCTCATCTTTCAGGACTTGGCTTCAATGTCACCTTAACTGGAAGCTTCTCTCACTCTCCAGAAGAGCTTCCCATTGCACCTGATGCATGGGAAACATAATTTGATCATTTTTAAGTTACAGTCCAAATCTTTTTGTACCTGAATAACATGTTGCCCAGTCAGTCTCTCTTCCTGGATTCACAAGTCTTTCATGGTAGATCCAGCTGGAAGTGACAAAAAGACATCTTTTGACATAAAGGGATGACACAGACAGACATAAGTTCTTAAATGTCTTAAATGTTATGTGAGAATTAAACAGAATTCAAAGACTTGTGGGGAGCACTTAGGAAGTTACTGGGAATGTCATGAAGGGTTAATTTGTATTTTATTTTATTTTTTGAGACAGTCTCATTCTGTCACCTAGGCTGGAGTGCAGTGGTGCAATCAGGCTCACTGCAGCCTTGACCACCTGGGCTCAAGTAATCTCACTTAATTTTTATTTGGTTTAAGAAAGTCTTGGTTGAGGGTGGTGGCTTATGCCTGTAATCTCAGCACTTTGGGAGGCTGAGAGAGGTATATTACTTGAGGCCAGGAGTTTGAGATCAGACTGGGCAATATATTAAGACCCTGCCTCTACCAAAAAACAGAGTGAATGTGTGGAAGACAATTTTTCCACAGACTGGGAATGAGGGAATAATTTCAGGATGATTCAAGTGCATTACATATATTGTGCACTTTATTTCTATTATTACTACATAGTAATATATAATGAAATGATTCTACAACTCACTATAACGTAGACTCAGTGGGATCTCTGAGCTTGTTTTCCTGCAACTAGACTGTCCATCTGGGGTGATGGGAGACAGTAACAGAATATCAGGCATTAGATTCTCATAAGGAGTACACAACCTAGATCCCTCGCATGCACACTTCACAACAGAGTTTGTGCTCCTGTGAGAATCTAATGCTGCTGCTGATCTGACAGGACATGGAGCTCAGGTGGTCATGCAAGCGATGGGAGGGGCTAGAAATACAGATGAAGTTTCCCTTCACTCGCCTGCTGCTCACCTCCAGCTCTGTGGCCCTGTGGTTGGAGACCGCTGCTCAAGTGCATTTGAAAGGAACCAACCCACGCCATTCTTCAGAGTCATCTTTACTGCTGCAGTGGTCAACTTGTAGCACCCCTAAGCTCGCAGGACATATGCTTCAACTGGCATTTCACAATCAACAGTATGTGGCAGCTTGAGTCATTGTGAGCTCACATCCTGGAAATCACCAGCATCCCATATCCCATTGCAAGGAGCTCAGCACTGCTCCTTGGATAACCAAACCTATTCCCAAATCCCATCTGTGTGCGTCTATCTCCTGGTACCCTTCCTAGCATCAATTCTGTATTTGTAGGAGTCCAATCAGGAGACACAAACCACTCAAAAGTTTAAACTAGAATGAGCAAGATGGCTCACACCTGTAATCCCAGAACTCTGGGAGGCCAAGGTGGGTGGACTGCTTTGAGCTCAGGAGTTTGAGAACAGTCTGGGAAACATGGCGAAACCTCGTCTCTACAAAAAACACAAAAATCAGCTGGGTGTGGTGGCACTTACCTGTAATCCCAGCTACTCGGGAGGCTGAGGCAGGAGAATTGCTTGAGCCTGGCAGGTGGAGGCTGCAGTGAGCAGAGGTTGTGCCACTGTACTCCAGCCTGGGTGACAGTGTGAGACCCGGTATCAAAAAGAAAAAACGTATATATATATGTAAATTTAATATAAAAAGTATTAATTTTGGCCAGGCAAAATGGCTCATGCCTGTAATCCCAGCACTTTGGGAGGCCAAGGCAGACAGATCACCTGAGGTCAGGAGTTCGAGACCAGCCTGACCAGCACAGAGAAACCCCATCTCTACTAAAAATACAAAATTAGCTGGGCATGGTGGCACATGCCTGTAATCCCAACTACTCGGGAGGCTGAGGCAGGAGAATTGCTTGAACCCAGAAGGTGGAGGTTGCGCTGAGCCGAGATAGCGCCATTGCACTCCAGCCTGGGCAACAAGAGTGAAACTCCATCTCAAAAAAAAAAAAAGGTATTAATTTTTACAGAGGATCAGCACAATGAGGGACACACTAGCACAAAGTAAAGACAACTCTAGAGAATACGGAACTAGCAGAGGCCAGGCATTGTGGCTCATGCCTGTAATCCCAGCAATTTGGGAAGCCTAGGCAGGAGGATCGCTTGAGGCCAGGAGTTGGAGACCAATCAGTGCTAAATAGTGAGACTCTGTGTCTACCAAAAAAAAGAGACATTAGCCAGGTGTGGTGGTGGTGCACACCCGTAGTTCCAGCTACTTGGGAGTCTGGGGTGGGAGAAATCCCTTGAGCCTGGGAAGTCTACACTACAGTGAGCCAAGATTGTGCCACTGCACTCCAGCCTGGGCGACAGAGTGAGACCCTGTCTTAGAAAGAAAAAAGAAAAGAAAGTGTTAATCCCCCTATGGGAATCTCCTCTTCTCCTGCCCTCTCTGGAACCTCACTTGTCAGTTCTTCCTCCCACTTTCCTGTATCTTTAACCTATCCCCCACTTTTAGCTCCTTCCCATCATCATTTAAATTACTCAAACTTCTTCTGTTTTAAAAACCTCTCCCTAAACTCAGGGAGAGGTCTTCTGCACACACATTGAGCCATCTGCTCTTCCCGGTGCCTTCTCTACAGCAGCCTGAGCCATGTCTCTAATCTATGAATCTCATCATGTTACTCCCCCATTTACATCACTTCTCCTTGCCTCAGGGATTAAGTCCAAACTCCTTAACAGCCCCTGCTCTGCCCTGCCTTGCAAGGCAGCCTCACTGCTTGCCCCTCTCCATTTCATCTGCTATGGAGTCCAACTGAGCCTCATCTGCCCCTTGAACGCACACTCTTTCTCCTCTGGGAGTCTCTGAAGTGGGTAATATCCTCTGCTTATAATATGCTTCCCCTTAAACCTCTACTCTCTTCCTAGCTAGCTTTGACTCCTCTGTCACTTGTCCGCTTTGGCATCACCTCCTCATAGAAGACTTCTATGACTCCCGAGATTCTCAGGAGCATGGCAGGTGAAGTGCTCCTCCCATGAATGGATGGAGATTAGGGAGTGTGTGTTATTCATGCTTAATTCACCAGTGCTTAGCTGAGTACCTGGCATAAAATAGTTACTGTGGTGGCCAAAGTAATAACCCCCACCGCCACCAATTGCTCATGTCCTATGTTACACAGCACAGTTACAGAGGAAGGGGGAATTAAGAGTGCAGATAAAATTAATGTTGCTCATCAGCTGACCTTAAAACAAGATTATCCTGGAGTATCTAGGAGAGCCCATGTAATTACAAGCATTCTTTAAAACTGGAAGAGGGAGGCAGAAGGTTAAGAACCAGAGACGGTGGGCACAATGGCTCATGCCTGTAATACCAATACTTTGGGAGGCCAGGGTAGGAAAATCCCTTGAGTGCAGGAGTTCAAGGTCAGCCATGGCAACATACTGAGGTCCCATCTCTACAACAAAATAAAAACAAAATTCACTGAGTGTCACGATGCTTACCTGTAGTCCCAGCTACTGGGAAGGCTGACATGGTAGGATTGCTTGAGCCTGGGAGTTTGAGGCTATAATGAGCCATGATAGGACCACTGAACTCCATCCTGAGTGACAGGGCAAGGTCCTGTTTCTGAAGAAAAAAAGGACATTGGAATCAGGGCCCTCTCCATCCTGAGGTGCCTACAAGGCATCTCTCTCTGCAAACGAGTAAACATCACCCTCCAACTCCTTACAGAGTGGAGCAACAGGAAAACTCCTTCACCTCATTTCTGTGCTGCTTGGGAGGCCTGGACAGCCCAATAACCAGCTCCTCGCTGATGAAGCAATCAGGAAATGGCTCGAGTTGAGCTAAGGAGAATTTGGATCCTTCCTTTGGTTCTCAGTAGGCAGGGTAGGGGCCAGGCATGGTGGCTCATACCTGTAATCCTTGCACTGTGGGGGGCCAAGGTGAGAGGATTGCTTGAGGCCAGGAGCTCAAGACCAGCCTGGACAACATAGCAAGACCTGGGTGGCACACACCTGTGGTCCCTACTACTTGGTAGGATGAGGTGGGAGGATTGATCACTTGATCCCAGGAGTTTCAGGCTGCAGTGAGCCATGATCACACCACTGCACTTCAGCCTGGGTGACAGAGCCAGACCATGTCACAAAAAGTTAGAAAAAAAAAAGAGAGAGGGAGAGAGACTATACACAGGCACCACCACATTTGGCTAATTTTTAAATATTCTGTAGAGACAAGGTCTTGCTAGGTTGCCCAGGCTAGTCTAAAACTCCTGGCATCAGGCTGGGCATGGTGGCTCATGCTTGTAATCGCAGCACTTTGGGAAGCTAAGGCAGGCAAATCACCTGAAGTCTGGAGTTCGAGACCAGCCTGGCCAACACGGTGAAACTCTGACTCTATCAAAAATACAAAAATCAGCTGGGCAGTAGTGGCGTGTGCCTGTAGTCTCACCTACTCGGGAGGCTGAGGCAGGAGAATCACTTGAACCTGGGAGGTGGAGGTTGCAGTGGACCCCATCACTGCACTCCACCCTGGGTGACAGAGCGAGACTGTCAACAACAACAACAACAACAAAAACAAAAACAACAACAACAAAAAAAACTCCTGGCATCAAGACATCTTCCTGTCTTAGCCTCCCAAAGCCCTGGGATTATACTGTTTCCTATAATTGAAGACACTTGTTCTTATACTGCTTTAAGGTATAAAGGAAGAAAAAAAAAACAGATAATGGCAAATGTTGGTGAAGGCCGGGCATGGTGGCAGCCTGTAATTCCAGAACTTAGGGAGGCTGAGGTGGGCAGATCACTTGAGGCCAGGAGTATGAGACCAGCCTGGGCAACATGGTAAAATCCCACCACTACAGAAAAATATAAAAATTAGCCAGGCATGGTGGCGTACACCTGTAATTTTCAGCTACCCAGGAGGCTGAGATGAGAGAATCACTTGTGCCTGGGAGGTCACGGCTGCAGTGAACTGTGATGGCATCATTGCACTGCGGCCTGAGAGACAGAGCAAGCCCCTATCTAGAAAAAAAAAATGTCAGTGAAGATGTGGAGGAATTGGAACCCACATACATTACTGGTGGGAACATAAAATTGTGTAACCATTTTGTTTGGGTATTTCTTTTCTTGTCATTTTAATTGGATTTTTAAAAAATCAAGACGGGGTTTCACTATCTTGCCCAGGCTGGTCTTGAATTCACGGGCTCAAGCCATCCTCCTAGCTGAGCCTCCTGAGTAGCTGGGATTACAGGTGTGAGCCATTGCACCCAACTGGTATAGCCACGTTAGAAAACATTCTGGCAGTTTCTCAAAAGGCTAAATGTACAGTCATCCTATAATGCAACAATTTCACTCCTAGGCATATATCCCAGAAAAATAAAAATATATGTCCACACAAAAACTTGTACAACAATCTTCATAGCAGCATTATTCATAATGACCAATACATGGAATACATGGAAACAACCCAAATATCCACCAACTGATGAACAGATAAACAAAATGCAGTGTGTCTCTACCATGGAATACTGCCATAGAAGGAATGAAATATTGATACACACTATGACATAAAGGAACTTTGAAAACACTGTGCTAAGAGGGAAAAAAAGCCACAAAAGATCACATATTGTACAATTCTATTTGTCCAGATTAGGCAAATCTATAGTGACAAAAAAATTAATCAATGGTTGCCTAAGGCTGGGGGCAAAGGTAGGTGGGGAGAGTAGGAGGTAGTGGCTAAGGGGTATGGATTTCTCTATAGGGTAATGAAAGGTTCTAAAAGTGACTGTGGTGATCGATGCACAGCTCTGTGAATATTCTAAAACCTACTGAATTGCAGATTTCAATAAATAAAGTGAATGGTATGTGAATATTTTAATAAAGCTATTATTTAAAATAATAATAATAGGGGGCTGGGCACAGGTGGTCATGCCTGCCTGTAATCCCAGCACTTTGGGAGGCTGAGGCAGGAGGATCACTTGAGGTCAGGAGTTTTGAGCCCAGTCGGAGCAACATGGCAAGATCCCGTCTCTATGATAAAAAATTACCTGGACATGGTGGCACATGTCTGTAGTCCCAGCTACTTGGGAGACTGAAGTGAGAGAACCACTTGAGCCCAGGAGTTTGAGGCTACAGTGAACCATGATCATGTCACTGTACTGTAGCCTAAGCAACAGAGCAAGACGCTGTCTCTGAAAAGGAAAGAAAACAAATGCAAGTTTTTATCACTTTGTGAGTGTAGCCAAGTTGGAGGAGAAATAGACAATAATAAAAGAGCACTGAATAATGACAGTGAGTGGCTGGTTAGGCTCAGTTGCTAGCTAAATGGCTTCTAAAAAATTCAATAAAGTTACAGCTCTGGGGACAGTCATGTAGTCAAAGAATGAAGGCGAAATTCATTACAATTGCCCATGGTCTTTATTTACATGCCTTCTAGTGAAAAATTCCTAAGTGCCTAAACAGCAAGTCTGCAATGATAGCAGCTGTTTATTAAAGACTACAAAAAAGAAATGGAGGCCGGGCGTGGTTGTTCACATCTGTACTCCTTGAATTTTGGGAGGCTGAGGCAGGCAGATTGCCTGAGGTCAGGAGCTCCAGAGGAGCCTGGCCAACATGGTGAAATCCCATCTCTACTAAAAATACAAAAATTAGCTGGGTATGGTGGCGGGCACCTGTAATCCCAGCTACTCGGGAGGCTGAGGCAGGAGAATTGCTTGAACCCAGAAGGTGAAGGTTGCAGTGAGCCAAAATCGCACCATTGCACTCCAGCCTGGGTGACAAGAGAAAGACTCTTATCTTAAAAAAAAAAAGAAAAAAAAGAAATGGCATCTTCTTCAAGAATTACATCGTGTTTCATGATAAAGAAGCTCTAATTTTGCATTTGTTCAAGTATTGATGAGATTTACCCAATATGACACCCATCTTGGATAAAATGCAAACAACACAATTTCATTTTCTCATTAACAAAACCGATTAAGTAGTCTAATATAAATTGCGATCTTATTAAAAACTGATCCGATTTAAAAAATTATGGAATTATGGAGCCAATAAGATGTTACAACCTGTTCCAAGGGGAATTCCAAAATCCACACATATCTGAGACCATCAAGTATGATGAAATATATTTGATTACTATATTGAAAAATAAACTGATTACATAGCCAACAATTGGACAGGGGTCTCCTCATCCACAGCCACACAAACCCGATCATGCAGCTGTATGGTTACAAGGCCTACATAGCCTAGAAGGGACTGGTCTGACTTGAGATTTCATTTGTATTTGTATTTTGAGACAGGGTCCCACTCTGTCACCCAGGATGGAGTGCAGTGGTATAATCATAGCTCACTGCAACCTTGACCAACTGGGCTCAAGAGATGCTCCTGCCTCAGCTGCCCCCATACCTGGGAATACAGGCAAGTATCACCATGTCAGGCATTTTTTTCATTTTTGTAGAGAGAGAAGACTTGCTATGTTGCCCAAGCTGGCCTCAAACTCCTAGAATCAAGAGATCTGCCCATCTCAGCCACATGAGTAACTGGGGCCATAGGTACATACCATCATGCCTGGCTATATTTATTTTCTTTTATTAAATTTATTTTTTTTATTTTTGTAGAGAGGAGGTCTTGCTGTGTTGCCCAGGCTGCTCTCAAACTCATGGCCTTAAAACATACTCCCATCTCTGCCTCTCAAACTGTTGGAACTATAGGTGTGAGCCACTGTACCTGGCCTGACTTGGGATTTCTTTTATCTAGCATCCTTTACTTGGTAGGATTGGGAAAAGCAGTAGTGTTTTTTAAAATTACTTAATAATTCAATCAGAATCAAACTCAACCTTGACCACTGCCTTCTCTCACAGCTCACATCCAGTCTGTCAGGAAATCCTACTGACTGACTTCAACATGTATCCAGGCTCTAACCATCTCTCACCACCACCATGAACCCCGTCAGGATCACTATCATCTCCCACCGGGATGTTGCCACAGCTTGGCTCCCATGCTTCTACCCAAATCTTCCCATAGTCTTTCTCAACTCGGCAGCCAGGTCGTGCTTTTAAATCAGGAGACGGATCATGTCGCCTCTCTGCTCAGAAGCCCTCGGTGGTTCCCATTTTAGTCAGAGCAAAAGCCAAAGCCCCAGCAATAGCGTCCCAGGGCTTACACGATCTGTACCGATCCCAGCCCAGCAACTCCCTGGCCTCCTCGCTGACTTCGCTCCATCTCTTTGCTCCACTGGCCTCCTTCCAGAGCCTCAGACACACCAGAGAGTTTCCTCCTAATGCCTTTATCCTGTTGACTCAGCCTACAATGCTCTTCCCTCAGCACCTTGGCCAGCTCCATCACCTGCTTCAAACTTTTGCTCAATATTCACTTATGAGGCCAACCCTGACCACTCTACTTAACACTGCCATCTGTCCCCATTCCCACCATGCTCATTTCTTTCTTTCTTTTTGAAACAAGATCTTGCTTTATTGCCCAGGCTGGAGTACACTGGTGCAATCACAGCTCACAGCAACTTCAACCTCCCAGGCTTAAACAATCCTCCCGCCTCAGCCACCCTAGGAACTGAGACTACAGCTGCATGCCACAACACATGGCTTTTATTTTTTTTTTTTTGAGACGGAGTCTCGGTCGCCCAGGCTGAAGTGTAAGGGTGCGATCTTGGCTCACTGCAATGTCTGCCTTTTGGGTTCAAGTGATTCTCTGCCTCCCAAGTAGCTGGGATTACAGGCACCCACCACCACACCTGGCTAATGTTTGTATTTTTAGTAGAGATGGGGTTTCACCATCTTGGCTAGGCTGGTCTTGAACTTCTGACCTCGTGATCCACCCTCCTCGGCCTCCCAAAGTGCTGGGATTACAGGCGTGAGCCACTGCGCCTGGCCTTTAAAAAAATATTTTTTTTAGACATGAGGTCTCATTATGTTGCCCAGGCTGGTCTTAAGCTCCTGGGCTTAAGCGATCCTCCCACCTCAGCCTCCTAAAGTTCTGGGATTACAGGCGTGAGCAACTGTAACATGAGGTCCCAGCTTCGTGTTCATTTTTTGTTGTTGCTACAACAAAGTACCCTACATTTAGTGGCATCAAACACCACAAATCTACCATCTTACAGTTCTGGGGGCCAGAAGCCCAACTAGGTCTATTAAGGCTAAAGTCAAGGTGTCAGAGAGGCTGCATTCCTTCTGGGGGAGGCTCTAGACAGAATGTGCTCCTTTGCCTTTTCCAGCTTCTAGAAGCCACCCCCATTCCTTGACTTACCTCGTGACTCCATATTCAAGGCCAGAAGTGCAGCATCTTCAAATCTCCCTCTCTGACCTCTTCTTCCATTACCACATCACTTTCTCTAATTCTGACTCTCCTACCTCATTCTCTTATAAAGATCCTTGTGATTGGTGGGTATGGGGGCTCCCATCTGTAATCCCAACATTTTGGGAGGCCAAAGAGGAAGGATTGCTTGAGGCCAAGAGTTAGAGATCAGCCTGGGGAAAATAGGAAGATCCTGCCTTTACAAAATTAAAATCAGCTGGACATGGTGATGCATGCCTGTAGTTCCAGCTACTGGAGAGGCTAAGGTGGGAGGATTGCTTTAGCCTAGGAGGTCAAGGCTGCAGTGAGCTATGATCACATCACTGCACTCCAGCCTCAGTGGCAGAGTGAGACTCTGTCTCCGATATAAGAAAAGAAATATACATTTGGTCTCTGCCCCTGGTTCCTGGCATAGAGCTTCCAAAGCTCTTATAAAGCCCTTCGTGACAGAGGTAATAGGAGCATTTTCTGTTTTGATATTTAGTCTTAGTCCCAGGTTCCTGACACAAGGGCCTCTAAGGTCTTTCAGATCTGCAGCATGGTAAGAATGCATGTGGGATGCTGTTGAGCTAACGGGGTGGCTGCAAGCTCCGAGACTGCTTCAGGAGGAGGGCTAGCTGCCAGAGAAAGCAACCACATTTTTTTTTTAAAACAGAGTTTGGCTCTTGTAGCCCAGGCTGGAGTGCAATGGCACAATCTCAGCTCGCTACAACCTCCACCTCCCGGGTTCAAGCAATTCTCCTGCCTCGGCCTCCCGAGTAGCTGGAATTATAGGGGTGTGCCACAATGCCTAGCTAACTGTTGTTATTTTTAGTAGAAACGGGGTTTCACCATGTTGGTCAGGCTGGTCTCAAACTCTTGACCTCAAGTGGTCCATGTGCCTCAGCCTTCCAAACTGCTAGGATTACAGGAGTGAGCCACCGCACCTGGCCCCAACCACATTTTTTGAGGCTTGGAACTTTCAGCCTCACCTGCTGAACTCCAGGAGGCAAAAGGAACTGGAGATTGACTTAACTACCAATGGCCAGTGATTTTATCAATCATGCCTCCATAAACACCCAAACAGCAGGGTTTGGAGAGCTTCTGTGTTGCTAAACACAAGGAGGTCCTGGGAGGGTAGTGTGCCCAACAGAGGGCATGGAAGCTCTGTGCCCCTCCCCACTTACCTTGTCCTGTGCATCTCTTTCATTGGCTGTTCCTGAGATGGAGCCATTACATTGAGCCAGTAATAGAAAATAAGGTGGCCAGATGCACTGGCTCATGCCCGTAATCCCAGCACTTTGGGAGGCAGAGGTGGGCGGAATCACTTGAGCCTAGGAATTTGAGACCAACCTGGGCAACATAAGAAGACCCCATCTATACAAAAAATAAAAGAAATTAGCCAAATGTGGTGGTGGGAACCCTGTAATTCCAGCTACTTGAGAGGCTGAAGCAGGAGAATCACTTGAGCCCTGGATGTTGAGGCTTCAATAAGCTATGATTGCACCACTGCACACCAGCTTGGACAACAGAGCGAGGCCCTGTCTCTTAAAAAGAAAAGAAAAAAAACTTGTTTTTCTAAGTTCTGTGAGTTGTTCTAGTAAATAATTAAACTCAACAAGAGGGTCATGGGAAACCCTGATTTCTAACTGGTTGGTCAAAATACAGGTGACAACCTAGGACTTGCAACTGGCATCTGAAGTGAGGGTGGTCTTGTGGGACTGAGCCCCTAACCTGTGGGTTCTGTGCTAACTCTAGGTAGTGTCAGAATGGAATTGTGGGATACGCGGTTGGCATCCAGAGAGTTGGAGAACTGGTGTAGAAACTCTGCACACACATTTGGTCAGAAGTCTGTGAGTAGAGAGAAACGTGTTGCAGGAAGTCAGGGACCCCAAACGGAGGGACTGGCTGAAGCCACAGCAGAAGAATATAAATTGTGAAGATTTCATGGACATTTATTAGTTCCCCAAATTAATACTTCTATAATTTCTTAGGCCTGTCATTACTGCAATCTCTGAACATAAATTGTGAAGATTTCATGGACACTTATCACTTCCCCAATCAATACCCTTGTGATTTTCTATGCCTGTCTTTAATCTCTTAATCCGCTCATCTTCGTAAGCTGAGGATGAATGTCCCCGCAGGACCCTGTGATAATTGCGTTAACTGCACAAGTTGTTTAAACAATATGAAACCTGGGCACCTTGAAAAAAGAACAGGATAACAGCAATTTCAGGGAACAAGGGAGATAACCTTAAACTCTGGCTGCCTGTGGGCCGGGTTGAACAGAGCCATATTTCTCTTCTTTCAAAAGCAAATAGGAGAAGTATTGCTGAATTCTTTTTCTCAGCAAAGAACATCCCTGAGAAAGAGAATGCATCCCTAAGGGGAGGCCTCTGAAATGGCCGCTTTGGGGACGGCTGTCTTTTACAGTCATAGATAAGGGATGAAATAAGCCCTGGGTTCGCGTGGCGCTCCCAGGCTTATCAGGACAAGGAAATTCCCGCCTAATAAATGTTGGTCAGATGGGTTGTCTGCTCTCAAACCCTTTCTCCTGATAAGATGTTATCAATGACAATGCGCGCCCGAAACTTCATTAGCAATTTTAATTTCGCCCCAGTCCTGTGGTCCTGTGATCTTGCCCTGCCTCCATTTGCCTTGTGATATTTTATTACCTTGTGAAGCATGTGATCTCTGTGACCCACACCCTATTCGTACACTCCCTCACCTTTTGAAAATCACTAATAAAAACTTGTTGGTTTTGCGGCTTGGGGGGCATCACGGAACCTGCCGACGTGTGATGTCTCCCCTGGACATCCAGCTTTAAAATTTCTCTCTTTTGTACTCTTTCCCTTTATTTCTCAGACTGGCTGACACTCAGGGAAAATAGAAAAGAACCTACATGAAATATCAGGGGTGAATTTCCCCCGATATCACACTGGCTCTTCTCTCACCTGTCTACCTGCTTAACTTAATAGGAGAGGCAATGCATGGTGCTCATGAACAAGGCAAGCATTAAAGTCAGACCAGACTAACATTTGACTCAGTCCTAATATTCAGGTGAGCTTGGGCAAATCGCTCATTAACCCCAAGTCTTCATCATTTTGTGCATATAATGGGGATAACTGTGGCACCCACCTGTTTTTGTGAGAATCAATGAAATATTATGCTTGATGTTATTGTGATCATGATACTATCTGACAAGGGCAGTGATGCATGATAACATCAAAAAATTAGAAACTGTAATGAGGTCTCTTGGGCAAAATTCCATACAGGCAAATTACTGTCTCTACAAAGCATTTCTGCCACACTTAATTCACCATACCCTGAACAAAATGTGCCATCTTCATTGTTCAGGTCTGTATAGTGCTGGTTTCCCTGCCTGGGCAGCTCACTCCATCCCATCCCAGCCCAATCCCCATCCCTCCACCTCCCCCTTCCCTCCCCACTCTCATACAACTCTTCCTTATCTTACAGGACTTGGCTTCAATGTCACCTTAACTGGAAGCTTCTCTCCCTCTCCAGAAGAGCTTCCGATTGCACTTGATGCATGCACTATTATTTGATCATTTTTGAGTTACAGTCCAAGTCTTTTTGTACCTGAATAACATGTTGCCCAGTCAGTTTCTCTTCCTGGATTCAGAAGTCTTTCATGGTAGGTCCAGCTAGAAGTGACAAAAAGACATTTAAAAAAAAAAAAAAAGAGGGATGACACAGACAGACATCAGCACTTAAAAGTTTTAAACGATATGTGAAAAACAAAATTTAAGGGCTTCTAGGAGAAATGTAGGAGGGAAGGTGTTACTGGGAAATATGATAGAAGGTTAATTTTTATTTTATTTTATTTTTAGAGAAAGGGTCTTGCTCTATCACCTAGGCTGGACTGCAGTGGTGCAATCACAGTTAACTGCAGCCTCAACCTCCAGGGCTTGAGCAATATTCCCATCTAATTTTTATTTTGTTTAAGAAATGCAGTCTTGCTCTTAGCAAAGCTAAAGTGCAATGGTGTGATCATAGCTTACTGCAGCCTCAACCTTCTAGACTCAAGTGATCCTCCAGTCTTAGCCTCCCCAGTAGCTCGGACTACAGGTGTGCACTGCAACGTGTAGCTCATTTTTTTTTTTTAATTTTTAGTAGAGACAAAGTGTCACTATGTTGACCAGGTTGGTGGTGATCTCCTACACTCAGGCAGTTCTCTCACCTCAGCCTTCCAAAATGCTGGGATTACAGGTGTGAGCTGCCACACCTGGCTGAGGGGGTTAATTTTTAATTATATAAAGAGCTCAAAGCAAATATTAGAAGGAGCCTAAATGCCTCCAGCAGTTGACTGGTACTGGTAAATTGTGATACATCCATATAATAAAATATTATGCAACCATGAAAAGGATTAAGATAGATCAATAGGTATTGGCACAAATGTCCACGAAATATGAAAATATGAAGTGATGTTCAATCACCATGTACGTATCTTGAAGGATATGGCCCATTTTCTCAACTGCAATTATTTCCTGAGATAAGATTATGGGTCTAAAGAGTGAAGGACATTTTTCACTTATTTAAAAGTATTTATCATTTTTATAATTTAATAAAAGATTAAACAGATCATTGAATTAGTAAAAGACAAAGTAACTCTATAAATAAATGGAAAAGACACAGATACCCCAGGCATGGTGGCTCATGCTTATAATACCAGTACTTTGGGAGGGGGTGGTGGGGGGATTGCTTGAGGCCAGGAGTTCCAGACCAGCCTAAGAAACAAAGCAAGACCTCCTCTCTAGTAAAAATAAAAAAATAAAAATAATTGGCCAGGCATAGTGGCATGTGCCTATAGTCCCAACTACTGAGGTGGAAGGATCACCTGAGCCTAGGAGGTCAAGGCTGCAGTGAGTTGAGACTGTGCCACTACACTGAAGCCTAGGAGACAGAGCGAGACTTCATCTCAAAAAAAAAAAAAAGGACAATAAAGAAATAAAGCTAATAAGCTAACATAAGGAAAGATAAAATATGTGACAAATAGGCTGGGCACATGGCTCACAGCTGTAATCAAGCACTTTGGGAGGCCAAGGCGGGTAGATCATGAGATCAGGAGTTCGAGACCAGCCTGATCAACATGGTGAAACCACGTTTCTACTAAAAATACAAAAATTAACCAGGCATGGTGGCATATGCCTGTAATCCCAGCTAATAGGAGGTCTTTCATTTATCACACAGAAAATAACTTGTTAAATTATAATACCTGTGTGGGCGAAGGTGCAGTGAAATGGCCATTTTCTTGTAGTATTAGTGGTGTTTAAAATGTATATAAGCCTTCCAGCATAAAGCTTGGAAATTTTTTTTAAATCATACAGACAGTGACTCATTATACTGCCTCCTCCAACTCCTGGCCTCAAGCAATCCTCCCACCTCAGCCTCCCAAAGTGCTGGAATTACAGGCTGACAGCCACCATGCCTGAAAGCTTTGCAATTTACATCGAGGGTAATAAGAATGCTCATGCCCTGTGACTCACAGTAATCTCACTTCTGGAAATTTCACCTTTGGATATAATTCAACCTAAACAAAAGGTCATATGCACAAACACAGTGAAAATCTGGGAGTAATTTTTTTCTCTTTTTTTAAAAAAATATGGAATGCTTCACAAATTTGCATGTCATTCTTTCACAGAGGCCGTGCCAATCTCTCTATTGTTCCAACTTAAGTATGTGTGCTACTGAGGCAAGCATGAGTAATTTAAGATAGGGTGGTTAAGTGAAATAAGGAAGAATTATGGAGAATTTAAAAATCTATGCTATTTATAGGCACCTAGTAACAGCTCAGTAAATATTAGCTGCTACTATTATTATTTTTATGGTAATTTCACTCAATTAAAAACTGTCGTTAAAAATTACCATTGTCATGGAACATAATGTCTCCTACTGTATAATTGTAGAAACAGATACAATTTGTCCCTTGGTATATGGGGGGATTAGTTCCAGCTCTCCCATTTCTGTGTATACCAAAATCCACGCATACTCAAGTTTTCGAAGTCAGTCCTGTGGAATCCACATATAACACAAATGGGAAAATTAGTGAGGTGTGGTGACAAGCACCTGTAGTCCCAGCTACTTGTGAGGCTGAGGCAGGAGGATTGCTTGAGCCCAGGAGGTTGAGGCTGCAGTGAGCCATAATTGCACCACTACACTCCAGTCTGGGCAACAGAGTGAGACAGAAGGTTGACTTTTTAATAGAATTTTTCTGTTCACTTGAAGATATGGTCAGGATTGTGGCATATGAAAATTCTTCATAAAATAACTATCTAATCCAATTAATGCTGGAATTGGGAACAGCAGAAGTGTCATCTCAGAGCTACTCGCAATGAAAGGTGATGTCTGGGGCTCAGGTGTGTTGAGGTCCCCATGCCTGGACTATGGGTGCTGAGTGGGATTTACTTGTCCATCCATTTTCTATATTCCAGCACTGGGAAACTAGGGACAGTACTTGTTCTCAAGGGAATCTTCAGCTTAGGTGGCTCTGTAAAAGAGAAATTACATCATTGAAAAATCGTCGCAGGTCAGGTGAGGTGGCTCATACCTATAATCCCAGCCCACTGGGAGACTAAGGCAGGAGGATTCCGTGAGGCCAGGAGTTCAAGACCAGCCTGAGCAACACAGTGAAACCTCATCTCTACAAAAAATTAGAAAATGAACTGGGTGCGGTAAAACATTCGTATAGTCCCAGCTACTCTGGAGGCTGAAATAGGAGGATCGCTTGAGCCCAGGAAGTGGAAGCTGCAGTGAGCTCTGATCTCACCACTGCACTCTAGCCTTGGTGACAGAGTGAGACCCTGTCTTAAGACACACACAAACACACACACACACACACACACACACACCCAATCTCACTCTGTCCAGCCTTGACTAATCAAAAGGGCCTTCTGGTTACAGAAGAGGTATGCTCTTTTGTAGGACAGGGAGAGACCAGCAAGCTTGTTCACAGACTTTTCCTCATCCTCTGCTTAGTTTTCCAAGAACCCTCACAGTGGAAATGGAGTCTCTGGGAAAATGACCTAAATCTTTGGGTTACCAGGGGAGAAATATGCCTCCTTTGTCAATTAATAAATGGAACATCTGCCTTAAAATCCAGGGAGTTCTGCTAGAATGAATCACTCCCTAAGACCCTGACCAATGCATGGAACATGAAAAACTGAAGTTTAACTGGGCGCGGTGGATCACGCCTGTAATCCCAGCACTTTGGGAGGCTGAGGCGGGCGGATCACCTGAGGTCAAAAGTTCTAGATCAGCCTGGCCAACATGGTGAAACCCCGTCTCTACTAAAAATACAAAAATTAGTTGGGCATGGTGGTGGACACCTGTAATCCCAGCTACTTGGGAGGCTGAGGCAGGAAAATCGCTTGAACCCGGAAGGCGGAGGTTGCAGTTACTTCTAGAAGAATTTCCATTAGCCCTTTGAAATCCTTCAACATTCATGAAGGCCAAAGAGTTTTCACCTAATTTAATCTGATGGGTATGTGACCAGAGTCTTTCTAGGGAATAGAGACTCCCAAACAGTTCGACTGGGAAGTGAGGAGAGAATTTATTACTCAAAACCAAAGGGAAATGAAAAGAGGCCAACATAGAATGTCATTATTCTTTCTTGGTGGGGAATGGATTCCAGAGTCATTCTGTGACCTTTACATGACCTCCTTATTAGCATCTAAAAGCTTCCAGTGTAGGATGCAGCCAGCTAGGTTCTCTTCTAATGTAATAAAATTTGCTTCGGCAAATCTTATGCAGAGCCATCTCCAGGCTCCAGAAACAATAGGCTATAAATTACTGGATCTCCCATTTGATACAATGAAGTATGAGCATGGTCCTGAATGACTCCTCTACATACTACTCTGGGTGGCTTGAAGTGAATTTGATACAAGAACTGGAGCGAGGGCAAAGCAGAGCTAGATCTAGGATTAATGTGCTTGGGCCCAGCTCCTCACTACTCACCTATGAGTCTAGTTCCAGAACCCAAGTAGAGGATGGGGAAACAAGGCTCCTGACTTTTTTTCCCTAATGTCTGCATCTCTTTCACATTTCTTATCTCCTTGCAAAGAAACTAAACAGGCTCAACTGAAATAACTAAATGATTAAACCCTATACAGAGAATCTCCAAAGACTGACAAAATATCATTCAAGACTGTTACACAGACAACCTTGAGGATGACTTGATGTACCAGTGATCTACAATATTTGGGATCATTCCAAATTCCCATCAAGGATCTGCCTATATCAACAAAGGAGCCAAGGACCAACCATTCAAATGGGCCCTGCTGCCAAGCCTTTTTTTTTTTTTTTAAACAATGCCATCTCTTCATATTGTTCCATTTAACAAAACTGCAGCCCTTCATCTATCCTTAAGTCCCTTGGCCAGTGGTACAGAGCCAGAGTATGCTACTCCCTAGCAGGAAATCAACAGGATGACCTACTAAACACCATTCAGAAGATGCTAAGACCCATGAATTGCAACAGGAAAGAAAAGACAGAGAATTAGTCAGACAGGTACATGCTGTGCCAAAAATGCACTACAGCCCCCACCCAATTCTGCCTAATCCTAGCTGGGCTGACACCAACCTGATGAGACAGGCCTATAAGATCTCAAACTAAAACAGAAACTCCTGAACTGGGTTCTTTCGAGCCCAGGAAGCAGCAGTAAATCATTAAAGAACAGATAAGTTCTTAAGGTGAGGGAGAGTTTCAGATAAATGGAATGCTGGTAGAACACAGGGCCCAAAGGAGCAAAAGTTAACCTAAGCCCAGGTAGAACCTTGTTTACTAGAGTATTAGGCATGGGTTTGGGCAACTATTCTAACCAGAGAAACTGGCTTCAGTGAGGGCAAGTTGGCAATCCAAGGTATAGCATGCATAGGGCTGGCAAAATTCAGGGTGACTGAAGCAAAAGCTTCATAACCAGAAAGACCACATCTGGGGGTAGAGCACAAAACTCTCAAGAGATGAATCTTTGTAAGAGTGAGGCAGAACTATATAGCAGTTTTAGGAGATCTGTTGGTGCCCAGCAAGAGCTCCAAACGGGCTATATGCAGGGATGCAGGCTGTAGTCTCAGGAGAGGAGGTTCACAAAAGTCATTCAGTCCAAGACCTCAAACTGTGTTCTCTACTAAAAGGAATCAAGGTTCCCTAGAGAAATGGCTGACTCCATGTATGGTGCAGTATATTGATCCTGGAACATCTGTTTTGCCAGAAAGCAAGGAAGCCATCAAAGTCCAACAGGATCACTTCAAAAAGACGTGAAAGTCAACTTGAAGAGATAATTATTAACCTAGATGAGACAATGTAAGTATCCAAAACAATAAAGACTGCAATGGCCTGAAATACATCAAATGCAAACAATAATCTATGAGTTCATAATGGTATTCAGAAAAAAAAACTACTGGTCATTAGAGGGAAGGTTACTAGGTCACTAACTTACTACTCTGAAAAGTGACTTAAGATGAGAGGTAGGGTGGAAAATTAGCTATTTATTCAGTCTTTCCTGTACAAACATAAATTTTTAGGGAGATTGAAGCAGATGAAACAAATCTGGAAAAATGGAGGTAACTGCTTAATCTGCGGGTTGGGTGCATGGAGGTTCAACATATTTCTTTTGTGTATATTTGAACCCCCTACAAAAAAAGCACAAGAGAGAATGTGAGCCAAGCAGCTTAGGGTTTAGGCAAGGCTTCTGCCTACAAGAGACACTAGGATATGAGGGGTAGTTTTAGCCCTAATGGGCTGAGCCAACTGGAGGTATATAGGGAAGTGCTAAATTGCAGAGGTATCATGTTGCCCAGCACTTGATCAAATCCTAGATCCTAGGTCTGCTTGGTAGCATGCTTCCTAGGTAGTGGATCTGAGGCTACCTATAGAACTTCCTTTGCAGTCATAGTTCGCTCAGAAACTACAAAAGTGCTTGCTCTTGAAAATGGAGTCTTTGTCCATTTCATGCTTCTATAAAAGAATACCACAGACTGCATAATTTATAAAAAGGAAAAAAGGAAGGAAAGAAAAAAGGAAGGGAGGAGGGAAGGAGGGAAAAAGGGAAGGAGGGAAGGAAAGGAAGGAAGGGAAAGAAGGAAAGGAAGGAAGGGAAAGAGAGAAAGAGGGAAGGAGGAAGGGAGGGAAGGAGGGAGGGAGGGAGAGAGAGAGGGAGGGAGGGGAAGGGAAGAAAAGGGAAGAGAAGGGAAAGGAGGAAGAAAAGGAAAGGAAAGGAATAAATTTTATTTCTTAACAGTTCTGGATGTTAGGAAGTCCAAGGTTGAGGGGCCTGCATCTGGTAAGGGTCTTCTTGCTGCATCATCCCACTACAGAAGGCAGAAGGAAAAGAGAGTGCAAGAAAGCAAGAGGGCAAAAGGGGCTGAACTCTGTTTTATAATAAGCCCACTCTGTGATTACTAATCTATTACCACAATAACAACATTAACTCATTCATGAAGGCTATTTTATTAGGCCCCACATCCCAACTGTTGCATTGAGGATTGAGTTTCCAGCACATAAACTTTGGGGGACACATTTAAACCATAGCAGAGCACTTAGGTTAATTCAACTAAGAGGAGCTGGGAAAATCAAAGGCATGAGAAAGACAGCAAAAGCTAGCAGAGAGAAATGCATAGGTTAAGGAAAAAAGTCACAGTGAATCCTGTAGTGCAGGCTACTTTATGAAAAGCACCTAAAAAAGATCTCATTAACTCCCCCAGCTCACCTCCACGCACATCTAAAGAGCCACACACAGCACCACCAAAGGCAGCACAATGAGAACAGCATTCTCCTCAACAGACAAGCTGGGAGTATCTAGACACCTGACCTCAATAGCTCCAGAACAGCCCTAAAACATTTCCTCCCTAACCACCACTCAAGTCACCAGCTTGGAAAGTATTAAGAAAACCCAAATCCTGACACACCACTATGAAACAACTTAAAACAGCAAAGAACAACCCATTTAAACAGCATTGCCAGCTGTTGGGAAAAAAAGGAACAATGAGTAGAGGAGAAACAGACCTCTCGGGGTCCACCAAGACCCAGTCTCTCAGCTTCAGCACTTTTAAATGCAGAATCCATACCCCTCTGGGGCCTGTGGAGCTCCACAAGGCATGTCGTCCTCAAAGATAAATGAGCAGGCAAGCTGGCTAGAAAACCACTAAGGGTATTTATTCTTTAAAGAATCTTTACAGGGTCAAAGAAGAATGGGTCTTAACTGGCTATGTGAACTCCCCACAGATTCTGAGGATGATGTCAGTATCCCTTTCCAGATGTGTTTAACACTTTGCAGTCACTTGTATTCCTGCTACTGAGTGCCAGTGCTTTGCTAATTTGAACTGATTCCAGCTCACGCTGAACCCAGCTCCCTGGATGTTACCATTAGCCAAGACTGTCACCCATACTGTACCCTTTCAAAGAGTCCTAAAAACAGCTCTTCACCTACTCTTCCAAGACAAGTAAAAATGTCTGCCAAAGAAATGGGGAAAAAAGATTCAGAGAGTGAAAACAATTAATATACTAACAAGAGAGCAAAAAGCAAAGGGGGAGGAGAAACTAGGAAAATCATATATGGGCTCTCACCTATTTCCAAAGCTGGGCTAATGTCCTTTTGCTTGTGTCTGAATAAGGCACCAATTTTAAGCTGCTAATGAAAAAAAAAGAAAAAGAGAAAGAAGCAGGCCCAGGCTGGGCGCAGTGGCTCATGCCTGTAATCCCAGCACTTTAGGAGGCCGAGGCGGGTGGATCACCCAAGGTCAGGAGTTCTAGACCAGCCTGGTCAACATGGTGAAACACCATCTCTACTAAAAATACAAAAAATTAGCCAGGCATGGTGGCGCATGCCTGTAAATCCAGCTACTAAGGAGGCTGAGGCAGGAGAATTGCTTGAACCTGGAAGGCAGAGAATGTGGTGACCTGAGATCACGTCATTGCCCTCAAGCCACGGCAATGAGAACAAAATTCGGTAAAAACAAAGCAAAACAAAACAAAACCACCATAAAATAACTCAGACTTAATTAAATACAACCCTAGTGGTGAATGACTAAAGATGGATTACTCATAACAGAGACAACAGTCCAATAAGAATCCAGGAATCTTACCTTTTAATAACAAAAAAATCCTTTCCTTCTAAAGTAACATCCTCTCAAGGCCAGGAATTCCATTAGTAGAAAGCCTTCCTAAAAAACAAAATTCCTGGCCAGGCATGGGTTCACGTCTGTAATCTCAGCACTCTGGGAGGCCGAGGCGGGAAGATCACTTGATATCAGGAGTCGAGGCGGGAAGATCACTTGACGTCAGGAGTTCGAGACTGGCCCGGCCAACATGGTGAAACCGCATCTCCACTAAAAATACAAAAATTAGCCTGGTATGGTGGTGGGCACCTGTAATCCCAGTGACTTGGGAGGCTAAGGCAGGAGAATTTCTTGAACCCAGGAGGCAGAGGTTGCAGTGACCAGCAAGGTTGCGCCATTGCACCCCAGCCTGGGCGATAAGAGTGAAAACTCCATCTCAAAAAAAAAAAAAAAAAAAAAATTCCTTTGGGAAGGCCTTCTACATAAAAATCTTCAACATGAGACTGGAAAAAAGGGTATGGGATCATCACCGGACCTTTGGCTTTTACAGCTCGAGCTATAAGAAAAAAAAGAAAAAGGGATATCATTTAAACACAGTATGTAGAAAAGAATAATTATTGAATCTGTACTGGTCTTTAACTTTTACACTTTGATCTTTAATTCTGTTATTGTGATTGAGTCCAAAGAAAAACAGTATGAGTAAAATAAAAAGAACACCAAAAATGCTAATATTCTGTTTACCGAAGTCTGTAGTGAAATATCCCATTAAATCCAAGTGCAGTGACACACCCATAATCCCAAGCACTTTGGGAGGCTGAGGCGGGTGAATCTCCTGAAGTCAGGAGTTCAAGGCCAGCCTGGCCAACATGGTGAAACCCCAACTCTACTACAAATACAAAAATTAGGCAGGCGTGGTGGCAGAGGCCTTTAATCCCAGCTACTTAGGAGGCTGAGGCAGGGAGAATTGCTTGAACACAGGAGGTGAGCTTGCCATGAGCTGAGATCATACCACTGCACTCCAGCGTGCGTGACAGAACAAAACTTCAACCTCCAAAAAAAAAAAAAAAAAAAAAAACAGCTAGCAGGTGACATTTGCTATAGGGAGACTAGGGATATGATCTTGCTGCAATCTTTCCATTTTAGTAAATCTAAACAAGTGTGAATCCATTCTGTTTCATCCCCACTCCACTCCAGAGCCAAAACAAGAAAAACAATTATATTTCTAGTTCTTTAAAAACATATCTAACTAAATCATCTAATTAAAAGATAATATGCATGGTTCCATACTCTAAAAGAAAACTTATGTCCTGCATATCATGGACATTTGATGAATGCTTATTCAGTTGACTGGTGTAGACTTCAATAATAACCTGTTCAATGCATTATGCCAGATGAATCTTGCATCTCAAAAGTAGAACAAATATTGTTCTTTCAGTTTTGTCTACCCATAAATGCAATATTTACTAATAAAAAGAAAATGAGTTTATTGTTCTAGAGAGTATGAGAATTTTGACAACATGAATTCTCCTGTCCTAGGACATAATTAATACTTAGAGGCATACTATTTCATGTGGAAGCTACCATTAAATCAATGTTAAGTGTTAATTACCTCACATAATCTTCTAATCTGACTTGACTGAAGACGTACCTGACAAAGTTGATTTATCAAGTTGTAAATCTTCACCTGTTGAATTCATAAGTTCATGTCTGAAAGGTGAGAATAAATACTTAATATTCATTAGGCAATATTCAGCAAAGTAATATCCACTAGTACATATTTAATATTTCATCATGAACTGCGGGTGTGAAGAGAAAAGACAGGCTGGGCACAGTGGCTCACACCTGTAATCCCAGCAGTTTGGGAGGCCGAGGCAGGCAGATCATGAGGTCAGGAGTTCGAGACCAGCCTGGCCAACATGGTAAAACCCCGTCTGTACTAAAAGTACAATAATTAGCTGGGCATGGTGGCAGGCACCTGTAATCCCAGCTACTCGGGAGGCTGAGGCAGGAGAATTGCCTGAACCCAGGAGGTGGAGGTTGCAGAAACCATTATCACGCCACTGCATTCCAGCCTGGGCAAGAGAGCAAGATTCTGTCTCCATCAATCAATCAATAAAAATATAAGAAGGAAGCATTTACTGTGTATTTATATGTCTGGTATTATGTGAAGCACTTTACTATCTTATCAAATCTTCGGGACAGATCTTCAGTTCTCATGACCACAAAAGAGGATACTAAAGCTCAGACAGGAGAAGAGACGTGGCCAGCCTGTGTCCCCAGGGCCTATGGTCTTACCACTAGGTTACAGTGTTTCCAGATATCACATGTTGTGAGATTTTTGCTTTAAAATGAACCAAAAAAAAACCAAAGGTGAAAAAGGCATAAGCTATTAAAAAGTGGGAGAAACACTAAGAGAACCTTAAGCATGTAACTAAAAATATTATGGAAATGTTATTGAATACATTAGCAAATTTAGTGCTAGGTTTTCATTGAGGAGTAGGTTATATTACTCATGATGAAGAAAAATGTTCATTTTAAGTATATTAACATAAATACCATCAATATTGTTTATCATGTTTAAATGTTCACTTAAAGCAATTCAGTTAAAATTCTGCATATCATACAATTTTATAGTTTGCTAGTAGGTTACAAGTAAATAGTCACCCAAATAAAAACATCATGTTTTCCACTGGTTGTTGCTCTTTTTTAGGTGAGTATTTGATATATACCAACAGAGAGA
This sequence comes from Homo sapiens, assembly GCF_000001405.40. Taxonomy (NCBI): domain Eukaryota; kingdom Metazoa; phylum Chordata; class Mammalia; order Primates; family Hominidae; genus Homo; species Homo sapiens. The sequence goes on along the minus strand of NC_000009.12, from coordinate 138,250,504 downwards.
GGATAATAACAAATCGCTAATTTCTTTCATCACTATATAAAGGTGGCTTCAGGATAGAATAGTATCAGTGTAATGATGAATTTGAAATCTAACATCAATTCAGTGATGCATCAAGATAAAAGTAGAGACAACAGGGGCACCTTGGTGAGTACTGAACATTTTATTTATTTATTTATTTTGAGATGGAGTTTTGCTCTTTTTGCCCAGGCTACAGTGCAATGGTGCCAACCTCGCCTCACTGCAACCTCTGCCTCCTGGGTTCAAGCGATTCTCCTGCCTTGGCCTCCCGAATAGCTGGGATTACAGACATGCGCCACCACACCCGTCTAATTTTGTATTTTTAGTAGAGACGGGGTTTCTCCATGTTGGTTAGGCTGGTCTCGAACTCCCGACCTAGATATCTGCCTGCCTTGGCCTCCCAAAGTGCTGGGATTACAGGTGTGAGCCACCACGCCCAGATGAATTCCAAATTTAACAAAGCAGACTAAGAGAAACAATTCATTTAAAAAAATAATATTTGGCCAGGCATGGTGGCTCACACCTATAATCCCAGCACTTTGGGAGGCTGAGGTGAGTGGATCAGGAGGTCAGCAGTTCAAGACCAGCCTAGCCAAGATCATGAAACCCTGTCTCTACTAAAAATACAAAAATCAGCCAGGCGTGGTGGCTGGTGCCTGTAATCCTAGCTGCTCGGGAGGCTGAGGCAGAGAACTGCTTGAACCCGGGAGGCGGAGGTTGCAGTGAGCCGAGATCGTGCCACTGCACTCCAGCCTGGGCGACAGAGTGAGGCTCCGTCTCAAAAAAAATAAATAAATAATTCAATGAAATTCCTAAGATCCAGGGCTTTGCAATAAATATGTAAATAAATTTCCAATCTCCATACTGAAAGTTTAAAAGAAATGCTAACTAATAACTAAAGAAATACAACTTTTCCTCAGCTTTGCAGCAATCTAGAAACAAAGTGTGTAGACACTACAAAGCACCTTACAAGGAGAAACATATAAGGATGGCATGACTCGCCGGCAGCCCTGGGATTGTCCACGGTACCCCCATGATGAACAGTAACTCCACTGTGTAAACGCCCATGAACCTAAGATTACAAGACTTTTCCAGTTTAGACATACCATATTTTCTTTCAGACAATTCTTCAGTTTGTTTACGTAGATCAGCGATACGATGATTCCATTTCTCTGAAAACCAAGCAAAAGTTGCTTCTCAATAACACGTCCCTATGTCAGAGCAGCACTAACATATAATGACTGATTTCATATATTTTACATTCTAACAGTCCATATCATTTTACTGCTTTCAAGAAAAAATTTCCCCTTCTTGGTGGTTCTTAGAATTGGTTTAATGGGAGACTATTAGAGAAGCTGAAAAGCAGGAGGGCAGAAAAGTTCAATCAAATTAAACACAATAACAGGGAGGTCACAATGAGGCGGTCTCCAGGGGTCTTTTAGCAAACTTCCTAAAACATGTCTCAGCTGTGTGAAATAAGACTTTACAGCAGCCGGGTGCAGTGGTGCAGGCCTGTAATCCCAGCACTTTGGCAGCAGAGGCAGGCGGATCACTTTGAGCTCAGGGCAACATAGCCAAAACCCCCCTCCCTAGCCCCACCCCCACCCCGTCCCTACCAAAAATACAAAACAGCAGGGCATGGTGGCGGGCGCCTGTAGTCCCAGCTACTCAGGAGGCTGAGGCAGGAGAATCACCTGAACCCAGGAGGCAGACATTGCAGTGAGCCAAGATCACGCCACTGCCAGCCTGGATGACAGAGCAAGACTCCACCTCAAAAAAAACAAAAACAAAAACACAAGGTTAAGAGGGACCCCCGACCTTACAGATACAAGTTTAAGAGGGACCCCTAAGCAAAAAATGCCAACCCTTTTTCTCCCAATCATTGAAACACCAGGAGGGTGTAACAGTTTTGCAGCCTAGCTGTAGCAGGCTGATGCCCCCAAGATGCCCATATCCTAATCCCGGGAACTGGTGAACATGACCTTATATGGCAAAAGGAACTTTGCAGATATAATGAAGTTAAGGGTCTTTGGCTTTTGGGGTTGATGTACTCACTCGGATCCTTGTAAGAGCAGAGCAGGTGATGGAGAGGGTGGGAGGTGTAGTGACAGAAGCAGGAAACTCCAGTCATTCGAGACGGGCAGCACAAGCTGCGGAGTGCAGGCCACCTCTACGGCCAGGAAACGGATTCTCCCGCAGAGCCTCGGAAGCTACCGACCCTGCTCCCACCTTGACTCAGTAGGACTTACTGTAGAATTCTGGCCTTCAGACCTGTAAGGGAATACATTTTGGTTGTTTTAAGTCACTAAGTTTGTGGTAATTTGTTGCAGCAGCCACAGGAAACTAGTATTGTAGTGAAGCCTCAAAACCCCCCTGAAGGGGCTGGGCTCAGTGGCTCATGCCTGTAATCCCAGCACTTTGGGAGGCCGAGATGGGTGGATCACTTGAGGTCAGGAGTTCGAGACCAGCCCAGCCAACATGGTGAAATGCCATCTATACAAAAAATACAAAAACTAGCCGGGCATGGTGGCACATGCCTGTAATCTCAGCTACTCAGGAGGCTGAGACAGGAGAATTGTTTGAACCCAGGGGGGCAGAGGTTGCAGTGAACTGAGATTCCACCACTGCACTCCAGCCTGGGTGACAGAGCGACGCTCCATCTCGAAAACAAAACAAAACAAAAAAACCCCACCTGAAGGTTTCCAGTTCTGCCAGCACTCTCCCACCCAACCCCCAGAAACAGACATTCCATTGCTGTGGGCCACGGACAGGCAGAAGGAAGCACCTCCTCATGGCAGAGGCCTACCCAGGAGAAACCCAAGGGAAGGCACTACTGGGCTGGCCCCTCTCTGCCAAGGCCATATTCTTTTTTTTTTTGAGGCCAGTTTCACTCTGTCTCCCAGACTGGAGTGCAGGGGCACAATCTCGGCTCACTTCGACCTCTGCCTCCCCAGTTCAAGTGATTCTCCTGCCTCAGTCTCCTGAGTAGCTGGGATGACAGGAGTGTAGCATGCCTAGCTAATTTTTGTATTTCTAGTAGAGATGCGGTTTTGCCATGTTGCCCAGGCTGGACTCGAACTCCTTGCCTCAAGTAGTCCACCTGTCTCAGCCCCGCAAAGTGCTGCTATTATAGGAGTGAGCCACTGCACCCAGCATTTGCCAAGACCTTTGATGGCAGGCTTTTTCCAGGTGATCAGTCCTTGTCTGGTCTGGCTCTGCCCCACTCTCCTTCTAACCTAGTTGGAATCCCTAGCTACTTTTCAGTAGAGGAGAGTGTGTACCCCAATCCCAGCTTGGTTCAGATCTGCATTTAACTCATGGAACCTGGCTGCTCCCCAGGTTCTGAAGAAAAAAACGGTCTCTCTGTGGGTATGATAAAGGATGGGCCTGTCCCCAGGACCCTGTGAGAGGGAAGCCCAATGTCCCACCAGGTTGGCAGGGCTGGGGAAGGGAAAGTGTTATGGCAGCCCCAAGAAAAAAAAGAGGCAGCAGAGGGAGCAGGACAGCGCTCACATGGAACTCATGCCACTGCCTGAGGGGAGGGAGGAGTGCACGCCAGTGACGTCAGGGGGCAGAGAGGCGCAGTTCCAGGGCGGCTTTCCCCCTCACTTCCTGCCATGTTACTCTGATCGCCTCCAGGTGAGCCTGCCCACTTTGTGCCCAGGGGCCTGTAGAAAACCACAGCTCCCCATGGTTATGGCCCCAGGAGTGGGGCAGAGCAGGGAGGAGTCCTGGACAGAGGAGAGGCAGGGGCAGGAGGGAGTGGGCCTCAAACTCCAGGAGGGGGCCCTTCTCATGGGTCCTGCTTTCTGGCTTCTCCTTCCTTACCCCTGGGCTGATCACTTGGGGAAGAACTGAGACAAAGTTTCTCACCCTCAGGCCCAAAGGGTTTAATTACTGGGCCCTTAGGGAGGTGTGAGCCCCCTGAAAGGATGCAAGGTTTTGTTTTGTTTTGTTTTTTGAGACAGAGTTTCGCTCCTGTCGCCCAGGCTGGAGTGCAGTGGCGTGATCTCACCACACTACAACCTGCGCCTCCCAGGTTCAAGTGATTCTCCTGCCTCAGCCTCTGGAGTAGCTGGGATTACAGGTGGCTGCCACCACGCCTGGCTAATTTTTTGTATTTTTAGTAGAGACAGGGTTTCGCCATGTTGGCCAGGCTGGTCTTGAACTCCTGACCTCAGGTGATCCGACTGGCTCCGCCTCCCAAAGTTCTGGGATCACATCAGCCACTGTGCTTGGCCACAATGAAAGGTTTTGTGTGGAGAGCATGTACATGCCTTTCTGGGAAAACAGTCCACAGCTCTTATTCTCAGCAGGCTTCACGGTGAAAAAAGGTTAGAACTCTTGCTACAGAGCTGTGGAAGCAGCCAGGTGAGGGGCCTGCCAAGGGCACTCTGGGCACTACCTGGGCACTCTCGAGCCCATCATCCCCTAGGCAGGCTGCACTGCTTGGTATTTGCAGAGCTGAGGGGGTGGGGCATGTGGGGACTGTGAAATCGCCCTGAGATGACCCACAGTCCTCAGCTAGGAAGTGAGCGCTGCATCTCCTGCAGCGTCCTCCATCCCTAGAGCCATGGGGCCAGGAGAACCGGCCCTTGCAGCAAGTGAAAAGCCTATTATTGATTCCCTCCCTAGCCATGTAGACAGTGAACCAAGACACTCATATCAGGTAAATGCCTTGTTCTCTGTTACCAAGGTAACCAGTAGGCATTCCCAGATACAGTGAAGGTCCTCACACCAAGATATGCACCTGGCCACCTGAGGAAAGAGAAAGGACTATCTGAGGGGACGGGGCTGAGCTGGGTGTGGAGTGGTCCTTGTGGGTCTTGGAGAGTGGGAGGGGGAGCAGCATGAGCCAGGCCTCGAGGCAGAAGGACAACCAGGAGACAGCCTGGAAAAAGTGCTGGACCCACAAGGGCTCAAGGCTGGCCAGAGGGGAGGTGGGATAGGCTGTAAAGTCCTGAGGTCTGAAGATTGGCCCTGGCAGGAAGAAACCAGGTAAGGTGGGGTGTTACCTACACCCTCGGGGCCAGATGCAGGCCAGAGCCAGCCAATTACCAGGCCCTTAGGGAGGTGTGAGCCCCTTGAAATGATGCAAGGTTTTTTGTTTTTGTTTTGGAGACGGAGTTTCGCTCTTGTCACACAGGCTGGCACCTTTGCCCAGAGCAGGCACCAAGACTTCTGGCTCTGGGTGTGACCTCAGTCTGGGTAAAAGCCCCAGCCCCCACCAGCACCACCTACCCCCTAGACTACTTCAGGTGCTGAGCCCAAGCCAGGGGCAGGAAGCTAAACTGATGCCTAGGGTAATCCCAACAAAGTCCCTGGTTCCCCGCAGCTATGGGGCTGACGGGGAATTACAGCCCAAACCCCAGATGCTGGCTCTCAAACTAACACTGAGCCCTCAGTGCCCACAGGGAGATACAATCAGCGCACTTTCCAGATGGGGAAATGGGATCAGAGAAGTGCAACAGCCTTGCCCAATGCCCCAGACCAGGGCTCCAGGCCCAGAGTGTTCTTTTGTCACTGTGTTCAGAGGGCAGCAGCTGCTGTGATGTACCCACCTGAGCCTGGCAGCTTTCTCCAACTTTGGAAGCCCAGGAGCATGGCCCCTGTCCACAGATGCACCTGGCATGAGGCGTGCCCAGAGGGACAGAGGCAGATGAGTTTCGTCTCCTCCACTGGATTGTGAGGGCCTAGAAGGAGACAAGGGTCTGCTTGAGAAGGCAGTGAACAGCGAGCAGCCTGAGGCAGTGCCCCTCTGGATGGATGCGCAGTGCCTGGATGGAACCTGGCTCAGACAGAGCTCAGTTCTGCAGGTCCCTGAGGCATGGAGAGTTCACAGCTACCAAGTGTAGGAGTCTGGATTCAAAGCCAACGGCGTGACTCCAAAGTCCCTGCCCTAGCCCCTGGACCACCCTTGCAGGCCCATCAGATGCCCAGGCCAGCAGCACAGCCGGCCAAGACCAGGGAAACTTGGGGAGCCTCAGAGCACCCCCAGGTATTCCAACCTAACCCTGGTGCCCCGCCTCTCACCACCCTTCTTCCTGCTTTAACCTCAACCCCTACACAAAGCCTGGGCCACTTAATGTGGCATCAAACAGACGCCTCAATAAATCAGTCTAATCTCGAAAAAAAAAAAGACTTAACAGATATACAATTGCACGTTAGAATGCTAAAGACCATAAACATATAACAACTTAAAGTACATATAAATTCAATATATATCCAATCATTGTAACTATGACACAGTAGAATATTAAAATACTATTTTCAAAATGTATACAAGCTTAATGTTCTATGTATTCAAACTATTTATTCAAAATACAAATCATCAACATACATTGCCACTAATATTCAGTCCCTTCACAGGACATGATTCACTGGGAGTTAATAAATTAGCAGCCAGCAGGCAGTGACACACCGCAAAAATGAAAACCAAGAGGTGAAATAGTTCTGAAATAAAGGTTTTAAAGCTAACAGAAATCACTGAATTACTAAGTCATTAGCACTAATTTTGAGCCAACTAACTAATTAATATGAGATGATACAATGTCCTATACTTTGGTAAATACAGACTATGTTTAAACAATGTCTGTAACGTGACTTGTAAAATGCTCCTGGCTTTACAAAGATGTGATTAAGATGTAGTAACACATGCTAAACCATTTCCCCCTGCAGAGCATGTGGTAACTTTCATCAGTCACACTGAGAGTCCAGAAGATAAAGGAAAAGGTCATGGATTTCGCTGAGAACTTACCAGAGTTGAACTCCCTCATTTTCCGTTCCCCAGCATTGGCAGGTTCTGGGACTGGTGGCTGTGGTGGCTCGTTGGTCTTTGTCTCTTAGAAGGTGGGGAATAATCATCATCTTGAAAAAGAAAAAATGGTCATTACTGAAGGAAACATCTTAGGTTACAGCCACCTCTGGGTCAATTCCCAACATTCAAAAGCTGAGCAGGGCTTTAAAGCTATCTTATTAATAATTATTTCTGTATTGCGAACTTCAGCATACTTTTTTCTAGTTACATTTGAAATGTTATTCTTTTGGGATGTGCTCAAGTGAGTACTGCTTTTTCCTCTGCCTTGCTTCATTACTTTTTAGTTTCCTTCATTTGAATCATCATTGTAAGTCTCCCCTTCTCCTCAAATAACTTTCAAATTGCTGCCAAGAACTACGTTCTATCTTAAGGCTTTTGAGAAAAAACTTTCAATGAAGATAGCCGCCTAAAGTTATACAAATATAGAAGAAACGGGATAAAATAAAGCTTAGATTGGAAAAAATATTTAAGATTCTACAAAATTCACGCGTAAACAAGGGAAGCTGAGTAATTGTATGTTCAAATACTTTTAACAAGTGCAAAACATGTAGGCTTAAAGAAATAGAGCTGGCCAGGCATGGTGGTTCACGCCTGTAATTCCAACAGTTTGGGAGGCCAAGGCAGGCAGATAACTTGAGGTCAGGAATTCGAGACCAGCCTGGCCAACAGAGTGAAACCCTCTCTCTACTAAAAATACAAAAATTAGGCCAGGAGTGATGGCTCACGCCTGTGATCCCAGCACTTTGAGAGGCCGAGGCGGGTAGATCACCTGAGGTCAGGAGTTTGAGACCAGCCTAACCAACATAGGGAAACCCCGTCTCTACTAAAACTACAACATTAGCCGGGTGTGGTGGCACATGCCTGTAATCCCAGCTACTCGGGAGGCTGAGGCAGGAGAATCCCTTGAACCCAAAAGGCAAAGATTGTGGTGAGCCGAGATTGTGCCATTGCACTCCAGCCTGGGCAAAAACAGCGAAACTCCGTCTCAAAAAAAAAAAAAAAGAAAAAATTAGCCAGGCATGGTGAAGTTGCAGTGAGCTGAGACTGCACCATTGCACTCCAGCCTGGGTAGCAGAGCAAGACCCTGTCTCAAAAAAAAAAAAAAAAAGAGAGAGAGAGAAAGAAAGAAAGAGGGCTACATTATTTATGAAACAGATACTGTTAACTCAGTCACCAGAAAGCCTGTGTATAAATGAGCAGTGAGATATTCAAGCACAGCACACACACACTTCTCAGGACAGCTGTCGTGAGTGTTCCATGCTCGTTTCCTTCTGGATACATCAGCAACTCACTCTGCTATGATCCTGCAATACATCTCATGTTAGAATTAGAGACATCTGGGCCAGGCACAGTGGCTGACGCCTGTAATCCTAACACTTTGGGAAGCCGAGGCAGGCACATCACCTAAGGTCAGGAGTTCGAGACCAGCCTGGCCAACATGGTGAAATGCTGTCTCTACCAAAAATACAAAAAATTAGCTGGGCATGGTGGCGCGCGCCTGTAATCCCAGCTACTCGGGAGCCTGAGGCAGGAGAATCGCTTGAACCCGGGAGGTGGAGGTTGCAGTGAGCCGAGATCGTGCCACTGCACTCCAGCATGGGGGACGGAGCAAGGCTCTGTCAAAAAAAAAAAACAGAAAAAGAAAAAGAAAAAAGAATTAGAGACATCTGGATCAAATCAGCTGCCAGTCTCGCAAAGTGTCGGGTAACATCCTATTAAGCTTGCTGCTTACACATCATCTATAAAATACTGAAAATATCATTTTAAGAAATCTTTTTTTTATTTTGAGACAGAGTTTTGCTCGTTGCCCAGGCTGGAGTGCAATGGTGCGATCTCAGCTCACTGCAATCTCTGCCCCCTGGGTTCAAGCAATTCTCCTTCCTCAGCCTCCTGAGTAGCTGGGATTACAGGCATGCACCACCACGCCTGGCTAATTTTGTATTTTCAGTTGAGACAGGGTTTCTCCATATTGGTCAGGCTGGTCTCGAACTCCTGACCTCAGGTGATCCACTGACCTTGGCCTCCCAAAGTGCTGGGATTACAGGTGTGAGCCACCATGCCTAGCCAAGAAACCCTTATTTTAAAACAAGCCAGGCGCGGTGGCTCATGCCTATAATCCCAGCACTTTGGGAAGCCAAGGCAGGTGGATCACTTGACGTCAGTAGTTTGAGACCAGCCCGGGCAACATGTTGTAACCCCATCTCTACTAAAAATATATTTTAAAAATTAGCTGGGCATGGTGGTGGGCACCTGTAATCCCAGCTTCTCAGGAGGCTGAGGCAGGAGAACCACTTGAACCTGGGAGGTGGTGGTTGCAGTGAGCGGAGATCACGCCACTGCACTCTAGCCTGGGTGACAATAGAAAGACTCCATCTCAAAAACAAAACAAAACAAAACAAAACAAAAAACCACTAAAAAAAAGACTCCATTTCAAAAACAAAACTAAAACCAAAAACACAACACAAATGTAGTACACAAATGAAAATAATTACTGTGTTAAACACAGTTTCATAGAAAATAAAAGACCAATCAAATACAATAAGCTGCCTTTTTAGATGGGTATGTTATTCTTCTTTCACAGCTAAAGAAACAGGCTCAGAGAATGTTATTTGATTGGACCGTGTTGCATTTCTGGACAGTGCAGCTGAGATCAGACTTTGTGTGTAACTCCACTAGCCTACCAGGGTGCCTCTCATAAAGGTAAGAAATGTAAATTTGGCCTAATATACAAAGTTGCCAGGGCAGCACTGGGTCAATTCTACATACAGTACTTCTATGTTCATCAAGGGAAACCTTAAGGGAAAGTGAAAATGCTTCTAGAAGGCGACTGGACACCAGCGCCTTTGCTTGTTGCCTTTGGGCTCTTCTTCTAAGGCCAACAGTGACCTGAAATTATTGACTGGCTTTTCCAATCAAGTGGACAAAATGGTACCAAGGTCACCAACATCGATGTAGAACATCGATGTTCTACAACATTGCTTAACGCAAGGGGAGACGCTCCTGACTCAGAGTGTTTAATTGCTCACCTACTTCTTTTTCTGCCCTCTTGGGCTTCTGAAATGAAAAGAACCCTGGGGTGATACAGTGAGTCAAAGGGGTGCCAGCCGCATCACAGCAAAATAGATTCCTAAAAAATCCCTGGCCTAAGATGACAGCCTTGGCTGGATCAGTTTGAATGTGCTGATAGTGGACATGGTAGAATGAAGGTGGTTGAAATGTTCATATTAAAGAACTTCCACCCAGATTGCAAGAAAAGAGAGAAGAATGGAGACGGCAGCACGAGCCCCTACAATAAAAGCAGATGTTTTGAGATCAGTTATATTTCTTCTGACAAAAATTAAAGACAGAAACCAAAGTTTAGCCTGAGACTACAATTAATTGGGCAATAAGCCAGAGGCACATATGGCATAAGACAGATTTAAACATTTCTCCCTGATATTAATACAAACACTAAAATTACAAATACTTTGATTCCAAATAAAACAAATATTTAAAAAATTTAATGAATAAACACTGGGGTCTACAGTAGTATTTGAAGATCTCACAAACAGGTTTGGTTTTTGAAGGTTAGAACTGGTGGTCTAGAGAATTCATTTCATTCCAGAGAAAGAAAGAGAGGAATTTCTTGGGTTCCTTCAGGAATGCGTCTAGCTTTGCCTCATCTTTGTTTGAACTATGGATACGGCAGAAGAAAACATGAGGATTTCACAGATTTAAGGTGCAAAAAGTCACTGGGTTCTCTAAGAAGTCTGGGATTCTTCTGCTGGAAAAATAAGTTTGTTGAGAAAAAATGAGTTGGAGGAGGCTGTTATTGAAGTGAAGCAGAATTGTTTTTACTAGTCTGCTTATTACCCACTCTGTAGTGTGGAAACAAATTATTCATGCACAAGGTCCTCTTACTGTTCCTAGAATGCAGTGGAAAGAGAACAGATTAGTTTTCCTCCCTCAGAACACAACCCCTAGAAACATCCTACCTCAGATGAGATATTGCCTAATTATTTTCAAAAGACAGTGAAACATCATGGATGTAAATGTTTGCTACAAAATAAATACATGCTAGAAACAGAAGCATCTGGGTCACAGCTATATTAGAGCTACCTGTGTTCCCCTGTCACTGACATTAAAACAAAAATGTCCAATACAATCATTCACAGCGTGGGAGAGGGGAAGTTGAAGGATGGAAAGGCCAGGCATAAAAGGATTTCAGAATTTCCGTCCATAAGGAAGTGGCTTTGTGCACTGTCTGTTACTGCGTGCAAGGTGAAATTTGAAGAATGAAAACGTGCAGTAACAAGGGCTCCTTTGTCCAACTCACCTCTCCAGATACCAACTTTCAGACATGTTGCATTTTAATTGAAAGGTTGATATAATTTTTTTTAAAGAACACTTGCGGTGTTTGAAGTGACAAAGGCTGCTGTGACAAAAAAGCAGGGAAAGGGAATTTTTTTTTAAAAGCAAACAACAACAACAGAAACCCCACAGAAAAGCAAACAACAAACAAACAAAAAACAGAGGAAGTAGTCGAACACCCTGGGCTGTGACTACTTCCAGGAAGGGGCTACAAGAGGCAGTTGGAAATTCTATTTGTTTTGCAACTGTGGGTTTTCCGGCCTGCTTCCTTTCTAAAGCATATTACTCTGCTTTTGGTTCATGAAGTTATCCATTTCTGTTTTCTGGAACAGCTATGTATTTTCTTTATCTATCATCTATCTATCTATTTACCATCTATCTTTTCTACCTTTCGCTATCAAGAGCTTGGGTCAAGCAGGATAGAATTCCAGTGTATGTTCACTCTACCATTTAAAACAAGAGCTCTTGTAGGCATTCTCCATCACATCATAAACCTGAGCTTTCTAAAACAGGGTGTGGCAAACTACCATGCATGGACCATGTCTGACACAGTCTGCATTTGTAAGTAAAGTTGTAATGGGACACAGCCAATACATGTGTTACATAATGTCTCTGGCTACTTTCATGGTATAATGGAAGAGCTGAGTCATTGAGAGAGAGACCATATGGCTTGGAAAACTTAAAATATTTAACATTTAGCCCCCTGCAGAAAATACTTGCTGACTCTTGTTTTAAAAGATCTCTGTTTAGAATGCTACCTATTGCGTTCTGGATAGAATCACAACTCTTTACCACAATCGACACAGCTTCAGCCCTGCTTCTATATCCAGCCTCATCTATTTCTGCTCCTCCTCCTTATTTTCCTTCTGGCCATGCTGATGGATTGTCAGCTTCCCAGATGTGCAAGAATCTCTCCTCCCTTCCCAACATTCTCATGCTCTCCCTCTGCCTCTGAAGAACTTCCTGCCCCATCTCTCATGACAAATCCTTTCTACATTCTTTAAGATGCAGCCCCTTTGCTCCTTCCTTAAGGATGTCTGTCTGGCTCTATTTTGGGTGACGTGCTCCTTCTGCATCTCCCAGAGCCAGCCTGTGTGTGTCAGCTACAACATTTCTTTGCATCTCTGTGTCATATATCACCAAATCTGCCTAAGCTTGCATGAGTCACTGCATGACAACTTCAGACTCCACCAGCATTGTCCCCACTAACCACAAGGCTTAGACATTCGTCCAGTATGCTCGGGGTTGTGGGGTGGTAGCAGTAACCGGCTGGTGACCATCATTTCTTACATCAGAATCAAATCTGTAGATCTCTGCCATTCATAAGTATTTGGAGTTTAAAATTAGCATAAAGATTTTCCTTAAAATAAGAACAAATGGCTTGAGTAGGCTTTTGGAACACAGGATGTTTCCACTGGTTCATTTCTGTGTTCAATATTCCCACATGAATCTAAACACGGCTCTGCTCTTAGTAGCTATGTGACCCTAGGAAAGTCACTCAATCTCCCTCAGCTAAATTTTGTTGTGTGAGTAATGAGGAGAGAGTTGTGATTTGTATTTAGTGAAAAATAACAAACAAAAGGCATTTAGATTTCTGGAACCTGGTATGTAGTAGAACCTCATGAAATACTAGCTCTGTTGAAAAAACTAGACTGAAAGAAGCTTACAAAGTCAACAAGAGTTTGAGGCAGTGAAGGACTTAGAGGAGGAGCTGCTGCTGCAGCCTGTAGCTCCTGGAAGCCCGTTTTGTCCATGATTTAGCAGGAATGCATTACCCTTCCATGAGGAGGCACTGCCCACAGAAACCAAGGCCATTCTTTGAAGACAAACATGTCTTAATAGCCTTTACATTATGTAATAGTGTAATACAAATAATAATTTATTATTAGTAATAATGTGAAATTATTTACAGTACCCTAACCCTAACCCTAACCCCTAATCCTAACCCTAATCCTAACCCTAACCCTAACCCTAACCCCTAACCCCTAACCCTAACCCTAAAACCCTAACCCTAAAACCCTAACCATAACCCTTACCCTTACCCTAATCCTAACCCTAATCCTTACCCTTACCCTTACCCTGACCCTAACCCTAATCCTTACCCTTATCCTACCCCTAACCCTTAACCCCTAACCGCTAGCCCTAACCCTTAACCCTAACCATAACCCTAAAACGCTAACCCTCATCCTCACCCTCACACCTCACCCTCACCCAAACCATAATCCCTAACCCCTAACTCTTAACCCCTAACCCTAACCCTTGACCCTAACCCTTGACCCTAACCCCTGACCCTGACCCTTAACCCTAACCCCTAACCCTTAACCCTTAAACCTTAACCCTCATCCTCACCCTCACCCTCACCCCTAACCCTAACCCCTAACCCCTAACCCAAACCCTAACCCTAAACCCTAACCCTAAACCCAACCCAAACCCTAACCTGAACCCTAACCCGAACCATAAACCTGAACCCTAAATCCAAACCTGAACCCGAACCCTAACCATAACCCAAACCCGAACCCAAACCCTAACCCCTAACCCCTAACCCTAACCCTACCCTAACCCAACCCTAACCCAACCCTAACTCTAGCCCTAGCCCTAGCCCTAGCCCTAAGCCCTAAGCCCTAAGCCTAACCCCAACCCCAACCCCAACCCTAACCCTAACCCTAACCCTTCCTCAGCCTCTCAACCTGCTTGGGTTATAGGTATGAGCCCGGGTGCCTGGCCAAACATTCCATTTTATATGTATATGCTAGGAATGAATAATCTCTACACCAAATTATGAAAATTCTACCTTAAACAATACCAATAGCAATATTATACTTAGGAATAAATGGAATGAAACGACAAGACTTAGATGAGGGAAATTATAAGACATTACTTAAGGAAATTAAACTTCCAGTAAATGTAAAAATGTATCTTATTTGTGGATTTGTAGACCACATTGTTAAGTTTCCCAAAGTACACAAAGCAATCCATGGATTCGATGTTATTCCTACAAAAATCCCAAAGGCCTTGGGACAGAAGTGGATAAGCTGATCCTGATCACATCCCAATTTCAAATTTTATTACAAAGGAACAGTAATAAAAACAGTGGGATCCTTGCACAGGAATAAACAGAAAGATCAACTGAATTGAATTGGGAGTCCAGACAGAAAACAATACCTCTATGCTCAACTGATTTTAGACAAGGTCCATTACCAGTAAATTGGGGAAAGAATCCTGTCCTCAACAAGTGATGTAAGGCAACTTGCTATCCACATAAAGGGAAATGAAATTGTATCCTTACCTCATACCACATAAAAAATTAACTTACAATGGATCAAAGACCAAAACAGGTGAAAACTAAAAACTCTGGAAGAAAACGTACAGTTAAGCATTCATGACCTTACACGTAGCAATAGTTTCCTACATCTGACACCAAAAGCACAGACCACAAAAGGAAAAATAAATCAATTTATTTCCTCAAAATTCACAACTTTTACGTCTCAGAAGACATGAAGAAAAAAGTTGAAAGACAAAATGTTATAATAGGAAAAACAACTGTCTTATAGTATACTCTCAACACTCAACACAGAACACTTCTGTTACCAGATACATGGGTTTTTTTCCCCACACAGACCAAATCTTGGGTACCAGCTGCGTGTCCTACAGTGCAATCCAATTGTGACAGTAAATGGAGAAAGCATCAGACCCCACAGGCTAAGGGCTCAGTCCTAGGAATACACGTCATGCCCCTTGTCGCTTGCAAATTTAAATGACAAACACAAGGATGGTAAAAAGAAAGTGACTTTATGCCAGAGCTTAGCTGAAGGGAACATACAGGCTCTTGCCTTAAGGGAAGCGCTTCCACTTTCTGGGCAGAAAGCTGGGCTTTCGGACTTGCCAGAATGGCATGCAGGGGATGAGGTGAGGAGGTGCGGGGTCTATGGGACATGCTCTGATGTTTTCTCCATTAGGTGGTCTTGCTAGCACCACCACGGGCAGAGCCAGGTTGTAAATTGACTGTTGTCTGCTGCCAATCTACTGGTGGGGGAGAGATATGGAAGTGCCAGTTTGTTTCAAGGTTTGGTCCCTGGAACTTATAAGTAATCACACAGTTGGAAAAGTTTGCAGTATAGGAAGTGTCTGGTGGAGAGACAGTAAAGCTTATAATTGCATTCCTAAAGAGCTAAGTGCAGGAACAGCAAAATGGTAAAACTAATTCATTTCTTCTTTAAGAAAATATGGGTACTAAGTTACAAGACTGTAACCACTTAAGATGCCAACCACAAACAGTAGGTTCCCAGGTTACCTTCTGTCTGACTTTCCTACAGATTGGAGACTCCCACAACACCCTTATTGGGTTCAGCAATTTGCTACATCACATTACACAACCCATGAAAGCAGTGTACTTACTATTCCTGACTCATTACCAAGGATCTTTTAAACACTACAAATGAAAAGCCAGATGAAGAGATGCACAAGGTGAGGTATATGGAAGGAATGCAGGCCTCCCATGCCCTCGCCAGATATGATCCTCCCAGTATCTCTTGTGTTGGGAGAGCAACACAGATGCTCTCCCAACCCTGTCCTTTATTACACAGGCAGATTGGTTACGTCTGTGGCCATAGGTGATCAACTCAACCATCAGCACCTCTCCCCTTCACAGAGACGGGACGGGGGAAGAAATTTCAAATTCTCTCATGACAAGGTTGCTTCCCTTGGCAGCCAGCCCCACTGAGGCTGTCCAGGTGCCCCCAGCCATCAATCATTTCATTAGCGTACGAAAGACACATTACTTCGTACATTCCCAAGGCTTAGCGCTCTGTTTCAGGACACTGCAGCAGAGACCACACATTAACTCTTATTACGTTCCAACAACCTATAAAATGGAAGAAAATGTCTGCACATTAGATACTTCATCAGTGTCTGTTATCCAGAATGTATAAAGAACTTTTACAACTCCATAGCAAAGACAACCCAATCTAAAAATTGACAAAAGACACACTTCACCAACAAGCACATGAAAAGATGCTTAACATCATTACCATAATTAAAACCATAAAGAGATAACCCTTAACTCACACAAGAATAGTTATACTAAAAAATAACAAGTGTTGACAAAGATGTGCAGAAACTTGAACTCTTAAACACTGCTTGTGACAATATGAAATGGTGCAGCCTACGTGTAAAATAATTTGATGTTTCCTCATAAAGTTACAAATAGATTTACCATATGAGTTAATGATTCCATTCCTAGGTATATACCCCAAAGACCTGAAAACAACTGTTCAAACAAAAACCTGTATGCTCTTTAAATGTGTCAAGGTCATAAATATGCAGGAAAGTCTGGGGAACAGTTCCAGGAAAAGAAAACTGGATCCTAATAAAAAAAAAACAAAACACATTATACTCCCAAGTGTGGCATGAGGTAAAACTGAAGTGAGTTTGTGGACTGAATTATCATGTAGGAACAACGCTGATTTCCTGATCTAGGGGTTATGTGGTAGTTACCTGGGAGAGTGTCCATGCTTTCAGTACAATATACCGGAGTATTTTGTGGGACACTGCAAATCTGGTACAGCAATAACTGTTGGGGAATCTAAGGGAAGAAACAAGCTGTACTTTGTACTACTACTGGAAGTTGCCTAGACATATGACATTATTGGAAAATAAGTTACTTTTTAAAACAACCATGTCAATACCATGCCAGGAAAGCAGACACATCATCAAAATCCATTACAGAGGCTATAGTTCAGCCAAAGCTGTAAAACCCTTAACAAAGTCTCAATGTCAACAGAGTCCACTTAGTAGATATTATTATATTTATTAGTATTAGAGGCCATTGTGTCAATATATTAGTGTTAGGGCATGGTATGGATATTTAGATTAGTGTTAGGGAACGGTGTGGATATTGTATTGGTGTTGGGGAATGGTGCAGATATTACATCAGTGTTAGGGCATGGTGTGGATATTATTGCATTAGTATTAGAAGAGATGGTGTGGATTAGATCAGTGATAGGGCATGGTGTGGATATTATTACATTAGTATTGGAAGCGATGGTGTGGACTAGATCAGTGATAGGGCATGGTGTGGATATTATTACATTAGTATTGGAAGCGATGGTGTGGATTAGATCAGTGATAGGGCATGGTGTGGATATTATTACATTGGTATTGGAAGCGATGGTGTGGACTAGATCAGTGATAGGGCATGGTGTGGATATTATTACATTAGCACTGGAAGCGATGGTGTGGATTAGATCAGTGATAGGGCATGGTGTGGATATTATTACATTAGTATTGGAAGCGATGGTGTGGATTAGATCAGTGATAGGGCATGGTGTGGATATTATTACATTAGTACTGGAAGCGATGGTGTGGACTAGATCAGTGATAGGGCATGGTGTGGATATTATCACATTAGTATTGGAAGCGATGGTGTGGACTAGATCAGTGATAGGGCATGGTGTGCATATTATTACATTAGTATTGGAAGCGATGGTGTGGATTACATCAGTGATAGGGCATGGTGTGGATATTATTACATTAGCATTGGAAGCGATGGTGTGGACTAGATCAGTGATAGGGCATGGTGTGGATATTATTACATTAGTATTGGAAGCGATGGTGTGGATTAGATCAGTGATAGGGCATGGTGTGGATATTATTACATTAGTACTGGAAGCGATGGTGTGGACTAGATCAGTGATACGGCATGCTGTGGATATTATCACATTAGTATTGGAAGCGATGGTGTGGACTAGATCAGTGATAGGGCATGGTGTGCATATTATTACATTAGTATTGGAAGCGATGGTGTGGATTACATCAGTGATAGGGCATGGTGTGGATATTATTACATTAGCATTGGAAGCGATGGTGTGGACTAGATCAGTGATAGGGCATGGTGTGGATATTACTACATTAGTATTGGAAGTGATGTTGTGTATTAGATCAGTGATACGGCATGGTGTGGATATTATTACATTAGTATTGGAAGCGATGGTGTGGACTAGATCAGTGATAGGGCATGGTGTGGATATTATTACATTAGTATTGGAAGCGATGGTGTGGATTAGATCAGTGATAGGGCATGGTGTGGATATTATTACATTAGTATTGGAAGTGATGGTGTGTATTAGATCAGTGATAGGGCATGGTGTGGATATTATTACATTAGTATTGGAAGCGATGGTGTGGATTAGATCAGTGATAGGGCATGGTGTGGATATTATTACATTAGTATTGGAAGCGATGGTGTGGACTAGATCAGTGATAGGGCATGGTGTGGATATTATTACATTAGTATTGGAAGCGATGTTGTCAACTAGATCAGTGATAGGGCATGGTGTGGATATTATTACATTAGTATTGGAAGCGATGGTGTGGATTAGATCAGTGATAGGGCATGGTGTGGATATTATTACATTAGTATTGGAAGCGATGGTGTGGACTAGATCAGTGATAGGGCATGGTGTGGATATTATTACATTAGTATTGGAAGCGATGGTGTGGACTAGATCAGTGATAGGGCATGGTGTGGATATTATTACATTAGTATTGGAAGCGATGTTGTGGATTACATCAGTGTTAGCGCATGGTGTGAATATTATATAGGTGTTAGGGCACGGTGTAGATATCATAGTAATGTAGAGCACAGTGTGATTATTATATTAGAGGCCACTGTAAGAATATATATTACTAGATCAGTGATAGGGCATGGTGTGGATATTATTACATTAGTATTGGAAGCGATGGTGTGGATTAGATCAGTGATAGGGCATGGTGTGGATATTATTACATTAGTATTGGAAGCGATGGTGTGGACTAGATCAGTGATAGGGCATGGTGTGGATATTATTACATTAGTATTGGAAGCGATGGTGTGGACTAGATCAGTGATAGGGCATGGTGTGGATATTATTACATTAGTATTGGAAGCGATGTTGTGGATTACATCAGTGTTAGCGCATGGTGTGAATATTATATAGGTGTTAGGGCACGGTGTAGATATCATAGTAATGTAGAGCACAGTGTGATTATTATATTAGAGGCCACTGTAAGAATATATATTAGCAGCCACTGTGTCTTGGACGTTGACAATGATATTAGGGTGTACTCCAAATAGTGAGATTTGGGGGCTTTATTTTTCTAGATGAATTTCTTCCTCTGCTGAGTGCTCTAAAGACTCACTCCTTGGCACTCAGGGCCGTGGACAGGAGCTTTTTACTCACCAATGAAGAACACCAAATTAACACGACCCCCGTGCTGCCCTGAGGAAGTTGAAGCTCCTCGCTGCTTCTGGCACTTCAGCGGGAAGTTGGTTGGGGCGGGATCGCGCGCCCTCTGGTGGCGCCATGGTTCAGCACAGACGCTCTTGCTCACAGTTTCGCGGCGGATGTGCGCCCCCTCCTGGCTGTCCTGAAATACCTATAAAATTCAATATTCAGTTTATTCAGTGTCATAATTTTGGAAATTCAAACCGAAATAAAGGCCAGTATATCCATACCCTTCCCATAAATGGTGATGGAAGAATTATTTGGAAGCCATATAGAATGAAATGACTCTATACACAAAGTAAAACACAAAAACCTACTCAAAATAGTCCAGAGACTACAACTTCAAATGCAAAACTATAAATAATCTAAAAGAAAACCTAAGAGACATTGGATCTGGTGTTGAGTTTTAACACACAGCATCAAGTGCCAATTCGTGAAAATACTGAGAACAGACTTTATAAAACTAAATTTTCTACTATGAAAAACCCTATTCAGAGAACAAAAAGACAAGACACACTGTCAGAAGATATTTACAAAATACAAACGTGATTTTAAAAACTGTATTGAAAATACACAAAGAACTCTTCAAACGAACACTAAGAAAACTAAAAACCCAAATAAAACTGGGTAAATATCTGAACAGACATCCAGCCAAAGAAAATATATAGATAGCAGGCCAGGTGTGGTGGCTCATGCCTATAACCCCAGCACTTTGGGAGGCTGAAGCGGGTGAGTCACCTGAGGTCAGGAATTTGAGATCAGCCTGGCCAACATAGTGATACCCCCTCTCTACTAAAAATACAAAAAAATTAGCCAGGCATGGTGGTGGGTGCCTGTAATCCCAGCTACTTGGGAGGCTGATGCAAGAGAATTGCTTGAACATCGGAGGTGGAGGTTGCAGTGACCCAAGATCACGCCACTGCACTCCAGCCTGAGTGACAGAACGAGACTCTATCTCAATAAAATAAAAAAAAAAAGAAAATATACTGATAGCACATAATCACACAAAAGGATGCTCAATATATCTCATTAGGAGACTGCAAATTAAAATAATGCTGAGATATCACTGCACACCTAGTACAACTGTGGGACTCTTAAAAAAGCTCAACAGTAACAATTGGAGGTTGAAGAACAATAGGTACGGCCATTCATTACTGGCAGAATGCATGAATGGGTACAGCCACTTTGGGAAATAGTTTGACAGTTTTTCCCAAAGATAAACAAGTCTTACCTTACAATCCAACAAATGCACCCCTAAATTGTGTATGTTTAGACAGCTGCTTTGAAAAATTATGTTCAAACAAAAACTAGCATGTAATTATATACGAGCCACTCTACTCATAATGGCCAAAACTTGAAGTAGTCAGAACGTTCTTCAATAGCTGAATGCATAATCAATTTGAAGTACAACCATGCAATGGAATACCATTCACCAACAGAAAGGAATGAACTGTCAATCCATGAAAACAAATGAATGAATCTTGCATCTATGTTGCTAAGTAAAGGGTGGCAGTATGAAGATGCTATACATTATATGACTCCATTCATATAACATTCTGGAAAAAGCACAACCAAAGAGATGATAGTCAGATCAGTGACTGTCTGGGGTGGGGATTTGAAGTATTCTGTATGCTACTTCAGTAGTGGATATCTGACACTATGCATTTGATAAAACCCACAGAATTTTAATGCACAAAGAACAAATCACAAGCTACACAAATTAAATTATTTAGGATGTGGAAGTATCTAAGGACAAAATACAGAGTGCAACCAAGAATCTAACTGTATTACCAATGTATGTTGCAAGTGGTGGGCCAAAGGTGCTGAGCTGGAAATGAGTAGAATCCATAGACTAAAAACAAAACGTACTATATACACGAACAGTGGACTCTATTTTATAAAGTTATTTCCCATAGGGATAATAGTTAATTTTGAAACTACTATATCTGTAAAAAGAAAAATAACCATGATTTTCCTCTATACTATCAACACTCCACTTTTAACAGCAAATTGTGGGGGGTGGGGGGTGTTTCCCATACCAACCAATATTCCAACTCTCTGGAAAACAATTGGGTATCCTGTAATTCAACTGTGACACTGATTACCTGGAGTTAGTATACACCCTACAGGTTAAGGGCTTAGTAACACCAGACTGTCCACAACCTCAGATGCCAATCACAAGTTGTGAATCCCCAGTTTACCCAAACTTCTATATGACTTGGCTAGAAACTAGGCATTCCTACACCCCCTCTTCAGGTTTGACAATTTGCTATGATGGCTTATGGAACTAGGAAATACTTACTTATGTTTACTAGTTATTATGGTCTCAATGTGTGTACACCCCCACCCCAAATTCCTATTTTGAAATGTAATCCCCAAAGGGATGGTATTCAGAGGTAACCGAGAGGTGATCGGATCATGAGAGTGCTGTCCTCATGAATGAAACCAGTGCCCTTATAAAAGCATCTAGGAGCCCGTTTCCCCATTCTGCCATGTCACGACATGCTAGAAGGCACTATCTATGATAGATGAGCCCTCACTAGACATCAAATCTGTCAGCCTTGATCTGGAACTTTCCAAATTCCATATTTTAGGAATTTTTATGGAAGCTTCATCATGTAGACATGACGGATTATTAACTCAATTTCCAGTCCCTTCACACCCTCAAAGGATTGCATGTTAAGCTAAAAGTTACAACCTTCTTATCATGGCTTGGTCTTTCTGGTGACCATCCCCATCCTGAAACCATCCAGGAACCCACAGAGTGTCCTTATTAGAACAGAAGCCATTCCTATTATCCAGGAGATTCCAAGAGATTTAGGAACTCTGCGTCAGGAACCAGGGCCAAAGACCAAATATTAGAACACAAGATGCTCCTAGCACCCCTACTGTTCAGGAAATTATAATAGTTTTAGAAGCTCTGTACCAGGAACTGCAGACACAGACCAAACATATATTTCTTATTAAGTCCCAACCTGGAATCTTGATCAAGAATGAATTCCTTGTTCCCAATGGTACAAGGGATGAAATAAATGGCAGATAGTAGGAGCCAGGTTCCTCACTATTACAGCGAGAAGTTACAGATAAAAAATAGGGAAGCCTAGAATGATCTCTGTCATAATGAGTCAGAATATATATATACAACGTAAGTATAAACTCACATTTAGCTTAACATATACATAGATGGTTCCACATAGAAACCTTTATAATTAAGTGGGTACATATAAGTTAGAAGACACACATATATTTCTTTGCACTGTCAGCTGTAAGTGTCATGATGCAATGACCACATTTAGTGGTCAGATGTAAGTTTTTCATACCATTCTCTAACAAAAGAAATCAGGGCTATTAGAAGAAATAGCTGAAACTAGGACTGGGACAGAAAATATATGAGCCAGGGTACTTTTGAAGTAACAGAAATAAATTATAAAAAAAACATGAAATTATGTAAAAGGAGCCAGTGGAAAGAGCTACCAATGGCCACAGGTATGAACAAAGAGCAACAAAATACTGTACAATTAGATAACAACCAAAAGATTAAAGTAACTATCTGTGGACCCATACTGGTATAAATAAATGATTAAACAGATATGCAAATGGGCTGAATAGAAATCTCTTATACAGAAGAATTCCAAATACCTGATACAGACAGCCATCAAGGAGGTGGGGCTAACTCCCCACTCCTTTAAGTATGAGCTCTGCATGATGACTTCCTCCAAAAGCATACATACAATATAGACATGGGAAAAAAGTAACTTTACAGTGAAAAACCTGAAAACACTGCCTCAACCAAGTGATAAAAGTTAACATTAATGGTGATAACACATCTTGAGAGCATGAAGTGACTAGACTAGCACTTGCAAACCAAAAATAAAATTCAAAGATCTTTCCCCCAACCACCTCTCCACCAGGGGACACCAAAGTTAACCTGGAAGACTGGTTCAGGCTATGATGGGAAAGAGGTGGTCAGACATGCCTCATTATGCCCTCCTCCCTTTTGGAATTCAGGAAAAGCCAATCAGCATTTAACATCAACACAACCTTAAATCTGATAAGAAACATTTACAATCTATTCTCTCTGAAGCCTGCTACCTGGAAGCTTCATTTCCATGATAAAACCTTGGTCTCCATAACCCCTTATCATAACCCAGACACTCCTTTCTATTGATAGTAAGTCTTTCAACAAACTGCCAATCAGAAAAATTTTAAATGTACCTATAACCTGGAAGCCCCCCCCCCACCCTAATCCATTGGGTTGTCCCACCTTCCTGGACCGAACCAATATATATCTTAAATACACTTGATTGATGTCTCCTATCTCCCTAAAATGTATAGAACCAACCTGCACCCCAACGACCTTGGGCACATGTTCTCAGGGTCTCCTGAGGGCTGTGTCAAGGGCCATGGTCACTCATATTTGGCTCAGAATACATCTCTTAAAATATTTTAGTCTTTGACTCTTTTTGTGGACACACTACACATCTGCTCTGCTTCCCCCAAACCCCTAAACCCAGGCTGATTATGAGAAAAACCCCAAGTGAACCACAATGGAGGACATTCTACACAATACCTGACCAATCCTCCTAACACTGTTCCAGGTCCTCAGAAGTAAAGTCTGAGAGATTGTCACAGCCAAGAAGAGCCTGACATGATGACTAAATGTCCTATGGGATCCTAGATAGGATCCTGGGAGAGAAAAAGGCAGAACTAAGGGAAACCAAATAAGATGTGAGCTTATTTAATAATATAGTAATATCCAGTCATTAAGTATGACAAGAAATGATGTAAGATGTTGGTCAGGAGTGGTGGCTCATGCCTGTAATCCCAGCACTTTGGGAGGCTGAGGCAGGCGGATCACCTGAGATCAGGAGTTCAAGACCAGCCTGGCCAACGTGGTGAAACCTCATCTCTACTAAAAATACAAAAATTAGCCGGGCATGATGGCAGGCACCTGTAATACCAGCTACTCAGGAGACTGAGGCAGGAGAATCGCTTGAACCTGGGAGGCGGAGGTTGCAGTGAGCCGAGATCACGCCACTGCACTCCAGCCTGGTTGAGACTCTGTCTGAAAAAAAAAAAAAAAAAAAAAAAAGATGTTAAACCTATCTGATACATGTTGGTATGTTAAAAAGCGGGGAAACTAGGTTGCGTCTACATGGGAAATCTGCATTTTCTTCCCAATTTCTGTATGAATCTAAAACTAATTTAAAATAAAACCTCTATTTAAAAATTGTAATTTTTTCAGATATCTGCTAAATTATTTGTACTAAAAATTAGTAATTGACAGTAACTACTCCTACTTTTAAAAATAAGAGCATTCATGATACTGCAAAGTAAATTATACAGACTAATATATACTTTCAAAGAAATGCCCCTTTTACATGTTTTATGTTAAGATAACATATATGTGTAAACATGGTCATATCATTTTCCTTATGGTGTAGTTCACTCTCTAAGAAAGCTGGTCATCTTAGAACCAGGGAAAAAAATTCACATTTTGGAGACTATTTCAATTTACGGCTGGACGTTTTCAAAGTATGACTTTGCGAAAAAAAAAAAGTTCAAATTGATTCATTGTGACTGGATCACTTATTCTAATGAATGCTTGCCTTTATTTTGTTTCCCAGCATTCCTTTCAGCTACGATACAAAAGAAGCAAATATTTGCCACTGGAAAAAATATTCAAAGACACTCTTAGGTTAATCTATAGCTGATGACAGTCAGTCTAGTCTACATAGCAAGCAGCTTCAAGATATGATTACTTAGCTAAGCGGGAAATGGGACGTGACTGCTGCCTCATTCCCACGCCTCTCTGGACCTGATAATTTAGAGGAAGCTCACATTCGCAAGATAAAAATTTTCTTTTCCTTCTCAGTATTAAATATGCTGTCACAATAGAAGAAAGCTTTACTGACTTCTTAAATGACGTGTTGAGACCGGAACCCTAAAATGATAGTTACTGAGGATAGTGCTAATGCCCTAAGACCGGAAACCTAAAATGATAGTTACTGAGAATAGTGCTAATGCCCTAAGACCGGAAACCTAAAATGATAGTTACTGAGAATAGTGCTAATGCCCTAAGACCGGAACCCTAAAATGATAGTTACTGAGAATACTGCTAATGCCCTAAGGTTTTAGTCACACCCTCACCTAGGCAGGAACCCAACCAAAAGGGGAGAACTGTGGAACAAACTACGGGAGGTCATTGTTTCGGTCACCACTCCCGCATTAGGCCACACTGAGCAGGCAAAACCAGAATGGAGACACTCACGCTGAATGACACACAACGAAGCTGAAACTTTAAGGAAGTAGACAGATCCCAAAAGATCTCCCTTTTTCCCTGAAGAGATTCCAGTCTACCTGAGTCAGCATAAAGAAGTCCCCTCTGCTTTAATTCTTACCAAAACAAGTAACTTGAAGTAATCTGATGTTAACAAATCAGTTGTTATTTTCTATTGCTCTATTTCCGCCTTACACAACACAGTGTTCTGCTATTGCCCAGAGGGCACTGAGACCAAATAAAACTTGAAAATGCCACACTGAAAGCAAATAAGTACTAATAACTCAATTTACAACGATAACAAAGAGTGACACCAATGCCCAAAGTTTTGATCAATATCTCAAAATTGAGAGGCTGACCAAAAGGGAGGAATTCTTACATCAAACAACATTTGGGCTCTAGAAGCCTCCCAAGGAGTCCTTGTAAAGAGTCGCGGCCGGGCGCCGTGGCTCACGCCTGTAATCCCGGCACTTTGGGAGGCCGAGACGGGTGGATCATGAGGTCAGGAAATCGAGACCATCATGGCTTACAAGGTGAAACCCAGTCTCTACTAAAAAAAAATACAAAAAAATTAGCCGGACTTGGTGGCGGCAGCCTGCAGTCCCAGCTACTCGGGAGGCCGGGACAGGAGAATGGCATGAACCCGGGAGGCGGAGCTTGCTGTGAGCTGAGATCGCGCCACTGCACTCCAGCCTGGGCGACAGAGCGAGACTCCGCCTCAAAAAAGAAAAAAGAAGAAGAACAAGAAGAATCGCAACCTAATTTAGTATAGAAACAAACTGTAAATCTGACTTGGGAATGTATCATGGTAACAAATAGCGGCGGTTCAGCCAATCACATCAGCCGAGTGTCAGTCAATGGCCGGCAGCCAGCTGTTCAAAACAAGTTCCAAGAAGGCAAATCCGGGCTGTAACCAGGTCTGTAACCAATCCAGCCACCTCTATACCTCACTTCTGTTTTCTGTATGTCACTTTTTTTCTCTGGCTATAAATATAACCCGCACATGTTGTGTGGCAGATCATTCTGAACCATTTTTGGTCTGGACTGCTGCCTGATTCTAGAACCACAAAAAAAGCCAATTAAGATCTGCAAACCCACATTTGTTGTAATTTTGTATTTTAACAGTTGTGCCCTACAAAAGACATTAAGCTGAAATTAATTAAAAATCATTTACGGTCATGATTAGGTCATAAAAAATTGTCAAACATAACAATTCTTCAAAAAAAGCTAAAAAGTATATTTTAAAAACATTGTTGATGGAAAAAAGAGTGCAAAAGTAGATAGGAAAATTATGTACAAAACTAAAAACAGAGGAGAAATTAAAAGTCAAATAATTGCATCAAACTGGAAACCTAGAAAAAATGGGTGATTTCCTAGTAAAAATACACATTAACAAAATGGGCACTGAAATAAGGCAACTATGAATATACCAATTAGCATAGAAAAGCTAAGAAAGGTCCTTAAAGATCTCCCAGTGGAAAAAGGCCCCAGGACCATCTGGGTCCATAGCTTAGTGTAAGCTGACTTAACTAAATGTGATTTTACACTCGTGCATTGCATACATACGATGGTGGTCCCATGAGATAAAAATGGAGCTGAAAAATTCCTTCCTAGCCATCTTGTCATAAGCTCATGGCTCAACGCATTACCTTTTCTCTGTTCTGATACCATGAAAGGAAAATAAATCTCAGGACCCCCAAATCACTAAGCCAAGGGAAAAGTCAAGCTGGGAGCTATGTCAGGCAAACCTGCCCTCATTCTATTCCTAAGATAGCTACAAAGATAAAAAGCTACATACCTCACTCACAATTTGCCCACAAAGAATTTCCTTTTGGACAAAGGACAGACAGCACTCAAAGTCATCCCTCACCTGAGACAGATGCATATCTGATTGCTTCCTCTGCCCTATTATTTATGTAAAAATGCAGATTCATTGAGCCAGACTAAATTGTGTATTCAGTGGAAGGCTGATGAAGGATTCAAAAGAATGCAACCTTTTGTCTCTAACCTACTTCTGACCTGGAAGCACCCCCACTTCCTGCTTCCAGTTGTCCCGCCTTACTGGGCCAAATGACTGTACATCTTACACGTCTCATGTATCCCTAAAATGTACAAAAGCAAGCTCTACCCTGGCCACCTTGGACACACGTCGTCAGGACCTCCTGAGGCTGTGTCATGGGCGTGTCCTTAATCTTGGCAAAATAAGCTTTCTAAATTGACTGAGACCTGTCTCAGATATTCTGGGATCACAATCTACAATCACCATGGTGTTATGGTTGACTACAGCATTCAGTACAGAGACATGCTGTACAGGTTCGTAGCCTGGGAGCAATAGGCTATACTATGTAACTTAGGTGTGGAGTGGGCTACACCATCTAAGTTTTATAAGGACACTCTACAGTGTTCACACAAAGATGAAATCACCTAAGGACAGATTTCTCAGAAAGTATAACATCGTTACGAGATGCCTGAGTGTATTTTAAATGGTCAAAGCCTAGGAGAAAAAAAGAAACTTAACTCTTGTTATGGGTTAATAACAAAGCTTAAGAGAGTTAACATATTTCATCTAATCTAAGATGCCAATGATTAAAAGACATTACTTTATGCACCATCACAAATAGGTTGCCAATTAAACCGACTTTCTGAATAACACACAAATGTGAATTTACTTCTATTAATGCCAGGAAAGTAAAATGAAAAATAAATTATGGTTTTGACATGTTAAAGCAAATACGGCGGGGGTTAGCCTGAGGCCTTCCCTAAGCAAACAGAAACCGAACTTGGAGGCATTTGAACTGACTTAAAAAAATTAACAAACCAACCACAGTCAATGCCAAAAAGCCCAGCAGCCAGCTGGCTGTATGACTAGGGACGCTGAGGGAACCATCCCCACAACAGGCGGTGGCCTAGCTGGAGCCACTGAGGAGCCTCACTTAGGGGCCACCCTAAGAGCTCGAAGCCCCAAGCCGATTTCCGTTCTGGTGCTTCCCGCGTGATTCATGAACCATTCCTTTGCTGAAATAAACTCCGCTTAAATTTATTTTACCTCAAATCCTTTTAACAGACAAAGTCCAGTATTTACACTTAAAATACGGTTGTGAAAACTCACATCTACATCTGCTCTTCAATATTTTTCAAGTACTTTAACACTCTAAGAAAAACGAGCCACTGGAACGCAAATAAAAGCAAGTCGTGGGGTGCGCGTCTCCCTGGGGCTCTCCATGTTGCCCTCAGGGTTTCTCCCTTCTCTGTCCCGGATCCACCCCAAACAAACCCAAATTGGTCAAAAATTAAAAAATGAAACAACTCAGGTATGCTGTAATAATGAATAACAAAGCCACTTAATGATGGGCCACTTTGTAAAATAAAATAAATACAACTTGAGAAAGTGGAGCGCGAGGCAGCGCGGCCTCCTCAGCACTGAGCCGGGACAGAAAGCTTTTTCCTCACCTTTCCTCGGGCAGCCTCGGGGACCATGAAGCCACAGCTTCCCCAGTCGTTCCTGAGGAGCTGAGGAGAAGGAGGCTGGGTCGTCCCTGGCCACGGTCCCCAGGTGTTCCTAGAGAGCCAGCGGCGTCTCCCGAGTGGGTCCTGAGGAGGAGGAGGCTGGGCCCTCTCAGGTGTCCCTGTAGGGATGACGGCGCCTCCTGCGTAGGTCCTGAGGAGACGGCTCGGCTCCGCCCCCTGGAGCCGCAGGCCGTCTGTGCCGGAACCCGGGCGCCGCTTGAGGTTCTGTGAGGCGGCATCGCGCCCCCTGACGGCCGTCGCAGGCGGTGCAGGATGCTCAGGTGCTCGCGGTCGAGCTGTGGCCTCGCCCCTCCGGTGGATCTCCGAAGTTCACTGTTCGGACAATTACACGCCATGACTTTTGAAAAACCAGCTAAGGCCGGGCGCGGTGGCTCACGCCTGTAATCCCAGCACTTTGGGAGGCCGAGGCGGGCGGATCGCGAGGTCAGGAGATCGAGACCATCCTGGCTAACACGGTGAAACCCCGTCTCTACAAAAAAAAAAAACAAAAAAAAATTAGCCGGGAGTGGTGGCGGGCGCCTATAGTTCCAGCTACTCGGGAGGCTGAGGCAGGAGAATCGCTTGAACCCGGGAGGGGGAGGTTTCAAGGAGCCTCCTCTAAACAGAAAAGACCGACCCCTAGTCAGTGTTTTATTTTCCCTATGACCGCAGGCCATGAACTTATGGAACAATAAGGTAATTAGGCTCTTGGACCCAGGGAAGTAGCTCCATGCCACCTGCCCTCATTTGCTGAGCATTTTGATTTCTCGGATCTGCTACTCAGTTTCCAGTCTCCTCCTCCCTGCCAATGCTGCCAGCGTGCCTCTTCTGCAAGCAGCAACCGCCTTCCACCTTCCATTCTCTACTCTTTAGCCATCATCTGGCTGGACTTTTCAGAATGGACTGCAAAGGAGAATAAACTGGCTGAGTCTGAGGGTGCACTCACGTGCAAAGTTGCAAGCTTTAATGTACCCATCTTGGCAGATTTTGGCTCCTTAGAGTTCTTTCTCATTTGGGGATCTCATGTGCCCTCTGATGAGGTGGGCTCACTGACTGTCTGCGCTGGTGGCATCTGGCAGCACCTTGTCACGTGCACCTAGGTAAGAACCTGGCTGCACCTGATGCTTAGCCAAACGGGGAACCCACAGTTCTGTGTATCAGGTGATGTTTAATCTCTGGAGGTTAATGAACGTGAGGGAGCGATACTGTCTGGGACTCTCCACATATTGCGTCTGAGTCACTGAAGGAAAAGAATGTGGGGTCTGTTTGCTGGGACTGGACACCTCCATAATCACATGCTCCATGAAATGCAGGCAGGAGATCTCGCTTTCTACCTCTGGGATGGGAGTGTGCAGTTTCAGAATGAGACTAGCCCACACAACTGACTATTTGGGAAAGAGAAATGAAATCAGATGCAGCAATTTAATATCCACTAAGATGATATCTTAATCACAAACACTCTTCTGGTTTTTAGAAATGTGAATGTTATTTACACTAGGTTAAAAAACCTGAATATCCAACAGCATGACACCGACTAAAGAAATACTGGTGCACTCTGGAACCTTGCACACCACTTATTGGCATGGGAACAATGGGAACACGCCTATACAAAGATGTGCATGGAAATTAGAAGAATGCAACACTGTAGAACAGATGTGACTAGGTGCATGATCAAGAGCACACAAGACCAAGCCTGCCTCTGCACACACAAGACAGCGCATGAGTCTGCACCACGTGACGGGACCACTGTGGAGCAAGCCTGGGAGATTCTGATGTAGGCAGCAGAGGCGTCACTTAGGGACCAGACTTCCGTGGGAAACCACCATCTCCTTCCAACCCAGATGCGCTTCGTGGCAAACGCGAGCAGATGAAGGTCATGTAGGAGACGAAAGAACTCGCTCCCCAAGCCCATAGGCCTTTGTCCTCCACCCATGGACCGAAGCATCTTGTTAGATGAGGGCCGCCTGCAGCCAGGGCCGGCGGAGAACCTGCCACGGAGCAGGTGTCCGTAAAGAACTGCTGACTGTCACTGTCCCTACTTGGGGGCCACTGGGGGATCTGATGCATCTCACTACCCTTTGTAAAGGAATTATTGAAAATGTCAGCCCTCTAACAAGGCATAGGTTGATTAGTTACAGGATTTAACATTTCTATTTTAAAAGGCAGCATTGAAGAATGTCTTTACAAAGGCTGTACAAAACCTGCCATATTCTTTGTCACACAGATTGACTCATGTGCAATGCAGCCATTTGATGAAACACTGGCATTTACCAGATGTAAACTTATTAGCAGACGACAACTAGAAATAGTGTGCTGGATGTGCCCGTTTATTTATATGAATGTAACCATCTCTCTAGATGCATCGAAAGATACACAACATGAGATCCACTTTATTTCTACAAGTTTATGATCAGGTGGTCAGGACAGGGAAAGAAGAGGAAAAAACTTTAAATCATGGACCTTTATTCTTAGACACCTTTATCCTACATACACAAGGGACGTGCATGGTTGAAATAACGGAAACAAGTGGATAAAAGTGAAAGTAACTTAAACAGCTTTACCCAGGAATGCCCAATTCAGGTGCTGCAGAGAAGAGCATGAGAACCGGGTGTCTTCAGGACAGGTGTGCATCTGGGAGCAGAGTGGGCGTTCATCAGCAGGGAGGAGCAAGGCCTGGGTCGGGGGACACTGGGGCTGCTGTCCCAGAGGCTGGCAGTGTAGCCCGGAACCCCCAAGACTTCACTGAGTCTCCCCTCAACCACCTAAACCAGAATAAACTGATGTAGCAGGACTCCTCAAACACTGTGCAGGGTCTCCATGTCCTCGATGGCCCCTGATGAGCCACAGTACCCTCAGGTCCTGGTGAAGGAGCTGGTGCTGCCTCCTGCCTTTCCCCACATGGGGTCCTGCAGCTCATCCCACACAGCCTCAGATTCCCTCTACAGAACCTGCCCACAGATGTCTTCCGAGACCGGCAATACTGGGAGGCCTGTGGCCCAGACCCAGGAGGAACCAGCTGAGAGGCTCCGTGGAGGTATCGCTGATGGTGTAACCAGAATGAAAATGCCCACTTCTGTTCTGCTCCCTGAGAACAACTGTCAAGCCAGCATGAGTTTCCAGTTGGAACTTTTCCTTTTCTCCCCATGTTTGTCACTGTTTTAATGGACATTGCCTGGCTATTAAATCCCCCGATGAACTCACTTTGAAAATTATCTATTGCACTGGGCACCCTTTCAGGAATCACTGAGTGTTAATTTTCTCAGTCTGAGTGATAATTTATGAGTCAAACAAGGACAGATCTGAAGCCAGAGGCTGCTCCTGTTGGGAAATCCCTGAGGATGATGTTCCAGGGAAGCCTCCAGCCTTGGGAGTCCCGTGGAACTGAGCCAGCCCAGGTCATGAAAGGAGCTGGTGCCAGACACTGACTGGGGACCTGCTGGCCTCTGGGCAGACCGCTCTGTCCCTGCACTTGGCCTGCCAGGTATCCCTGTGCAGTCATACCAAGTCCTGTGCTCAGAAGGGCCCCAGAGTAGTTTAAAGCTCTGCTGCCACCCCTGGAAGCTCATGATTTTGAACAACAACAACAAAAAAAACCCCACATTTTCCACTCAGCCCCACACATTATGTGGCCTGCACAGCTGTCAGGCTGTGGCCACAGTGCTGGCATCTCTCACACAATGAAGGCTGCTGGAGTCCTGGCTTCTAGTTCTTCAGTAATCAAGAGCAATGGTCTTACCTGTTCACAGGTCCCCGTGGCTGCTTTACAGAAAGCAGGAAGTGGCCACTTCAGCCACACGGCTGCATTTCCAGCTCAGTCCAGGCAGAGGTGCACCCTGCCTTGCACCTCTGCAGATCCTGAGGGGAGTCCTTAACTGAGCCAGGGCGAGTCCTGGGGGCACTCTGCCCCTGGGCAGGCCCTGAATCTCCTCTGCTCCCACACTCTAGAGTTCAACGGGTCTCAGGGGCTCTGCCTGAGGACTGCCCTTCAACCAGGTATTCGTAATTTCCCCAAGACCCAGGCTTGCTGAGTCACTCAGTTACCTGAATGCCTTTTTCACAAAGGGATGACTGTGCTGCTCCGTCTTCCTTCTTTTTTGTTTGCGAGGCCACAGGGAAATCTGGATCCTCTGGTGAAAAAGCAAATCCAGTTGCTGCTGCTGCTGCTGCTGCTGCTGCTGCTGCTGCCGCCGCTGCCGGTTCTTGTAAATGTCCTCACTTGGTTTCTGGGCAGCAACTTCCTTGACTTGCCTGGGGAGCGGATCTGAGCTGCATTTACCAGGCCATGCCCAGGGGAAGTGATCAGTGTGGGACCGTGAAGCTGGATTTCCCCAGGAGCTCCCTCCAACCTTCTGGGATGATGATAAGACTTGGGATGAACCAAGGATCTCGAACCATGGGACAATGTGAAGTCTAGACCTAGTGGAGGAAGAGAAAGGCTACGGGAAGGGCAGGCTTCACGTTACTGAGCATCCGCTACCTGCCACACACTTTCACGTGGCCTTATTCTGTGTGTTTCTCACAGCACCCTTGAGAAATAGAGACTACGATCACATCTTTTACATAAAAGAAAACCAGCATCCAGGGAGGCGAAGTCCCTTGCTCACAGACTGTCATGTGGGAAGCTCTCTGGATGCAATGATGTCCTCCAGTTGCAGTACCAGGCAAGCTGTCCCAGAGTTCATGGAGCGGAAAGGCTCGAGAAGCAACTGAGGATGCTCGAATCACAGGTTTATAAAATCCATTCGTAAAACACAGCAAGAAGCTGAGGGAAGGAGATGGGAGGGCCGTATGACCTGATTCCTGTGCTGTCAACATTCATCGGTTCTCTTCTTTCTCTGCTAGTCAACCTCACCCACTCAGGTGTGACCACGAGGACCAGAGCCGAGGTCTGGGCAAGAGTGCTCACAGCTGAAGGGCTTATGACACACACCGGCTCAACGGGACAGACATGGGACAAGTGTGCCTGATCATGGTGGAGTTGCCAAGAAGCAGCTGTCGCACTGCCATGGGTTCTACGTGTTTCTTGGGCAGAGGACGCATGGGACCAGAATGGGCACCAGGAATGGTGGTGAACAAAGGCCCCATGGTTCTGCATGTTTAGGTGTCTCTTGTATAAAGGCACATTGTGAATTGAACATTTAGTGCCCAGGAGCCTCATGCATATTAAGTATCTCTTGGCCCTTGTGTCTCTTCCTTCCCACATGTAACATACCTGTTCTCTGTAACTATCTATTCTGAACGTATCTAAAAACCATGTCTTGCCTGTGTTATACAAACCACATGCATACTCACATTGTCTGATGTAGCTGAATGTTTCCTAAGGCCAGGGCACATTTCAGGGTCACATAGAGTGGAGAGAGGGACCAAAATAGCCTTGCTCTGTTTGACTCCCAGCTGAGATGTCTGCTGGGCAGCACTGCCTCTGTAGGCTCTAATGGGGGAAGGGAGCTCAGGGGAGCCTCTGGGGCTGGGCAGGCTACCAGAGGGTGTGGACATTTGGGTGGACCCTGACGGAGGACTTGGGTTTCCTTGGGAGGAAGTGTCAGGAAGGGCATCTGGGGCTGAGAGCACTGTGTGGGCAACAGAAGGAAGGAAACTGTGGCTGGCTGGGAAGGGATGGTACGGGGGACAGGGTGAGACTTCTGGCCCTGGGTGCTCAGATGAAGACCTGGGGTTGCCTAGTGGCTGGAAACACACACCAGCTGTGGCAACTTGACCTCTGGGATGTGAGTGTGCAGGCAGCTGCCGAGAACGGCTGTGGATTTGGAGATGTGGCTACAGGGAATGGGCAGTGGATTCATCTGGGAATTCTGCAGGCAGTGGCCCATAGAGGAAACAGCCTGGAAATGAGACTGCAGATACGTGCTAAAGAGGCTGGAGGAACAGTGACCCCAGTACAAGTTTATGGATCTTATCCACAATCTAAAGAAATGGAAGCCAAATGGCTTTTGAAATTCTAAAATACATGCAGAGGAAGAGTAATGCTTCATGGGAGAGCCAGACTCTTACTGGCAGTGACGCTACACGGTAGAGCTCTGTTCCTCCTGCCCATGTCTGTGGTTGGGGCTGGGGTAGTGCATAAACATGACGCTGATGAGGCCCAAGCATTGTTGGAAAAGAATTCAGCAGCTGCCACAAGAATCTTGAATCCGTGGGTGAAGACCTTGACTTTCTCTGGGACCAATGTGGTCAAGAACAAAGTAAAATCATGACAACAAACACTGTTCAGTTTTCCAAATATAAGCTATTTTAAATACTCTACATTTACCCTCAAAGACTGACATAACTTAGAATAACTTTTATAACAGCAAGGATGAGAACTAAAACTTAAATTGTAAATACAATTTTATTTATAAAAACAAAGTTAGCTTCAAATATTTTATGAACTAGTAGAATTTTAACCTTTTGTCACATTTCCCAGCAAAGTAAATAATTCTTTTTTTCACTTCTAGTCTGTCAGAAGAAAAGTCTTAGCTCAAATGGCCAGAAACTCTGACGCACACTCCGGAAGCTGCTTCCGGGGCACCTCAGCATGGCCGCTTTTCCATGCCGGCCCTCACTTGATGCGGTCCAGCAGGGTTGAAATTGTTTGAAATGCTTGTTCCCAGTGCGGTAAAGAAATAGCACTTGAATGTAAATTTAATTTCCTCAGCAAGGCCATTTTTATTTTTTTTTAATTTCTGCAGAAAATGTACACTCGCCAGCAGTTTTGCCACAACAGTATACTGAGCAAAGGAGACAGTGTCATTTATAACCTGACGCATCCACCCTACTGCTGTGTCCAGTTTCCAGTGGCTGGAACGGGACCTCACATTCTGTATTTGTCCCGATTGGCTAGCAACTTAGAACTTTTTTAAAGAGGAAAAGGCAGAGGAGAACAAAGGAAGGAGGAAGTAACTTGTGGAATGCTGAAAAAAGTAAAAACACCTTCGAGTAAAGAAGAGGAACAGGCAATGACCTAAAGCTTGCTTGGACTAGTATAAGCATGCCAGGGCAAATATTTAGGCTAAATTGTGGGAGCTAAGAACATAAAGTACATTGATTTCTTTATTAGGGCTAGCAGATATTTAAGAATGTTAGCACGGGTCTTTGAATAAATTTTGCTTCTAAGAGAAGTTACTATTTATTTCTAATGAGATGGGAAGGAAAGTCTTTGAAGAGGAAACTCTACTTTTTACAGAAGTAGGAACTTAGACTTACAGTTTGCACATTGACAAACTTGTTTTCCTTCCGTACACGAGGGGTTTATGATCCTCTGTTGCAACTGATTTGTCTTATGTAACTTCAAGAGTTACTCGTCAACCTACTTACTATTCTGGACTTTTCGGGAAATGGCAATTTGCCTTCCTATTTAGTGGGAGGGACACTGAGACTGCACTTTTTCTTACCCCAAGAAGTGCACGGTGTCATTGCAATGTCAACATCAGGGAGATCTCAGCCAGTGTGAAATAATTAGATCGTCCACTCAAAATTCTTAGTTACATCTTTTTAATATTTTCTTCACACTTCTTAAAAGCAGCTTAACAAGAATTGCATTAGTCAGGGTTTTCCAGAGAAACAGAAAAGAGAGGAGGAGATGTCCAGAATTGTCTCGTGTGATTACAGAGGCTAGAATCCAAGGAAGAGTGGCTTGAGTCCAGGGGCAGAATTCCCTCTTCCCCTGGGAGGTCAGTATTTCTTCCTTTAAGGCCTTCAACTGATTGGATGAGACCCACCCACATTATGGAGCATAATCTGCTTTACTAAAAGTATACTGGCTTAAATGCTAATTTCATCTGAAAAATACCACAGAATAATGTTGACCAAGTACTGGGAGAGGCCTTTTCCTTCATCTTTTGGTAAATTGCAATCCCTGGGTATATTCACATTTGAAACTCAAATGTGGGCATTGGCTACTGCAGGCCTTTCCCGGCTCAATGGAGTGCAGACAGGGGAGGCACAGGAGTGACTCCACTGTGTGAAGAGAAGACTGATGAGGGCCCATGTGGCACCTCAGGTAGGGTCTGCACTGTCTGGACTATGGTCAGGCCCCTGCCTGAGCCAGCCCTGCTCTCCAGTGTCCCCAAGGAATCCCTGAAACTAGCATCTCATGGAGGAGATAGACGATGCAGGAGGTCCCCTGTGCCCAGAACAAATGGTACAACAAGGCCCCTCTGTTCCCCAAACTGGTCTCAGCAAACTTTCCCCACAGCTTGGATCTGGGCAGCTCACAGGGCCCAAACCTCATGACCAGCAGTGCTGGACCAGGGGGCTAGAAGGGCAGGTGGAGCTCTCTGATGACATTGTGGAGAGGAGGGGTGCCGGGCAAGGGGTGTCCAGGCAGGGGGTGTCCAGGATACTGTCCTGAGAGCCTCTCCAGGGACAGATGCCCTTAGGGGCAGAGAAAAAGGCAACCGGGGAGACCAGAGGAGTCTGATGCAGATAAGGAGGGGCTCTGTCCAGTGATGTTTCTCCACAATGAGCTCTCCCGAGGACAAGCAGCCTGCTTTATAGGCGAACCCCATTGCACAGTGAGAAGACGAAGACTTCGGAACTCAGTTCCCTAGAACCTCTTCTCTCCCTGCATAGTCCGGCCCTATTGGTCCCTTCTGGTCTTGAAGGTCTTTAATGGAAACAAACCGCAAGGCCAAGGCCAGACCTGCCTGCCCTTCATGCCCATCTCCACGCAGCAGTTGAGTGTGGACTCTGCCTCCCCTGTCCCCCGAACAGTGAGTCCCCACCAGCCCCTCCAGGGACACAGTGCCAGCTCTGCAGCCCTCCCATCCCTCTGTCCATTCTTCTGCAGGCAGGATGGGCACTGTGGCTGGAGGAAGGCTCCTGATCCACTGCTTTGGGGGAATCTCTGATTTAGCACTCCACAGGGAACCCAACAGAGATCCAAAGCTGAGTACGGATTCAGAGAAAGAACATTTCTGCTAAGCTTAGGGCCTCAGGGAGGACAGATAATTATCTAAAGTTGACAGAACAATCAATTTTCTGGGTCTGAAGTTTACAAACAAAATCCCTCTCCTTTGAAGGCAGATTAGCCATGGAAACACCTTCTACATTGCCTGCCTAAATGGTTTGTCTCTGCAATCAATCTCTCTATTCTTTAAAACAGAATTAGGATAATTTGCATAATTGTTTCTTGTCTCAGAGAAATCTTACAGGGAGGCTGTCTCCAGATAACAGGCTGCTCCTGGAGCAGCCTGGGCTCCAGGCTGGGTTGTTTCCCGACGCCAAACCCACAGGCTCTAGGTCAGAGGCTCCACCTGGGACCCCTGCACCCTCCCTGCCAGGGCGGCAGAGGGAGCCACATCCCTGAAAGCCTCTGGCTTAGGGACCTCAGAATTCCCACCTCTGATAAGGTAATGAAATGAGCCAAAGTTGGTAAAAATCTGTGAACAAACTGGCCTACAGTGGCTAAAACCAGAGGGAGAAAAATAACGTGATAAACCCCCAAACCAGCCATCCTGGGAAGTTTCAAGGGGCTGCTGTGCTCCTGACTCCTCCCCCGCCTCCTGGAGCTGCCCAGGTGAGCAGACAGAGTTTTGAGAGCTGGTTCTGAGACTCTGTGCCTGGAGACAGACACTGGGCAGGGACCCCCAACTTTCCTGTCCGTTTTGCGCAGAGAGTCAGAAACAGATGCTGGGGAGCAGCCAGCAAGCAGAGGGCTGCCTGTCTCAGAGGCAGGAGCATCCACCTCAGAGGATGCCAGGTGGGGAGATCCTGGACTGTGCCACCCCCAGGGGCTCTGCAGCCCTCCCGGTGCTCAGTTATCAGGCTCACTACCTCTCAAAGGTGTCTCTTCTCTCTGTGGACATTCGTCTGTCACAGCTGCAAGATTCTCACAATAAACTTGCTCTCCAAATTCCTAAAAGAATTGCTTGCTCCAGTTTAGCCAGCTAAGACTTTCTTGGATAATGGCATAATCTGGAAGGATATTTAACAAATTCGTTTAAACTGGAAATTATTGACTCTATGGTGAGTCAGGAAAAACCACATTCACAATATTCAACAGCAGCGCTGGGCCTTGATGCTCCAGGGCAGTGCAGGGATTAGAGATCTGAGAGGTTTCATGACGCTTCTCAGGGGAATACATGGGTTCTGGGTTCTTCTAAGGAAGCTCCCTCCATGCCAGCCACCACCTTGTCTCTGCTGGGGAAACAGTGGTCCAGGGGCCCTCAACTGCAGGGAAATTATTGAACCTCCCAATGTCACTGCATCTCCTCTGGGTCTTCTTTTATTCCTTCTTTCCCCCTAGAAAACACCTTCTGACACACGCCCGCTCTGCCTGTCTGTCCCCTGCTGCGGCCAGACAGGGAGCAGGGAAGAAATCCAGTGTCTGGACTGTTTGCTGGTCTGCAGAACCTGTTCTCTCGCAGTATCTGTTTTCCAATGCAGATTTTCACAGTTCCCTAAAGAAACTTAAATTTCCATTCCCAGAATGACTTCATTTCCTGACACCCAGCCCAAATTCACGTGAGTTTGCAGCCGATGTGGCAACATAGCCACTTGGGTGGGGGTGAACATCACAGCGCACAATTCTGCAGTTCAGATTTGGGTTTACCTTAGCACTTAGTGCAACTTTGCATTTGGCAGAGGTCTTTCTCTTTTGTAGTCCTTGCCACCAACCTCATTACTTGTGAGAGTCTGCCTCATGCCTGTCTGCTCAGCAGATGAGAGACCTTGAGGCCTGGGAAGATCCCGCCCTCCTTGGCTCTGTATTCCTAGGTAGTGCATTGCCTAGTGGTTGGTTAATTTTAGGTGTCAACTTGACTAGGCTGAGGGAAACCCAGATAGCTGATAAAACATGCTAAGTGCGCCTGAGAGGGCATTTCCAGAAGAGATCAGCATTTGAATCAGGGGAGTGAGTGGGAAAATCCATGCTCCCCAAAGGCTGAGGGCCCAGATAGAACAAAAAGGCAGAGGAAGGGTGAATTCTTTCCTTATTCTGGATCTGAGACATCCATCTTCTCCTGCCCCCAAACATCAGAACTCGGGGTTCTCAGGCCTTTGGACTCCGGGACGTACACCAGCAACTTCCCTGGTTCTCCAGCTTGTAGACGGCAGCAGGACTTCTCATCCTCCATAATCACATGAGCCAAGTCACATGAAAAATCCCTGCTCATCCCTCTCTCTGTGTACATCCTATTGGTTCTGTTTCTATGGAGAACCCTAATACAACTGGCACAGACTAGCTGCTCAACAAGCATTTTATTTCTGAATGACTGAGATGTTTGAGCAGCTTCCAAACTTACATACCTGTGTTTCCATTAAAGCCATTGTTTAGGAGGCCGATGGCAACAAAAGGTTGAAACATGGCAAAATCAGGGGCAGTTGATTTGAGTTATACCGTGATGTGTTTACATTTGTACTATGATAGGGATTTATTGCAAGGACTTAGGAATGCTGGCCTCTAAAAGCTGGAAAAGTGTATTTTGTTGGGGAGGCCTGGGAGCCCCCATCTCACACACAGGAGGGAAGACACAAGGGGAAGCACTCGTGACGATGAACGAGATGTTGTTCCTGCCAGACGCAGGTCCTTGCCGTGTGTGTGCATAACCTCATTTCATTCGATAGCAACTCAGGAGGAGGAAATCATTATTAACTGTATTCTTTTATGTACAGAAGCTGAGGCTTGAAAGTGAAAATGACACAGCTGTTCATGGTCTTGCTGGCATTGGAGCCAGGAGAGAAAAATCCCTTGGTAAAATCTCCCAGCTGAATGGGGAAATGGGAATATATCCCGCATGGCCCAAAGAGACAATGGCTGGAAGTGGTCACAGTCCTCGAGGGGGAGCTGTGTGGTGGCCAGGCTGTGGTCATGAAGACACAGCGGCGTGGGAGGCTGAGGGTCGCTGGGGATGCTGGCTGGAATGTTTCTGTTAATAGCTGGAGCTCCAGAGCCTGTCCTGGAAGAGGGATGGGGACCTGGTCCTGGGAGGGTTTGTAAACCGGCATGAGCACATGTCAGGGTGTAGCTCTGACGTCAGGACCCTGGCATGACTACAATAGACATCACACAAATGGGGCAAGAAGACCAAGCCTCCCCACGGTACAGCTGCTCAACCATGTGGGGGGAGCTGTGGTGAAACACAGGACTCACTTAGAAAGATCCAGAGAGAGAATCCACCCACAGAAAACCTGGAGAGGATTTTGAAACTTCCTACAGGAAATCCAGGAGAAAAGGAGTCCTATTCAGTGATGGGAGGGGGGGCAGGTCAGGGGCCGCATCGGAAGGCAGTCGTCTGAAGGGATGCACGGATTCACGATGGAGGTGCTGAGACAGCCACAGGAGGTGATGAGTGGGGGCCATGGGGATTGGGTGGGGAATCTAGAGCTGGGACACTCTGGTTTTGATGGAAGGAGCATCGCCCTAGGAAGCAAAGACACAGATTCGAGTCCAGGCCTGGAGCAACCTTCAATCACCCTTAAGCCCTCTGAGTTTCTGCGTCTGTGAAATAAGCATAATGATTCCCACCTCACAGGGGCAGGGGCAGGGGCAGGACACTGTGAGATTGTAAGGGTCGGTGTCCCTCTTCGCATGGAGTCAGCAGCCGGCTGGGCTGAGGGAGGTGTTTCTGTCCTTAGGTGTCGCAGGCTGGCTCTCGTGCATCCTTCCTTCCACTTCTCCCCACCTGCATC
Organism: Homo sapiens; assembly: GCF_000001405.40. Taxonomy (NCBI): domain Eukaryota; kingdom Metazoa; phylum Chordata; class Mammalia; order Primates; family Hominidae; genus Homo; species Homo sapiens. The sequence goes on along the minus strand of NC_000009.12, from coordinate 138,208,644 downwards.
CACACAGGGAATACACTACCTCTATAAAACGCTTGCAAGGGGCCACTGTTCTCAGCATTTCACCTGTCAACCTCACTTAAGCCTTAAACAGCCTATGATGAGGTTCTGATAGTGTCTCCCTTGGCCCGCTGGAAGGCCCAGTGCTGAAGGATGACTGGGCACCCCGGCTCTTGGGATGGTCAAAGGCTCTCACCTGGACAGGGAGGACCCCCTCCTCTCCCTGGGCCTTCTGCTGCCCTGAGCCCCTACTGCTCTCTGCCACAGACTCGGGAGGGAGCATGAGCTGCATCCAACAGGCTGCAGCAGGTCCCGGACTCTCAGCACCCAAGACCAGACAGAGGCAGTGCCTCGGCTACAGTAAAGGCCTAGCGACCCGGGTGGGCATGGGGCACACGTTCCTACTCTGGCATTAGAGGTCATGCCACTGCTTGTCTTTACCATTCTACCCAGTGTCCTGCGAGGACTTGGTCCTCAGGTGGGTCACAAGTCTCCAGTCCATTAATTAACTGGTCGGAAGTGAGTCCCGGTCTATCCCTGTGAGGAGCAGGGGGACTGGCACCTCATTTCCTCATGGACTCATGGCCCTACACAACGACACGCCTGGCCTTCCTGGACCCATGCACTCAGTCCAGAAGGACATTTGCTTTGAGCTCGCCTGGTGGATGGGGTGCCCCTGAATATCAAACCATCTGTTGACATTTCCACCATCAGAAAGTTCCTCCAGGCAGCGCCCAGCTAGTGCTCCAAAGAGGTGCAGAATCTCTGAGAAATTATGTGGTCCACAGTCAACAGCTAACAACATTTATAGGACCTTATTAGCCACCAGCTTGGAGAAGGCCGGTGTCCAGAATAAATCAAATCCTTCATAATTGTCAGACGGTGGTGACTCGGTCAAATCTCGGTCAAAAGATGCTCTGGCCAAAGTCAACAGAGAGCAGAAGCAACTTGCTTTTGCTGGTCCCTCAGCAAGACCACACAGGGAGATTTGCAGGCAATAAACAATGTTGCCTAAAACTTTCCCGTGAGGTGGGAATTGTTTTCATCCAGATAAGAAGGTGCCGGCCCAGGGGAGGTGTGGGTGGCCAAGCCAGGGATGGAGCCCTCACGTGGCCTCAAGAGATCAGCACCCAGGAGTCAGCTCTCTCCACGGCACGCTGAAACGGCTCCACGCCTCTGCTGGTGTTTTTATAGGAACCCCTTTTGTGTGTTTGCTTCCTAGCTCAGACTTGAGTCAAATGGTCTATTAATTAGGGTAGATTTAGTCACTCCTGACATCAGCTTGTGTGGTTCGAGCAGCCCAGGGGGAAGAGACAGGGCCTCCTTTATGCAGACCCCGCAGTCTTCAGAGGACTGGACACAGCCCTGGCCCTGCTGCTGTCTGCCGTGCCTTTTGCTCCCTGGGTTTCATTCCTCGGTCTGTACCTTGAATATAAGGAGATCCGTTTGTACATTTTGCTCTCGTGCATTATACCAAAGGAAAAAAGAAGATAGTAGTTTAAAGCTCCCAACACTTTTCATGTTCTGAGCCTTTAGGTCTCCCATATGGTAGAGAATCCACAAATATCAGAGGACCCCAAACCTCGCCCGAGATGAAACAGCTTTGAGGCTTCCAGGGATCCCTCAGAAGGCTGCACCCAGGCCGGCCACACGTGAAAACGTGATGGCTCTTTTCTTCTCTGTTCACTGTGGTTTTATCAGACAGAGCTCTAAACCAGTTTATTCAATGACATGGAGTGATTCTCTCCTGTCTCTGCTTGTCCAGTGTGTGACAAGAGTTGAGAAGTGGGGAGACACAGGGGGCACATTGAATGCAGGTGGTCTTACCCGCCTCACTCAGGATGCACGTCTTGCCTGGCTAGGCTTGGCCTCCTCTGCACTGTGTGCCCCTCTAAATGAAGCGTGACCCTTCTTCCCCCACCTCATTGGTGGTTCTCTGCCCCCATGAGCTCAGCCAGCTGCTTCCCTGACACATGCAGGTCCTAGCCTGGACGAGACAGAGCAACAAAGGCCGAGTGGGGACGAACACTGGCCTGGCTTTCAGGTCCACCTTTGCCTCATGCAGATGCTTCTCTACCCTTTATGATTGAGATCCTGGAGCAGGGGATCACCTAGTTGTAAGGACCATAAAGTGGAGAAGGAGCAGGGAGAGGTTAGGACCATTGCTGCAAGCTCCTGGTGTCCCTGACAGTGAGAGAGGCAGGACACTCGCCTGGGCTGGGCCTGAGGATGCTGCTTTCTCCTCTGCATGCCTGGGGTCCAACGAGGGTCATGGGACCCAGGAATGTCTCTGCAACTCTGTCTGTAAACATCCAGGAGCTAATTGTGACCTGGAAGTCATTCGGAACTCAGCACAGAGGCCTTCAGAAGTCCCTGCCTTCAGATAAGGGCAGGTGCTTACTCCTCTCCCAGTGGCTAGCACTGTTAAAACAGACTTTTTTTTTTCTATAGCCAACATCATAACAAATGATGAAATACTCAATAACTCCCCCTAAAACGGGGAGAAAGGGAAGGGTTTCTGTTTTTGTTTTCATCTCTTCTAGTGAGCATTGGGCTGGGAGGTTCCAGCCAGTGCAAAGAGATGAGGAAAAGAAAAGTATAAATATTGGAAAGAAATAAGTAAAACTATCCTCATTTACAGGTGAAATGAGGTGGCAAATCCTAAGGGATACACAAAAAATCAACTTGAACCAATAAGTGAATTCTGCAACATCACAGGACACCAAGTCAATGTGTAAAGATCAGTTGTATTTCTATATACTACTGATGACTAATTTAAAACATCACAGGACACCAGGTCAACATATAAAGATAGGCTGTATTTCTATATACTGCTGATGACTAATTTAAAATGAAGTCAAAAATACTATCTATAATAGTAAAATCAAATACTTAGGGATAAATTTCACAATATATGTGAAAACCTCTACACCAAAAATTATCTGAGAGATATATCTCTAAATATACCATGTCTAATTCTTCACAAATTGATCTAATCATTCAATGAAATCTCAATTGGAGTCCCTGTGGACTTTTCCTCTAAATTAACAGGATGATTTAGAAGTTCATAGAGAAGTGAAGGTCTAAGGGCAGCCACAGCCATCTGGAAAGGAACGGCACCATCAGAAGAGTTGTCAAATCTTGCACCAGTAAGGCCATAAAGAAATAGCTCACTGGCATAGAGCAGAGATTACAGAAATAGGCTGACAGGCACCATCCCATGATTTTCAACAAGCAGGCCAAAACCACAGGGGGAAACATGGTACTGAAATAACTGGATATCAGGCCAGGCGTAGTGGGGCTCATGCCTGTAGTCCCAGGACTTTGGGATGCCAAGGTGGGAGGATTGCTTGGGCCCAGAAGTTTGAGACCAGCGTGGGCAACGTCATAAGACTCTGTGTCTCTACACAGAGATGTAGGCCAGGCACGGAGTTGCACACTGAGGCAGGAGGATCCCTTGAGCCCAGGGGTTTCAGGCTGCAGTAAGCTGTGATCGCAGCTTGGGCGATAGAGTGAGATCCTGTCTCTAAAATATAAAATATATAAATAAATAAAACAAAACTGGATATCCACATGAAAAGAAAAAAGAATCTTGACTCCTCCTTCTCATACCTTCGAAACTGAGAGGTTAGGCAAGGGTTTCATAGAGAAGACACAAGCCATAAACTAGAAGATTGAAAAACTAGAGTATAACTTACGAGGGAAACGAGAGTGACTTCATGCTGGAGAAACCTGGCCAGCACACTCTGCGAGGTAGCCGAGGTCAACATCAGCAGTGAGCCGGGCCGAGGCAGGACCCCTGATGTGGTGGCATGAGAAGCGCCTCACCTCTGCTCTTCCTCCAAGGAGCCCACAGCCGGAATCTGATCATGAAAAAAAGACTTCACACGAACCCCGGCAGACAGACACTCCCCCAGATGCCTGAGCCCAGCTTCTCAGAACTTTCAAGATCACAGAAAACAAGGAAGGTCTGAGAAACTGTCACGGCCCAGAGGACCCTAGGGAGATGTGACAAGCAAATGTCACACGGGATCCCGGACGGGATCCCGGCCCACAAAACGGCCACCCGAGAACAAACCAAATGAGCTGTGGGCTTTAGTCAATGATTATGTAGCAACGTTTGTTCGCTAATTCTGACAAATGTACCATTATAATGTAAGGCATTAATAATAAGCAAACTGTGTGAAGTATATGGGAACCCGGCACTATCTTTATAACAATTCTGTAAACTCGAAATGGCTCTAAAATAAAAAAACTTCATTTTAAAAAACCAGCCACAGGGGAAGGAGGGAGATTGATAAATTGGACTTCAAGAAAATGGAAGTCATTGGGTGAAAATACACACAACAGGGACACCTGATGAAAGACCTCCGTGAAGAATGTGTAAGCAACTCTGGAGACCCAGCAATCAACAGACTACTGCCCAATTCTAAAAAACGGGCAAAGACTTGAGCACACACTTTGGAAGATACACAAATAGCTGATGAGTTTGAGAAAAGCTGCTCAGCCTCGTAGTGATCAGGAAGTGCAACTGAAAATCTCAGTGGGACGCCCTGCACGCCCGCCAGGGTGCAGGTGGAAAGGCTGGCAACACGACAGTGAGGCTTATGCCAAGCAACCGGATCCTCATCGCCTCTGGGGAGAGCCTGGAATGTGGCCACCACTTAGGACCATGGCTTGGAAATATCTTAAATCCAACGTATTTCTACATGCTAGTGATGCTGCTCATCAAGGGGGTGAGCACTCATGGGCTGGGGATGCTACAGGGTCCTCAGTGCCTGCCCATTTCACAGGACGGGAGACTGAGGTCTAGAGGGAGGCAACAGCCAAGCACGCCCTGGATCCAACGCCTCGCCCAAGCCACCACGGCTGCCTCCTCCTCTGGCCCCTCCATCTCCCCCACTCCTTCTCCCCCTTGTCCCCCTTCTCCTTCTCCCACCCCTCCTCCTCCTCTCCCTCCTCCTCCTCATCCATTGTCCTCCTTGTCCTCCTTATCCCCCTCCTTGTCATTCTCCTCTTCCTCCTAGTCCTCCTTCTCCTCCTCCTTCTCCCCCTCCTCATTCTCTTCCTTGTCCTCCTCATTCTCCTCCTTCTCCCCGATTCCTCCTCCTTCTCCCCGACTCCTCCTCCTTCTCCCCGACTCCTCCTCCTTCACCTCCTCCTTGTCCTCCTCCCTCTCCGCCTCCTCATCCCCCTCCTCCTCTTCCTAATTCTCCTCCTCTGCCTCCTCCTTGTCCTCTCCCTCCCCCTTGTCCTCCTCGTCTTCCTTTTCTTCCTCCTCTTCTGTCCCAGGGCTTTCAAACTCTGGCTCTCCAACGACATGGAAGAGTTAAAAGGAGGAACGCTGGCTCAGCCAAGCCCCGGAGACTCCTACTTGATATGGGCAGTTTAAAGCCACTTTCCCTTTAAATTTTTCTGTGACAACTCTTTTCATGGAGAATGGAAAGACTCTCGTTAAGTGTTGCCGTTCAGAAGTGTTGGCGGTCGTTGCTAACATGAGATCCAACAAGGTAAATGCCAGAAGCCATCTGCAAGGGGTAATACCTTATTCTGCTTTTGCATAAGTGATGCTGCATCCCTTTATCTCTCTGCTGCGGCCTTCAGTGCTGATGGCCTGTGCCACCCAGTGACTGGTTAAATCAGCTTGAGGAAGAGCTCTTTTGAGCCTCTGTCCAGTTTAGCAGAGGAAACTTCAAAGTCCCAGCATCCTGGTCATGGAATGCTATGTTAACCCTTTCCAAAGTTTGAGACTGAGATGGGCAGACCATTTTAAAGACACACTGCATCCAGCCTCCCATGACAGAGCCTCATGGGAAGGGTGGTGAGCAGAGTCGTGGGGATATTCTATCCTGAGCCTTCCATGTTGGGGCTTCTTGGAGACAGGGGAGGACCACGGCCTCAGTGACTGGCCATTGGCCAAATACACTCATTAAAGTGCCCTTCTCCAGGGCTGGGGACCTGACTCTCTCAGTCTGTGGGGCCCAGCCCACCTGCTCCTCCCTAATGGCTCCTGCTGGATGGGGAACAGCCTGGCACCAGGTGAACCATCACTGACTCTCCCTGGGGAGAGACGAGGGAGGAGGGGGCATGTCCAAGAGGCCAAGGTACAAGCCCAGTGCCCTGCAGGTCTTCCAACATTTCCAGCCGTAATGGCCATGATCGCCATGGTCTGGACTTTCTGAAGAAAGTCTTTTCACAGGCTCGGCCTGGCTGGAATCTGACCTGTGAAGCCTTTGGGTCAGTCGCAGGAATTATCAAGCATCTGCCATGCCTGGAAGAGTTGGACTGGGGAGGCACAGGGCCTGCCTGGCGTCAGGCGCTGAGGAAGGGATGATAAATGCACACCCTCTGTTTTGTCCGTTTCTCACGGCCTCTCTGGCCACCCTGTCTGCCTGTGTCTGTCCTGCCCAGCCCTTCTCTGACGAGCGTGTCTTGGCGCTTTGTCTCTGCTCACCCTGGGCTCATCACTGTAAACAGCAGGAGGTTCCACACCAGGCGAGGTGTGCCATTGTGACCGAAGGTCTCAGGGAACAGAACTGAGTCTGGGTGGGTTGAGCTGGGAGTTTCATAGCTGTAGGAAGCTGCGATCGCAGCTTCATGATGCAGACAGAAGGCCTTGTCTCAGCTCAGTGGGGGAAGCCCCTTGTCGACTCTAGGCAGGGGAGATTGTACCGCTGCCTCTCCCAGTAGCAGCTCCCAGGAGGCAGTGCAGTCACGGGGCCCCGCTGGTAGAAGCTGAATAGTCCATCGGGAAAACCTCAAAGGCCACCAGTCCTCGAGGTAGCTGCTGCTCCAGCTGTGCTCACCTGGAGTGGAGGGGCAAACGGCACCAGGGGTGGGAGAGGTCAAGGCAGAGCCTCTGCCCCATCCTAGACCAGCTGCACGAGACGACAGCTCACACCAGCTGCCCAGAGGCGGCACCAGGGGTGGGAGAGGTCAAGGCAGAGCCTCTGCCCCATCCTAGACCAGCTGCACAAGACGACAGCTCACACTAGCTGCCCAGAGGCACAGCCCCTCTGCCAGGCTTCAGCAGGGCACGGCTTGATCTCAAGGCCCTCTCTTCTCGTCCCACCGCCCCTCCCTCCTGTGACAGGAGGACCAGCAGTTCCACTCTGAGCCCGGCTGAGGCCCGACCTCCTCCACCTCAGCCCTGAGAATCTTCTCCAGCTGGGATGGCTGTTGCCCTGTTGTCCTGTTGCCCTGTTGTTCTGTTGTCCTCTTGTCCTGTTGTTCTGTTGTCTTGCCCTCCCAGCTCCTGACCACACAGGGGCTTTGTTCCCGTGCCAGCCTCTTTGGGGAAAGTGGGTGAGGGGGGCCCTGCTCCAGGCTCTGGGACATTTGGCTTGGGCTGTAGCCTGTGTCCAAGGAGAAGAAACCCTGAAGGTGGGTTCCCACCAGATGTGGGCATGGTCAGCTACATCAGGCCCCCAAAGGTGTGCACATCCTAATCCCACGAACCCGTGGGCACGTTACCTTACATGCAACAGGCACTCTATGGATGGAGTCGGGATAAGTGTCTAGAGATTGGGAGGTTGTTCTGGGTCATCCAGATGACTTATGAGAGGGCCCTTATGAGAGGGAGGCAGCAAGCTCACAGAGAGGGCCATGGAACAACAGCAGCTCAGACACAGCAGAGGCCGCACAGCTGTCCTGGGTGCCGAGTAGCTGCAGAGGTCGGAGGAGGTGCAGAGCAGGTATTCTGCAGCCTCCAGAGGGACCAGCCCTGCTGACTCCCTGGCTTTGGCTCAGTGAAACTCATTTCGGACTTCTGACCTCCAGCTCTGCAAGAGAAAGAATCTGTGCTATTTTAAACCACTAAATTTGTGGTTTCTGTTCAGCAGCAGTGGGAGAGGGTGAAATGCTCTCCAGCTTGGCACCCACAGCCCAGCTCAAAGGCAGGGACTGTGGTTGCTTTGCAAATGAGGGAGGCTGGGTCCCTGCCCTCACCGGGCTTACCATCTAGGTATGGAGAGGAGTAACGTAAGGTGAAGTCAGAAAAGAATCATAAGAAAAGAAAGTCCACACCCTGGAAGGATCTGAGGCAGAAGGAAGCTCTTGCTGAACCACCTGAGAGGAGGCGGTCTGGCCTGGGCACCCTGGGGGGCCTACGCCCCCACTTCGAGGCCCCCCTGGAAGGTGCTTGGCTCTCCGGATGACCCCAGCACTGGGGAGACCCGCTGTGCTTTCCAGGCAGCACAGACACCTCGGTGTAGGTGTTGTGGTACCACAGGGAAGGGTGTTTCTTCCAGCCTGGTTCTCAGGACAGGCTGCTGGCTGGAACAAACCCCACCTCTATCTGAGCCACCAACCATCTGAACCGGTATTCTCTCTATCTGACAAATATTCCTCCTTCTTTACATCCCAGAAATGGTGAAAATGCACAATGCCTCAGGACGCCTTGAGGAAGGAGCAGCATGTTGCTGCCGAGGGTGAACACACGTGGTCTCTGCGGAGAGGCGACAGATCTCCCTGGGCGTCAGTCATCCTGGGACTGGGTGTCGTGGAAGAAGGTGACACCAGGCAGAAACCAAGAGCAGGGGAGCTGCAGGCCGGCATAAGAGCCCGTATCAGAGCAGAGTGGCCCCTGAGCGGGGAGGGAGCCGGAGATCACTGTTGGAGGAGGGCCCGGCACCTGCACCTGAGGACATGAGTCTAATAAAAGAGTATAAATAATATAATAAAAGAGAGTATAATAAAAAAATAATTTAAAGAAAATAGAGCTTGATAAATCTGTTTCTTCATCTTCATAATAATGTCAAATTTGTTGAGATTTTTTTTAAATGGCACGATTTGTCTACAGATCTTTGTACTCTGTCTGGCTTAAATATATATACAACTTATATAATAAAATACTGGGCTGTTTTATTATTATATTGATAATTTCTTAGTCAACACTACTTTGATCATATTCTATAAACGGCACTGTAAGACCTGTGACTGGTTATCAACAACATAAAGTGATTATGAGAGTTTCATGTGACAGATGAAGGAAGGTTGGTTAGTGCAGTGGCAATAGTTGGCAACCTGAGAAACTGAGCTCACAATTTTAGAAAAGTATTATTCTTTCTAACTAGATATTTCCATGAAAAGAACCTTGTGAAATGCAGAAATGCCAAAAGAATAATTATAAGATAATAACCAAATAACTAAAATGCATCTCGATTTCTCTGACAATTTAACTTAACGTGGGGTGCAGGCAGAATCACAATGTTTACAAACATAGGCATTTATGATCTCAAGACGGTTAATTCTTAGCTGGTTGAGGAAAACAGTAGTAGAACTGTTATTGCAGAAATAAAAGACAGAAAACAGTGGAAGGGCTTGATCACAAGTCATATGTTCCAGTTTTGGAAACCTCTAAAAATCCTGCCTGGAGATAGGTTTTTCTTATCTCATTATTGAAGAATATATGAGCAGGCAGGGCATGGTGGCTCAAACCTGTAATCCCAGCACTTTGGGAGGCCAGTGTTGGAGGATTGCTTGAGGCCAGGAGCTCAAGACTAGCCTGGGCAACATAGCAAGACCCTGTCTCTACAATTTCTTTTTAAACCAGCTGGCTGTGGCGGCATATGCCTGTAGTCCCAGCCACTAGGGAGGATGAGGTGGGAGACTGGCTTGAGCTTAGGTGTTTGAATCTGGAGTCATCTGTGATTGTGCCACTGCACTCCAGCAAGAATGACAGAGCTAGATCCTGCGTACAAATATACACATATTGTATATATTGTCAATGACCAGTCACAGGTCTTACAATGCTGTTTATACAATATGGTAAAAATGATGTTGACAAAGAAATTATCACAATAATAATAATAAAAGCCCTGTGTGTTATTAAGTTGTTCATAAATTTAATGTAAATGAGGTAGAGTAATAAAGATCTGTAGACAAATCATGTCATTTATTTTTTTAATCTCAACATAATATAACTTTTTTTTTTGAGACAGTCTCACTCTGTCGCCCAGGCTGGAATGCAGTGGCTAGATCTTGGCTCACTGCAACCTCCACCACCCTGGTTCAAGCGATTCCTCTGCCTCAGCCTCCCGAGTAACTGGGATTACAGGTTCCTGCCACCGTGCGTGGCTAATTTTTGTATTTTTAGTAGAGACGGGGTTTCACCATTTTGACTAGGCTGGTCTTAAACTCCCGACCTCGTGATCCACTGGCTCGGCCTCCCAAAGTGCTGGGATTACAGATGTGAGCCACCGTGCCCAGCCAACATTTCTTTTTTAAAGTGTGCAAGCTCTTTGACCATCATGTCTCTGTGCATCACTGCGATAAGATAACCAGAGCAACTGTTTCCACCGTGGAGTTGGGAGGAGATAAAGACACATCCTTTGTGCTTTGGGCACTCTTATCAGGATCAGGGAGGACCCTGCCCTCTGATTTTATCTCTCTTAAATGTGCAAAGTACAGAGATTTTTATCATGAATAATTTTAAGAGAAATTAAAAATTCTATAAAGTTCAAGGACATTCAGGTTTTCTATTGATCATGTTTCTTCTTGATATTTTTAGGCCCTGGCCAGCCGCAAATGAATAATCTCTATCATCATCATTGTGTTCCTTTGTGTTTTAACCTTTCCTGATTCCATTCTCTCTACCTTTTATTTTGAAGAAGAATAGACACCAGAAAACCCTGTCCCTACCAAATGCAAAAAAAAACCCTAAAATTATAAATATTCACATTGACAATCACATTTGTGAATATATATTTTAATTACAAAATTACAATTTTAAACTTTCAGAGGAAGTGGTAGTAATATAAAACAGAGGACATTTTTATAAAAAGGAACTCTTATATTTTGCAAATTATTATTCTCTCATCACCAAATAGTGCTACCTAAAGTAATATACAACCAATTTAATAAGTTTAGTTTTAAAAAACACAAAATTACAAAACAATTAATACAATATTTGAAATCATGATGCATATTGCCAGCCTCCCTTCAGGTAAAGTTCTATTAACTCTACAAAAATTTTCTAAATGGCAGATGTTACATTTCCAGATAGCTTTGTGGTAACCAAAAAAGAATTGATTTATTAGCAATTTTTATATCACATTGAGACAAAATATTATTTGTGATAAATATTGTTACATATTTAAAACATCTCATGTATTAAGAAATCATACTTTAGATGGGGCCAAGCTGGCCTATTAGAAACAGCTGTGGCCTGCGGCTCTCACGGAGAGCAGTGAAAACTGCAAGTGAATTCTGCACCTTCAGTTGAGGTATCCAGGTTCTTGCATTGGGACTGACTAGCCAGACAGCTCGACCCACAGGGAGTAAGGAAAAGCAAGTGGGGCGATGGCCCACCCAGGTGTGGCACGGAGCTAGGGGCGACCCCACTCACAGCCAAGGGAGGCGGTGAGTGATTGTGCGACTCTGCCTGGGAAACCATGCTTCTCCCACGGATCTTTGCAACCTGCAGATCAGGAGGCCCCCTGGTGAGCTCAGCCATGGCCTTGGGTCTGAAGCACAGAGCTGTGTGGAGTCTGGGCGGAATGCTCGCTGGCTCACTGGGGCATGCGTGAAAGCCCAGGAGTTTTGCATCCTCTGCCCCGAAAATTCCAGCAAAGCGGGAGATACATCCGTGCATTCCCCTAGGAAGGGGGCTGAATCCAGGGAGCCAAGTGACATCATTCTGAGGCCCCACTCCCACAGCACCTCACAAGTCCCATTGGCTTGGAATTCCAGCTGGCCAGTGGCAGCAGGCTGGAGACAGCCGGAGATGGACCGAGTTCCTGGGGGAGGGCAGCCACTCTATCTGTGGTTTGAGTTGGCCGCTCTAGCCTGCTGGCACCAGGGACCAGGAGGAGTCCCCCATAACACAGCACAGCTGCTGTGCCTGATCGTGGCCGGGCTGCTTCTTTAAGTGAGACCGAAATCCATCCCTCCTCACCGAACAGGGCCTGCCCATCGGAATTTTAGCAACTCCAGCCAGAGTTCTATGGACAGAACTCTGATTTCTCCCTGGGATGAAGTCCCCAGGGAGAGGGGTAGCTGCTGTCTCCCCAGTTCAGCCAACTGAGCCTTTCCAGCCTGCTGGCTCTGGAGACTCCTGGCAGTCACCACAGCACACCTGCTCTGCCAAAGGGCAGCCAGACTGCTTCTTTAAGCAGTCCCTGATTCTGTTTCTCCTGACTGGGCAAGACCTCCCAACAGGGGTCTCCAGACACCTCCTACAGGAGCGTTCCAGCTGGCATCAAGTCGGTACCTCCTTGGACTGGTGCTCCCAGAGGAAGGAACAGGCCGCCATCTTTGCTGTTTCGCAGCCTTCACTGGTGATACCTCCAGGGGCAGGAGAGACTGAGGTGATGAGGGTCCAGAGTGGACCCCCAGAAAACCACAGCAGCCCTAGGGAAGAGTGGTCTGACTGTTAAAAACAAACAGAAAGCAACACCATCAACAAAAAAGACCCCACGAAAACCCCATTCAAAGGTCAGCAACGTCAAAAATCAAAGGTAGATAAGCCCACAAAGATGACAAAACATAACACAAAAACGCTGAAAACTCAAAGAGGCAGAATGCCTCTTCTCCTCTAAATGACAACAACACCTCCCCAGCAAGGGCACAGAACTGACCCCAGGCTGAGATGGCTGAATTGACAAAAGTAGGCTTTAGGAGGTGGGTAATAACAAACCACACTGAGCTAAAGGAGCACATTCTAACTTAATGCAAGGAAGCTAAAAATCATAAAAGAAATTACAGAAGGTGATAACCAGAATATTCAGTTTAGAGAGGAACATAACTGACCTGATGGAGGTGAGAAACACAACACGAGAACTTCGCAATGCAACCACAAGTATCACTAGCAGAATAGGCCAAGTGGAGGAAAGAATCTCAGAGCTTCAAAGCCATCTGTCTAAGACAGGAAGAGAAGAATAGAGAAAAAAGAACAGAGAAGAATAGAGAAAAAAGACCAAAAAAGAATGAATAAAACCTTCAAGAAATATGGGATTATGTAAAAAGACTGAACCTAAGACTGATAAGGGTACCTTGACCCACCACGATCAAGATGGCTTCATCCCTGGGATACAAGGTTGGTTCAACACAGGCAAATCTATAAATGTAATTCCTCACATAAACAGAATTAAACACAAAAACAACACGATTATCTCAACAGATGCAGAAAAGGCCTTCAATAAAATTCAACATCCCTTCATGTCAAAAACTCTCAATAAACTAGCTATTGAAGGATCACACCTCAAAATAATAAGAGCCATATATGACAAACCCACAGCCAATATCATACTGAATGAGCAAAACCTGGAAGCATTCCCCTTGAGAACTGGCACAAGACAAGGATGGCCTCTCTCACCACTCCTATTCAACATAGTACTGGAGTTTCTGGCCAGGGCAAGCAGGCAGGAGAAAGAAATAAAGGTATTTAAATAGGAAGAGAGGAAATCAAATTATCTTTGTTTGCAGATGACATGATCCTGTATCTAGAAAACCCCATCATCTCAGCCCAAAAGCTTCTTAAGCTGATGAACCACATCAACAGAATCTCAGGATACAAAATCAATGTGCAAAAATCGCTAGTATTCCTATACACCAACAACAGGCAAGTAGAGAGCCAAATCATGAATGAACTTCATTCACAATTACTACAAAGAGAATAAAATACATAGGAATACAGCTAACAAGCGAAGTGAAGAACCTCTTCAAGGAGGACTACAAACCACGGAATTCCAGCTGGCCAGTGGCAGCAGGCTGGAGACAGCCGGAGATGGACCGAGTTCCTGGGGGAGGGCAGCCACTCTATCTGTGGTTTGAGTTGGCCGCTCTAGCCTGCTGGCACCAGGGACCAGGAGGAGTCCCCCATAACACAGCACAGCTGCTGTGCCTGATCGTGGCCGGGCTGCTTCTTTAAGTGAGACCGAAATCCATCCCTCCTCACCGAACAGGGCCTGCCCATCGGAATTTTAGCAACTCCAGCCAGAGTTCTATGGACAGAACTCTGATTTCTCCCTGGGATGAAGTCCCCAGGGAGAGGGGTAGCTGCTGTCTCCCCAGTTCAGCCAACTGAGCCTTTCCAGCCTGCTGGCTCTGGAGACTCCTGGCAGTCACCACAGCACACCTGCTCTGCCAAAGGGCAGCCAGACTGCTTCTTTAAGCAGTCCCTGATTCTGTTTCTCCTGACTGGGCAAGACCTCCCAACAGGGGTCTCCAGACACCTCCTACAGGAGCGTTCCAGCTGGCATCAAGTCGGTACCTCCTTGGACTGGTGCTCCCAGAGGAAGGAACAGGCCGCCATCTTTGCTGTTTCGCAGCCTTCACTGGTGATACCTCCAGGGGCAGGAGAGACTGAGGTGATGAGGGTCCAGAGTGGACCCCCAGAAAACCACAGCAGCCCTAGGGAAGAGTGGTCTGACTGTTAAAAACAAACAGAAAGCAACACCATCAACAAAAAAGACCCCACGAAAACCCCATTCAAAGGTCAGCAACGTCAAAAATCAAAGGTAGATAAGCCCACAAAGATGACAAAACATAACACAAAAACGCTGAAAACTCAAAGAGGCAGAATGCCTCTTCTCCTCTAAATGACAACAACACCTCCCCAGCAAGGGCACAGAACTGACCCCAGGCTGAGATGGCTGAATTGACAAAAGTAGGCTTTAGGAGGTGGGTAATAACAAACCACACTGAGCTAAAGGAGCACATTCTAACTTAATGCAAGGAAGCTAAAAATCATAAAAGAAATTACAGAAGGTGATAACCAGAATATTCAGTTTAGAGAGGAACATAACTGACCTGATGGAGGTGAGAAACACAACACGAGAACTTCGCAATGCAACCACAAGTATCACTAGCAGAATAGGCCAAGTGGAGGAAAGAATCTCAGAGCTTCAAAGCCATCTGTCTAAGACAGGAAGAGAAGAATAGAGAAAAAAGAACAGAGAAGAATAGAGAAAAAAGACCAAAAAAGAATGAATAAAACCTTCAAGAAATATGGGATTATGTAAAAAGACTGAACCTAAGACTGATAAGGGTACCTTGACCCACCACGATCAAGATGGCTTCATCCCTGGGATACAAGGTTGGTTCAACACAGGCAAATCTATAAATGTAATTCCTCACATAAACAGAATTAAACACAAAAACAACACGATTATCTCAACAGATGCAGAAAAGGCCTTCAATAAAATTCAACATCCCTTCATGTCAAAAACTCTCAATAAACTAGCTATTGAAGGATCACACCTCAAAATAATAAGAGCCATATATGACAAACCCACAGCCAATATCATACTGAATGAGCAAAACCTGGAAGCATTCCCCTTGAGAACTGGCACAAGACAAGGATGGCCTCTCTCACCACTCCTATTCAACATAGTACTGGAGTTTCTGGCCAGGGCAAGCAGGCAGGAGAAAGAAATAAAGGTATTTAAATAGGAAGAGAGGAAATCAAATTATCTTTGTTTGCAGATGACATGATCCTGTATCTAGAAAACCCCATCATCTCAGCCCAAAAGCTTCTTAAGCTGATGAACCACATCAACAGAATCTCAGGATACAAAATCAATGTGCAAAAATCGCTAGTATTCCTATACACCAACAACAGGCAAGTAGAGAGCCAAATCATGAATGAACTTCATTCACAATTACTACAAAGAGAATAAAATACATAGGAATACAGCTAACAAGCGAAGTGAAGAACCTCTTCAAGGAGGACTACAAACCACTGAATTCCAGCTGGCCAGTGGCAGCAGGCTGGAGACAGCCGGAGATGGACTGAGTTCCCGGGGGAGGGCAGCCACTCTATCTGTGGTTTGAGTTGGCCGCTCTAGCCTGCTGGCACCAGGGACCAGGAGGAGTCCCCCATAACACAGCACAGCTGCTGTGCCTGATCCTGGCCGGGCTGCTTCTTTAAGTGAGACCGAAATCCATCCCTCCTCACCGAACAGGGCCTGCCCATCGGAATTTTAGCAACTCCAGCCAGAGTTCTATGGACAGAACTCTGATTTCTCCCTGGGATGAAGTCCCCAGGGAGAGGGGTAGCTGCTGTCTCCCCAGTTCAGCCAACTGAGCCTTTCCAGCCTGCTGGCTCTGGAGACTCCTGGCAGTCACCACAGCACACCTGCTCTGCCAAAGGGCAGCCAGACTGCTTCTTTAAGCAGTCCCTGATTCTGTTTCTCCTGACTGGGCAAGACCTCCCAACAGGGGTCTCCAGACACCTCCTACAGGAGCGTTCCAGCTGGCATCAAGTCGGTACCTCCTTGGACTGGTGCTCCCAGAGGAAGGAACAGGCCGCCATCTTTGCTGTTTCGCAGCCTTCACTGGTGATACCTCCAGGGGCAGGAGAGACTGAGGTGATGAGGGTCCAGAGTGGACCCCCAGAAAACCACAGCAGCCCTAGGGAAGAGTGGTCTGACTGTTAAAAACAAACAGAAAGCAACACCATCAACAAAAAAGACCCCACGAAAACCCCATTCAAAGGTCAGCAACGTCAAAAATCAAAGGTAGATAAGCCCACAAAGATGACAAAACATAACACAAAAACGCTGAAAACTCAAAGAGGCAGAATGCCTCTTCTCCTCTAAATGACAACAACACCTCCCCAGCAAGGGCACAGAACTGACCCCAGGCTGAGATGGCTGAATTGACAAAAGTAGGCTTTAGGAGGTGGGTAATAACAAACCACACTGAGCTAAAGGAGCACATTCTAACTTAATGCAAGGAAGCTAAAATCATAAAAGAAATTACAGAAGGTGATAACCAGAATATTCAGTTTAGAGAGGAACATAACTGACCTGATGGAGGTGAGAAACACAACACGAGAACTTCGCAATGCAACCACAAGTATCACTAGCAGAATAGGCCAAGTGGAGGAAAGAATCTCAGAGCTTCAAAGCCATCTGTCTAAGACAGGAAGAGAAGAATAGAGAAAAAAGAACAGAGAAGAATAGAGAAAAAAGACCAAAAAAGAATGAATAAAACCTTCAAGAAATATGGGATTATGTAAAAAGACTGAACCTAAGACTGATAAGGGTACCTTGACCCACCACGATCAAGATGGCTTCATCCCTGGGATACAAGGTTGGTTCAACACAGGCAAATCTATAAATGTAATTCCTCACATAAACAGAATTAAACACAAAAACAACACGATTATCTCAACAGATGCAGAAAAGGCCTTCAATAAAATTCAACATCCCTTCATGTCAAAAACTCTCAATAAACTAGCTATTGAAGGATCACACCTCAAAATAATAAGAGCCATATATGACAAACCCACAGCCAATATCATACTGAATGAGCAAAACCTGGAAGCATTCCCCTTGAGAACTGGCACAAGACAAGGATGGCCTCTCTCACCACTCCTATTCAACATAGTACTGGAGTTTCTGGCCAGGGCAAGCAGGCAGGAGAAAGAAATAAAGGTATTTAAATAGGAAGAGAGGAAGTCAAATTATCTTTGTTTGCAGATGACATGATCCTGTATCTAGAAAACCCCATCATCTCAGCCCAAAAGCTTCTTAAGCTGATGAACCACATCAACAGAATCTCAGGATACAAAATCAATGTGCAAAAATCGCTAGTATTCCTATACACCAACAACAGGCAAGTAGAGAGCTAAATCATGAATGAACTTCATTCACAATTACTACAAAGAGAATAAAATACATAGGAATACAGCTAACAAGCGAAGTGAAGAACCTCTTCAAGGAGGACTACAAACCACTGCCCAGAGAAATCAGACAGGACACAAACAAATGGAGAAGCATTCCATGCTCATGGATACGGAAGAATTAATTCATGAAAATGGCCATAGTGCCCAAAGTAATTTATAAAAGAATTCAATGCTATTCCCATTAAACTACCAATGACATTCTTCACAGAATTAGAAGAAACTATTTTACAATTCTCACGAACCAAAAAAGAGCCCAAATAGCCAAGACAATTCTAAGCAAAAAGAACAAAGCTGGAGGCATCACACTACCCAACTTCGAACTATACTATAAGGCTACAGTAACCAAAACAGCATGGTACTGGTACAAAAACAGACACATAGACCAATGAAACAGAATAGAGAACTCTGAAATAAGACCATACACATACAACCATCTGATCTTTGACAAACCTGACAAACACAAGCAATGGGGAAAGGATTCCTTATTTAATAAATCATGTTGGGAAAACTGGCTAGCCATATGCAGAAAACTGAAACTGGACATCTTCCTTATACCTTATACAAAAAAATAACTCAAGATGGAATAAAGACTTAAACATAAGACCTAAAACCATAAAAACCCTGGAAGAAACCTAGGCAATACCATTCAGGACATAGGCATGGGCAAAGACTTTATGACTAAAACACCAAAAGCAATGGGAACAAAAGCCAAAATTGACAAATGGGATCTAATTAAACTAAAGAGCTTCTGCACAGCAAAATAAACTCATCAGAGTGAACAGACAACCTATAGATTGGGAGAAAATTTTTGCAATATGTCTGACAAAGGGCTAATATCCAGAATCTACAAAGAACTTAAACAAATTTACAAGAAAAAAAACAACCCCATCAAAAAGTGGGCAAAGGAAACGAACAGACACTTCTCAAAAGAAGACATTTATGCGGCCAACAAACATATGAAAAAAAGCTCATCATCACTGGTCATTAGATAAATGCAAATCAAAACCACAGTGAGATACCATCTCACACCAGTTAGAATGGCGATTAAAAAGTCAGGAAACAACAGATGCTGATGAGGCTGTGGAGAAATAGGAATGCTTTTTCACTGTTGGTAGGAGTGTAAATTAGTTCAGTCATTATGGAAGACAGTGTGACAATTCTTCAAGGTTCAGCAATCCCATTACGGGGTATATACCCAAAGCATTATAAATTATTATACTATAAAGACACATGCACTGTATGTTTATTTCAGCACTGTTCACAATAGCAAAGACTTGGAACCAACCCAAATTCCCATCAATGATAAAGTGGATAAAGAAAATGTGGCACATATACACCATGGAATACTATACATTTATGTCCTTTCCAGGGACATGGATGAAGCTGGAAACCATCATTCTCAGCAAACTAACACAAGAAAAGAAAACCAGGCCAGGAGCAGTGGCTCATGCCTGTAGTCTCAGAACTTTGGGAGGCCGAAGTGGGCAGATCACCTGAGGTGAGGAGTTTGAGACCAGCCTGACCAACATGGAGAAACCCCATCTCTACTAAAAATAGACACAATTAGCCAGGCATGTTGGCACATGCCTGTAATCCTAGCTACTTGGGAGGCTGAGGCAGGAGAGTCGCTTGAACCCAGGAGGCAGAGGTTGCGGTAACCCAAGATCATGCCATTGCACTCCAACCTGGGCAACAAGAGTGAAATTTTGTCTCAAAAAAAAAAAGAAAGAAAAAGAAAAAGAAGAAAAGAAAACCAAACACTGCATGGTCTCACTCATAAGTGGGAGTTGAACAATGAGAACACATGGACACAGGGAGGGGAACATCACACACTGGGGCCTGTCGGGGGGTGGGAGGCTGGGGGAGGAATAGCATTAGGAGAAATACCTAATGTAGATGACAGGTTGACGGGTGCAGCACACCACCATGGCACGTGTATACCTATGTAACAAACCTGCATGCTCTGCCCATGTATCCCAGAACTTAAAGTACAACAAAGAAAACTTTACATAAATGCATAAAGTCTAGAACAGCTAATATATTATAATGAAATATCAACTATAATCCCAGCTCAAAGAGAACACCATGAAATTATGAAGGGCTTTCCACAAATCTCTAAATTTATGTCTTCATAAGATTACATTTCTATTTCTTCTTGAATAATTTCCTTATTTTAGCTATGATTTAGTGATAGTAAGATGGTAATTATGAGGAGAAACTTCTCCCAACACTGCATTGAGAAAATTCTGCCTCATTTCACCACACACCAGAGTCTTAAGCAGTCACTTCTAATGTAGCTGAACAATAGATCCTCACCCACCTGAGTCTATGAATTGAATCCACGTATGTGAGATAAGGCCCCCAAGGAGTGGTAGTAAGCTGGGAATGCCATCAGCTCATCTTCCTTCAGGCCTATATTTGTCATTGTCACTTGTAGAAGCAGGACAGCCCTGGCGTTGGGGTTGGTAGAAACAGAGAGTATCAAAGGGAAAACTGAACTTCCCTAATTTTTGGAAAACAGCAGATTGGAGACAGATGGGCTCCAGCGTTTTCCATGTGTGAGGTCATTGTCCCAGGCAGCCTTGCTCAGGACCACATTTCTTGTCAGCAAAACAGAAGTCAAACGATATTTCTACCTTCCAAGAGAATAGAACATAATGTCAGATTTTCTCATGGATTCCCACAGGTTCAAGAAAGTTTCATGGCCTTATTTAACTGCTTAAGCATTTCAACTAAAAAATTATTTGTCTTTCAAATACACAGGAATCTATTTGGAAAAATTTTAACCAGAAAAAGTTGGAATTCTAAAGTAAAAAATGCATAAGGCCATCAAAATTTTTTACAGCTTTTAATTTAGATGTCAATGGGGGAAAAAAAGACATTCTCTGAAGTTTGCTTTTATACCATTAAAGACTTATTTTTTATTACCAGCAATACAGGGCAACTCATTCAGGTTGAATCTTGAAGGTAAACTTTAACTTAAGTTTTGGCTAATTTTTAAGCATTTATCAGTCACCTACCATGATTTCATCTCAGAAACCAAAATCTCAATTTCATTTAGACCTTTGAAATCTTAAAACAGAAAATTAAATGCTTCAAAATAATATTCATGTAGAGGCTTATATATGTGGACCAGGAATCTCCATGTATTACAAAGTTTATGAGAACATAACAAATGTTGATACACACATTTAATTCTTAAATAAAAACTTACAACAAATAAAACTGTAACAAATCAAGAAAATTTTGTAGGTTTCACATTTTATGTCTAAAAATATAGGTATTAAACACTCAAGGATGGATAAAAGAAATCACAAGAGAAAACAGAAAATATCTAGAGACAAATTAAAAATATGAAATACCAAAAGTTAAGAGATACATCAAAAACAGTACCATAAGGGAAAAATTTATAGCTATAAATGATAATAAAAAATAAGATACCGAATCAACAACTTTACTCCTAAGGAACTAAAAACAGAGGGAAAAAGGGGGACAACTAAAAGAGGGACAACTAAAAGAGGGACAACTAAAAGCTAGCAAAATTTTAAAAATGATAAAGATAGCAGTGGAAATAAGTGAAATAGAGAACAGAAAAACAATATCAAAAATCAACAAAACCAAGTTTGTTCTCTGAAAAAGATCAAAATTGACAAAATTTTATCTAGATTGACTAAGAAAAAAAGGGAATACTCAAATTACTAAACTCAAAAATAAAATGGGTACATTACTAACAAATTTTTGGAGTAAAAAAAGGATGCACGAGAGTACCATAAGGAACTATACACTAAAAAATTGAGTAACCTAAATAAAATGAACAAATTCCTAGAAACAAAAAACCTACTAAGACTGAATCAGAAAAGTTGAATAAACCTATTCAGCAAGGAGACTCAGCAAGAAGATGACATCAGTAATCAAAAACCCAGCAACAAAGAAAAGCCTGGACCAGATGGCTTCACTGTTGAATTCTACCCAATGTTTAAAGCAGAATTAACACCAGTTTTTCTCAAACTTTTTCAAAACGTTGAACAGGAGGTAACATTTTCTAACTTATTCTACGAGGACAGTATTACCCCAACACCAAGTCAGACAAAGGCACCATAAGAAAACTACAAACAAACATCCCTTACAAATGCCGATGCAAAAATCCTCAACAAAATACCAGCAATTCAAATTTAGCAGTACATTAAAAGGATTATACACTATGAATGAGTATAATTGACTCCTGAAATAAAAGTATGTTCCAACACATGTAAATCAGCATAATATCACATTAACATAAAGAAGGAAAAAACCTCGTGATACCTTAATCAAAGAAAAAGCATTTGTCAAAATTTAACCCACGTTCATGATAAAATATACTTAATAAGCTATAAAAAGGAATAAAACACCTTAACATAAGGTTATATTTAAAAAAACACACAGCTAACATTATAATGAAAGACTGAAAGCTTTTACCCTAAGAGCAAAATCAAGGATGCCTGCTTTTACTACTTCTATTTAATATAGTACTGAAGGTTCTAGTTAGTTAAAACAATAAGGCAAGTAAAATAATGAATCCTCCCTAACTCATTTTATGAGGCCAGCATCATTCTGATACCAAAGCCGGGCAGAGACACAACCAAAAAAGAGAATTTTAGACCAATATCCTTGATGAACATTGATGCAAAAATCCTCAATAAAATACTGGCAAACCGAATCCAGCAGCACATCAAAAAGCTTATCCACCATGATCAAGTGGGCTTCATCCCTGGGATGCAAGGCTGGTTCAATATACGCAAATCAATAAATGTAATCCAGCATATAAACAGAGCCAAAGACAAAAACCACATGATTATCTCAATAGATGCAGAAAAAGCCTTTGACAAAATTCAACAACCCTTCATGCTAAAAACTCTCAATAAATTAGGTATTGATGGGACGTATTTCAAAATAATAAGAGCTATCTATGACAAACCCACAGCCAATATCATACTGAATGGGCAAAAACTGGAAGCATTCCCTTTGAAAACTGGCACAAGACAGGGATGCCCTCTCTCACCGCTCCTATTCAACATAGTGTTGGAAGTTCTGGCCAGGGCAATCAGGCAGGAGAAGGAAATAAAGGGTATTCAATTAGGAAAAGAGGAAGTCAAATTGTCCCTGTTTGCAGACAACATGATTGTTTATCTAGAAAACCCCATCGTCTCAGCCCAAAATCTCCTTAAGCTGATAAGCAACTTCAGCAAAGTCTCAGGATACAAAATCAATGTACAAAAATCACAAGCATTCTTATACACCAACAACAGACAAACAGAGAGCCAAATCATGGGTGAACTCCCATTCACAATTGCTTCAAAGAGAATAAAATACCTAGGAATCCAACTTACAAGGGATGTGAAGGACCTCTTCAAGGAGAACTACAAACCACTGCTCAAGGAAATAAAAGAGGACACAAACAAATGGAAGAACATTCCATGCTTATGGGTAGGAAGAATCAATATCGTGAAAATGGCCATACTGCCCAAGGTAATTTACAGATTCAATGCCATCCCCATCAAGCTACCAATGACTTTCTTCACAGAATTGGAAAAAACTACTTTAAAGTTCATGTGGAACCAAAAAAGAGCCCGCATTGCCAAGTCAATCCTAAGACAAAAGAACAAAGCTGGAGGCATCACACTACCTGACTTCAAACTATACTACAAGGCTACAGTAACCAAAAAAGCATGCTACTGGTACCAAAACAGAGATATAGATCAATGGAACAGAACAGAGCCCTCAGAAATAATGCCGCATATCTACAACTATCTGATATTTGACAAACCTGAGAAAAACAAGCAATGGGGAAAGGATTCCCTATTTAATAAATGGTGCTGGGAAAACTGGCTAGCCATATGTAGAAAGCTGAAACTGGATCCCTTCCTTACACCTTATACAAAAATCAATTCAAGATGGATTAAAGATTTAAACGTTAAACCTAAAACCATAAAAACCCTAGAAGAAAACCTAGGCATTACCATTCAGGACATAGGCGTGGGCAAGGACTTCATGTCCAAAACACCAGAAGCAATGGCAACAAAAGACAAAATTGACAAATGGGATCTAATTAAACTAAAGAGCTTCTGCACAGCAAAAGAAACTACCATCAGAGTGAACAGGCAACCTACAACATGGGAGAAAATTTTCGCAACCTACTCATCTGACAAAGGGCTAATATCCAGAATCTACAATGAACTCAAACAAATTTACAAGAAAAAAACAAACAACCCCATCAAAAAGTGGGCGAAGGACATGAACAGACACTTCTCAAAAGAAGACATTTATGCAGCCAAAAAACACATGAAGAAATGCTCATCATCACTGGCCATCAGAGAAATGCAAATCAAAACCACTATGAGATATCATCTCACACCAGTTAGAATGGCAATCATTAAAAAGTCAGGAAACAACAGGTGCTGGAGAGGATGCGGAGAAATAGGAACACTTTTACACTGTTGGTGGGACTGTAAACTAGTTCAACCATTGTGGAAGTCAGTGTGGCGATTCCTCAGGGATCTAGAACTAGAAATACCATTTGACCCAGCCATCCCATTACTGGGTATATACCCAAATGAGTATAAATCATGCTGCTATAAAGACACATGCACACGTATGTTTATTGCGGCACTATTCACAATAGCAAAGACTTGGAACCAACCCAAATGTCCAACAATGATAGACTGGATTAAGAAAATGTGGCACATATACACCATGGAATACTATGCAGCCATAAAAAATGATGA
Source organism: Homo sapiens (assembly GCF_000001405.40). Classification (NCBI taxonomy): domain Eukaryota; kingdom Metazoa; phylum Chordata; class Mammalia; order Primates; family Hominidae; genus Homo; species Homo sapiens. Next base: position 138,184,254 of record NC_000009.12, on the reverse strand, counting down.
GTTCATATCCTTTGTAGGGACATGGATGAAATTGGAAACCATCATTCTCAGTAAACTATCGCAAGAACAAAAAACCAAACACCGCATATTCTCACTCATAGGTGGGAATTGAACAATGACATCACATGGACACAGGAAGGGGAATATCACACTCTGGGGACTGCGGTGGGGTCGGGGGAGGGGGGAGGGATAGCACTGGGAGATATACCTAATGCTAGATGACACATTAGTGGGTGCAGCGCACCAGCATGGCACATGTATACATATGTAACTAACCTGCACAATGTGCACATGTACCCTAAAACTTAGAGTATAATAAAAAAAAATAAATAAAAAAAAAAATAAATAAAAAAAGATATTCCAATTTTTAAAAAAGTAAAATTTTCTGTTTGCAGATGACATGACTTTATATATTAAAAATCTTTTAGTTTCTGTGAGATAAACTATCAGATGCAATAAATAACATTCAGCAAAACTGCAGGATACAAAATCAAGACACAAAAATCGGTTGTATTTCTACAATAACAAACTATCTGAAGAAGAAATCAAGACAACAGTATCATTTATGACAGCATCAAAAGAATAAAATACTTAGAAGCCAACTTAACCAAGGAAATGAAAAACCTGTACAGCAGAACTATAAACATTGCAGGAAAGCATTAAAGATGACACAAATAAATGAAAAGACATCATGTGTTTATGGACTGGAAGACAAAACCTCATCAAGATGCCATTGTTATCAATAGTCATCTACAGATTCAATAAAATCACTATAAAAATTCCAATATTTGCAAAAATAGAAAAACCTATTCTGAAATTCAGATGAAATTTCAAAAAACCCCAAGTAGCCAAATCAATCTTAAAAACTAACAAAGTTAGAGGACTAACACCTCCTGGTTTCAAACTTACTGCAATGCTTCAGTACCCAAAACAATGCTGTACCACCATAGAGACAGACATAAAGACCAATGCAATAGAAATAAAGAACCAAAAAACACAGTCATGATTTTTAACAAGGGAGTCAAAACTATGGGGAAAGGACAGTATATTTTTAAATGGTGTTAAGAATGAATATTTACATGGAAAACAATACAGTTGGACCCTTACTTTACACCATATAAAAAACTTAATTTAAAATGGACTAAACATCTAATTGTAAGAGCTAAAACTATAAAACCCTTAGAAGAAACATAGGAAAAATGTTTCTTAACATAGAATCTGGCAATAATTTCTTGGATATGACAGTGAAAGCACAGACAACAACAACAACAAAAATACATAAAAAGAACTTCATCAAAGTGACAAGCTGTTATGTATCTGAAGATATGATCAATAGATTGAAAATACAATTCACAGAGGGAAAGTAAATATTCACACATTATGTATTTGATAAGTAATTAATATCCAGGCTATATAAAGACCTCAGCAACAACAACAACAAAACAATCAAATTTAAACATGAGCAAAGGTTTTAGAATACACATTTCTCTAACGAAGATATGCAAATGACCAGCAAGCACAGGATAAGGTGCTCAGCATCACTAATCGTGAGAAAAATGTAAATCCAAACCACAATGCAATACCAACTAACACATGTAAGCATAGCTGCCATCAAAAGCACCACCACCAGCAAAGCAAAACAACAAAGCCTCAGAGAACAGCAAATGCTGATGTGGAGAAGTCAGGACTCCTGCACACTGCTGGTGGGAAAGTAAGATGGCACAGCCACTGTGGAAAACTGTAATCACCATATGATCTAGTAATTCCACATCTGGGTATATATCCCAAAAAACTGAAAGTGGGAATTCGCACATCCCTGTTTATAGCAGCATTCACAAGAGCCAGAGGGTAGAAAAAGCCCAAATGTCCATCTACAGATGAATGGATAAGCAAATATGATCAATACACACAATGATATATTATTCAGCCTTAAAAAGAAAAGAAATTCTAATACATGCTACAACATAAACCTTGAAAACATTAAAACAAAAAAAATGCATACTCCATGCTTTCCACTTTTATAGTGTACCTAGAGCAGCTAAATTCATAGACACAGAAAGTAGGATGTGGTTTCCAGGGGATGGGGGGAAGGGAGAGGGGAGCTATTGTTCCGTGGATACAGAGTTTCACTTTGGGATGATAACACAGGTTTGGAATGGATAGTGGTGATAGTTGCACAACAATGTATTTATACTTAATGTACTTAAATTTTCTGTTATACATATTTTACCACAGTAAAAAAATTAGCAAATATTTAAAAATCTACTTGTTTCCTTGAACTGTTTCTTTACATCCCTTGTCCATTTTTCAATTTGGCTGTTGGTCTTTTAATAATTTAGGATAGCTATATAGCTATATATATACACATATATTACCCAAATTAGCTTTTTGTCTGTCATGTATGTTGCAGATCTGTTTCCCCAGTCTGTTGACTTTTGACTTTGAGGCATTTTTCTCGCCTATAAAGTTTTAATTTTTATAGAGTCAAATGCATCAGTCTTCTATTCGAAGACTTATTTATGGGTTTGGTGTTTCAGTTTAGGATGAAAAAGAAGTTGTAGATATGGATAAAGGAGATGGTTGTACAACACATTATAGTGGATGCCACTCAACTGTATGTTTAAACATGGTTAAAATGGTAAGTTTTATGTTGCATATATTTTACCACCAAAAAAGGGCCAGGCTTAGATGTTTATATGTTAGGGGTTTGGAGTACCTCTAACATTTATTCCCCTCCAGGGGAATAATTTATAAACACCCACACAAGAAAAGTAGATACTGACTTCACAAATCTCCTTACAAGTCCCACAGCAAGGGCTGTCTGGGAAAGCAGAGGTGGAAAAAGTCACATAAACTTGAGGTCAGTGTGAGACCTCCCATCCCCTACTCTGGAATCAGTTGGAGGAAGGCACGCATGCAGGCTGAGCTGGAGAGATGAGCTGGGGTGGGCAGAACTGTCCTCCCATGAGCCTAGACCTTAACTGCTCCCACATGCTCCCAGGCATGTATCAAACCAAGAAAGCGGCTAGGAGGGTAACACAGCTACCTGTATACAGGGAGCCATGAAATATCCGAGCTGCGCAAGTGATGCACAAGGAGATGGAAGCAGTCTGACCTTTACACAGTGACCTGGCTCAAATAATTTCAGGCTCTCGTTAATCAGGCGAGCTCCGCTTTCTCTCTGAGGTAGGTAAACTTGAGGGGGTAAAGTGGGAGTTGGGGAAAATGGAAAAGAAAGCCTGGTAGTATTTCTCCTAACTCTGTTATAAATAAAAAGTAAAACATAAATGCCTTTTCTCAGGGCCCAAATGTTAGGTGAAAAAATGTCATCTCAGTCATGTGATGTGGACTTCAGCCGAGCAGTACACACATGGTCATTTATCCTTTCCCTCTGCATGTTGTGTGCTTTTTCAGTTTATAATGTACCTGATCCACTTGTCTCATCACACTAGCTGCAAACAAGGCCACTGAATGTCACACCAGGTGGCCAGCATGTCTGTGAAGGGCAGAAACCGGGGCAGCCAAACAGCTGGCAGAGGCCAGCTAGGAAGTACCCGATGCCCACTCCATAGAGGACTCCACAATTAAAAGACAAGATCAGCAAGTGTCAGGCTGCCTCACTAGTTATCCCCCCCCCAAAAAAAACAAAAGTAACCCCTCCAGGGAACATGTGTGTGTACACACACAAAAGTACATGCACACAGCTACATGCAAACGGGAAAGGCTGGGAAGGAACCAAATCCACCTCTGAACACCAGTTACTTGTGGGGAAGGGGCAGGTGAAGCCAACTGTCAGCATTACTCACCTTTTCAACTATGAGCTTGCATCAATTTTAGCAATTTCTCATAAAAAGGCAATTTTCACTCCTTGGCTGATGACCGAGGTCCTGAAAAACTGAGCCACCAACAACCACCTGCACCACTTCCCATGAGGCCAAATAATGGCTTCCCTCAAAGCTCAGCCCTCCCACCCACCTCCCAGTCCTCTCCCATGCAGGGGGCTGCCGGCCTCCTGGGGTACAGGTGTCCAGGCCAAACCCAACCCACAGATGGTTGGTGAAACCAGCACATATCCAAGGGCCTTTTCCCCACCTGGGCCATGTGCCCACTGCATAGATAGGCCTGTGCTTGCTCCCCTAGGACAGAGACTCCCTTTTCTTCCGTTGGAATGAAGGGTGGGGAGATTTGATGGTGTCCTGTACAGGTTGGGTGTTAATCTGATGTGGTGCTCTTGGAGAAGCTTACCTGAGTTAGGTGTTTTCTCAGCACGTGGTGTGTGCTGCCCCTTCAAGCTGCAGGAGTCCCAGAAGGTAAGTGCTACTGCAACCCCCATTTACTGGTGAACAGAGGTCAGGTGATCTGCAGCCGACCGAGCAGCTGCTAAGTGGCCAACAGGCTGGATCTGCATCTCACTTGCAGAGGCCCTGCCTGGATGCTGGGGCTGCCCTGAGACTCCCTTCTCCTCCTCTTCCCTCCACAGCTCTCCCTGCTTCTATCCACAGCTGTGCTCCAGGTGGGGAACACCTATGGATGCACCAGGGTGCAACTACTCAGAGTCAAGCATGCAGAAGGGCCCCTGCTCTATGCTGTTTCCATATCCAAGCCCAAGCTCTTCTAGAGCTTCAGCAAATCCAAGCCTCCCTGAATTCCCTGCAAGACCAAACTGAGCCCTACAACCCCCACCACTCTGGTTAGCTGCCAGTCCCAGCCCCTGTTCCCTCCTGGGCCCCTGTCTGTACAGTTCTGAAGTCCTGCAAGAATGTTGAGATCCTAAGCTGACTCTCACCCAAAGAGGTAAACAACCAGGGGCCTCCAGAGGTAGAGAACATACTCTGCTGCCTGTAGGCTTGATGTCCTTCCCCTACAACACACCTTGCTTGCCAGGCTGGAAGAGGGGCTCCAGAAACTCGGGAAACCTGGGCCTGTAGCTGGCATGTGGAAAAAAGGCCTGGAAAAGCACCACTCCTGTCCATGAAGCCCCCATATGGAACCAGGTAATTGGGAAACACATGGTCACCAAGCCTGACCCCCCCTCAGACCCAGGTGGGAACTGCAGCGGTGCTTGCCCCCTCTGCCTGTCTGGCTGTGCCACTACAGGAGGGAGGAACATCTAGCCCCACGCGTGAGTGGAGACACCAGGTGTGGGCAGGTTCCAGTGGTTGCTGCAGCTGAACCTTCCTAACCAGGTCCATGCAAGACCATCTCAGATGGGTGTGCACCTGGGTTGGGCAAGGACACCCCTTAGAGAGTGAGAGCCACTGAGGAGGGCTGTCACAGAGGCCCCTTTTCCTGCTCCTAGAACAGGCTGGGGGAGTGTGGGGGAGTATGGGGGAGGTTGGGGGAGTGTGGGCGAGTGTGGGCGAGTGTGGGCGAGTGTGGGCGAGTGTGGGGGAGTATGGGGGAGTATGGGGGAGTATGGGGGAGTATGGGGAACCTCTCCCACCTCCCAGCTGCTTCCAGGAGCCACTTCTTTTGAGATGAGACACTCTCCTGCCTGCCTGTTCCCATTTGGCTGCAATAGACCATTGACAACATTCAGAGAACAAGAAGGGGCCTCACCTGTTTTCCCTGACACGTCAGAGGCAGGTGGGCATTCCCAGGGGACCTGGAGTAGAACCCATACATCTCCCCACCCCCGGGCTATGCTGGCTTCATGTTATCTGTGTGATGGGGGTAGGGTGGGAATTACCAAGAGACCTTCACAGGGGCCATGGACAAGTTCTACAAGAGCCAGGGAGAAGAGCACTGTCCATGCGTGTTGCCCAGCACCCAGCTCACACACACATCTCTAATTTGACAGCTTCCCCAAAGCAGGCTTTACAGTCCAGGCTCCCCGAGAAGCCTGGGGAGGAGACCCTCCCAGGCTGAAGGGCCTGTACCCAAAGGTGCCACCCTCACCAGGCTCATCCTGGCAATCTTGGATTATTTTTGCCCTGAGGTTTTGGAGTGGGAGACAGGGAGACAGCAGACAGTACTCATTAGCCACCTTTCCAGAGAGCATCAGCCCTCCAGACTGGGGCAGGTCAGACCTCCACTCAGGCGTTTTTCTCACTGGTTGCCGCCAGCTGGGGGAAGCAGCATTTGTGAGCACCTGCCTGTCTCCCCAGGTCCTGTTCAGAAACCCCATCTGTGCCTTTGGAGGGACTGCCCTGCGCACACAGGCCCAGTAACCACCATCTACGGCCCCCAGGACCTAATCCCCTTCTACATAGGGTTCAGTGCATGTCACAGGTCCAGCAACCACCATCTACGGCCCCCAGGACCTAATCCCCTTCTACTTGGGGTTCAGTGCATGTTAGCAGACACTGGGCTCGATTCCTGCCTAGTCCCTGCCAGATACCCCATGCCCACCTCGTGAAGAGAATGAGGCCACACAAACACACCCAGACCGTCATGGTGATGGAGTGCCTGGGGTCCCACTTGCCCACCCTTCATTGCTGGTTCAGAGCCAGCTGTCTGACCACATTCCTACTCCAAGATGGGACTTTGGAGACATTGTCCACCAGGGTCGCTGACCCCTTTTAACGTTCCAGAAACATGGCCAGCTGGTCCCCTAGAAGTTTGGTACATGGGATAAGCCAAGGCTTGCCTTCAGGAACAGGTTTTCCACCACGTCGCTGCCCAAGGCCCAGGGCATCCCCAAGTTCACGTGAAGCCTGCCTGCCATGTCCACAGCCCATGCTGAGCCCTCCTGGAGCCACTGGAATGCTTGTTCCTGGGCATGTGATGAACCCAGACAGCTTCTGCCTTGCAGGACAACTGTGTGCATCTGGCAGCAGTAGCCGGAGGGCCCATGGAAAGAAGATGGAGGTGAAACCAGATGCTGTGAGAATACTTTATTAGTCAAAACTGCACACTATAAAAGTGCTTTAAAATGCAGCAGCAGGAGATGTGAAGACACAAATGAACAAGTGCGTAGTGACACATAGCTGTCACAACACAGTGAAGAATACACACTGCCTCCCCCGCTTTACCTAGAAAAGGAGAGTTCTAGGCCACCTCCTCCTCAGCATACTCCTCATCCTCCTCCTCCTTGGCCGTGGCATCCTGATATTGCTGATATTCAGACACCAGGTCATTCATGTTGCTCTCGGCCTCGGTGAATTCCATCTCATCCATGCCCTCGCCCGTGTACCAGTGGAGGAAGGCCTTGCGCCTGAACATTGCTGTAAACTGCTCTGAGACACACGTGAAGAGTTCCTGGATGGCCGCATTATTCCCAATGAAGCTGGCTGACATTTTTAGCCCCCGGGGTGGGATGTCACAGATGGCTGTTTTTACGTTGTCGGGGAACCAGTCAGCAAAGTAGCTGCTGTTCTTATCTTGAATGTTGAACATCTGTTCATCCACCTCCCTCATGGGCATGCGACCCTGGAAAATGGCAGCCGCCGTTAGGTAGCGGCCGTGACGGGGGTCACGGGCAGCCCTCATGTTCTTAGCATCAAACATCTGCTGGGTGAGCTCAGCCACAGTCAAGGCCCGGTACTGCTGGCTGCCCCGGCTGGTCAGTGGGGCAAAGCCAGGCATGAAGAAATGCAGCCGGGGAAACGGGACCATGTTCACGGCCAGCTTCCGCAGGTCAGCATTCAGCTGGCCTGGGAAGCGCAGGCACGTGGTGACCCCACTCATGGTAGCAGACACCAGGTGGTTCAGGTCACCATAGGTGGGTGTGGGCAGTTTTAGGGTCTTGGAACATATGTCATATAGCGCTTCGTTATCTATGCAGAAGGTCTCATCTGCGTTTTCTATGAGCTGGTGGACTGAGAGGGTGGCGTTGTAGGGCTCCACCACGGTGTCTGACACCTTGGGCGAGGGCAGGATGCTGAATGTGTTTATGATCCTGTCTGGGTACTCCTCCCGGATCTTGCTGATGAGGAGGGTAACCATCCCAGACCCAGTCCCCCCACCCAGGGAGTGGGTCAGCTGGAAACCCTGCAGGCAGTCACAGCTCTCAGCCTCCTTTCTGACAACGTCCATCACTGACTCCGTCAGCTCCGCGCCTTCGGTGTAGCGTCCCTTGGCCCAGTTGTTTCCGGCCCCACACTGACCTGTAAGACAGCACAGCCGGTCACTCGATGGCCAGGTATACGGTCATCAGTGGTCACCACCATAATGCAGAAAGAGCCAAGTGTCACACGTGAGGTGAGAGCACCGTTCGCCCTGCAGGTGGAGCAAATGAAACCCGCTCCCCCAGAGTAACAGGACAGCAGCTTCCCCTGTTAGGAATTAAGTCAGGAGTCAAACCTGAGACGGGCTCACAGACCTCGCCGCAGGTGGCTCCTGCCCATTCTCAGGAAAGGCAGTAGCCACGGCCCCAGCTCAGCTCCCGGCAGGGACATCAGTAGCTCCTCACCTTGAGGAGACACCCGGGACTTCCTCCCGAAGCCCGTTTAAGAGAGGCAGATTGAGCGACTCGACTCGGCAGATAGGAGGGTGTTCAGGGGCCCTGGCGCCACAGTTCCCACAGGATGACCTTGGAGCGTTCCTGGATTTTGAGCTGCCCTGGCTAAGGAGCCGCACCCCAGTCCTCGCCCGCAGCTCACCGAAGATGAAGTTGTCTGGCCTGAGGACCTGCCCGAAGGGCCCCGAGCGCACAGAGTCCATGGTGCCCGGCTCCAGATCCACGAGCACAGCGCGGGGCACGTACCTGCCACCTGCGTGGGGCGGGAGGGCATGAGCGAGGGGAGGGCCGCGTTCCCAGGAGGGCGGTGGGGGAAGGACGGGGGTCGCACCGCTGGCCTCGTGGTGGTGCACATTGGGTGGGGGAAGGACGGGGGTCGCACCGCTGGCCTCGTGGTGGTGCACGTTGATGCGCTCCAGCTGCAGGTGGCTGTCCCCGTGGTAGGTGCCAGCGGAGTCGATAGCATGTTCATCAGAGATCACCTCCCAGAACTGCAAGAGACGGGAGGGGCCAGACAGGCCGGGGCTGAGTCACGGAGGCACCCCAGCCACTCTCCCACCCCCACCCGCACCCCCATCCCTAGGCCGCCCTGTCCCTGGGGTCCACCCCGGCCGCCTCGCCAGCCACCCAGTTCCACCGTCCCCGGCAGGGAGCCCAGGGGCCGCAATGCAGGGGCACCGCCCCGCCACTGCTAACATCTTCCCCGGCCACCCGGCAGGCCCGGGCTGGGCCCTCAGAGCCCTGGCTGCCAACCTTGGCCCCGATCTGGTTCCCGCACTGCCCGATCTGCGTGAGAGCACAAGCTCCCTCGTGGCCAAGGCAGGATTAGGGCGGCAGGAGAAGCGCGAGAAGGAGGAGCAGACGCGCAGCGACCCAGCCCGGCCTCCGCCAACGCTTAAACAGCCCCGCGCCCACCTCCCTCAGCCTCCGATTGGGCTCCCAGAATAAGCAACAGCTTTACTTCCACACAGGTGCACCCACCTGTGAATCCCTTGGCGTTGAACGTCTGTTGGAGAACTCAGGTGTCCTTGCGTGGTCCCTTCCACGTTGGGGAAAGCTGCTCAGCTGGAGAACTTCCTCCCACGTCTTTAGTAAGACTAAATCCCTAGCTGAGCTGAAACTGAATTTTCCTCCCATGTGGGAGGGGAAGACTCTTGTTTCCATATGCACGGAGTGCCTTTGCACCTGTCCCAGATTGATGACATATTTTTGTAATTGATGAGTCTTTTCATCTATTAGGAGATCTGTCGTTAGGAAAGGCCTTCCACATGTTAACTCAACAGGACTTAATTATACGTTTTACTTTGGAGCAGTTCAAACCCGCAGTAAGCTATGGGTGTTGGAGATAGTCAGGCGTCTGATTTAGCTGGAGTCTTCTGTAGAGTAGGATTAGCCCTTTCACCTTTCCAGAGGACTGCAGTCTCCACACAGAGTGAAGGTAATATTGGATTCTTAAAGCTGAGATAGGTGTTGGGTTACGCCTGCTGTGAAAGATGGGCCATTGTCACTTTGCAGGCTTTTAGATTACCCAAACTGAGGAGTTATTTCTTCTGGTAAACATTTTTCAGATGGGGTGGGGAATGCCTCAATCTAACCAGTGAAGGTATCAGTAAGCATTAGCAAATATTTGAATCTCCTGCAGAAAGGCTTCGGGGTAAATTAGAGTTGCCAGTTCTCATGTAGATTGGTTCCTCAATGTTGGACAGGTTTAACTGGAGAAGGAGAAAATTGCTGGCCGTTTGGGTCATGTCAGGCACAGAGCTCACAGGGCTGAGTCACCTGTTTTAGTGTCTTGAAAAGATTTACCCCTATAAACAAATGAGACATTAACAGAAACAAAGAATCCCTTCTAGGGTGAAAAGAATCATGAAAGTGCTGAGTTATACTCCTGTGATTGGTACTTGGCGTTAGTAATTTATTACCATCATTCAGCCCGAGGGGCCCTGGACTGAAATGCAATCCCTGGCCCATTTTCGTTCTTCTTCAGGGTATTCCGGCCCAGTTCTATGTATGCTGACCAGCACGCCCACAAGCTTCATTGGCCCTTTCAGTGCAGGGGCCTTGGCTGTGGCATCTACAAGGGCATTTCCTTTTACATGGTCAGTCTCTCTTTTGATGTCCTCTGCAATTAATTATAGTCACTTTTTGGCAGCAAAGCAGCACTCTAACAAGCTCAAAATCTGAATGATGTTGTATGGAAAAGCCCTTGGGGGTCAGGAGTCCCCACCCATTCCAAATTGCAGCATAAGCATGAAGCACTAAAAAATCATACTTGGAATCAGTGTAAATGTTAACTTTTAAATCCTTTCCAACTGCAGGGACCTAGTAAGTTCAATTAACTCAGCTTTTTGAGCTGAGGTCGAGGCCAGCAAGGCTTGTGCCTTGATTCTCTTGTGCTAATAATAGCATATCTAGCCCTCCTGTTTTCCTGATGCATAAAACAACTTGCATCTGTTAACCACTCTGCCTTGGGATGGTCAAGGGGCTCATCTCTCTTAAGTCTGGCCTGCTAGAATCAATTTGTTTCATAACCTGTGACATGCTTTGGCTGTGTCCCCAGTCAAATCTTATCTTGAATTATAGCTCCCATAATTCCTATATATCGTGGGAGGGGCCCAGTGGGAGGTAATTGAATCGGGGGATGGGTCTTTCCCATGCTGTTCTCGTGACAGTGAATAAGCCTCATGAGATCTGATGGTTTATTTATTTATTTATTTTTGAGACAGAGTCTTGCTCTGTTGCTCAGGCTGGAGTGCATTATCATGATCTTGGCTCACTGCAACCTCTGATTCCCGGGTTCAAGCGATTCTCCTGTCTCAGCCTCCCGAGTAGCTGGGATTACAGGCGCCCACCACCATGACTGTCTAATTTTTGTACTTTTAGTATAGACGAGGTTTCACCATGTCGGCCAGGCTGGCCTCAATCTCCTCACCTCAGGTCATCCACTGCCTTGGCCTCCCAAAGTGCTGGGATTACAGCTGATGGTTTTATAAAGGGGAGTTTCCCTACACAAGCTCTTTTGCCTGCTGCCACGTAAGAGATGTGACTTTGTTCCTCACCTGCCTTCTGCCATGAGTGTGAGGCCTCTCCGACCATGTGGAACTGTGAGTCAATTAAACCTCTTTTTTTATAAATTACCCAGCCTCAGATATGTCTTTATTAGCAGCGTGAGAACAGACTAATACAGCCTGTATGCCAGAAAGGCTGGGAGCACCTGTGGACTCTGACAGATAAGTAGCTGGGTTGATGGTTTGGCAGGCTTTAAGGGTTATGTCTGGAGGGTCGGTCTAGCAATAAGGCCTCACACTTTCATAAATATTCTCCTATTATCCACTGCTGCCCTTTAGCTTCTAGGACCACCTTCCCTTGGTGTGGGGTCAAAAACCTGTAGGTGCTGTTCTAATGTTAGTTTATTAGCTTTGCCAACTAGAAAAGTGGTAGCAGCAATAGCTCTAAGACATCAAGGCTAAAAGTCAGAGGATCGCTAAGGAAAGTAAAAGCTAAACGGTTTGGGGCCTCTTTCCTGGAGCAGCCTCCAGGCTACTGCAAAACGGAGGCGGTGGGCAGAAAGGCGACAATATGCACAGCACTCAGGTGAGGGACACAGAGCACAAGGTGGACAGTCCAAAAAGAGAAAGTGGCAAACATCTTGTTTAGCCAAATCCATTCTTCTCAATATTCCCCAGGGCCTCTAATCTGAGTATGACACCCCCAGGTCTCTAACTTTGGGCTGAGTCTCTCACCCTAATATTATACCCTAGGGCCTCTCACTTAAGTAATAGTGGGTAATCATTCTTGCCAACCTGAATGGTTTCGCAACTCTAACAGCCCACTTGCCAGCTGATTGATTCTATGTGGATTGTTTTCCTTGGAGTGGGGGTCTTGTCTTGGTGTCCCTTCATGGTGTTGCTGAAAGATGTTGCTGGAAAAGAGGGTCCTGACACAGACCACAAAGTAGGATTCTTAGATCTTGTGCAGGAAAAAATTTGAGGTGAGTCAGAGGGCAAAGTGAAAGAAGCAAGTTTATTAGAAATGACTCCATTACAGAGTTGGACATCCTCAGAAAACAAGAGCAGGAATGCATTGTCTTTTGTTAGTGTCTGTACTCTAACTATAAAGAGAAAGAGTTATAATTAAACTTGGAAGGTGCAGATGTACTCATTAAAGTCGGGGCTATTCGTTTTAACAATGACCATTAACCCGTTGACCTAAGCTAGCTCATTAATATTATCTTTTAAGAAAAAATGCTGCACTCCTAGGACATTTATACATTTTTCAGGCTTGGTGGAAGTGTCTTGTATGGCCATAAATATTCTGCAATTGTAATTTGTGGCCAGTAAAAAAATGTGGCTATTTCCAGACTATAGGTATTAACCTTCTAGATGCCTTGTGAGTACCTAGCTACTCATATTAAGATAGAGAATTCTCGTCATGTTTATTAAACTAGAAGCTTGATAACCATGAGTTCCTCTAACACAACAAGTATACTCCTCAAGGAGAAAATGTATTTCTCAGGAATTTTGTGCATTTTGTTTGACGGCATTTGGTATGTTTACCAAAATGGCAGAAAAGAGTGAAATTAGTCCTCAAAGATTTCTCAAGATTGGATATAAAGTAAACAAAATGATTATAGTTAATATGCAAGTTGACACAGTTGATATGCAAAAGAAATTTTGTTTGAAACACGAGATTTTTATTTTTATTTATTATTATCATTTTGAGACAGAGTCTTGGTCTGTTGCCCAGGCTGGAGTGCAGTGCACCATCTTGCCTCACTGAAACGTCTGCCTCCCGGGTTCAAGTGATTCTCCTGCCTCAGCCTCCCAAATAGCTGGGATTACAGATATGAATCACCACACTCAGATAATTTTTGTATCTTTAGTAGAAATGGGGTTTCACTCTGTTGGCCAGGCTGGTCTCAAACCCCTGACAACAAGTGATCTGCCCACCTTGGCCTCCCAAATTGCTGGGATTACAGGCATGAGCCACTGCTCCCAGCCACAATGAGGTTTTTAAATAATTCTGATTTCCTGCTGTTGAGCAGCGAGCCGAGCAAATTCAACAGATCATGAGCCTAAAGTAGGAGAAGACTGAGGACAAACTCTAGAACACATGTGATTAAATTAATTACAATGGAAAGCAAATCAAATTTAATAAGGCCATACCTCTTAGTTTCAAGATGTTTCCCCTCATTTTGAAATGTGGTGTTATTCAGTGGAAAAGAAAAACAGTGTTTATCTCCAGAGTAAAGAACAGGGTTCCCTGCAGGGACTGACTGACTGAGAGCTATGGCTCAGGATTAAAAATTCTTCTTTTTTCCACTTATAAACTAAAAATTAATTTCTAAGCCCCTATTGACTAAATGGACCCCTCTTCTTGGATAAGGACATTCCAAAGTTAACCTGAAAAGCTACTTCAAGCCATGGGTCACACCTGCCTCATTAGACTCTCCTTTTGGTTTTAATTGTAATTTTTAATTAATTTTTGTGGGTACATAGTTGGTGTATATATTTATGGGGGTACATGACATACTTTGATACAGGCATGCAATCAGTAATACACAATAAAAAACAGGGTATCCATCCCCTCAAGCATTTATAGCTTGTTTTATAAACAATCCAATTATACTATTTTAGTTTTTATAAAATGTATAAATTATTTTTTTACCATAATCACCCTGTTGTGCTACCAAATACTGTCTTATTCATTCTTTCTAACAATTTTTTGTACCCATTTCGCATCCCCACTAACCCCGTTCCCCCACTGCCCTTCCCAGCCTCTGGTAACCAACCTTATACTCTCTATCTCTATGACATCAATTGTTTTGAATTTTAGCGCCCACAAACGAGTGAGAACATGTGACATTTGTCTTTCTGTGCCTGACTTATTTCACTTAACATAAAAACTTTCAGTTCCATTTCTGTTACTGCAAATGACAGACTCTCATTCTTTCTTATAGCTGAATAGTACTCCATTGTGTATATGTACCACATTTTCTCTATCCAGTCATCTGTTGATGGACATTTAGGTTTCTTCCAAATCTTGGCTATTAGCAACATTTGTTTTTGACTGACTTCTGGATAAAAGCCACCTTAACTGAGGTGAAATGATATCTCATTTTGGGTTTGATTTGCATTTCTATGATGATCAGTAATATGGAGCACCTTTTCATTTGCCTGTTTGCCATTTGTATGTCTTCTTTTCATAAATGTCCATTTAAATTTTTGTCTACTCTTTATTATATTTTTTTCTATAGAATGTTTTGAACTCAATATATTGTAGTGTATTAGTCTGTTTCTGCACTGCTATAAAAAAACTGAGACTGGGTTATTTATTTATCTATTTATGTATTGAGATGAAGTCTTGCTCTGTCACCCAGGCTGGAGTGCATTGGTATGATCTCAGTTCACTGTAACCTCCACCTCCTGGGTTCAAGCAATTCTCTGCCTCAGCCTCTTGAGTAGCTGGGATTACAGGCACCTGACACGATGCCCAGCTAAGTTTTGTATTTTTAGTAGAGATGGGGTTTCACCATCTTGGCCAGGCTGGTCTTGAACTCCTGACCTCATGATCCACCCACCGCTGCCTCCCAAAGTGCTGGGATTACAAGCATAAGCCACTGCGCCTGGCGAGACTGGGTAATTTATAAAGGAAACAGGTTTAACTGAGTCACAGTTCCACGTGGCTGGGGAGGCCTCAGGAAACTTACAGTCATGGCAGACGAGGAAGCAGGCACCTCTTCCATGACAGCAGGTGAGAGAGCATATATGTGAAGCAAAGGGGGAAGAGCCCCTTATAAAAACATCAGATCTCATGAGAACTCACTCATTGTCAGAAGAACAACCTGGAGGAAACCAACCCCATGATCCAATCATCTTCTACCAGGTCTCTCCCTCAACACCTGGGGATTACAATTCAATATGAGATTTGGGTGGGGACACAAAGCCTAACCATATCACATCGCTATTAATTGCTTTTCAGATGGGTAATTCACAAATATTTTCTCCCATTCTGTGGGTTTTCTCTTCACTTTGTTTCCTTCACTTTAAAAAAGCTTTCTGACTTGCTGTAATTCCATTTGTTCATGTTTGCTTTGGTTGTCTGTGCTTATGGGGCATTATTTAAGAAATTTTTGCTCAAACCATGCCCTAAAGGGTTTCCCCAGTGTTTTCTTGTAAAATTTTGATAGTTTGAGGTGTTAGGTTTAAGTTTTTAATTTATTTTAATTTGATTTTTGTATGTGGCAAGAAATAGGGTTCTAGTTTCACTCTTCTGCCTATGGCTTGCCAGTTTTCCCAGCCCTATTTATTACAGAAACTGTCTTATTTTTTCTTGTATGTTATCAACACTTTTGTTCAAAATAAGTTTAGTTTAGCTGTATGAGTTTGTTTCTAAGTTCTCTATTTCATTCCATTTGTCTTTGTCTTTGTATTCTAGTGTCATGCTGTTTTAATTACTATAACTTGATAGTATAATTTAAAACCAGGTAATGGGATTCCTCCAGTTTTGGTTTATATACTCAGAATAGCTTTGACTATTATAGTGTTTTGTGGTTCCATATATATTTCAGATTTTTTTTCTATTTCTATGAGGAATGTCATTGTTATTTTGACAGAGATGGCATGAAAAGTATAGACTGCTTTGGATCGCATGGACATTTTTAAAAATACTGATTCTTCCAATCTGTGAACATAGATATAACTTTCCATTTTTTTGTCTTCTCTTTCTTTTATCAGTGTTTTACATTTTTAATTGTTGAGAACTTTTATTTCTTTGGTAAATTCCCACACATTTTGTTTTATTTGTGGCTATTGCAAATAGGATTACTTTTTTGAATTCTTTTCCAGTTTGTTGACTGTTGGCATATAGAAATCCTACTGATTTGTACATGTTGATTTTGTATTATGCAAATTTACTCAAGTTATTACTTCTAATAGTTTTTTGATGGATATATTAGGCCATTCTCACATTGCTGTAAAAATAATCGGTGACTAGTTAATTTATAAAGGAAATAGGTTTCATTGGCTCATGGTTCTACAGGCTGTACAGAAAGCATAGCACTGGCTTCTGCTTCTGGTGAAGCCTCTGACAACTGACAATCAAGGTGAAAAATAAATCCGGTGCTTGCACATCACATGGTAAGTGCAAGGGCAGGGGGGAAATGCTACGCACTTGTAGATAACCAGCTCTCATGAAAACTTACTATTGTGAGAATGGCACCAAAGGAAATGATGCCAAACTGTTCATGAAATCCTGCCCTCATGATTCAATCACCTCCCCACTAGGCCCACTTCCAACATTGAGGATTACATTTCAATGTAAGATTTTGGTGGGAACACACACCTAAACTATATCATTTTGCCCCTGGCCATTCCAAATCTCATATCCTTCTCATATTTCAAAATACAATCATGACATCCCAATAATCCCCAAAGTCTTAACTCATTTCAGCCTTAACTCAAAAGTCAAAAGTCTCATCTAAGACAAAGCTAGTTTATTCCTCCTATAAGCCTGTAAAATAAAAAACAAATTAAGTACTTCCAAGATAAAAATGGGGCATAGGCATTGGGTAAATACTCCTATTCTAAAAGGAAGAAATCAGCCAAAAGAAAGAGGCCACAGGACCCATGCAAGTCTGAAACCCAGAAGGGGAGTTATTGAATTTTAAGGCTCTAAAATAATTATTTTTGACTCTATGTCCCATTTCCAGGGCACAGTAATGCCTTGGGACGTTTAGACCTTGTGGCTTTTCATGGTTCAGCCCCCACAGCTGCTCTCATGGGCTGGTATTGTGTGCCTCTGGCTGGTTTTGTGTGCTTCTGGCTTTTCCAGGTGCAAAGTGCAAGCTGTAGCTAGATCTACCATTCCAGGGTCTGGAGGACAGTGATCCTCTCCTCACAGGTCTACTAGGCCATGCCCCAGTAGGCAGCCCACATGGGGACTGTAACCCTACATTTCTTCTCTGCATTGTTTTAGTAGAGGTTCTTCATAAGGGCTCCACCCCTGCAGCATGCTTCTGCCTGCACACCCTGGCTTTTTTATACATTATTTGAAGTAAAGGTGGAGACTCCCAAGTCTCAACTCTTGCATTTTTGTACACTCACAGGCCTAACACCATATGAAAGCTACCAAGGCTTATGGCTTGCACCCTCTGAAGCAGTGACTGGAGTTGTAACTGGGCCAATTTGTGCTACACCTGGAGCTGGAGCAGTGGCCAGGATGCAGGGAGCCATGTTCTAAGGCTACCCAAGGCAGCAGTTCCTGGGCCTGATCCCAGAAACTATTCTCTTCTTTTAGGCCTCAGGGTTTGTGATGGGGGGCTGCCTTTTAGATTTCTAAAATGCCTTCAATTCCTCTTTCTCATTGTCTTGGCTATCAACACTTGCTTTTTTTTTTAAGTTATACAAATATCTCTAACAAGTGATTGCTCCACAGCCTGCTCGAGTTCCTCTCTTGTAAAAGCTTTTTATTTTTCTGCCACATGACTAGGCTGCAAAGTTTTTAAGCTTTTACGCTATGCTTCCCTTGCAAGTAAAAATAAATTACAAGTTACTTTTTTTTGCTCCAACGTGTGAGCATAGGTTGTTAGAAGCAGCCAGGCCACATCTTGAACGCTTTGGTGCTTAGACATTTTTCCAACAGAAGCCCTAAATCATCGCTTTCAAATTTAAACTTTTATATATCCCTAGGGCATGACAAAAATTCAGCCAACCACTTTGCTAAGACAACATGAATGACCTTTGCTTCGGTCCTAATTTTCTAATTTTCATCTGAGACCTCCTCAGCTCAGCCTTCACTGTCCAGGTCACTATCAGCATTTTGGTCACAGCCATTCAAAGTTAAGAAAATCTCAACTTTCCCTCATTTTTCTGTCTTCTTCTGAGTCCTACAAACTCTTCCAACCTCTGCCTGTTTACCCAACTACAAAGCTGATTCCACATTTTCAGGTATTCTTATAACAATTTTCCACTCCTTTGTGCCAATTTTCTGTATTAAGCTTTTTTCCCATCACTATAAATACCTGAGACTGGGCAATTTATTTTTTAAAAAGGAGGTTTAAGTGGCTCATGATTCTACAGGCTGTAGAGAAGACACAGCACTGGCATGCACTTCTGGGAAGGCCCCTGGAAGTTTAGAGTCATGGCAAAAGTTGAAGCAGAATCTTGCACATCACAGGGCAAAAAGCAGGAGCAAAAAACAGAGGGGCGAGTTGTTACACACTTTTAAATAACCAGGTCTTATGGGAACTCACTCACTATCATGAAGATAGTACCAAGTGGGATGGTGCTAAGCCATTTATGAGTAATCCACCCCAATGGTTAAATCACCTGGCCCACCTCCAACATGGAGAATTACATTTAAATATGAGATTTGGGAGGGGACACACGTTCAAACCCTATCAGAGGAGTCTTTATGTTTTTCCAAATATAAGATTACATCACTGGCAAAAACAATAATTTGACTTCTTTTCCAATTGGGATGCCTTTTATTGCTTTCTCTTGTCTGATTGCTCCAGATAGGACTTTCAGAATTATGTTGAATAACAGTGGTAAAAGTGGATATTCTTGTCATCTTCCAGAGTTTAGAGGAAAGGCTTTTAGTTTTTCCCTACTTAGTATGATACTAGCTGTGGGTCTGTCATATATGACTTTTATTATGTTGACATATGTTCATTCCATACCCAGTTTTCAAAGGGTTTATTATTAAAGAATATTAAATTTTATCAAATACTTTTTTAGCATAATGGAAATGATTACATGGATTTTGTCCTTCTTTTTTTTGAGATGAAGTCTTCCTCTGTCACCCAGGCTGGAGTGCAATGGCATGATCTCAGCTCACTGCAACCTCTGCCTCCCGGGTTCAAGTGATTCTCCTGCCTCAGCCTTCCAAGTAGCTGGGATTACAGGTGCCCACCACTGCACCCGGCTAATTTTTGTATTTTTAGTAGAGATGGGGTTTTGCCATGTTGGCCAGGCTGGTTTTGAACTCCTGAACTCAGGTGATCTGCCTACCTAGGCTTCCAAAAGTGCTGGGATTACAGGCGTGAGCCACTGCCCCTGGCCCCTTCATTCTGTTTATATGATATATCACATTGACTGATTTGCATGTTGAACCATCCTTGTATCTCTGGGATAAATTCCACTTGGTCATTATGAATTACCTATTTATGTATTGTTTAATTGCATTTACTAGGTTTTTTGCAAATTTTTGCATCAATATTCTCAAATATGGGCCTGCAGTTTGCTTTTTAAATGTGTCTTTGTCTTGTTTTCATATCAGTGTAATACCAGCCTCAAAGAATGAGTTTGGAAATGTTCTTTCCTTCTCTATTTTTCAGTCTGGTCCTATAGACTTTTTTATTATGGCTTTAATTTTGTTACTTGTTATTGGTCTGTTCAGGTTTTAGATTTTTTCCTAGTTCACTCTTGGTAAGTTGTGTGTGTCTAAGAATTAATTTCCTCTAGGTTTTCTAATTTGTTGGCATACAATTACTTATAGTAGCCACTAATGATCTTTTGATTTTCTGAAACGTTACTTGTAAAGTCTCCTTTTTCACCTTTGATTTTATTAATTTGTATCTTTGTTTTTTAGCTAGCCTGTCTAAATATTTGTCAATTGTTTTACTGTTCAAAAAATCAACTTTTTGTTTCATTGATCTTTTGCATTGTTTTCTTCATTTTATTTCTGCTCTAATTTTTATTATTTCTTTTCTTCTAATTTTGAGTTTGGTTTGGCCTTTTTATTCTAGTGAATTAAGATGTATTGTTAGGTTATTTATTTGCAGCTTTTCTGATTTTTATATAGGCACTTACAGTTATAAATTTTGCACAGCAAAAGAAACTACCATCAGAGTGAACAGGCAACCTACAAAATGGGAGAAAATTTTCGCAACCTACTCATCTGACAAAGGGCTAATATCCAGAATCTACAATGAACTCAAACAAATTTACAAGAAAAAAACAAACAACCCTATCAAAAAGTGGGCAAAGGACATGAACAGACACTTCTCAAAAGAAGACATTTATGCAGCCAAAAGACACATGAAAAAATGCTCATCATCACTGGCCATCAGAGAAATGCAAATCAAAACCACAATGAGATACCATCTCACACCAGTTAGAATGGCAATCATTAAAAAGTCAGGAAACAACAGGTGCTGGAGAGGATGTGGAGAAATAGGAACACTTTTACACTGTTGGTGGGACTGTAAACTAGTTCGACCATTGTGGAAGTCAGTGGGGCGATTCCTCAGGGATCTAGAACTAGAAATACCATTTGACCCATCCATCCCATTACTGGGTATATACCCAAAGGACTATAAATCATGCTGCTATAAAGACACATGCACACGTATGTTTATTGCGGCTCTATTCACAATAGCAAAGACTTGGAACCAACCCAAATGTCCAACAATGATAGACTGGATTAAGAAAATGTGGCACATATACACCATGGAATACTATGCAGCCATAAAAAATGATGAGTTCATGTCCTTTGTAGGGACATGGATGAAATTGGAAATCATCATTCTCAGTAAACTATCGCAAGGACAAAAAACCAAACACCGCATATTCTCACTCATAGGTGGGAATTGAACAATGAGATCACATGGACACAGGAAGGGGAACATCACACTCTGGGGACTGTTGTGGGGTGGGGGGAGGGGGGAGGGATAGCACTGGGAGATATACCTAATGCTAGATGATGAGTTAGTGGGTGCAGCGCACCAGCATGGCACATGTATACATAGGTAACTAACCTGCACAATGTGCACATGTACCCTAAAACTTAAAGTATAATAATAAAAGAAAAAAAATAAATTTTCCTTTTATAATAGTACCTCTTTTACCATATTCCACAGGTTTTGCTATGCTATGTTTCTATTATTTGTTTCAAGAAGTTTTTCCATTTTCTTTTTAACATTTTTATTGACCTACTGATCATTCAAGAGCATATTGTTTAATGTCCAAGTGTTTGTATAGTTTCTGAAATTCATTTTTTAATCGATTTCTAGTTTGTTCCATTGTGGTCAGAGAAAATGCTTGAAATTACTTCAAATTTTTTTAATGTTTTTAGACTTGTTACTTAACATATGGTCTATCCTTGAAAATAACCCATGTGCAGAGAAGAATGTGTATTCTGCAGCTGTTGGATGAAATTTTCTGTAAATATCTATTAGGTTCATTTGTTACACAGTGCAGATTAAGTCTGATGTTTCTTTGTTGATTTTCTGTCTGGAAGGTCTATCCAATGACTAAAGTAGGGTGTCGAAGTGTTCAGCCATTATTGTATTGATGTCTCTTTCTTTAGCTCTTATAGTATTTGCTCCGTTTATCTAGGTGCTTTAGTGTTGGGTGCATATATATTTCCAATTATATCCTCTTGAAGAATTGATCTCTTTATTATTATATAATGACCTTCTTAATATCTTCCTACAGTCTTTTGTTGAAATCTATTTTTGTCTGGTATAAGTAAAGCTATTTCTGCTCTTTTTTGGTTTCTATTGGCATGGAATAACTTTTTCCATCGTTTTATTTTCAGTCTAAATGTATCTTTATAGGTAAAGTATTTTTTTTTTGCAGGTCACAGATTATTGTCTTGCTTCTCTATCCATTCATCCACTATTTGTCTTTTGATTAGAGTATTTTGTTCATGTACATTCAATGTTATTATTGATAAGCACTTACTCCTGCCATTTTGTTACTTGTTTTCTGATTAACTTTTGTCCTCTCATCGTTCTTTTCTTTCTTCCTGTCTTCCTTTTAGTGAAGGTGATTTATCCTTTAATATTATCTAATTTATTGCTTTTTACTTTTTGTACATCTGTGGTATGCTTTTTGATTTAAAATTTTCATGAGGCTTGAATATAATATAACACATCATTTTAGACTGTGGACAATTTAACATTGATTGCATAAACAAAGAAACAAGCAAAGCAACTAATAAAAACTCTACACTTTAACTCCATTGCCATTCTTTTAAACTTTTTGTTGTTTCTCTTCCTTCCCTATTTTACTGTCTATGTCTTGGAAATATGTTGTAGTTATTTTTTACTGGTTTATTGTTTACTCTATTTGAGATTTTTGCACACCATAATTACCATGTTATAATATTCTGTGTTTTTCCATGTGCTATTACTAGTTGAGTTCTGTACCTTCAGATGACTTCTTATTGCTCACTCACTTTTTTTCTTTCAGGCTAAGAACTCCCTTTAGCATTTCTTGTAGGACAGGTCTGGTGTTAATGAAATACCTCAGTTTTTGTTTGTCGGAAAAAGTTCTCATTTCTCTGTCAAGTTTAAAGGACTTTTTGCCAAATACATTATCCTAAGGTAAAAGTCTTTTTTTTCTTCAGCTTTTTTAATATGTCATGCCACTCTCAGCCTGTAAATTTTCCCCTGAAAAGTCTGCTGTCAGATGTATTGGAGTTCCACTGAATGTTATTTGTGTCTCTTCTCTCGCTGCTTTTAGAATCATTTCTTTATCCTTAACCTTTGGGAGTTCAGTTAAGTGCCTTGAGGTGGTCTTCTTTGGGTTAAATCTGCTTGATGTTCTGTAACTTTCTTGTACTTGAATGTTGATATCGAATGTTGGGGAATTATTTAATATTATTTAATATTATTTCTTTAAATAAATGTTTAATTTTTTTTTTTTTTTGACGGAGTCTCACTCTGTAGCCCAGGCTGGAGTGCAATGGCGCAATCTCAGCTCACTGCAAGCTCCGCCTCCTGGGTTCATGCCATTCTCCTGCCTCAGCCTCCCAAGGAGCTGGGACTACAGGCACCCACCACCACGCCCAGCTAATTTCTTTTTGTATTTTTAGTAGAGACGGGGTTTCACCGTGTTAGCCAGGATGGTCTTGATCTCCTGACCTTGTGATCTGCCCACCTCGGCCTCCCAAAGTGCTGGGATTACAGGCGTGAGCCACTGCACCGGGCCAATAAATGTTTAACTCTTATCTCTTTTTCTACCACCTCTTTAAGGCCAATAACTCTTAGATTCCTATTTTGAGGCTATTTTTTAGATTCTGTAGGCATGCTTTATTTTTTATTCTTTTTTGTCTCCTCTGACTTTGTCTTTTAAATAGTCTGACTTCAAGTTCACTAAATCTATCTTCTCCTTGATCAATTTTTTTAAGTAACTCTGATGCATTCTTCAGTATGATAATTGCATTTTAACTTCAGAATTTCTGCTTTATTCTTTTTATTTAAATCTTATCGTTAAATTTATCTGATAGAATTTTGAATTCCTTCTCTGTGTTACATTGAATTTCTTTGAATTACCTCAACCAGCTATTTTGGATTTCCTGTATGAAAGGTCACATATCTCTATTTTTCCAGGATTTGCCCCTGGTGCCTTATTTAGCTTGCTTGGTGAGGTCATGTTTTCCTGGATGGCCTTGATACTTATAGATGTTCATCTATATGTGGGCATTGAAGAGGTCAGTCTTTATTGTAGTCTTCACAGTCTGGGCTTGTTGGTGCCCATTATTTTTGGGAACACTTTCCAGGTGTTCAAAGAGACTTAGGTCCCAAGCCCAATACGTAGTAGCAAACACGTAGAGGTACTGCTTTGGTGGCCTTGGATTAACATCAAGAAAACTTCTCTTGATTTTTCAAGTAGAGATCTTGTTCTCTTCCCTTTCTTTCTCTGAAACCAGCAGTCTCTCTTTCTCTGCTGAGGCATGTGGAGCTGGAGTTGGGGTAACATAAGCACCCCTGAGGCCACGACCACTGAGACTATGCTGGTACACACTTGAAGTAGGCATAGAACTTGGTCTCACCCAAGGCCCACTGTAACCACAACTTGGCTACCATATAAGTTTATTCAAAGCCCTAGCCCTAGCCCTAACCCCAAACCCTAACCCAAACCCTAACCCTAGTCCTAGCCTTAGCCTTAACCCTTACCCTAACCCCTAACCCTAACCCCCAACCCCAACCCTTAACCCTTAACCATGACCCCTAACCACTGACCCCAACCCTAGCCCTAACCCTAACCCTAACCCTAACCCTAACTCTAAAACCCTAACCCCAACCCCAACACTAACCCCTAACCCTAACCCTCACCCTCACCCTCACCCTAACCCTTAACCCTAACACTAACCATCTAACCCTTCTCTGTAACTTAAACCTAACCATTACCCCAACCCTAAATCAAACTCTAAGCAAACCCTAACACACTAGGCACACAAGAACAGAGGTGTGCATATTCATTCTGTCATACTTATGTTTGCACTTCCTCTCACACATACACATCAACACGCTCACATATGCATACCCCTACACATACTGAAATGTCATCTGATTTGTGACCCAAAGAACTCTCAACTAAGAAATAAATGAAAAGTTGCTTACACTGACTAATACTGAAGGAAGTGCCAATTAAAAGAATATTAAAATATCTTTGCCTGCCTGTGTGCAGGCTGGGCGTGGTGGCTCCTGCCTATAATCGCAGCACTTTGGGAGGCAGAAGTGAGTGGATCCCTTGAGGCCAGAAGCTTGAGACCAGCCTGGTCAACATGAGGAAACCCCCATCTCCACTAAAAAAAAAAAAAAAAATAGTTGGGCACGTTGGCACGCACCTGTGTTCCCAGCTACTTGGAAGGCTGAGGCCTAAAAATCATTTGAACCCGGGAGTCGGAGGTTGCTATGAGCCAAGACTGTGCCACTGCACTCCACCCTGGGCAACAGAGCAAGAACCTGTCTCAAGAAAAGGACTGATATTTACTATTGGCAAAGGCTACAGGCACTCTCTTGCTAACCCTAAACCCTGACCTTGACCCAGACCTCATCATACTCTTCCCCACAATTCCTCAGGTATGTTTTCTTTCTGCTAATTTTTTTCCCCTAAACTTCTAACACTTAATACGCTACATAGTAAACCAACCCATACCCAATCCCATCCCCAATTTAACACTAAACCACACTAGGACTTCACATCACAAGAACAGAAAGGTACAGATCAATGTCTAGTATAATTATTCAATTAATAATGCTCAAGAGGCCAGGTGCAGTGGCTCACACCTGAAATCCCAGCACTTTGGGAGGCCAAGGCAGACAGATCACCTGAGGTCAGGAGTTTGAGACCAGTCTTGCTAACATGGTGAAACCCTCTCTCTACTAAAAATACAAAAATTAGCCAGGCGTGGTGGCGGGAGCCTGTAATCCTAGCTACTCAGGTGGCTAAGGCAGGAGAATTGCTTGAACCTGGGAGCCAGATGTTGCAGTGAGCCAAGATCGCGCCACTGCACTCCAGCATGGGCGACAAGAGTGAGACTCTGTCTCAAAAAAATTAAAAATAATAATAATAATAATGCCCAAGAAAATAATTGTCATTTCATACTAGCACGTATTTTGAGGATTGCACAACATGATCACTACATCCTTTTCTCAGAAAATCAAGCTGGTTTGGCATACTAAAGCCATCACTGCAAAGGAACATGAAATAAACAGAATAAAGAAGAAACCCACATGTACTTTAAACAAAGTCAACACCATTTCACCATAAAAAACACCCAACAAACCAGGGATAGGAATTTTCTAAACACCACAATCGGACTTCAGCACCATCTCCATTGTCAGGGCCCAGTGCTTTACTCCTAAGATCAGGACCAAGGCACCAATGCTCATTTTCATCACTGTATTCAACACTGTACGGGAAGTTCCACCCACAACAAATAGGAGAGAAAAAGAAGTAAAGAGAACTTATATGTGTTAGGAAGCAGTAAAAACAGCTACTCACAGATCACAGGAGCTATCTTATGTACAGAAATATCACGACAAACCCCCAAAATATTATTAAAACTAGTAAACTACAACACAAAATGTCAATACACAGTAATCTGTTGTATTTCCAGACACTAGCAACAAACAACATGAGAATGTAATTATGAAAACCATCCCAGGCTGGGGGTGGTGGCCCACACCTGTAATACCAGCACGTTGAGATGCTGAGGTGGGAAGATCTTTTGAACCCAGGAGTTTCAGGCCAGTCCGGCCAACACAGGAAAACACTCTCTCTACAAATAACTTAAAAATTAGCTAGGTGTGACGGTGCATATCTGTAGTCCTAGTTACTCGGGTGACAGAGGAGGGAGGATTGCTTGAGCCCAGGAGGTTTAGGCTGCAATAAGCCACGTTCGCACCACTGCACTCCAACCTGGCCAACAGGGCAAAACCATGCCTTGAAAAAGAAAGAAAAAGAAATTACATTTTTAAAAATCAACAGGCTGGACGTGGTAGCTGACACCTGTAATCCCAATGCTTTGGGAGGCCAAGAGAGGAGTATCACTTGAGAACAGGAGTTTGAGGCCAACTTGGGCAGGACAGCAAGACCCTACCTGTATAAAAAAATAAAAAAATTAGCCAGATGTGGTGGTGCATACCTGTAGTCGCAGCTACTTGGGAGGCTGAGGCGGGAAGATCACTTGAGCCCAGGAGACAGAGGTTGCAGTGAGCCATGATTGTGCCACAGCACTCCAGCCTGGGAGACAGAGTGAGATCCTGTCTCAAAAAAATAAAAATAAAGCAATTGCTCATAGAAATATGGGTTTATTTCTGAACTCAAAATTCAGTTCCATTGATCTATTCAATTGATTATACCAAAATCATGTTGATTTTATTACTGTTGCTTTGTAGTAGGATTTGAAATTTGGAAATGTGAGCCTCTGAGTTGTTTTTTTTTTTTTTTTTGACACTATTTTGGCTATTCTGCATCCCTTGATATTTCGTATAAATGACAGGATCAGCCTGTTGATTTCTGCCAAAAGGACGTTGGGATTGTAACAGGAATCACACAGAATCTGTAGATGGCTTTGTGTAGTACTGCCACCTTAAGAATTATTAAGTCTTCCAGTTCGTGAACATGAGGTGTCTTTAAATTTATGTAAGCTTTCTTGAATTTACTTCAGCAATGTTTTGAAATTTTCCATGTACAAGTTATTTTGTTGTTGTTTTTTGTTTTTTCCAGAGATGGGGTCTCACTCTGTCACCCAGGGTGGAGTGCAGTGGCGAGATCTTGGCTCACTGCAACCCCTGCCTCCCGGGTTCAAGCAATTCTCCTGCCTCAGCCTCCCAAGTAGCTAGGATTACATGCGCATGCCACGATGCCTGGCTAATGTTTTGTATTTTTAGTACAGATGGGGTTTCACCGTGTTAGCCAGGATGGTATCGATCTCCTGACCTCGTGGATCCACCTGCCTTGAACTCCAAAAGTGCTGGGATTACAGGCGTGAGCCACCATGCCCAGCCTCATGTACAAGTCTTGTACCTTGGTTAAATTTATTCCAAATAATATTATTACTGTTGATTGTTTTTTGAGAGAGTCTCACCCTGTCACGCAGCCTGGAATGCAGTGCCACAATCCTAGCTCTTCAGCATGAATCTCTTGGGCTCAAAAGATCCTCCCACCTCAGCCTCTAGAGTAACTGGAACTACATATGTGTGCAAGTACAACCAGTTAACTTTTTAATATTTATGTAGGGACAGTGTCTGGCTACGGTGCCCAGCTTTCATTCTAAAATTTTTAAAAATTCTGAAATTTTAGCCATGAATCAGGCATAAATACTGCGATGGTTAATTTTAGGTGTCAACTTTACCAGATTAAGGAATACACGGAGAGCTGTTAAAGCACTATGTGTGGGTATGTCTGTGAAGGTGTTTTCAGAAGAGGTATCATACTGGTATAACATATCACGGCATATCGTAATACTGATATGACACCCACAAGATGCTGTGACACCCATAAGACTGATGTGAAGCCCACAAGATTCATGGCACTCCTAAGACTCATATGACACCCATAATACTGATATGACACCTGTAAGGCTCATATGACACTCGTAAGACTGATGGGACACCTGCAATACTGATATGATGCACACAATACAGATATGACATCCGAAATAGTGATATGACACCCACAGTACTGCTATGACACCCCTAAGACTCAAGTGACACCCTCAATACTGATATGACAGCTGCAATACTGATATAGCATCCAGACTCTCACCGGGGTGCTTGGTACACAGCTTCCACTGACCTGAATTTGGACTGGGTTTGGCCTCTATAGTGAAGTTTGATGTCGTTTCTGCTTTACTGACATGGTATTACTGTGGTTGTTTATAATTTACTTTACAGTAATTTCATACTTCTAGGAATCTTGCAATAGCAGTGTAAAGTGTAACTTATCCCTTCTCTTAGATTCCTCAGCAGTTACAGCAACTCCACACAAAACACTCCAGTGTATTTTACCAAAACAAAGACAGCCTCCCAGCTAACTACCACGTAACTCCCAAATCAGGAAATACAAGGTCTCTACCTGACAATCCAATCCAGAGACCCATTTCACTTCACTGCCTGCCCCAACTGGGAGAAAAGGTCTCTTTCCATTTGGATTGGGTTTTCCTTTTTCTGGAATGTTCCTGAGCTGTCCCTCAGTTTCACAACGTTGGCAGATAACTCCCAGCTGGGTCTACCCCGTGTTTTCTCCTGAGTAGATGCAGACCCTGCGTTCCAAGCAGAAACACCTCAGCCCAATGCTTGCTCTCCTCAGTGCAACCCACCAGAAAGAGCACAATCCCCCTGCCCACAACTGGTGATCTCAACTTTATAATGGCAAAATTCTCATTTTCAAACCGAAGGTTCATCATGTCACTCTCTGATTTAACTTTTACAATGGGTTCCCACTGACCTTAGAACAAGGACCACAGGACTGACCATGACCTCCACACACTGTGTGCTCCTGCATGCTGCCCTTTCCAAGGCATTCAACCCCAGTGGCCTGCAGTCTCGTATGCTCTCTCTTACGGGACACAGCAGCCTCCTGGGTGTCTCGAGTATTTAATGCATATTCCCTCAAGCCATTCACCCAATGTCCACCCTTAGCAAATTGTCTAAGACATTGTCCAGCAAAATCCCTAAAGTCACTGCAGGTGTGGTATCTAACAGTTGTAAAGTTAATAATGTGGTTTTTCTAAAAACAAAATGTAATTATTTCTTAGATAATCTGCAAGAATCACCCGCAATTTGTAGATCAAGGAAATAATAGTTTAATGGAACCAAAGTCCATGTATGAGATAATTAGGAAAGAAAAACGAAATCTCAGTGTTGAACGAAAGGCAAATGGCGTAACTAATTACTGAAATTTAATAAGAACACACTGGGCCGGGCATGGTGGCTCATGCTTGTAATCCCAGCACTTTGGGGGGATCTGAGGCCAGCCTGGGCAACATGGCAAAACCTCATCTCTACAAAAAGAATACAAAAATTAGCTGAGCACGGTTGTATACACCTGTAGTCCCAGCTACTCGGGAGGCTGAAGCGGGAGGATGGCTCGAGCCCAGGAGGATGCAGTGAGCCGAGACGGTGCCAGAGGACTCCAGCCTGGGCAATCGGGCCAGACCCTAAAAACACTCTCCTCCTGACTCTTCAGGGAGCCAGACAGAATTCTCTCTCTTCTGCTGCCTCCTTTGTGTTTGAATATAAAACACAAAAACGAAAGCTTTGTGAAATAAATTTAACCAAGCTAAACAAAACACCTAAATAAAAGCTTTGTCTGGGAAACTTGCTCATCCTCATGTCAATTTCTATTACTGGAGAGCCAAGAAACCCTGGTCAGTAACAATACCACTGACAGCTCATTCCTGCAAAAGGTGTTGCGTTAGGCAGGAATTATTTTAAAATAATTAAAGCTTGTCATTGGGTCATAAGAAATTGTTTAATATAACAATTCCCTCAATTGAAAACAAGATAAACTAATAAGTATATTTTGTTGTTGTTGTTTTGTTTTGTTTTTTTTTTTATTATTATACTTTAAGTTTTAGGGTGCATGTGCACGATGTGCAGGTTAGTTACATATGTATACATGTGCCATGCTGGTGTGCTGCACCCGTTAACTCGTCATTGAGCATTAGGTATATCTCCTAAGGCTATCCCTCCCCACTCTCCCCACCCCACAACAGTCCCCAGATATTTTTTAAAATATTATTGATGGAAACAAACAGCAGAAATACATAGAATTAAGAATTCTGTTAAAAACTAGAAAGAGATAAATCAGAAGTCAAATAAGAAACTTATTGGCTAGGCACAGTGGCTCATGCCTGTAATCACAGTACTTTGGGAGGCCGGGGCGGGCGGATCAGCTGAGGTCAGGAGTTTGAGAACGGCATGGCCAACATGGCAAAACCCAGTCTCTACTAAAAATACAATAATCAGCCGGGCGTGGTGGCGCAGACCTGTAATCCCAGCTACTCAAGAGGCTGAGGACGAATTGCTTGAACACAGGAGGCGGAGGCTGCAGTCAGCCGAGATCTCCACTGCGCCACTGCACTCCAGCATGGGAGACAGAGCAAAACCCGGTCTCAAAAAAATAAAAAATAAAAGAAAGGAGAAACTTATTGAATCAAACTGGAAACTGAGAGAAAATGGATGATTTCCTAGTAAAAATACACAACAAAATGGACTCTAAAATAAGGAAAATTTAAATACACTGATTAGCATAGAAAAGCTTGGAGTGACCCTTAGAGATCCCCACTTAAAAAGGACCCCAGGGGCAGGGCGTGGTGGCTCATGCCTGTAATCCCAACACTTTGGGAGGACAAGGCGGGCAGATCACTTGAGGTAAGGAGTTTGAGACCAGCCTTGCCAACATGGTGAAACCCCACCTCTACTAAAAACACACAAAAAATTACCCAGGCATCATGGCGCACACTTGTAGCCCCAGCTACTTGGGAGGCTGAGGCAGGAGAATCGCTTGAGTCCAGGAAAGGGAGGTTGCAGCGAGCAGAGATTGCGCCACTACACCCTAGCCTGGGCAACTGAGTGAGACTGCATCTCAAAAAAAAAAGAAAAAGAAAAAAGAAAAATACCGCAGGGCCGGGCGCAGTAGCTCACACCTGTAATCCCCAGCACTTTGGGGAGGCCGAGGCGAGGGATCACCTGAGGTCAGGAGTTCGAGACAAGCCTGACCAATATGGTGAAACCCCATCTCTACTAAAAATACAAAATTAGCCGCATGCCTGTAATCCCAGCTACTTGGGAGGCTGAGGCAGGAGAATCGTCTGAACCCAGGAGTCAGAGGTTGCAGTGAGCCGAGATCTCACCATTGCACTCCAGCCTGAGAAAAAAGAGTGAAAATCTGTCTCAAAAAAAAAGTGGGGAGACCTTAGGCTGGGTGCAGTGGCTCACGCCTGTAATCCCAGCACTTTCGGAGGCTGACGTGTAAGGATCACTTGAGCCCAGGAGTTAAAGACAAACCTGAGGGACGTAAAGATCCTGCTTAAATTAGCAGTGCATGGTGGCTGGTGCCTATAGTCTAAGCTACTTGGGAGGCTGAGGCAGGAGGATTGTTGGAGCCCAGGAGGTCAAGGCTGCAGTAAGCCATGATCACACCACTGCACTCCAGCCTGGGTGATAGAGCAAGACCTTCTCTCTTAAAAAAAAAAAAAATCAATCAATAAAAATGTGAAGGCTGGGTACAGTGGCTCACACCTATAATCCCAATAATTTGGGAGGCAGAGGCAGGTGGATCACTTGAGGTCAGGAGTTAGAGATCAGCCTGACCAAAATGGTGAAACCCCATCTCTATTAAAAATACAAAATTAGCCAGGCATTCTGGTGCACACCTGTATTCCCAGCTGCTCAGGAGGCTGAGGTAGGAGAATTGCTTGAACCCAGGAGGCAGAGGTTGCAGTGAGCCAAGATAGGGACATTGCACTTTAGCCTGGGCAACAGGAGCTAAACTCTGTCTCAAAAAACAAACAAAAAAATTTTTTTTAATTAAAAAAAAAAAAAAAAGCAGCCAGGCCTGGTGGCTCAGGCCTGCCTGCAATCCCAGCACTTTGGGAGGCCGAGGTGGGTGGATCACTTGAGATCAGGAGTTCGAGACCAGCCTGGCCAACATGGTGAAACCCCACCTCTATTAAAAATACAAAATTAGCCCGGCGTGGTGATGCAGGCCTGGAATCCCAGCTACTCAGGAGGCTGATGCAGGAGAAGTGCTTGAACCCGGGAGGCGGAGGTTGCAGTGAGCTGAGATTGTGCCACTGCAGTCCATCCTGGGCGACAAAGTGAGACTCCATGTCAAAAAAAGAAAAGAGGCTTGGCTCAGTGGCTCACGCATGTAATCCCAACACTTTGAGAGGCCAAGGTGGGTGGCCACGAGGTCAGAAGTTCAAGACCAGCCTGGCCAAGATGGTGAAACCCCATCTCTACTAAAAACACAAAAAAATTAGCAGGGCATTATGGCAGGAACCTGTAATCCCAGCTCTTGGGGAGGCTGAGACAGAGCATTGCTTCAACCTGGGAGGTGGAGGTTACAGCGAGCTGAGCTCACGCCACTGCACTCCAGCCTGGGAGACAGAGTGACACTCCATCTCAAAAAAAAAAAAAAGCAAAAAGAAAAGATAAGAAAAGACACCGCAGGGCCATACGGGTTTACAGCTCAGTATTAAGTAACCTTAACGAAATCTGATTTTATTTAAAATGCTCAAGGCCAAGGGAAAAAAAAAGATTAGTGACTTTCTTCAATTAATTTTATGGTATCATGTCAAAGCTTGATATAGTTAATACATTTCAACTAACTTAGGATGAGAATGTTTATAAAACAGACATTTTCTGTACCATTACAAATACACTGCAAATTAAACAGACTTTCTCAACAAAAGAAAAACTGTTGTTGACGAGTTCACTTCCATTAGACGCACACAATGGTGTTTTTGGTTTTGTTTTCATTTGTTTTTGTTTTTTGAGACAAGGTCTCGCTCTGCTGCCCAGGGCTTGAGTGCAGTGGCGTGAGCATGATAATGTGCCTACTTTTCCATTTTCCTGTGTTGTTTCTACTATGTTAACAAATGAGCCTGAAAACACGGAGCACTGACCAGGCCAGGTGGCTCACGCCTGTAATCCCAGCACTTTGGGAGGCCGAGGTGGGTGGATCACCTGATGAGGCTGGGAGTTCAAGACCAGCCTGACCAACATGGAGAAACCCCGTCTCTACTAAAAATAAAAAATTACCCGGGCGTGCTGGCGCATGCCTGTAACCCCAGCTACTCGAGAGGCTGAGGCAGGAGAATCGCTTGAACCCGGGAGGCGGAGGTTGCAGTGAGCCGAGATCGCGCCATTGCACTCCAACCTGGGAAACAAGAGCGAAAGTCCGTCTCCAAAACAAAACAAAACACAAAATGAGCACTGATCCGGGGGCGCCCGTTTCCTCGACCTCAGGCTGTGGCGCCTGCCAGTCCCCAACATCCCCACCGCCCGACGGCGTCTCCGCGTTCCTCCTCCTCTCCCGGTACCAGGGTCTCTCCCCAGAAACAAACTCGCATTCGTAACCGGCATCTTGGCCTTGCGCTGGGGGTGACCCGCCCAAGCCGCCATGAAGGGACGCTTGCACAAAGTGAAGCCCAGGTACAAACAGCCCGACCCGCCCAAGCCGCCATGAAGGGACGCTTGCACAAAGTGAAGCCCAGGTACAAACAGCCCGACGGGAAACGCGGCCGCGCTCGCTCCGCTGCACTCGCAGCGGAGACAGGAAGCCTTTTCCTCACCTTTGCCTCGGCGGCCCCAGGTGTCCCGGAGCTGCAGCAGCGTCTCCCTGTCTTCACACCGGACGCGGCCCCAGGTGTCCCCAGGTGTCCCAAGCCCCGGCCCCTCCGGGGTGGGTGCTGAGGAGAGGGAGCTCCGTCCTCACGGTGGACCCCCCGTCCTCACAGTGGACCCCCCAGGACGCCGCCGTGCGGTTCGGACACGGTTCGCGCGCGCCGCCCTCCGGGTTTGGCAGGGCCGGGCGCCCCCTCGCGGCAGCTCTGGGGAATCTCTGGAAATCAGCGCCTTGATTTTTTCCAGGCCGTGATTTTGGAAATTTCAACTGAACTGGAGACCACCATCCCGTGCCTTGACCGGAACGCATGGAGATAGCAATCGAAGAAGATGGCCAGTTCACGCCTGTAATCCCAGCACTTTGGGAGGCCGAGTCGGGCGGATCACTCGAGGTCAGGAAATCGAGACCATTCTGGCCAACATGGTAAAACCGCATCTCTACTAAAAATACAAAAATTATCTGGGCGTGGTGGCACACGCCCGTAGTCCCAGCTACTCTGGAGGCTGAGGCAGGAGAATCCCTTGAACCCGGGAGGCGGAGGTTGCAGTGAGCAGAGATCGCGCCACTGCACTCCAGCCTGGCGAGAGAGCAAGACTCAGTATAAAAAAAAAAAAAAAGAAAAAGAAAAAGAAAAAAATAAATAAAAAGAAAGAAGGAAATAAGAAGGAAGAAAGGAAGGGGAAGGGGAAGGGAGAAGGAAGTTAAGAAGAGACTCCAGGCTAGGTGCAGTGGCTCACGCCTGTAATCCCAGTACTGCGGAAGACTGAGGTGTAAGGATCACTCGAGCCCAGGAGTTCAAGACAAATCTGAGCAACGTAAAGATCCTGTTGTCTGTGCCAACATTTTGTTTTGTTTTGTTTTGTTTTTTTTGAGACGGAGTTTCACTCTTATTGCCCAGGCTGGAGTGCAATGGCGCGATCTTGGCTCACTGCAACCTCCACCTCCAGGGTTCAAACAGTTCTCCTGCCTCAGCCTCCTGACTAGCTGGGATTACAGGCGCGCACCACCATGCATGGCTAATTTTGGTATTTTTAGTAGAGACCGGGTTTTGCCATGTTGACCAAGCTGGTCTCAAACTCCTGACCTCAGGTGATCCCCCCACCAAGGCCTCCCAAAGTCATTCACGCCTGGGATTACAGGCGTGAACCACCGCGCCCGGCCAATTTTTTTTTTTAATTAGCTGTGCATGGTGGCTGGTGCCTATACTCCTAACTACTTGGGAGGCTGAGGCCGGAGGATTGCTGGAGCCCAGGAGACCGAGGCTGCAGTGAGCTGTAATCACACCACTGCACTCCAGCCTGGGTGATAGAGCAAGACCTTCTCTCTTAAAACAAAACAAACTGAAAAAAGGCTGGGTGTGGTGGCTCACGCCTGTAACCCCAGCACTTTGGGAGGCAGAGACGGGTGGATCACCTGAGGTCAGGAGTTCGAGACCAGCCTGGCCCACATGAGGAAACCCCATCCCTACTAAAAATACAAAAATTAGCCAGATGTGGTGGTGGGCACCTGTAATCCTAGCTACTCAGGAGGCTGAGGCAGGAGAATTGCTTAAACCCTGGAGGCGGAGGTTGCAGTGAGCCAAGATCGCACCACTGCACTCCAGCCTGGGCGACAGAGCAAGACTCTGTCTCAAAAAAAAAAAAAAAAAAAGAAAAAAGAAAAAGAAAAAAGAAAAAAAGATAGCCAGTAGACGAAACTCTATTTATTTTCTTTCTTTTCTTTTTACTCTTAAAAAGGGTCTCGCTCTGTCGCCCAGAATGGAGTGCAGTGCCCTGAGCATGATAATGTGCTACTTTTCCATTTTCCTGTGTTGTTTCCACTACGTTAACAAATAAGCCTTAAAACACCAAGCACTGGCCAGGTGAGATGGCTCACGCCTGTAATTCCAGCTACTCTGGAGGCTGAGGCAGGAGAATCGCTTGAACCCGGGAGGTGGAGGTTGCAGTGAGCCTAGATCGCGACATTGCCCTCCAGCCTGGGAAACCAAAGCGAAACTGTCTCAAAAAAAAAAAAAAAAAAAAACACGAGCACTGATCAGGGGGCGTCTGTTACCTCGGCCTCAGCCTGTGGCCCCTGCCAGTCCCCAACCTCCAGACCGCCCGACGGCACAACGGCGTCTCCACGTTCCTCCGCTTCTCCCGGGACCAGGGTCTCTCCCCAGAAACAAAATCGCATCAGTAACCGGCATCTTGTCCTGTGCTGGGGGTGAGCCGCCCAAACCTCCATGAAGGGACGCTGGTACAAAGTGAAGTCCGGGTACAAATGGCCAGACGGGAAACGCGCCGCGCTCGCTCCGCGGCACTCACAGCGGGGGCAGAAAGCCTTTTTCTCACTTTCTCCTCGGCGGCCCCAGGTGTCCCGGAGCGTCTCCCTGTCCTCACAGTGGACGCGGCCCCAGGTGTCCCCGGGTGTCCCAAAGCTCCGGCCCCTCCGGGGTGGGTGCTGAGGAGAGGAAGCTCCGTCCTCACAGTGGAAGCCCCACGACGCCGCCGTGCGGTTCGGACACGGTTCGCGCGCGCGGCCCTCCGGGTTTGGCAGGGCCGGGCGCCCCCTCGCGGCAGCTCTGGAGAATCTCTCAAAATCAGCGTCTGGATTTTTCCAGGCCGATATTTTGGAAATTTCGACTGAAATGGAGCCCGCCATCCCCTGCCTTGACGGGAACTCATTGAGATAGTAATCAAAGAAGATGGCCAGTTCACGCCTGTAATCCCAGCACTTTGAGAGGCTGAGGCGGGGGGATCACTTGAGGTCCGGCGTTCGAGACCAGCCTGGCCAACGTGGTGAACCCTCGTCTCTACTAAAAATACAAAAATTAGCAGGCATGATGGCGCGTGCCTGTAATCCCAGCTACTCTGGAGGCTGAGGCAGGAGAATCGCTTGAACCCGGGAGGCGGAAGTTGCAGTGAGCTGAGATTGTGCCACTGCACTCCAGCCTGGGCAACAGAGCGAGACTCCTTCTCAAAAAAAAAAAAAAAGAAAGAAAGAAAAAGAAGATGGCCAGTAGACAAAACTAAATTGATTTTCTTTCTTTTCTTTTTAAGAGACAGGGTCTCGTTCTGTTACCCAGGCTTGAGGACAGTGGCATAATCACAGCTCCTGGGTTCAGCTTCCAGCTCCCGGCTTCAAGAGATTGTCCAACCTCAGCCTCCCAAAGCACTGAGATTACAGGTGTGAACCACTGTGCCCAGCCCCACCTGATTTTCTTTTATTTATTTATTTTAATTATTTTATTTTATTTTTTATTGGGGGGGTGGGTCTCATTATATTGCCCAGGCTGGTCTAGAACTCCCAAGCTCAAGTGATCCTCCCAACTCAGCCTCCCAAAGTGCTAGGATTACATGCGTGAGCCACCATGCACTGCCTGACCTTCTTTCTATCAGCAATAATGTATAGGAATAATTTGAACTTGAAATAAAAAAAAACCATTTACAATAGCACCCCCAAAATTGAATTTATTAAGTATAAATGTAACACAATACATGTAAATATGCATTCAGAAAACCTTGGATCATGGTTGGGAAGAATAAAAAATATATAAATAAATGCAGATACTCCTTGTTTAGGAGCAGTACACTCATTACTGTTAGCTTTACCACAAAGCTAAAGTAATGAAGAGAGTGATATTGGTGAAGGAATGGACAAATAGATGAACGGAATAGAATACAGAACCCAAAAGACCCAAATAAATATAGTCAACTGCTTTTGTCAAAGGGGCAAAAATATTCAATGGGGAAAGAAAGAAAAGTCTGTTCCACAGATGGTGACAGAACAATCGGAAACCATAGGGAAAAAAATGAACGTAGATACAAACTTCATAGCTCACCCCTAAAAAATCACTCAAGATAGTCTGTAGACTTAAATTTTCAAATATAAAATTGTAAAAGTTATAGAAGAAAATCCATATGACTTTGGATTGGTGATGAGTCTTTAGATACAATATCAAAAGCCAGTTCATAAAATAAAAAAAGATAATGTGGACTTTATTAAAATTTAAAATGACTATTCTATGAAATATCCCGTTAAGAGAATCAAAAAACAAGCCACAGACTGAGAGAAAATATTTAAAAAACAAACTTGAAAAAGACTTGTGTGTAAAATATACAAACAAATTCTAATAACAAAAAGAAAAACAACCCAATTAAAAGATAGACACCTCACCAAAAAAGATATACAGATGACATGCCCGGGTGCAGTGGCTCATGTCTGTAATCTCAGCACTTTGGGAAGAGGAGGCTGGCAATCACTTGAGGCCAGGAATTTGAGACCAGCCTGGCCAACATGGCAAAATCCTGTATCTACTAAAAATACAAAAATTAGCTGGGAGTGGTGGCTCACACCTGTAATCCCAGCTACTTGGGAGGTGGAGGCAGGAGAATCACTTGAACCAGGGAGGCAGAGGTTGCAGAAAGTTGAGATCACGCCACTGCACTTCAGCCTGGGCGACAGACCAAGACACCATCTTAAAAAAAAAAAATGGAGTTTTGCTGTCACAAGCCAAGAAACTAACAGAAGCTGAAGAGAGGCCCAAAACGGATACTTCCCTAGTGCCTTCAGAGGGAGCATGGCCCTGCTGAGACAGAGTAGAAATAGGACTCGGCCCACCCCCACTAACGTGTTGTTCCATACATGCCCGCTGACCACCAGACCTTGCCGCACCACCCTCCAGGTGCTGTACTCGCTGGCCAGACCTTGCCAACTGTCTGAAATAAACTAAGATAAGCAGCATCTGGCCGTAAGTCTTACTCAAGGGAGTTGACTCTATCACCCACTTGTGCACGAGGCCAGGAGAATGACTGATCCTTACCCCTGGCCTCATTATAATACTAAAGTCCCCACCCCGGTATAGGCTTATCTGCTATTTTCTGATCACGCAACGTATGTGTTAGCACGATTCTTTACTGCATCTGAGCACCCTTCACTCCACCCTGTAGGTGTAACGACACTCACCTAACTCATAAATTATGCATGTCACCCTCCTTAAGACACCACAATGCACTCCCCTTGGTGAGCCAGCCAAGAATCCTTCCTCCTGGCCAACCTTTAGGGCATAAGACTTAATAAAGCCTTGTCTGGGAAACTTGCTTGGCCTTGTATCAACTTCTGTTTCATGGGAGCCTAAGAACATGTAGTCAGGAATGCTGCCAACATCTTTATTTCCAACTTCTGGACTTCAGAACTGAGACAAATCTCTGTGGTTCTAAGCTACCCATTTTGTGGCACTTTGTTACGGCAGCCCTAGGAAACAAACGCAGGCACGTTCTGCTCCATCTGCCGCTCTCTCCAGACCACAGCTCTCCCTCAAACCCACCCCATGAGAGGCTGAGGACAGAAGCAGGACCCTTCACAGGCCACCATCACTGCTGGATGGTCATTTCCAGCACTGACTGGGAGCTCCAGCCTCATCTCTCAGTTTCTAGGAGCAAGTGGGAGGATGAGGACAAGGAGGAATGAGGGCTCTGGCCTCCCGGGAACTGTCCCTGAACCTCCACCCTGCTGTCCATGAAGCTGCCCCTGAGCCTCCACCCTGACCTCAGCCCAGTGCTGTCCCTGAGCCTCCACCCTGCTGTCCCCAGAGCTGCCCCTGAACCTCCACCCTGACCTCAGCCCAGAGCTGTCCCTGAGCCTCCACTACTGCTGTCCCCAGAGCTGCCCCTGAGTCTCCACCCTTACCTTAGCCCAGAGCTGTCCCTGAACCTCCACCCTGCTGTCCCCGGAGCTGCCCCTGAGGCTCCACCCTGCTGTCCCCGGAGCTGCCCCTGAGGCTCCACCCTGCTGTCCCCGGAGCTTCCCCTGAGCCTACACCCTGCTGTCCCTGGAGTTGCCCCTGAGCCTCCACCCTGCTGTCCCCGAAACTGTCATTGAGCATCCACCGGGCTGTCCCTAGAGCCCAGAAAGCCTAGGGCTGGCCAAACCTCACCCCTCACTCCTCCTCTGGCCCCTCTTCCCAGCCATCAGCACTTTGGAACAGCCATGAAGCCCCTTTTAATCTCTAGAAAGGTGCCTCAGGAAGGCACAGAGAGGTCACACCAGGTGGTCATGGTGCCTTACCTGTGTACACTGGGCCCAGGCTGGCCCTTTAAGGGGATGATGGTGGAACAGCTGAGAGACCACACCCCTCTTCTCAGAGAGGCCGGGGATAAAGAAAAGGGACAGCGGAAGGAAGAACCTGTGGGCAGATGCTGAGGGTAGAGGCTGCTCCCCACAGGCACTGAGCGGAGGGATCCTTTCTCCCTGAAGCTGCCCCTGAGCCTCCATCCAGACAGGACCTCCAACCACTGCTAGGGGCCCATTCTCAGGAGGTTCAGTCCCAGACAAGGGCTCCGGAGACTTAAGTCCATTTTCCCAAAATGGACATGATTCATCTGGCAAGTCAGGGACCCAGGACATCCAGGACCAAGCCTTGCTAAGGACGGAAGGGAGTAACATGCCCTGGTGGGGGACGTGGGGGCCAAGTCCTCCTGTGGCAGATAGGCAAGGGGCTGTGCCCTCCACTCTGTACACCCTGCTGGCAGCACATGCTCTGAGCTCAGGTCCCAGTGCCTTCCTGCTCCTCCTCCAGGCCCACAGATTTCCAAGGACCCGCTGGGCCACAGGTGAACAGTGCAGTGGCCTCCTGGATGCAGGGCTCCAAGGCTCCTCGTCGGGTGCCAGCACAGTCCTGGCTCAGCAGCACACCGGCCCTGTGGGCCCCCCATCCGAGTCTGGAACAGAGTGCAGGAGGAGGGAAGGGCTCAGGTAGCATGTTCAGAACTCATCCTGGGAGCAGCTGCCTCCTTTCTGGCAAGCCCAGCATCCCTCCTCCTCCAGGAAGCCCTCCTGAGGTCCACACCCAGAGGCCAAGCAGCGCCTGTGTCTTGGACATTCTGTCTTTCCTCCATGTGCCAGCCCAGCCTCATCACGGGACCCTGAGTCCCTTCAGGCCTCTCAGCACTCCCCCAGCACAGGACCTGGTGCCCACGGCAGCCTGAACCGAGGTACAGATGGTGATATCTGCCCAGGACAGAGCCAGCTCCTGACAGCATGTGCCTCAGGGCCTTTCAGCAGCTGCAGAGACTGGGCATTCCCAACACACACACACACACACACACAGACACACACACACAAACACACACAGACATAAACACACACAGACACACACAAACACACACACACGAACACACACAGACACAAACACACACAGATACACACAGACACACACATACACACACAAACACACACAGACACACAGACACACACAGACACACACACATAAACACACAGACACACAGACATACACACACACAGACACACACAAACACACACACATAAACACACACAGACACACAGACATACACACAGACACACACACAAACACACACACACACACACACAAGTCGCTGTCAGGACTGGTGACTTTCAAAGCACTGGGCTAAGGCGAGCAGACCTGGATCCTTCTGTGGGGCCACAGGCGGCCCCCGCCTCCAAAAGGAAGCTGTTCCCTTGGTGAGACCAGGAACCTCCATCCCATGCACAACACACAACACACCCTCCGTCACTGCACTGCTCCCTAAACACACAACACACCCTCTGTCACTGCACTGCTCCCTGGAGACAAACCTACGGCACCAGATCCCCACCCGCGGGTCTAAATAACCCCTGGCAGGTGCCCTGATTCTCTAGGGAAGGGCTGGTGCCTGCAACAGGATGACAGTCCAGGGGACAGTCGCGATCTGTGCCCTGCTCAGCCTTGTACTAGGCTGCCCAGGCTCGTGACAGTCACACCTACCACCTTGGGGAAAGGGGGAGACTCTGTGAAGAGCCAGGTGCCTGGTTTATGGTTCAAATTGAACATTTGGACAAAAATCTTGAAAACTAGTCTCCTCATTGAGAGAAAAAAGGATTTTTCTGCATAGTAAGTTGGAGCCGCGGTGTGGAAGGGACATCCTTGCTGCACAGGGCCCAGGGATGCCCTAGGGCACAGGGAGGGAAGATCCTGGAGAAGAGGGGTCAGCTTGGCCCAGACCCCAGGGAGGGGCCCTCACTGCTTCTTGTCCTTTGCCCAAAGTGAGGAGTCTGAGGGGAAAAACCAGAGACCATTCAATGGAGCCCTCCCTCTCCCCCTCCTCCCACCCAGGGGGCATGAACCGCCAGCCCAGCAGGGAGGGGAGGGGCTGATGCAACCCCCAAGTTGCTCACTGGTTCCTGGGCTGTGGGGGCCCAACAGGGCCACAGACGGGGAATTGCAGAGCCCACTCCACAGCTGTGGTGCCAGCATGCGATCTGTGGGGACCAGGGGACCAGGGGACCAGGGGACCAGGGGACCAGGCAGAGCAGGAGCCCAGAGGCAGTGAGAGCCCCAAGGGCAGCGCACACACCACAGACCCTTCCCCACAGCCAAGGGACAGACACCTTCGCAGAAGGAGGAGGTGAGGCACATGGTGGGTGCAGACAGCCGCAAACCAGAGGGGACAGAGATAAGTCATGAGAAATTTACATTTTTCCGTCAACAGTGGAACTGGAGACATGAGAACAAAAAGAAAAATCAGTAACGGAGAATAAAGCTAGTTTTTCCCCACTGGAGACACAGCGTATAAATTGAAATACACTGAATATACAGAAAAGGCTCCAAGCACTGACAAGTTTCCCATACTGGCCGCCAACCCTCATGAAAGCCAACATCTCTGGCAGGCCAGAGCTCTGGGCAACACCTGCCCCCGACGCCCTGCCGTGGTCTCTGCACACACCTGGAAGTTCCCATTGTGCACACCGTAGAGGGGCTAGAAGAACACTGCTAGAGAGGGCACATTCTAGTAGAAGGTTCTCTTCATCCTGAGGCCAGGAGAGGCCAGTCAGAGGCCTATGGGGACCCAGGTGGCCTGAGGTCACTGCAGAGGCTGAGCTTCCTTCCATCAGCAGGAGGTCCGCCCACCTCGTCCCTGCCACTGCCTCTCTCCCATCTCATCACATCCCAACCCACTCTCAGGGCAGGACCCAACTGGGCCTCCTTGCCTAATGGCCGCATAGAACTGACTTATACTGAGGCGCGCGTCCTTTACAGCATGAGCTGCGATGGCGGGTTCAGAACGGGGAGTTGTCAGCTAGATCCTCAGCCGGCGGAGGGAGCCGCACCTCCAGGAACTCTGTCTTTGCCATCAGCACGTCTGTGGCTCCCACCCCACCCAGTGTCTCCCTGAGCACCTGACTTGCTGCCAAGGATCCAGTGACCCTTCCACAAGGATGTCACCTGGGGCTCCAACCCAAGAGGTGCAAATAGACCTCGCCAACCTCCCCGCAAGGCTGTGCCCCATTTCCCCACCTCAGGGGTCACCGCTCGTATCTCATCCAGCCACACGTCCCCTCTATTTCTCCCCCTAAGACCCTGCAATTCCCTCCACCTTGCTCTATCTCCACTTCTTTCACTGGCTCACGCCAAATCATCTCCCTGTGGGCACCCCACTGGCCCCCACTGGCCTCCAGCAGGTCCCCCATGTCCCCTTTCCCAGCAATCCATTCCTCAAAACATAAACTAGGTCGTATTACACAGTTTCACACTTTCCTTTGCTCCAAGGAGAAGCCAAGCACCCTCCCGCTTAGCCCCACCCAACACCCCTCTCCCCACACCCTCTTCCTCACATCCTCCGCCTGACATGGCCCCTGCACTCCCTCTTGTAACCTGACATGTGGTGCATGAGGCGTGATGGTTTATTTAAGGAGGGTCCTTGTCCATCTTGTTCTCTAAGGCATCGGCCAGGGTGAGAAGAGGGTCCTGTGTACACCAGATGCCCCAACTGTCCTTTTGTAGAACATTGAACAAATGAACAAACCAAGCTCCTCCAGAGGCAGGAGACTAGGACCCCGGGCTCTTGATCTCGGTGACTCTGGGACTGGTCGGGACCAAGCTGCCCTTATCTTCAGCCTCTGCCTCAGACCCCCCTTCCCTGCTCTCCCCTGGCAAGTTGAGAACCCTCTTCTGGACCAGGGTGGAGACTCGAAAAGCCCACCCCATCCAGGACCAGGCAGTGGAGAGGGGAGGGGAGGAACCAGACAAGGGCGGCCCTTGACGGCCCACCCACCACACACTCACACATGCACACACTCACACATGCACACAGTCACACATCTGCACACATACACTAACATGCACACTCTTGCCCGCTCACACATGTACACACACGCACACATCAGCCACCTACCTGGGCGACAGCTTGAACAGGAGGTAGGTCGGGCCAGTCAGCAGGAGAAAGATGGACACAGCAACAAGGGTGTTGCCTGGCCACCCCCAGGGTGGGATCAGAGGGTCCGTGGGCAGGAAGGGCCCAGGGCTGTGAGCAGCGTCAGTGCCAGGAGGCTCCCCCCAAACCCACCTGGCAAAGGTGCGCCCTTTAGTGCCCTGGGCCAAAGTGGAAGGTTTGTGATGAGCCTTGGAGGTTTGTGTCATCTGCTGAAGGACCTTGTGATGGGCCTTGGAGGTTTGTGTCACCTGCTGAAGGACCTTGTGTGAACCACACTCCTGGGCCTCACTCTTCCCATCTGCCACACGGTGGGTCATAAAGTCCCTGGGCCGTCTCAGCACTGCAGTGCGCAAGGGTCAGTCCAGCCCCCATTAAGGACACTGAGGTCATGTCCAGCCTCCAGGCAGGAGCCCAGCCCTGGTGTGCAGCCCTGCCACCCTCACTCCTAACAGGAGCCACTGACTACAGGTTCCCAGGAAGCCCCAGAGTTGGCAGGTGTTTGTGTCCTCCCTGCAGACCTCAGACCTTCAGAGGAAGGGGGTCAACTGGGACATGGCTGCCTCAGGGAGGGGCTTCCAGGAGGCTGAAAGGGAGTGGGGGACACCCAGCCCAGACTCTGGAAGTGCGGCAGCCATAGCAGCGCCCACCTTGTCTCTGGGGAGCCTGGAAGCACACGGGCTGGCTCCCCTCGCTCCA
Organism: Homo sapiens; assembly: GCF_000001405.40. NCBI lineage: Eukaryota > Metazoa > Chordata > Mammalia > Primates > Hominidae > Homo > Homo sapiens. The sequence continues at coordinate 138,139,348 of NC_000009.12, read as the reverse complement.
CCGGCCTGTGCCCCGTCATCCTCCAGCATGGCCGTCTGGACACGCAGCTTGGCCTCAAGGATAAAGCCAGGGTCCAGCTCAAAGGCTTCAAGTATGAGCCAGGTCACCCCGACAATGTGATCCCTGCGCTGGGCCCGCTGTGGGGGTGGCGACAGTTGGCAGGTGCTGAAGGTGGGGCTGGGTCCCTCAGCCCTTGAGAATACACACACGCACACGCTCACATAACACATACATGAATGCACCTGTGTTCACACAGGCACACTCGCCATGTTCACGTGCACACACACACACAGAGAAGGCACACTCACACACAGATACAGCGTTTGCCCACAAATACAAATATGCACACACAGGCAAACATGTCTACAGGCACACTTGCATGCACACTCATATACACGAGTGTGTGCACAGAAGCAACTCACCACACTCACATACACGTACACACAGGCATGCCCATGTGCACACTCACACATACAAACACAAGGCGCAGACACACTCATATGTACACTTACAAACACAAACATGGGCACACTTGTAAGTGCACACATAAACACATGCACACTTACCACACTTATGTGCACACACAGAGACACAGGCACACTCACCCTACTCACATACACACACATGAAGCACACACATGTAAATGTCAGCCTGTGTGTGCACACACACACCTGGCTCCAGTTCCTCCCCTCCTCATCACTCCAAGTTGACCTCGCCTTATTTAGAGTGGGGAGTCTGCCCTGGACTGCTGCTCCCAGGAGAGAGGCCCCCAGGAGAAAAGCCAGCCAAAGTGTTACCTCCCAGGCCTCTTCCTGCCTCTTGAAGGCCAGCTCATAGCTGAGAAGTGTGGTCACTGACTCCAAGGCAGGACTGAGGCTCCAGGTCAGGATGCAGTGGCGAGATGACGTGCTCTGCAAGTCAGAGTGGGTCCAGCTTCACAGGAACAGAGAGAATCCATGTAAGGCTGAAGCCCCATGGGTCTGGGTGTGTCAGTCAGCACACCCAAGACTGGGGATCTGAAAGATTCCCAAGGGGCATGGTCAAGACCCTCTCAGACCAGACACCTCACTGGGAGACTGGTCCAGAAAAGCCCCAGGCGGGACAGGACAGCAGTGACTTCCTTTGGCCCCTGCAGTAACCACGTGGACCCTCCCTTCCCAGGGGCCAAGCCTGCCCCCAGCCCTGGATCTTACTTGGCAGGGACTGAGAACACTTACTGGGCCACGGGGGTCGCAGGCTGCAGGGCCTTTCTCCCAGCCCCCAGGCAGCCAGGATGTTCTTGCCAAGGGGCCCTGCCCCAGGCCTATAGCTGCTGTTCACCGTGTCTCCAGGGCAGGTACTACAGGTCCACCAGGCTGACCCGATCCCTCCCGGACACGCAGTGGTAGAAAGTGATGATGAAATTGTCAGATGGCAGGAGTGCTGCCTTGGGCGGCAACACTACAGTGCACTCACTGCCCTGCCAGATGCACTTCTGTGTGCCACCAGCAGCCTGGTTGCTGAAAAGGGCATGTGTCAGCACCACGGGGCTGCTACACTATCCTGGTGCAGCTGCTGCAATCCTCACCCTCATCCCTATCCAGGTGGGCATGGCCCTCCACCCTCACCTGATGAAGGGGAGCCCGGGGCTGGAGCCCTGACCCAGCTCTGGGGCAGACCAGTGGCAATCAATCCTGAGAATGTTGTTGGTGAGGCAGGTGGAGGTTCCAGCCCTTGGCCCTGGAGACAGTGACGGCTGGGAGCCCACAGTGAGTGCTTCAGAAGAGAGCTGAGTTGGGGGGTTGGGGGGGATCCGACAGCTGACATCCTAGCAGGGCAGTCACCAGTGAATGACCCCAGAATCTGTCCAGGGAAGCACTGGGAGGCCTGGGAAGTGATGGGCTCTGACCCATGGTACATGGGAAAGTCAGAACCAGAGAGGTGTCAAGAGGGTGAAGGAAGGGTCGGTCCAGGGACCGGAGGTAGGGAGGTAAAGGAAGAGAGACTAGAGACAGAGGTCCAGGCTGACCCCTAGAGGACATGCCCCAGCACAGTTTGGGCCAAACCTTTCCCTAGGGGCTCGACATTGGACAACCCAGTCCCCCAAACATACCCTAGTTCTCCACCCACCTCATACAGACACTAGTGCCCAGCCCTCACCTTGTCCATCCCCTGAGACAGAGACTCCCGAGCAGACACAGGTGCAGACGCAGGTGCAGGCCAGAAGCCAGGTGCCCATGTCTCGTCTCAGGGCCTCACTCTCCAAGGTCCAGCCTGCAAGGGGCTGGGCTGAGGGCCTGTGCGAGCCATCCCTCTCTGGAGGGGTGCTCCCCATGAATTGTTCCCTAGCAGAGTGCTCAGTGGATCTCCATCTGCACTCACGTGGTGTCCTGTGAAAGATGCTGGGCACCACTGCCCAGGGTTTACTGATAAGGAACTAAAGCTCAGAAAGGCCGCTTGACCCTGCCAAAGACTCATGATTGCAGGCTGTAAGATGCACCCTCAAACTTAGATCCTGGACTCTGACTCAGCTAGATCTCCACGTCTGCCAAGAAGGCTCCTCTCTGGGACAGGCATCCTCTGCCAGCCCATCCCCTGTCCCTGGGCCCAGGCCCCATCCTGCAGGGGAGTCGGGATCGGGGGAACCACTCACTACCAACAACCACCACAGGTGCATTTTCTACTTTAATTCTCACAACAGCTCTGTAAGGGAGAAGCACTGTCCCTGTTCACAGGCAAGGAGCTGAATCCCAAGAAGGGAAGGAGGAGAAATCACTTGCCCAGGGTCACATAGACAACCTCTATGAATTTATTTATTAATTAATTAATTTATTTATTTTTGAGACGGAGTCTCCCTATGTCGCTCAGGCTGGAGTGCAGTGGTGTGATCTCGGCTCACTGCAACCTCCAACTCCTGGGTTCGAGCGATTCTCCTGCCTCAGCCTCCCAAGTAGCTGGGATTACAGGTGCCCGCTGCCACACCCAGCTAATTTTTTTGTATTTTTAGTAGAGGCAGTTTCACCGTGTTGGCCAGGTTGGTCTCGAACTCCTGACCTCAAGTGATCCACCCACCTCGGCCTTCCAAAGTGCTGGGATTACAGGCATGAGCCACCGTGCCTGGCCTCTATGCATTCTCTCTCCCTTTTGTGTTCTTACATAAAGATCCATCCCAGGATCTGCCCCAGGAAGGTGGACAAGGGTGGCAGCAGGGTATCCATGCAACAGATGGCACTTCCTGAATTCTATCTGTTGCACCCCTGTTCGACGGTACCTCCAAAGGAGAGCACCACCAGAAGGACGAAGACCCCCCCCTGCTGGAGTGTGAGGCCTGGGTCCCAGGATCTCTGGGGGAGCCAGAGGTTGGCTGGAGATGAGGCGCTGAGTGTCAGGAAGTTCTTGGGTGTGGGAAGGCTACTGATGCCCCATCACCCCATTTGCAGCTCCAGACGGTACACCCATAGCCCGTAGGCAGGAAGCAGGGCCAGCCTGGTTACCAAAGGCTGATTAGTGATAAGGAGAAGAAAAAAAACAGACATACGTGCTGGCTACAGGGTGCACACTCTTAAGGAACCCGCACACCCTCAACGGGCATCAGGCACTACTCTAACCCCACTCTGCCCCACTCCCGGTAGCGTATCCAGGTACCCATAGGACAGTCCCCTGTTAAGACTGATGATCAGTAATCCTCACCCTTTCTAGAATGGAGCGTGCAGCCTGGAACCACCAGCCGCAGCATGAAACACCGTGGCAAGCTCTCTGCAGCAGTGTCTGTCCCTTTGTGCAACAGTTACTGGAAAGGTAGGAATGGGGAAGACAGTCAGCCTGCTCTTAGGATATCTGAGGGCAGGGTTGGAGTGACCACAAGGACCTGGGGAAGCACAGGCACAACAGCCATAGCTGAGAGCTGACCCAGGCCCCAGAATGGACAACCGCTGCCCCAGCACTGGAGAAACACCCACATCTATGTAGAATCAGGCCAGGCCAGCCACAAGCTAACCCAGGAGCAGATGGCTTGAGAGCATGGAGTGGGGTGGCTTCAAGCTCAGCAGGCCTCGTTTCAAGACAGGGAGAGGGGATGGTACGGCAGGACCCACATGTGACATCTGAGAGCTACAAAGGAGGAGGCCAGGACACCCCCTGGGGGAGCACTGGAAAGTTGGGTACAGCAACAAGGCAATATGGCCATCTGAGGGGAAGGGCTCTGCTTTTCCTCTGCACTGAAAACTCACAGCTGTACCTGGTAAGCTGAGCAGGGCAGGGTTACCACCCTCCTACAGATGAAGAAACTGAGGCTCAGAGACCTGGGACCTGCCCAATATCTGGCTCCTGACACCTCTTCTTAGCACATTTCCACCAGCTTCTACACAAGCCTGTGAACTTCCCGAGGGGAGTGCCTGCGAGGCACCCTCAGCACATGCCCCAGCAGAAGGCACACAGTGCTTTACAAATGGGGTGGAGCTGCAGGCGGAGTGCCTTCCCCCATCCTTGGCCACAGGGCCAGGCAGCCAGGGCAGGTGCACACACCCCCCACCCACATGCTCCCTGCTCCTGGATGTCACCAGGGAGGCCTCACCACAGCTCAGACAACACCCGGTCACAGGACAGTTGTGAGAGCAGGAGGGGAAACCAGTGTCTGCCACCTGGGACAGAGCTGCCCCTGACATCCCTAGACCTGCTAGGGAGCCTGGCTGACATCACTGCCTGGCACAGCTTCTGCCACATTGGGTCTGTGGACATAGCCTTCAGCCCATGGTCACTCTGGTCCCTTCTCAGAGCCGCACCTATTCCATGGCCTCAGCATCAAGGCCTGGCCCAGAAGGCACTGGGCCCCACGGCCTGCCTGCCCTGGTTCCCTGGGCCACTGCGAAGCTGTGGGCTGCTCTGCAGCTGGACCCCTGCCTCAGACCACAGGCTCTGCCACACCCACGGGAGGGTCTTCAGACAAGCTCAGCCCTTCCCCCTCCATTAGCCGGGCATGGTGGCCCACGCCTGTAGTCCCAGCTACTTGGGAGGCTGAGGTGGGAGGATCACCTGAGCCCGGCAGGTTTAGGTTGTGGTGAGCCGTTATCACACCAGTGTACTCCAACCTGAGTGACAGTGAGACCCTGTCTCCAAAAAGAAAACCAACAACTGCAGCAAGAATATTACCAAAGTTGAGAAAACTAATGCAGCAAAACAGGAATCTACTAATATGTGTTAAAACTGGCAGTGGTAAAAGCATGTGTGGATCAGGAACAAGCTTAGGTGGACAAATGTATGAAGACTGTGAAATCATAAAGTGCTTAAAGTGTACGGTTTTTCACTGCTTCATCATCATTATTATTATTTTTGAGACGGAGTCTCACTCTATCACCCAGGCTGGAGTCCAGTGGCATGGTTTTGGCTCACTGCAACCTCCGCCTCCCGGATTCAAGTGATCCTCCTGCCTCAGTCTCCCAAGTAATGAAGGGGCCTGCCCCTCCATACCTGTCGGTATTTCTTGCAAGATGGAGACAAGAGACTGAGAAAAGGAAATAAGACACAAAGACAAAGTATAGAGGAAGAAAAGGGGACCGGCGCTCAGCAAGTGAGGACCTGCACCGGTGCTGGTCTCTGAGTTCCTCAGTATTTATTGATCACTATCTCTACTATCTCGGCAAGGGGGATGTGGCAGGACTATAGGGTAATGGTGGGCAGAGGGTCAGCAGGAAAACATGAGCAAAGGAATCTGTGTCATAAATAAGTTTAAGGAAAGGTGCTGTGCCCGGATGTGCATGTAGGCCAGGTTTATGTTTGACTTTACACAAACCTCTCGATGCAGTAAAGAGCAGTATTGCCGCCAGCATGTCTCACCTCCAGCCACAGGGCAGTTTTCTCCTATCTCAGTAAATAGAATGTGCAGTCGGGTTTTACACCGAGACATTCCATTCCCAGGGACGAGCAGGAGACAGAAGCCTTCCTCTTATCTCAACTGCAAAGAGGCCTCCCTCTTTCACTAATCCTCCTCAGCACAGACCCTTTATGGGTGTCGGGCTGGGGGACGATCAGGTCTTTCTCTTCCCACGAGGCCATATCTCAGGCCGTCTCACTGGGGGGAAACCTGGACAATACGCAGGCTTTCTTGGGCAGAGGTCCCTGCGGCTTTCCGCAGTGCACTGTGTCCCTGGTTAATGGAGAATGGAGAATGGCGATGACTTTTACCAAGCATACTGCCTGCAAACACATTGTTAACAAAGCACATCCTGCACGGCCCTAAATCCCCTAAACCTTGAGTCAACACAGCACATGTTTCTGTGGGCACAGGGATGGGGCTAAGGTTACAGATTACCAGCATCTCAAAGCAGAAGAATTTTTCTTAGTACAGATCAAAATGGAGTTTCTTATGTCTTCCTTTTTCTACATAGACACAGTAACAGTCTGATCTCTCTTCCTTTCCCCCACAGAGTAGCTGGGATTACAAGCATGCACCACTATGCCCAGCTAATTTTTGTATTTTTAGTAGAGATGAGGTTTTGCCATGTTGGCCAGGCTAGTCTCGAACCTCTGACCTTAGGTGATCCACCCACCTTGGCCTCCCAAAGTGCTAGGATGACAAGTGTGAGCCACCACACCTGCTTCTCTGTATTATTCATCAGCAAGAACTCTGTGGGAAATATCTGAATCCATTGTCAGTGGTGAATCTATTGACTCTTTCAGTGGTGTCAATGGTGTACTTCATTTGCTCTCCTGCACGTAACCAGCATTCACAGATGCACATTTGCAATTGATTTCGATGACAGGGAACATTAACTGTGAACCCCAATTAAGCAAAATGGCATCCACTCTTCTCAGTAATAGACCCACATTACAAAAATTAAACTCAATTATTATTACATTTTGAATTTTGCCTATAATCACATTCTGAGGTTAAATTCAAAAAAAATAAAGAAGTATTAAATTTTTTTTAAAATTGCCTATAAAAAACATATCGAAGTTGCCAGTCTGGGCAACATGGCAAAACCCTGTCTCTACCAAAAAAAAAAAAAAAAATTAGCTGGGCATGGGGCGCACCTATAGTCCCAGCCACTAGGGAGGCTGAGATGGAAGGATCACTTGAGCCCAGGAGGTCCAGGCTGCAGTAAGCTGACATCATGCCACTACATTCCAGCCTGGGCAACAGAGTGAGACCCTGTCTCAAAGAAAATTAAAAAGTAAGTAATTATACTATTCACCCTCTGACCCTTAAGAAAACAGTTTGTAAACCCCTCAAACAGGTTATTATTATATCCACTTTATAGATGAGGAAATGAAGGCAGAGGTTCTGCAACTTGACCAGGGTTTCACAGCTAAGGTGCAGTCAGGGACGCTGGCTTCAGAGTACATGATGTGTACCGTGGGTCCATGCTGCCTTCCAACAACAAAACTGAACAGAAGAACTGTCACCTGAGGAAGTAAAACTAACAGCATAAGCAGAAGACGTTACAGATAATGCCCACGTGATAAAATCACATTTGGGAAACCAGAACAAACTATTCTGAACTAGAGCCAATTAGAGATAATAAGCTCAGGAACTGGTTAACATGTTCAAACAATACGAAAACAATCATATTAAATGTAAAGATTGGCCGGGGGCAGAGGCTCACACCTATAATCCCAGCTCTTTGGGAGGCCAAGGTGGACGTATCACCTGAGGTCAGGAGTTTGAGACCAGCCTGACCAACAGGGAGAAACCCCATCTCTACTGGAAATACAAAATCAGTCAGGTGTGGTGGCACATGCCTGTAATCCCAGCTACTTGGGCAGCTGAGGCAGGAGAATCGCTTGAACCTGGGAGGCGGAGGTTGTGGTGAGCCAAGATTGTGCCATTGCACTCCAGCCTGGGCAACAGGAGCGAAACTCCATTTAAAAAAAAACAAAAAAAGAAAGAAAAAGTAAAGATTATACCATTACTGGGAAAGATACTAAGTCTCAAAAGAGTAAAAACTGCACCAAAAGCAGAAATTTAAGTATCACAATTTCATAAGCAAGAATACACTATTAAAAGATTTGGAGTCCGGGCGTGGTGGCTCACACCTGTAATCCCAGCACTTTGGGAGGCTGAGGCAGGAGGATCACTTGAGGCCAGGAGTCTGAGACCAGCCTGGCCAACATGGTGAAACCCAGTCTTTACTAAAAATAAAATAATTTGCCTGGCATGGTGGCACATGCCTGTAATCACAGCTACTCAGGAGGCTGAGGCAGGAGAATCGCTTGAACCTGGGAGGCAGAGGTTGCAGTGAGCCAAGATCATGCCACTGCACTCCAGCCTGGGCAACAGAGCAAAGCCCTGTCTCAAAAAAAAAAAAAAAGATGTGGAGTGGGGAGTGGTGGCAGCTACTTAGAGGCCAAGGCGGTAGGATCACTTGAGCCCAGGTGTTTGAGCCCATCCTGGGCAACATAAACAAGACCCCATCTCTTTCAGAGAGAGAGAGAGAGATTGATTTAGAAAGCAATTAAGACTGGGGCCTTGACCAAGAATCAATTATCAAGAACCTAGACTCAGCTAGTCTGAGGTGTCCTTTCTCTTCTGAGAGTTGAATGATTAACACAGAAAGTATAAAGTATAAAAACATAGTGCCGGGCGCGGTGGCTCATGCCTGTAATCCCAGCACTTTGGGAGGCCAAGGCAGGTGGATCATCTAAAGTCAGGTGATTTGAGACCAGCCTGGCTAACATGGTGAAACCCTGTTTCTACTAAAAAGACAAAAAATTAGCTGGGCATGGTGGCATGCGCCTGTAGTCCCAGCTGCTTGGGAGGCTGAGGCAAGAGAATCACTTGAACCCGGGAGGCAGAGGTTGCAGTGAGCCGAGATCATGCCACTGCACTCCAACCTGGGCGGCAGAGCGAGACTGTGTCTCAAAAAAAAAAAAAATAGAATCTTATACGTTTAATGCAACCCTAGGAAGCAATCAGGGAAGGTTCAAAAAATGAATAAGGGAATAAGAATAGGAGTAAAGAAATAAATTGAAATACCAGTGATGAGGATTTTCATAGCCTGTTCAAATCTAAGTATGTAGTCAATTTTGGGATCACTGTGATTTGGGGTTTGCTTTCTACTTAATAAGCTATTTAAAACACTGAGAAGGCAATATTAGAACTTTCATTTTAACGAAATATTCAGAATTTTGATTAAAATAAATACTAAATTAAGTTTACAAGCAACAGTTAAATATTTAGAGACATTTAATGTACTCAGTTTTGCAAACAGTACAAACATTTAAGAGTGTTGATTGAGGCTGAATGCGGTGGCTCACGCCTGTAATCCCAGCACTTTGGGAGGCTGAGACGGGTGGATCACGAGGTCAGATTGAGACCATCTTGGCTAACACAGTGAAACGCTGTCTCTACTAAAAATACAAAAAAAATTAGCCAGAAGTGGTGGCGGGCGCCTGTAGTCACAGCTACTCAGGAGGCTGAGGCAGGAGAATGGCGTGAACCCATGAGGTGGAGCTTGCAGTGAGCAGAGATCGCACCACTGCGCTCCAGCCTGGGCGACAGAGTGAGACTCTGTCTCAAAATAAAAAAAAATAGTATTGATTGGGAGTAAGGGAATGTCAACTGCCAATAAATGTAGAAGATGAAGGAACAGGACTTTAAACAGCACATACTTAGTTATGGGTCTCCGTCTCCTACCCATACAGAAAAACTCCCCAACATTCATGACTTCATCCACTCTGACTAGCAGATAGGCCACATTTCCTGACACCCTGGCTCTTCACCTCAAAAGGTTTGTCTTTCCACCACACCAGCAAAGACCCTCAGGATACACGATTCACACTGCCAGCTAAGCATCTACCCCAAGGGACAAGGTAAGCACACACTGAAGCAGCTGGGCCATCCTAGTCCTAATCCCTACAGCAGTGTCCACCCTGAGAATTGCAGCACTTGTAGAAGGTGGTCATCAGCTCGTCTGCAGAGCGAGTCTGAAGCTGCATGAAGTAAGCACGAGGATGTTTGCATTTGAGACATGGCTCTAGCAATCAGAAAAATAAAGAAGTGACCCACATTAAAAAAAAATGTTGCTCATGACTGTTAAAAGTAGGTATTACTATCCTTTTTTTTTTTTTGAGACGGAATCTCCCATTGTCGCCTGGGCTGGAGAGCAGTGGCACACTCTCAGCTCACTGCAACCACCACCTCCCAGGTTCAAGCAATTCTCCTAACCCAAACCCTAGCCCTAACACTACACAAACCCAAACCCGAACCCTAACCCTAAACCCCAACACTAACCCCTAAAGCTAACCCTAACCCTAACCCCTAAAACTAACCCTAACCCTAACCCTAACCCTAACCCCAACCCTAACCCTAACTTCTTAATCAACCGTATTGACTAATGAAGTAAACATGAGTAGGCCAGTCGAGATGGCTTACATCTCTAATCTCAGCACTTTGGGAAACTGAGGCAGGCAGATCACCAGAGGTCAGGAGTTCAAGACCAGCTGGCCAACATGGTGAAACCCAGTCTCTACTAAAAATACAAACATTAGCCGGGCATGGTGGCAGGCGCCTGTAATCCCAACTACTCAGTAGGCTGAGGCAGGAGAATCACTTGAACCCGGGAGGTGGAGGTGGCAGTGAGCTGAGATCACACCACTGCACTCCAGCCTGGGCGACAGAGCCAGACTCCATCTCAAAAAAAAAAAAAAAAAAAAAAAAGCAAACATGAGTGTTTAAACCTGAAATTTTTTGCAACTGGTATATGTGTGATATACACACACATACACACACACAGGGCTGGAGAATATAGTAAGGTAATATTCTGTCCAGTAAACTCTTATGAAATTTCAATGATCAATGGTGCCCTCTGCCTTTCATTCTGCATTGAGATTTTATTTTTCTTTACTGATTATCCCAAATATGGACTCTGCTTTTATGTATCTATTTCCTTGATTTATAAATTAAGGGTGATTCTCACATATGATCTACCAAACATTTTTTTTTTGGTCTAAAAAAATCACGTCAGAACATTTGTGTTGTTAGACATCATAACCGCTGTGACTTGAAGGATCTAGGTAGACAGAATCTTAAGAGTATTTGATAAGAGGGTGTTGGATGTGCATAGAGTTCCCAAGACTCCCGAGAGCCTGCTGTGTCCCTGCAGGTGGAGGCCGCAACGCAGGCAGCTGGGCTGGGCTGGGCGGGAGAGGGCAGCAGGTGGGAGCGCTCAGGGACTGGGGGCCAGGTCAGTTCTGCGACCCCTGTTCTGATGCCAGTGGGAAACCATCGTTAAAGTTAAATAAGAAGAGTGATGGGATGAGACTTGTTTGTAAAGGAGAGTTTTGTCGCAATCACCCTGAGGTCTCTGTGGGGTGTGGGTGGGTCTGTGCTCCTCCGGGGAACTCGCTGTGCAGAGCACTGCCAGAGGCTGCGAGTTCCCACCTGGAGTGCGGCGTCTGCATCTGCCCAGGGGGAACCGCTGTGCAGACCCAGGCTGGGGGCAGCTCTGCTCTTCAACTCTGCGAAGGCTCCAGAAAAGGAAAACTGGACCCAGATGGAAAGAGACATTTTCCACCCAGCCGTGATGGCTGTGAAGTGAAACGGGCCTGCGGACACGACCCTCAGGTAGAAACGTGGCCTCCTGTGCTGGGGTCACCTGGCGCTTACCTGGGAGGGGTCCCTGTTTTGGGTGAAAAACACTGGGGTGTTTTCTGTGAGATGCAGATCTGGCTCAGCAACAACCGCTGAGGAATCTGAGAGAAAAGAGAAAGAAAACTCCACACTACCGCTGCAAGTTTCCTGAAAGTATGGAATTATTGGGAAGTAAGCTACTTTTTAAAACAACTGTGTCAATTCCACGTCCGTGAAGCAGATACGACAACAAGCTCCACTGTGGAGGCCAAGCCCGAGGCAGCTCCAGCTCAGCAGCAGCTGTGAGCAGCTGGAGGCTACGTTTGTGTTGATTATGTCAGTGTTGATTATTATGAGCGGGGACTGCGGGGCCGTGTGGGGAGCACGGGGTTTCATATTAACATTTTTGTATTGAGGCAGCGCATTAGCATTACAGGTGTTTGTTACCTGAGCACTGCGAGTGTCACATTCGTATTTCGGGAGGCATATCTGCATTAGGAACGCTCCATTTGTGTTCCAAGGCCGCGGTGTAGACCTCGCACTGCGCCCGCCTCGCCTTGGGTGGGGAGAACCTCAGTGCTCAGGATTCAGAGGGGCTTTTGGTTTCCAGTTTCCCACACCGACCCCTCTTACTGGTCTCTAACCCTCAGTAGTCAGGGCTGCAAACAGGAAGGATTTTACTCACCATGGCCTCGAGTTGTCCCAAAGCGAGGCGGTGCCCCCCGGGTCTGTGCCGAGGAGGACGCGGGCTTCACCCTCGCTTCGGCCCGGTGTGGACGCCCTGCTGGCGGCCGGGGGCACTGCAGGGCCCTCTTGCTCACGGTGTCATGGCCTTGCGCCCCCTGCTGGCGGCCGGGGCACTGCAGGGCCCTCTTGCTCACGGTGTCATGGCCTTGCGCCCCCTGCTGGCGGCCGGGGGCACTGCAGGGCCCTCTTGCTCACGGTGTCATGGCCTTGCGCCCCCTGCTGGCGGCCGGGGCACTGCAGTGCCCTCTTGCTCACGGTGTCATGGCCTTGCGCCCCCTGCTGGCGGCCGGGGCACTGCAGGGCCCTCTTGCTCACGGTGTCATGGCCTTGCGCCCCCTGCTGGCGGCCGGGGCACTGCAGGGCCCTCTTGCTCACGGTGTCATGGCCTTGCGCCCCCTGCTGGCGGCCGGGGGCACTGCAGGGCCCTCTTGCTCACGGTGTCATGGCCTTGCGCCCCCTGCTGGCGGCCGGGGGCACTGGAGGGCCCTCTTGCTCACGGTGTCATGGCCTTGAGCCCCCTGCTGGCGGCCGGGGGCACTGCAGGGCCCTCTTGCTCACGGTGTCATGGCCTTGCGCCCCCTGCTGGCGGCCGGGGGCACTGCAGGGCCCTCTTGCTCACGGTGTCATGGCCTTGCGCCCCCTGCTGGCGGCCGGGGGCACTGCAGGGCCCTCTTGCTCACGGTGTCATGGCCTCGTGCCCCCTGCTGGCGGCCAGGGCACTGCAGGGCCCTCTTGCTCCCAGTGTAGTGGCGGCACGCACCCTGCTGGCGGCTGGAGACACTGCAGGGCCCTGTTGCTGCCACAGCCACCTGGCATTGAACAGCGACAGTGTGGCCAGCACTGTGCTAAGCTCATCTCGGTCATTCTCTCACCACATCCTCCAACGAGCCCGTGAGGCCCAGAGAGGTTAGGCGAGTTGCCAGTGGTCACACAGCCGATAGCAGCCAGGCTGGAACTTGGACTCAGGCTCCCAACTCTCACCCACCAGCATGTGCTGCCTCTGAAGAGTTTGGGATTCCCCTTCAGGGCAACTGGGAGCCACGAGGGATTTTTAAGGGGGGGTGGGTAGCACGGTCTCAGTGCCGTAAATCCCCAAGTCACGCTCGTGGAGAACCCGCTGCGTCCACCTGGGAGACGTGGCTGGTCTGTTTTCAGGGTCTGACCCTGCTGGCCTCTTCCTACACCACTTAAAGTTGGAGTGCAGGTTGTTCAGCACTATCAATTCTGCAAATTCAAACTGAAATGGAGCTAATACTGGGGAGACCTGATGTCCCAGTTCTTGTCTAACTTGAAAGAAAGATTCTCACCAAGAGGCAGTACAAAGATGGCAGATAACTTCATTGAAAAGAAATATAGTGTAAAGAGCTTATTGTAGAAAAAATAAGTATGCCTCAAGGGAGAAGTGGGGCTGATCTGCAGGAACACAGCCCCAGGGTCCTGAGCAGGGAGTTTTATGTTGGACTTCTTCACATTCCTCAAGTCTCCACCTCTTTTCTTTGTCTGGTTTTCCTGCTCCTTCCTTAGATCCCTGACTTGCCCCACCCAGGCTTGTGGGACCCCCTCACTGTTGGCTGACACATATGTGCAGTGATCAGTGTGATTCCACTGCTGGGGCTGGGCTCCTTCCTGCCACTCCAGGAAGGTCCTACAGTGGTCATGTCTGTACCTACTGTGCCTGCCTATCTCTTTCGAATGTCCTTCTCTGCCCTAATCTGTACTTATGGTGCCAGGTTTCTCTTAAGGATGTCCCCTTTGTCCTTATCAGCATGTAGCTAGCAATATCCTAACATTTTAACAGCAGAGCGAATGATTATTGGGGCATCTTAAGAGGAGCTCTGTGCCCCAAACTCACACAGCCTCCCAGAACCTCCTCTACCCAACCCCAACCCTAACCCACCACTGTAATCTTAACCAACCCTAACCCTGATCCCCAGGGAAGTTGAATCTGCCTCCTCCTGCCAAGTGCCTCCCTTGATCCTCACCACACTCTCAAAACCTGATCCCACACTTGCATTGAAAACAAACTGCAGGCCAGGCATGGTGGCTCACGCCTGTAATCCCAGCACTTTGGGAGGCTGAGGTGGGCGGATCACTTGAGGTCAGGAGTTTGAGACCAGCCTGGCCAACATGGTGAAACCCTGTCACTACTAAAAATACAAAAATTAGATGGGCATGGTGGTGTACGCCTGTAATCCCAGCTACTCTGGAGGCTGAGGCAGGAGAATCCCTTGAACCCGGGAGGCAGAGGTTGCAGTGAGCCAAGATTGCCTCACTGCACTCCAGCCTGGGCAACAAGAGCAAGACTCTGTCAAAAAACAACAACAACAACAAAACAACAACAACAACAACAAACTGCAGTTCTCACTTTCTTCTGACCCCTCCTAGCAGTGCACCCCAGGCCCACACCCTTGCATATACCAATGGCAGCATGGTGGGGTTTTGTTTTTGATTTTTTGCTAAGTTTTTATTTTAATTCAAGGACTTTGCTTCATACAAAATGTCATTGTAGAAACAACAGCAGAATCCAAAGTTTGGCTGATAAATATGACTCAGGCAGCAAACTAGTCAATCACAGAATTTCTTTTTAAGTAGGTCCCAGTTGTGTTGCATGGTTGGGACTTTTTTTTTTTTTTAACACTTCTTAAATATAAAGTTTTGCAACAAACCTTTGATTTATATCAAATATAATTAAAAATTAACAAATGAATACATTGTATCAAAAAGTACGAAGATATACATTATCATGCACATACTTGTATATATGTATATATGTATATATGTTACATGCACACATAACTTGTTCAAACTACAGCCACTGCTTGACTGGTTCCAGATGCAGACAACTGGGTGATGCACTTCAAATTTGGCAGCTCACTATGAGATTCAGGGGACATATATGATAGCCGGAGAAGACACAGTGAGAAACAAAACCCAAAGTCAGGAAAACAAGACATAATGTCTCCTTTCCCCGCTCCCTGTAGTTTTCATCAATTCCAATGCCTAGAAGAGTCTAGACAAGCCAGCTAGGCTGTGTGGGTTTAGAAAAGTGGATTCTCGACCCAACACTGCCTGGGGAAATGGCTGTGGTTCTGCATGGAATGGACACATTCGACACCCAAGATAACATGGGCTGGGGGCTGGGGAACAAGAGACAAAACGTCAGTGTCAAAATACACATCCTTCTACTTTGCAACAGGAGCACAGTGATCACATGCACAGTCCGAGATTCCTGGTTTATTCTATTGGAATAAAATACTCTGTTATCTTTAAAGTTTCAGAGTGTTGTGCCTTCAGGTAAGGAAATTCTATAAAAAGGTTTGGTCACAATCATGCTGAACCCCGAGACCAGGCAGCGGTCTTGTGTGTTTTACTTCTATTAAATGTGTCTTTTGTTGCATAGCCCTATGGGTTAATGACATCCACACACTGAACACACCTGTACAGGCACTGCATCTCCTGTGACACAGACACACACACACACACACACACACACACATCACACACAATTTCTTTGAGGAGAATCATGGGGTAGAAGCCAAGAATCCAACACAGATCATCTGGAATTTCAGAACACGGAGGACACACCACCATCAACTGCTCTAAATGCTCCCTTTCTTCACCAAACAAGGGACCTCCCAGCATCTTGTGCACCTTGGACAGTGTCCTGAGCATGGTCTTTCTCTCCTGAGCGTGGCCATGGGGGTCAGACCTCACTTGACTGCCTGCTCCCTGTGTCTGGCGCCAGGACAGTGCTGGGCATCAGGTGCCCGGCCTCAGTGGCAGGAGCCGTGTCCTCCCTCGGTCACTTGCTCTGAGTTTCATTCCAGCTGGGGCTTCCTCCCTCCTGCCCTGACGGCCCCACATCCAAGCCCCCAGCCAATGTCTTCCTCCTTCCTACCAGCCTTTGCCTCTCTTCTGCTGTATGTGGAAGGAAACCTATTTCACATACCACAGAGTGTGCCCTGAGAATCATATGCAGAACAGACTGAAAATGCCTCACACAAGCACGTGGTCAGCTGCCCTGTGGCTTCCTTGGAAACCCCTTCCACTCGTGGGAGGAGGACAGCAAATGGCTGCCTTGTTTGCCACCATGACATCCAGTGCTCTCCACTGGCAAGGGCTTGCTACCTGGCTGCCATCGCGAGTACTTTTCACAGCATCCTGCGGTGATGGATCCCGAGGCCTCGCCTCACACCACAGTGCCCAGGAGCCTGGGTGTGAGGGCCTGGCGGTCAGGCACTTGGTCAAGAGCAGCAGAGCCAGGGGCCGTCTACGTCCACCTGGACCGGACAGGGCTGCACAGGGAGTCTCCTCGCATAAGCCACAAAGACACGTGGCAAAAAGCTGACATCTTTCTTTCACAGGTTTGATTTTTTAAAGTTATGTGAACATTTCCTTCCCCATTTTTCTGGTTTTCCATTTTTTCTACATCACGTATATAGAAGTGACAAGAATGAGAGGTGTTGCAATTAAAAATCACAACCACAGCAAGAACACTTCCCAGCTCGGTTCCTGTGGGGCTGACGGTGTCCAGGGAGGACAGAGCTTGCCTGAGTGAGCATTCGCTGACACTGGCGGGCTGCACAAGCCACGACTGTGTCCCCCTCCCCATCCCCTCCGTCCCGAGGTCTCGGCGCACTTTCAGGTGGGCCCTGCTTCTCTGTGCCGCACGGCCACGTGAAGGGTGCTCCCCACAGGACGCAGAGCTCCTCACAACGGCTCCAAGCACCCATGCTGGATGCTGAGTCCCAGGACACGGGATTTGGACTCCTGGGTCCTTCTCAGCCACACACAGCAGCCTGCGGTTTAGGGTCTGGTGTGTGGTACGAGACCCAGGAAGGCAGGACAGGAAGGGGACAGAGAGAGCCGCATCCTCTAACAGGGCTTTATTCGTCGTCTAGAGTAAAAGAGGGGAGGAGGGGGAGGGAGGGGCCACAGGAGCCTCACCAAGGTGGGCAAGGCCTCCCCCGAGGGCCGGCTGCCCCGTGTGGATGATAAAACTCATCCACTGGAACACACGCCTGCTGCATGCAGGCGTCTGAGCGGTCACGGTGCAGCTAGCACCAGTGGTCTTGGTCAGGGTGGTGGTAGCTGTGCCGTGCTCGGCCACCCGAGCTGAGTCCCAGGGTGCAGTGGTAACCGTTGGGCACGCGGCGGAGAGGGTGAGACTGGGAGGTCAGGGAGGACACGTAGGAAGTCCTGGAGGAGCGGCCCGAGTTGGTGGCCACAGCCTCCTCGAAAGTGAGAGTGTCCTCAGGCAGGGCGTGGACAGAGGCCTCACTGTCCAGACGCTGCCCCAGGTAAGGGTCAGAGCCAATTCGAGAGCCAGGGGCCAGGGGCTGGCTGAGGGGGTCTCTCTGCAGCAGGGCGTTGTGTTCGGAAAGCCCACGGCTGAGCCGGCCTGGGGAGAAGGCAGGGAGGCTGGTCTGAGCCCCGGCGAAGTGGATGGGTGAGGAGTTGGCCGTCTTGTAGGTGATGCTGGGGCGGGGAGTCAGGGGCGTCTGGGGGAGCTGCCTCCGCCCACCGCGGCCGGGGGTGCTAGCACCAGATGTTGACAGCAAGGGGCTCCCATTCACGGAACCACTGCCCTACATGAAAATGGACCAGAACAAATCAGAGGTAAAAAAAAAAAAAAAAAAGCCGAACCAACAGACAGAGCACATCACACACAGGTGCCTGGGGGGATGGGAGGAGAGAGGGAGGCAATGGGGGACAACGGGCTGCGGTGACCAGGGAGGCAACAGGCACCTGTGTGCGGGGGAGGGCGATGGTCAGGGTCAGGCCCAGGAATGGGGTTGGGGAGAGCAGGTGATGGGAAGGGACAGGCTGGGGCCAGGGAAAAGGACAGAACAAAAGCCCAACGACCACAGTCAGGGAAGGAGAGTTAAGTGACCGAGAGAGAGGTAAGTATTTGGGGGCCCAGGTCCGAAAGTGGATAGGACGCAGAACCACTGTCCCAGGGTGACCCAGGCAGGAGCTTGATGAGAACACAGCTGGGGTAGGCTGCAGACGTGGGCTCCGGGACAGGGCACAGAGGGGAGCGCCCGGCCCTTGGGTTGCTGGGAATGACAAAGGGCAGCAGCGAGGCCCTGGGGAGAGGCAGGAGCCTGTGGGACAGGGGTGCTGGGCCGAGGAGAGGCAGCTGGGCCCTGACCTCTCCACCTATTCCTCTTACCTGTGGGTGGGGTCCCGGCTCCTGGCCAGCTGTTGGCGACGTTGGGTGGCTGCTGAGGGAGGGCTTGGGCTTCGGGGGCTCACGGCCCCCAAAGCGGTCGCAGGAGTAGAAGCGCTGCTTCTCCGAGGAGGAGGATGAGGGCTGCCTCCGCTCCTGGGACCGGCCCCGCTCCTGCCGGCGCTCTCGTTCCCGCCGGCAGCCTGTAGGCCCCTCTCCCGGGGGCAGCCCCGGCCCCACAGCACTGCTTGGTGCTGGCCAGGGAAGAGAAGAAGTTAGCACGGCCAGGCCCAAGGCAGGGACCCCTGACCCCCGGGCCCAGCAGGACAGAATTCAGGTGGTGCCAGGGGAGGCTAGGGTGAGGGTTAGGGCCTGGGCCTCAGTCCCACCCTGCTCTGGCTGGTTATGGGGTCACGAGGCCCACAAAGGAAGAGGGTCCCCCATGGGCCGCTTGGACCCCCTGACTCGGGCCATAGCTCCCCGAAGGACTCCCCGGGCCCCTCCGCACGCACCGCCATCCATATCGGCAGACAGGCTGGGCCCCTTCTCCAGGGACCTCTGCTTCCTGTCCCTGCGGCGGTGGCAGCGGTGGTGGTGGTGGTGCGACGACGCCTGGCTAGGGGGTGGGCGGTCCGGGGTGGTGCTGCAAAGATGAGTCCCACGGGGCCGCTGGGCCAGCGTGGAGATGGAGCGCTTCATGGGGCTGGCATCTGTGACGGGCTGTGGGCAAAGGACTGAGAGTGGGCCTAGGGGAGGCACCAGGGTCAGCGGGAATGCAGGCATGGAAGTGGGTGGTGGAGCAGGCCAGACAGCAGGCCCACACGCCCCCCATCCTGGTCTCACAGTCAGAAGGACCCAGGCCTGAAATGGTAGCCCAGGAGGGCAGGCTGGGGGCAGACAGTGCCTGAGTCCCCGCCCCATCCCATGTGTCGTGCCAGGAAGAGAGAGGTGGCTGGCTTGGTTGGAAGAACCCTGAGTGGAAACCAGAGACGCCTCTGCTGGCTGCAATGGGATCACTCTGCCTGGTGCGTCTGGGGTGGACTGGCTCCCGAGCTGCTTCCACGGCCAGAATCAGGACCCGTGAAGACACCTGGGACGGGTAGGCCCTCCCAGGTAAACTCACCCACAGCCGCCAATGCATCACGTGTGTGAAGGAGGAGGCCCCAGCACAGGCTGCAGGGAGGCTCAGCCTGCACCCACCCACCAGGCAGCACCCAGGAGGGTACCACTGGGCGGGGAAAGAGACAAGAGAGGAAGGACAGGTGGGAAGAGGAGAAAACCCTAAGAGGGAGGAGAGGCAGTGAGGAGAGGAAAAGGGTTTGCTGGCCACAGCAGTGGGATGGGAGACGAGCCACGGACGAGGTTCAGATCCACAGCTCCACAGCCCAGGTCGGCCGAGGGACAGGGCTGGCACGGGGGCTCCGGTCACTTTTGGCCAACTGAAGCAGGCTCATGTTGCAGGTGAGGCCCTGCAGCTCCTCCGAGGCCTCGGAGGCCGGGGCACAGTGTTCCCAGATTGGCCTCGGAGGGGCGATCCTCCCAGTGTCCTTGTGGAAGGAGCCTCCCCCGGGAAACACATGGGGCCAGAGCTTCCTCTTCCTGAATCCAGTGTGCATGTCCCAGAAAGAGGCGAGCCCAGCAAGGAGCTGGGTAGAAAAGTAGTCCAGGGACTGCCCATGAGCAGGGAGGGTCCTCCGCAGAACCACGGGCGGGAGAGGGGACTGAGGTGTCGGTGAAATTTTCTGGATGAGAGTGGGGGTTGTCTCAGGGAGTAGAGCCCCGGAAAGGAGGAACAGAACGTGGCTGAGCCAGAGTGGGGGCCCCTATGCCCCATGGCCCCTAATAGGAGGCTGAGAACAGGCACAGCTGTCCTCTACCGGACCTGACCCACCCTCTGGAGAAGCCTCAGGGGCTGAAGGCGTCCAGGCTGCACCTCTGTCGGCGCCCAGACAGGACTGCCCGGGGTGCCTGCTCCTGCCTCAGCAAAGAGCTCCACACATGGACCCCAGCCTCTCTACCCCAGCTCTCCTCACCTGCAGGAGGCCCAGAGCCACAGCCCCACTTCCCCACCCCCCACTTGCCCAGCCCAGGGCCTGGACCCTCCCAGACCACCTACCTGAGTCTCGGCCGCAAGGCGGGGCATGGAGGCCGCTCGACCCTGGCTCTCCAGCCCAGGCTGGGGCTCCCCATCAGGGCCCCTCCGGGTTATGCTCTGCATCTGAACGTCCACAGCCTGTGGATACAGCACTCACCTAGTCCCACCACACAAGGCACCGCGGACTCATCTGATCCCACCCCGGACTCACTCCATGAGGCACTGGGGTCTCACCCAAATCCATCTCAGTCTCACCTAACTCCCACTGCTGTTCACACGTCCCCCACCCCAGTCTCACACACCCCCCATCCCTGTTCACATATCCCCCACCCCAGTCTCACACGTCCCCCACCCTGGTCTCACACATCCCCCACCCAAGTCTCACATGTCCCCCACCCTAGTCTCACATGTTCCCCACCCCAGTCTCACACGTCCCCCACCCCAGTCTCAAAATCCCCCATCCCAGTCTCACACACCCCCCATCCCTGTTCACACATCCCCCACCCCAGTCTCACACGTCCCCCACCCTGGTCTCACACATCCCCCACCCCAGTCTCACACGTCCCCCACCCAAGTCTCACATGTTCCCCACCCCAGTCTCAAAATCCCCCATCCCTGTTCACACGTCCCCCACCCCAGTCTCAAACATCCCCCATCCCTGTTCACACATCCCCCAACCCAGTCTCACTAGCCCCCGGGAGTGCTCACCAGTGCTCCTGACCGCCCCACAGGGATCTCTGTGGAGTGGCCACGCTCCAGGGGTGGCCTGGCCTCATGGGGTGCATCCTGGGTCCTTTGAGTGCCCCAGGAGACAGACTCTTTGATGCCACTCTCTTGGTTTTGTCTGTGGCAGAGAAGACAAACAGATTCCTGTAGGGTCAGAGACTGCAGGTGCCTTACCAATAGCCTGGTGCTTCAACCTGCCAGGCGTCTCCAACACATGCAGCAGAGGTCAGGGGGTTTGGCCACCCTGTTCTGGACTGAATTGAGCCCTCCTTTGGGCACAAGAGCCCCAACGTGGCCTGTGCACGCTGGACCCAGGCAAAGCCTCATCAAAGGACATGGATCCAAAACAGGGTCAGAGCAAGAAGGGATTCAGAGTGGCAGAGAGGATGCAGAGCACCAGCTTACAGCCCACAGTGCTCAAGTCTGAGGGGGGCCTGGGTCCGTCACCCGCTCCTCTGGACAAGAGGCTGATCTGTGAAGTGGGAGCAGGGGTTGTCCTTGCCACACAGGACTATCCTGGGAAGGAGTGGGGCCGCATGTGTACAGCCTGCATTAGGACAGTAGCTGAAGAAGTCCTGCCTATGCCAGCAGACAGCAAGAGAAGCTGTCATGGAGAGGACAGGCTGGGACAGATGAGGGCAAAGCTGTCATGGAGGGGACGGGCTGGGACGGGGGGTAGGGGGCCTCGCCCGGGACTCTTTGGGCTTCCTCCTCTAGGGGCTTCCTCCCTCAGGGGTCCCTTGCTGGTGGCTCCTCCTTACTTCTCTGACCCCCCCCCCAAGCCACAATGAGCCCTTCCATCCCTCGGCTCTCTGCTGGGGTGCAGCCTTCTGGCGGAGGCCACCCCACACATGCTCCCCATACGCCTGCCCCAACAGCCCCACCCGGAGATACTTCCGCACTGGTATTTCTCATCACTTATCTCCCAACTGGCGTGGAATGTGTTCGGGTGAGTGCTCATTCTCACATTCAGTGAAACACTGAAGACTACGTTCTTAGTCATGCAGGTTGAGTGGCACTGATCACTCTGAGCTCAGACTGGAGCCTGATAGTCTAAATGGACCACACCCTGACCACAGCAGTGGACGCAGAGATGGCAGAAGGACACACTGGTGGTTGCTGGGGCTTCTGAGAAGCCCCATCCTTTGTCTTCTGAGAGTTGCAAGCAGCTCTCCTTCCATGCTGTCTGGGGCACTGCAGCCCCTGCTGGCACCAGGCACAGAGCGGCCGCAGTGGCAGGCTGGTGCTGAGAGGAGGGGTGGTTAGGAGAACCGGAGCTGGCTCCTAATGCACCGCTAACCCTGAAATAACACCACGTCCAAGGCCAGAGGTGTGCTCAACCCGCTCACTAAATGGCTCAATAAATACCCTCACCAGACCCAGTCTGAGTGGGTGCTCTCTGACTTGGAGTTGTAATTGATTTAGGTAGAAACTACCATCACAGAAATAACAGAAGCTCAATTTCCTGCTGAAAGCCTGGCTTAGATAAACCCCAGACACCTCACTATCTCCTCCCACCTGCACATACAGTCAGAATCAGGACTTTAAATGCAAGGAAGGTTTTCAACAGCATGCTGAAAGCAGTGTGGGAATGGGGGGCTGCCAGCGGCTCGGGAGTCAGCCCCCAGGATCTGGGTCCTGAGATTTGGGAGCACACTTTTCTGGGCCACAGTGGGAAAAAGTGATGGTTCTTGTAAGTCACCTGCTTCTGGGTGATTTGTTACCCGGAAATATTGTGGCAAGAGTTAAGTGATACAAAAGAACCTTACCAATTTCTTTACAAAATATAACAGCTTCAGAAATCAGTACCAAAGTGGAGATCTGAGAGGAAAAGTGCCTTACGGGGTTAGAAAGATCAGAGCAGTAGAAGGCCATTGACAGAAAGGGGTGGGAGATGGAGGTGGAATCTCAGCGTCTGCTGGCACGGAGGGCCGATGAGGAGCAGGGGCAGGGGCCTCTTGTCTGAAAGGGAAGCAGGTGCGTGTGTTGGGAATGGGACGTGGTGGTCTAAGTGCTGTTAGGAAGGCGGGTTCGATGAAGCACCTGTCTAATGTCACAGGAAACGATTTTAAAGTCTGCCACAGAAACCCAGCAAAGGAAGAGCCCTTGACTGCTCTCAGGCAGCAAGTACAACAAGCATCTGTAGCAAAGCCAGCCCCTGAGAACTGAGATGTGGCCTAGGGGCTCTCTGTCCTTGGAGGGTTGCTAAGGGCCCAAGTGCAGGGTCGGATGGCAGACACGCCCCTCAGGTGCCTCCAAGCTGGTGAACCCAGAGGCCAGTGGAAGTGAGGGCCAGGGAGGTTGAGGAAATGGGATGTCTGCTTCCCCCTTTACTGTCTTTGGACCTCCTCCTGTCCAGCTATGTCCTGCATCTGGATACTCACATGGCCCCGCCATTGCTGAGGGAGGTGGAACTCTTCTGTCGAAGGAAAACCCGGGCTCCTCGGAGCACAGCCGGCTGTGTCTGCTCCAGGGTGGCCTTCAGAGGGTGGAACAGGGACACAGGACCCATCTGCAAAGGAGGCAAAGGGAAGGGAAAGAGCTCCAATGGGCCTGCAATGTGGCCTCTGTGACCTGCTCTGACCATGTGGCATGGGGCAAAAGCCAGGTCATGTTCAAGCCCAGCCTAAGGGCTCTTTCCCCTTAGCAAGGGGCCGCTTACTTTCCCTGATATGTCCCTAAATATGAGCATGTGACCAAAACAGTGAAGCAAGCCAGGGGACCCTTACAGCATCTCCTCAAAACCTTGCCTGTCAGTGACTTCAGGAAAGCCATGTCACCTCTCAAAACCTCAGTTTCCCTGTCTACACAACTAGGGGATTGGACCAGATTACAGGTGGCAACAATATTCCATCTAATCATCACCTTGAATTGGCTGGTAGGAGTTAGGGTTAGGGTTGGGCTGAGCAAAATTCCGAGATTTCAGGGCTGGGGAAGACTGCTGCATGGATTAGTGATGTCTACCCCAGGTGTGAGAATGGAAGGTGTGGCCTGAGCACCACATATTCTCCATCTGAGGACTAGGTCAATGTCCCCAGAAGCCCTGGACATCTAGACAATTTTCCAGCAGACAGACTACATATGGTCACCGAAGACACGGCTGTGTGGGAAGGACGACATCGGGAAGATGGGTCCCCAAATCATCTCAGTCAAAGGCAAGAGCAGAACAGACAATGATCCTGTACCTATCTGAATTTCTTTGCTCTCTGTGTGAAGGGAAAACAGTTCTCCTTTCACCTCTCCAAACAATCCTCCTCAAATGGTCTTCACATCTTCTTCTCTTCCACCCCATAACAACCATGACACTGCCCAGCCCAGCCCTCAACTTCTGGCCCTGAGTGCTGACTTTCTATGTCAGGAGCTGCCCAGTACCGCCAGCTCATGGAAAGCATAAAGGCTGTGTGTAGTTTCTGACTCTGGGGGCCAGAGAGGTAGCTGCAAGAATCTTTCATCTTCCTTCTGAGATACTTTTTCCAAGAATGGTGTGCATCTCCCCCGTCGTCAACCCCCCGAAGGATGCCAGAGCCTCGGAGGCATCACAGTTTTCCTGGAAAACTGAGGGCCGCCAGCTACCTGGGAGAGGCCTCCAGGAGCCTGCTGCATCTGGTCTCTGGTGGTTTTGTTCTGCTTGTAGAAGTCGAATATCATCAGAGCTGCATAAACCTTCCCCACTGTCATCTCATCAGCTGGAAAAGAACACAGGAGTTGAGATTCGGAGAAGGGGGCAGAGGATCCACGGAAACAAGGTATGGAAGTAAGGTGAGGAAACAGCCGCCCCTCCCTCGCCCCCCACAAAGACTCCTGGAAATGCACTGGGACAGAGGGCTCTCAGGCAGAACATGGGGCTCGGCCACCAGGAGTTTGGCCTACCTAGGGCTCCTCCAGATGCTGACCTGGCCCTCCTGACTGCCCTGACTCCTCCTGAGGCCTCTCAAGACCGGGCTGAGGCCATCCCCACCTGCTTAATGCAGGGCCCTTCCTGTGTCTCCTCCCCAGAAAGCAAGATGGAGTTGGGCACCTTCCTGCGCTCCCTCACGTCTCCCACAAGGAGGAGTTGGGCACCTTCCTGCGCTCCCTCACGTCTCCCACAAGGAGGAGTTGGGCACCTCCCGGCGCTCCCTCACGTCTCCCACAAGATGGAGTTGGGCACCTTCCTGCGCTCCCTCACGTCTCCCACAAGGTGGAGTTGGGCACCTCCCGGCACTCCCTCACGTCTCCCACAAGATGGAGTTGGGCACCTCCCGGCGCTCCCTCACGTCTCCCACAAGATGGAGTTGGGCACCTTCCTGCGCTCCCTCACGTCTCCCACAAGGAGGAGTTGGGCACCTCCCGGCACTCCCTCACGTCTCCCGCAAGATGCAGTTGGGCACCTTCCTGCGCTCCCTCACGTCTCCCACAAGGAGGAGTTGGGCACCTTCCTGCGCTCCCTCACGTCTCCCACAAGATGGAGTTGGGCACCTCCCGGCACTCCCTCACGTCTCCCGCAAGATGCAGTTGGGCACCTTCCTGCGCTCCCTCACGTCTCCCACAAGGAGGAGTTGGGCACCTTCCTGCGCTCCCTCACGTCTCCCACAAGATGGAGTTGGGCACCTCCTCGCGCTCCCTCACGTCTCCCACAAGATGGAGTTGGGCACCTCATTGTGTTCCCTCACGTATCCCATAAGATGGAGTTGGGCACCTCCCCGTGCTCCCTCACGTCTCTCACAAGTTGGAGTTGGGCACCTCCTCGTGCTCCCTCACGTCTCCCACAAGATGGAGTTGGGCACCTCATTGTGCTCCCTCATGTATCCCATAAGATGGAGTTGGGCACCTCCCAGTGGAGTTGGGCACCTCCCCGAACTCCCTCATGCCTCTCAAAAGAAGGAGGTGTGCACGTCCCCGCGCTCCCTCACGTTCCCATAAGATGGAGTTGGGCACCTCCCCGTGCTCCCTCACGTCTCCCACAAGATGGAGTTGGGCACCTCCCCGTGCTCCCTCACGTCTCCAAGATGGAGTTGGGCACCTCCCCGTGCTCCCTCACGTCTCTCACAAGAAGGAGTTGGGCACCTCTCTGCGCTCCCTCACGTCTCCCACGAGATGCAGTTGGGCACCTCCCCATGCTCCCTCACCTCTCCAAGATGGAGTTGGGCACTTCCCTGTGCTCCCTCACGTCTCCCGCAAGATGAAGTTGGGCACCTCCCCACGCTCCCTCACGTCTCTCACAAGATGGAGTTGGGCACCTCCCCGCGCTCCCTCACGTCTCTCACAAGATGGAGTTGGGCATCTCACCGCACTCCCTCACATCCCTGTGGGATCCCCTCTTGCCTTTCCTCTGGATTTAAAAAAAATAAATTCCACACACCAGGAGCTCAACACAACAAACCCACGCTCATCTCTGCAGCTCCTCTGCCACCCAGGGCTCTCTTGGTTGGAGCTGAGGGCAGATTCATGAGGAGGTGAGCCCACCTCTCCAAGGTGGCCTGCCCTTCATCCCTCACCCTCACCTCCACAGCCCTCCAGCCACTCTGGGTGGGACAGTAAAGGTGGGGGCTGGGGGCATTTCTCACCCTCACACTTACGCTTATGGGGTGGTACCAGCAAGTCCAAAGTCTTCTGGGGCAGATTGGCCCACACAACGGAAATCTCCTTCCTCAACTCCGCGTCACACTGATGCTGCTTTGTCCCAGCTGCACCAGGATGATGGTGGGGAAGGGGAAAAGACAGAGATGTTAGGAGCAGCCCTGCAGCCGCCAATGGGGCAGAGCTGGTGCAGGTGGGGAGATGAATGGTGTAGGCGGAGATGGGGTACAGACGGTGCTGGAAGGAGGGTGCAGTGGGAACAAACGCTGATGCAGAAGCTGCTCACAGCCCTCCCTGCTGCGAGTCTGCCCAGAGGAGGAGGCAGGTGAGCAGGGCAACCACCTCATGTGCACACGTGTGTGTCCGACGTGTGTGCATGCATGTGCACTGCACGTTCGTGTGTGCATGGGACGGGCAATGAGGATTTAGGAGGAAGATGGCAGCACTCCAGGCATTCATCTATTCATTCAACAATATTTACCAAAAAACTCTCAAAAACTTCCCTTCTGGAGTTGACAACGCTTTAGTCTACCAATAAAGCAGTAATAAGTAAAAAAAAAAAAAAAGTGTACCGGAGAGTGCAAAGTGCCAAGGCAAGGAGAGCAGAGCGGGGAAGGGGAATATCAGCAGGGCTGCGGCTGTGGACAGGACGGCCATCAGTCTCCCGAGGAGGCCTGTGTGCCCTGAAGGTAAAAGGAGCCCCCGAGTACACTGGCCCTGCTGTGTCACCCGAAGGGCCAGGGAGGCCTCGGGGCAGGGTGGATGGAGGGGTGGGCAGGAGGGTTAGGGAAGGCAGTGGAGGGTTTTGAGCAGAGGAATAAAATAATTGGATTCACCTTTCTTGAACATCAGGTTTATTAAGGTACAATTCACATGCAGTGAGAGTCACCCTTTTTCATTCTCTATGAACTTTGGTGAATTCATACGCCCATGTGCCTAGCAGCACCGTCAAGGTGTGCAACAGCTGATCACTCCCAAATTCCTCTGTGCTCCCTTGAGTCGACCCCTCGTCCTACTGGCAGCCTCTGCCACCACTGATGTGTTTTGGGTCCCTATAGTTTTGCTCCAGAATGTCACGCCAATGGCATCATACAGCACACTGGCCTTTGAATCTGGCTTCTTTCACACAGTGTGGTGCATGTGAGAGTCATACACATTGCCACACGCAACTGTAGCGTGTTTCCTTTTACTCCTGAGTATTCTTTAATTGTATGAATGCACCATTTGTTTATCCATTGCCAATTGATGGACATATGAGTTGTTTACAGTTTGGGGCAATTTTGAATAAAGCTGTAAACATCTGCACATAGATTGTGTGGATGTATGTTTTCATTTCCTAAGTGCAATGGCTGGACCATAGAAGTAACGGCAAACTGTCTAAGGGGCTGCACCATTTTCTTTTCCGACTGGGAACATGTAGAATTCCAGTTGCTCTGCCCT
Source organism: Homo sapiens (assembly GCF_000001405.40). Classification (NCBI taxonomy): domain Eukaryota; kingdom Metazoa; phylum Chordata; class Mammalia; order Primates; family Hominidae; genus Homo; species Homo sapiens. Next base: position 138,111,064 of record NC_000009.12, on the reverse strand, counting down.
CTCAGCACTAAGTATTGTCATTCTGAAAAGCATTTTGGCAACTCCAGTAGACTGGAGTGTAATCTCGTTGTGGTTTTTTTTTTTTTAAATTCTGGATTTGTCTAATGATTAATGACATCAAGCATTTTTGCATGTGTTTGTTTGCCTTCCATATATCTTCTTTGATGACACTTCTGTTCAAATCTTTTGTCTGTTTTGGTTGGGTTATTTTCTTAGGGAGTTGTGACAGTTCTTCATATATTAGGAATACTAATCCTATAGCAGATACGTGTTTAGCAAATATGTTCTCCAATTTTAGGCTTGTCTTTTCATTCTGGTTTTTTGTTTTGTTTTGAGACAGGGTCTCAATCTGTTGCCCAGGCTGGAGTGCAGTAGTATGATCACAGCTCACTGGAACCTCGAACACCTGGGCTCAAGCAATCCTTCCGCCGTAGCCTCCTGAGTAGCTGGGACCACAGGCATGCGCCACCATGCCCAGCTGATTTTTTAAAATTATTTTTTGTAGAGACAGAGCCTCACTTTGTTGTCCAGGCTGGTCTTGAACTCCTGGATTCCAGCAATCTTCCCACCTCTTCTCTCAAAGTTAATCAAAGCTGGGATTGCAGGTACAAGCCACTGCACTTGGCCTCATTTTTAAAAATATCTTTTGTGGTGGGGCACAGTGGCTCACTCCCGTAATTCCAGCACTATGGGAGGCCAAGGCAAGTGGATCATTTGAGGTCAGGAGTTCAAGACCAGCCTGGCCAACATGGTGAAACCCCGTCTCTACTAAAAATACAAAAATTAGTTGTGTGTGTTGAAATGTGCCTGTAATCCCAGCTACTTGGGAGGCTGAGGCAGAGGAATCGTTTGAACCCAGGAGGCAGAGACTGCAGTGAGCTGAGATTGCACCACTGCACTGCAGCCTGGGCAACAGAGCAAGACTGTCTCAAATATATATATATATGTATATATATATATATCATATAGCAAAAGTTTTGCTGTAGTTCAATTTATCGATTTTTTCCATTTGAGATGGAATCTCGGTCTGTCACCAAGGCTGGAGTACAGTGGCACTATCTTGGCTCACTGCAACCTCCGACTCCCAGGTTCAAGCAATTTTCCTGCCTCAGCCTCCCAGGGACTACAGGTGCACACCAGCAGGCCCAGCTTTTTTTAGTAGGGACGGGTTTCACCATGTTGGCCAAGTTGGTCTCAAACTCATGACCTCAGGTAATCCGCCTGCTTTGGCCTCCCAAAGTGTTGGAATTACAGGCGTGAGCCACCAACGCCTGGCCTTGTGTTTTCTATACAGGTTTCATAATTTTAGATTTTACGTTTCTGTCTACAATCCATTTCAAGTTATTTTTTGTACAGGGTAAAAGGTATGTGCTATGGATCAAGCTGTCCCCAACTCCAGTCCACATGTAGAAGCCCTAAGCCCCAGATGTGACTGTATTTGGTGACGGGGCCTGTAAGGAGGTGATCAGTTCAAGGAGTTCCTGTGGGGCCCTGATCCACAGAATCAGTGGTCTCATAGGAGACACCTGGAAATCCACTTGCTCTTTTTCTCTCCCTGCACACACAGAGGCAAGTCTGTTTGAGGACACAGCAGGACCATGGCTGTTTACCAGCCAAGAGAAGAGGCCTAAGAGTGACACCCACCTCACAAACACAAACTCTTGGACTTCTGGCTTCCAGAACTGTGAGAAATACATTTCTTTTGTCTAAGCTGTGATATTTTCTTGGGGCAGCCCGAGCAAGCTAAAACGGCATGTCAAGAATGTCTCTTTTTGTATAGGATTGTCTAAATTTCTCCAGCATCATTTGTAGAAAAGATGATCTTTTCTCCATTAATTGCCTTTCCAAGTTTGTTAAAAATCAATTGACCGTATAAGTGAGTCTATGATACATGATTGATGAAGCTTTCCTTAATTCCTACTTTATGTAAAATTTTAAAAATCATGAATGGATGTTGAATTTTGTCAAATGCTTTTTCTATACCTATTGAGATAATCATATACTTTTCCTTCTTTGATACAGTAAACTGGATTTTCAAACACTGAACCTAACTTATCCTGGGGTAAACCCCACTTGTGTCATCATATATTATCTTTTAAAATATATTCAGTTTGGCCGGGTGCAGTGGCTCACGCCTGTAATCCCAGCACTTTGGGAGGAGGCTGAGACGGGCGGATCACGAGGTCAGGAGATGGAGACCATCCTGGCTAACACGGTGAAACCCTGTCTCTACTAAAAATACAAAAAAGTTAGCCAGGCGTGGTGGCGTGCACCTGTAGTCCCAGCTACTCGGGAGGCTGAGGCAGGAGAATGGCGTGAACCCAGGAGGCAGAGCTTGTAGTGAGCCAAGATCGTGCCACTGCACTCCAGCCTGGGCAACAGAGTGAGACTCCATCTCAAAAAAAAAAAAAATTCAGTTTGCTTAAAGATTATGTTGAAGATTTAAAAAAATCTATGTTTATAAGGGATATTCGTCTGTAGTTTTCTTTTCTGGTCATGTCTTTGTCTAGTTTTGGTATCAGAGCAAAGCTGGCCTCTGAAAATAAAATAAGTTGGAAAATATTCCCTTTTTCCACTTTTTGGAAGAGTCTATACAGAATTGGCATTATTTCTTCCCTAAACAGTTGGTAGACTTCAATAAAGAAGCCATTTGGACCTGGGATTGTCTTTCTTGGAAGGTTTTTCCACTCTAAACTTAATTTATTTAATATATATGGTATTATGAAGCTTTTGCTTTTTTTTTTTTTTTTTTTTTTGAGATGGGGTTTCACTCTGTTGCCCAGGCTATAGTGCAGTGGCACCATCACAGCTCATTCCTCCTACCTCAGCCTCCCCAAGCAGCTGGGAGCACAGGCGTTCACCACCACATTCAGCTAATTTTTTAATATTTTGTAGAGCCAGGGGCTCCCTGTGTTGCCCGGACTGGTCTCAAACTCCTGAGCTCAAGTGATCCTCCTCCCTCAACCTCAAAAACTGCTGGGATTACAGGCATAAGCCAGGGCACCTGGCCTGGTTATCTCTTTTTTTTTTTTTTTTGTCCTCTGGTGTTGAAACTGAAGGTTATCTATTCTTTTTTTTTTGAGACAGAGTCTCACTCTGTCACCCAGACTGGAGTGCAGTGGCGCAATCTCGGCTCACTGCAAGCTCTGCCTCCTGGGTTCACGCCATTCTCCTGCCTCAGCCTCCCGAGTAGCTGGGACTACAGGCGCCCGCCACCATGCCCGGCTAATTTTTTGTATTTTAGTAGAGACGGGGTTTCACTGTGTTGTCCAGGCTGGACTTGAACTTCTGAGCTCAGGCAATCTGCCTGCCTTGGCCTCCCAAAGTGCTAGGACTACAGACGTGAGCCACTGCGCCCGGCCATTAGTCTTTTTTTTAACCTGATCACTCTGGCTGTTGTGTTGAAGGCAGACAGAAGGGGCCAAGGGCAGAAGTGGATGAATTAGAAGCTGCTGCAGCAACAGCTGAGAGCCAGAGGAGGCGGCAATGGGGTAAGGGAGAGGAGTGGCCACATTTTGGATATATTTTAAAGACAGAGTCAAGAAAATATGAAAGAGAAGGCATGAATCAGAAATGGGATAAGGAAGGAGGAGAAAAGGATGATCCTCAGCCTGTGCAACACAGCGAACCCCCATCTCTAAAAAATATACAAAAACTAGTATGGAGGAGTGGTGCCTGCAATCCCAGCACTTTGGGAGGCCGAGGCAGGAGGATCACTTGAGCCTGGGAGGTGGAGGCTGCAGTGAGCCGTGACTGCACCACTGCACTCCAGCCTGGGTGACACAGTGAGACCCTATATAAATAAATAAATAAATAAATAAATAAATAAATAAATAAATAAATAAAATAAGATGATTTCTAAGGTTTCGGCTTAAGCATTGACTGAGATAGGGAAGGCTGTGGGGGAAAATTTGAAGTTCAGGAGAGAAGTCAGGAGATTAATGTTATTTAAAGCCATGGGAATAGGTGAGATGATAAAGGAGTGAGTGTAGAGAGAACATTCCATGGCACAAAGGCACACCCAAAGTTTGTGGGATCGGAGAAACAGATAAAAAAGGTTCAAAGAGAAGAAAATGCAAATGGAGAAACGGCCATGGACAGCCCATGAGCTGGGGATGTGCCTCAGCCTTTGAGTCGAGCAACGTGGAGGCCTGGAGACCCCAAGGGCAGCTCTGGTGAAGCTGGGAAGAGCCCCCAGCATGTGGGAAAGGGAAATCAGAGACAACCTCTCAAGAGCAGGGCATTAGAAAGGAGAGAATAGGGAAGTCGACAGAGGGGAAGATAACTTTTTTGGTTGTTTTCGAGACGGAGTCTTGCTCTGTCACCAGGCTGGAGTGCCGTGGTACAATCTCAGCTCACTGCAACCTCCGCCTCCCAGGTTCAAGCCTGCCTCAGCCTCCTGAATAGCTAGGAATACAGGCACGTGCCACCACCACGCCCACCTAATTTTTGTATTTTTAGTAGAGATGGGGTTTCACCATGTTGGCCAGGATGGTGTCCATCTCCTGACCTCGTGATCCGCCCACCTCGGCCTCCCAAAGTGCTGGGATTACAGGCATGAGCCACCGCGCCCAGCGAACTTTTTGAAGATGGAGGAAATAATCGGGTGTTTATATGCTGACACAAATAACCCAGTAGACAGGGCAAGAAACAGTATGGCATTGCCACTACGGCACCCTTGGGGAGACGTAAGTGAGGCTTGGCACACAAAGCAGGAGATGGGGCAGACGCAGGGGGGTGGGGCTGGGGCAGGGCCCTCTGGGGCTGTAATCTCCTCTGTGGTGGGGAAGGTGGACGTGGGGAAGAACACACTACAGGCTCCTTCTCTCCTTGCTTTGGCATCGCTCTGTGGTACTGTCCATCAGATCAGGGAAAGACCGGATGGGCTCACTATGGGAGGGGGCCAAGGGCATGCAGGCTCGTCCCCAGGGAGGGCGCTGGCTGTGGTGAGGCTTGACCAGGCTGTGTCCTGGTTCCACCACCAGCTGGCTCTGAATTACCTGGGCAATTTATGAAATCTCACCATGCCTCAGTTTCCTTACCTGAAAATGGGATCATTGCAGTGCTAATGTGCAGACGGTTACCAGGCGAAAAAGCCAGTGCCCCAGGGTGGGTATCCTGTGCAGCTGTCCTCAGACCCCTCCAGACACAGCTGGCCCCTCACCCTCCTCCCTGCGTGTCCTCCTGGGGCTGACACTGAGGGCGGAGGTGCACATCCCTGGGTCCAGGGCCCTCCTTCCGAGGCTGCCTTGCTCACCTGGGGCCAGCTTGATCTCCAGTGCCGTCCGGATGAGGGCCATCAGCGTGGACGTGAAGTGAACAGTCATGTCCTCGTTGGAGATGGGCATGTTCATGCGAACCAGGCGCTAGGGACAAGCAGGGCCGGTCAGGGCCAGGCCTGCTGGGGTCACCCCCCACCCCAAGACTACGCAATGATGGGGTCCCTGGATGCTGGGCTGGGCATCCCAGTGGTGGTGCCTGCAGGTGCCTAGGCCTGAGTGAGGTGGGGCGGGTGGGAGTTTTGCCAGCATTCACACTCTCCCCTGGACTCCCCGCCCCACAAATCTAGCTGAGGACCCTCCTGGCTGCAGAAAAGTAGAACTCCAGGTAAAGACTGGAGCCTTGATCCCTCTGAAAGCACAGCCACCTCCTCACCCTGAGGGACCCCTGCCTGTGGCTGAATGTAGGAGTGTAGCCTTGGCTGGGGAGGAGGAGCAGCAGCCACAGACAGAAGAGGTCCCTGTGCTCATTGCTCTGCCCACCCCCATCTTCTCCTCCCACCACTTCGATCATCTGGACAAGGAGTAGGTGGTCCAGGGTGCCTCTCTGGGGCCCAGCTCCCAGTGGGGGCCCCTACAGGTGACATCCTGGTTTTAGCTCAGGTCCAGTGAGGCTTCTGCCTCTCACCACCCAGCATGAGGCCTGGGAGAGATGCTCGATGTCACTAAAAGGCAGAGCCCATCTCTGCGCAAGGCAGCTCCTGCTGCTGGAAGGACAGGAACAGATGGGACTTCCCAGGGCTGCAGGCTGAGGCTGCTACACTTCAGAGTGGGCTGGGGCAGTGTCCTGCAGCTCTGCTCCGTCTCCCTCTCAGGTGGACAGCCTGTTGCCAGTTTTCAGGGACAGAACAGCTGGAGACGAGCTCGTGTCTGCACCACAGTCCTCTGGCCCCAGCCAGTGCTGCCCAGAGACCCAGGCTCTAAGAACTGAAGAGGCCCCAAGGAGGAAATGCATCTCAAGTGTGCCTGGAATATTTTGAGCGTGGGGAGCAAGGAGCTGGCCAAGTGGAGCCCCAGGAGCACTGTCCAGCTAGAGACAGGAGCTCCTCCCCAGGGTCTGCCTGTCCTTGCCCAAGCCTGCAACCTGTGGCAGGGCAGCCTCTTCTCTAGGGAGGGCCATACAGCCCTGCCCCTAGCATCATGGCCCCAAATCCAGAGTCCTCAGCCTAATAGCTAGTGGGGTGTGGATGCAAGCCGGGCTGGAGACATGAGCCTGACTCTGGCCCCGAATGCTGGCAAAGCCCCACTTGCCACGTCCAGTCCTAGTCCCAGGGCTTTGCACAGCATGTGTGTGCAGCACAACAGGAGTAAACGGCTTCCCGGAGAATGGCATCCCTGCAGACCAGCATGAATGGCGGTGTGAGAGGCCAAGGAATTCCTCTCCCACAGGGCAGGCGTTGGGGGGCGTTGGGGATAGCAGTGAGGGCAGAGCAGGCAGGTGATTTACAAGAAGGAAGAGCTCCGCCCAGGGCACTGGAGGGCTGCCCTCCCCAGGGGTGCCATCAGCCCACTCCAGGCCCCAAAGGGCCAAGAATCTCAGGAAGAAGCCAAGAGGCAAGGCCAGGGCAAACAAACAGGTGTCTCTGCCCTGGGCCCTCCAAGGTGCAGTGCTCTGGGCATCTCCTGGACCCTCCTCAGCTCATCTGGCCCTTCTGCCCCCACCCTGAGGCCTCCCTTGGTCTCTCCATGCCCAGAACCTTGGAGTCAGCCAGCACAGCTGGGTGGGGCTCCAAAGGCTGCTCCATCATGGCCCTGCCTGCTTGCCCCGGCGCCAAGTGTGGACAGAGCTCTCCTTCTTGGGGACAAAGCTACAGCCTTGCATGCAGAACCCCCAGGCAGGCACAATGCAGGGGCAGGGCAGGGGCTGAGGATGGCTTGGAGGAGCCACTTGGCTCCCACAGGCTGCACTGAGTCGGGTGACAAAGACCTAGAGTCAGGGCACAGAGCCAGTGTGGACAACAGCTGTCCACAGCACCAGAGAGGAAAGCTCTGGCAGGAAGCTTCCTCAGACAGACTCAGGAAAGTCTTCCTCAGGGAGGATCAGAAAAGCTCTAGGCACGTGTTGGCTGAACCACAGGCCGTTTGCCGGAGAGCAGTGGGGGCCTCAGGAGGGCTCTTGAGTAGGTGGGTGGGTGCTGGGGGAACGAAGGTGCTTACACATGGAGGGTATGAGGTGGGACTGGGGACAGCTGGGCAGATGGAACAGTTTTAGGGCTGGGCCATGTGATCTGCTTGCCCACCCAGGAGGGAGGCCTGGAGGCATCCCTCGATTTACCCCCTTCTTGGCAACTCAGCATCCCATGACTCCTGGGCCCCGAGGCCATCCCCATCCTCCAGCAGCCCTCTGAGGCCCCAGGAATAATAGCAAGATGCCTCTCCCCAGCACCCCTTTCCTTCTCAGTGCCACAGTGCCTCTTCCCCACCATGGAGCCTAGAAAGTCCCTGGAGACTGCAGCCTGGGCCCAGAGAGCCTCTGCACTTGCTGAGCTGGGGAGGGGGTTGTACAGAAGCACCAGAGGCCCTGCAGGCCCCACCTGCCCCCAGGGCCAGACCCAGAGGGCTGGACAGCTCCATCCATACCAGGGGCTTAGGGCTTTGTTCTGAGCCCAGAACAAAAACAATCTCTGTCAAACAAGTGGTCTGTCCCCTCATTCCTAGGAAAGGAAGGGAGGGAGAAAAGGCAGGGAGGAGGGTCTAGTTCTGTCTTCCTGAGCCTCCAGGGGGCTCTCAAAGGGGGCAGCTCAGGTTGTGGGGACAAGAGGCCAGTGAGACATCATGGTGGCCACATCCCTCTGTCTGGGAAGGAAGCTGGGATGGGGCTGAAGAGAAAGACACAGTGAGGCAGCCGGGGGCGCACAGCAGAGCGGCAGACAGACAGCCGGGCACCCTGAAAGGGAGAGGAGCTGGGAGAGCCAGCAAGCACCCCTCAGCAAGCACACACAGCCTCCTGGGGGGCGGGTTGCAGGGTCAGGGTCTACCTTGTAAGCAACTCGAGCAGGGCATTTCTTCCCCAGCCCCAGAGGCGGGGACATGTGTTTCAGCATCTCAAACATGTCATTGTAACTGATGCGCCCACTGGAAACCCGTCCCAGCGAGGCCAGGGCACAGTGGGGTGGTCCACAGGAGGAGCGGCAGCAGGAGGGGAGCGGGGAGGGGAGCGGGGTAGGGGCAGGGAGGAAGCAGACAAGAAAACAGAGCCAGTTAATCAAAGTGTCGGATTCAAAGCCCAAAATCAAAATAAATAAAATGAGGGATTTCTCTGCTTGGCTTGACCCCCTCCTGGCCCCCCACCCCCGAGCCTCACCTCCTCACTCCAGCCCCACGCGGGGCAGTGGGCGGGGGTGGCGTCTGAGCTAATGAACATGGAGGGGTGAGGAAGGGCTGCATCGGGGCGGCTTTGGGTTGATAATTTCTGATTTTACTCTTTTAAAAATCACAGTGAATGCCAATCAGAAAAGAGCTGGTCCACCCTGCCAGAAGAGCTGGCAGGCGGGGTCAGGTGGCAGATGAGGCAGTGGCTGAGAACCACGGCAGAGACATCAGCTTTCCTCACGGTCAGATTTGCTTCCAAGTGAGGCTAGAGGCTAAAAAGGTGGAGAAGATCTGAAACAAACCAGAAAACTAAACAGGGAGCCCTGAAGCTGTACAGCCAAAACCTAACCTTGGGGCAAGTCCTGCTTCAAGCCCAGAGACGCCCGAGGCCAGCCCAGGGCAGGGCTGCTGCTGGGGCTCAGGGCTGGGTGGGAAATGGGAGACTGCGGGAGGGGGGAGGAGCTGGCAGGACATGGCCTGGGGCCACCTTGCACCAGCTCTGACAGCAAAGGGGCAGGTTGCAGGATCTAGGAACCTAAAGGCTCCGATGACAGAGTCTTCCCAAGTAGAGAGGCCACGAGGCCTGGGGCCTACCTCCAACCCTGGGACACCTGCCTGTGGGCTTGGGGTCCTAGAGACACAGCCAGATTCAGGTGGCCCAGGAGAGAAAGGGGACAGCCTCTTCCTGGCAGATGGATCTGCCCTGGGGCCTTGCCCTCCTCCCACGGTTCCAGACCAGGGGCTCCTTGGCTGAGCTGAGCGCATCACTCCAGAGGCAAAGCAGGACGGCTTGTCTTTGGCCCCCACTCTGCCTCTGCCCTTTCCTCCCCCAGGGACTGGAGAGCCACTGGGTTACTGGGCTCTTCCAACCCAGAGGACGGCTGCTCCTGGGAGGCCTGTGCCCGTGCTCCCTTCCTCTGGGGCCCTCGGCCTTTGGCCTGACCATCAGCTCACTCTCGAGAGCTCGGAGGAAAAACCGGGCAAGTCGGCTGCTTCCTTGATGCAGGAGGGACCTAGCCCCCATCTCCCACCCAGCTAGCTGATCCCAACCAGAAAGCTTTCTGTGCACTCTCAAAAGGCTGCCTGTCCCCAGCCAGCTAGAAGGGTCAGGGGAGATTAGACAGGGAACCAAAGCGTCCAGGAGGCTGGAGTGCGGGGCAGGACAGGAGGAAAGAAAGGTGAGGCGTCGTCATTCCCAAACCAGGCAGGGAGTGTGTGCTGTGTGCGTTTCGGGCAGGGAAGTATGTTGGATGGAGGCTCTGAAGTTGCAAACCTTGTAGGCCAACCTACGAGGGCAGTTCTTCCCTAAGCCAACGGGTGGCGCAATACAACGCAACAAACTGTACATATCCTTATAATGAATCCGGCAACTGGAAAGGAAATGTCACAGGTTATGGCAACAAAGGCAGGATGGAGCCCGACCCTCCCGCCCGCCCAGCCTGTGATGGGAAGACCGACCTCGCGCAGGCGTGGCGGCGGAGGTGAGGGGTGCACTGGACAGGTGGCACCTCGCCGGGGTACTGGGGCTTGGAGCTCCCCGGGAGGTGTGGCAACCCCAGCGAAATTTCCGGAGCCCGATGTGTGCAGGAGCCGCTCCACACAGAACACTGCCCTGCCCCTCCCTCTCGGTCAGCTCTTCCTCTCACTCCCTGAGTGACGATGCTCCCTGGGCCTCCCAGGTCAGCCAAACCCTCTGACGCCTGGCTTTCTCACCACCACAGCAAGGCAGGTCTGCTTCTCTATCACAGCAACCTCAGAGGCCCATACCCATTTGCCTCCTGACTGACCCTGTCTCCCTGAACACTCTGTGTCCTCCCCTGGAAGCCCTGGTCCAGCTAAGGACCTCCTCTCATCGTAGGCTGGCATCCTTGGATCACCACCAATGCTCCTCTCTCCTACAGTGTAGCCCCCTCGGTCCAATCAGCTCCAAATCATGTTGAATTTCCTTCTGTAAAAGGGAAGAAACAGGAAGCCCCACCTCGGCCTCACCAAAGATGTTTGCTAAGGTTGTGGCAGCCAAGGGACCACCACGGGGGGCTGGACACACGTGAGACCCCCCACCCTCCCCAGCTGTCCCTGCCCATCAAGCCCAGGTGGAAAGTGTGGGCCTGACACCATCACTCCTCGATGCAAGGACTGAGCCCACTGTCTACAACGCAAAATCAAAGCGACTTGTTCAACCAATTTCAATGCCTTTCTCAAACGGTCTCAGCCTTCCTTGCAGCCCCTCTGCAATGCACTCTCCTCTCCAGCCTGACAGAAGCCACCTGGCCTCCCTCTTCCCTCTGCCCCACCTCCCATCCCCAGCTCAATCCATCCTATTTCTCTAGTGCTCAATCCTTCCTATTCCTTTAAGTTCAGCTCAAATGGCACCTCCTCTCATTCTTCAGGCCAGACATGGCCTCTCCTTCCTCAGAAATGCCCTGGCCTTGAGCTACAGTCACCATGTGGTCTCACTGCCAAGCCTGGCTGAGTGTTCTGACAGCATGTGCCTGTTTCACCTTTGGGCCCCTGCCCCAGCACATGGCAGATGCCCAGGAGATGTTATTAGACAGATGGGTGGACACAGAAATGAGCAGCCAGATTGCTGCAAGAAGTGTGACTGCAATTCTCCTCTCAAGTCACCAGGCTTCACACCACAGGGTTGAAGCAACAACAATAGGAAGGCTGGGAAAAGCAGCACCAGGGTGAACAGTTTCGTGCCTTCAGAATCCACCGACACAGGCACATGCGCACCACAGGCACGTGTACACCACAGACATGTGCACACCCACAGGCACACACATGCACACCCACACAGGCACATGCGCACCACAGGCACATGCACACCACAGGCACATGCACACCACAGGCACGAGTACACCACAGGCACGTGCACACCCACAGGCACACACAGGCACATACGCACCACGGTGGCACACACACAAAGGCACATGCACACACAGGCACGTGCACACCACAGACACGTGCACACCACAGGCACACACGGGCATGTGCACATCCACAGGCACACACATGCACACATGGGCATATGCACACACAGGTGCACATGTCATTCATACACACATCCACATACAACCACACAGGCATGCACGCACATTCAGTTCACTTGCACACATATACACACAGGCACACATATATACAATCATATGTGCACACACAAACGTCAACATGCACACACGTGCGCGCCTTGTGCATGCACATGTGCACAAAACACACATGTAGACATCTGTGTGCATGCGTGCACAACACACATGTACACATGCACAGAGTGCACATGTGGTCACACTGTGCAAACACGCACACAACACAGCCATGTACATGCACACATGTCCTGTTTGTGCACCACACATGTGCACACACAACTCAGGAAATCTCATAAAATTTTGTTGTTGTTTCAAAGTTTCTCCCAAAGAACGAGGAGCCATAGAGTGGTCCCCTGGGAAATGACTACATCACTGCGTTTGTCACAGAGGCTACCAAAAAGGCTCAAGGTGCCCTGTGCTCTGCTCAGGACACAGGATCCAGGCCCAATCTGCTCAGCTGCCTCTGCTGGGCCCCTCGGCCTGTCCTGGCCATCTTGGACTACGTAGGGTGAGCCCAGGCTGCTCGTGGGGGCAGAATCATGTGTTGCTCACAGGTCACGTCTGTGCTATCTCAAGGCCCGCAGGTTTTGTGTGTTATTTTGTGCGTGCTATCTCTGGGGTGAGGCCTGTATTCTGTTGTTTACTCTTCAGTAAGCACTTCTCACATCCCCGACTGCCTATGTCTTCTAAGGACCCCTGCTCTGAGACTCTGGCTTTGGTATGGTACCACTGTGCATGGTAACCAAGCTGCCATCTGGCCCAAGTCCACTTCCCGTTCTTCCTGCCTCTGCTCTTGCCGGCGGCTGACTGTGGAAGGCCCGGGCGTAGCTCATAAAGATTGGGGAATGTTGTCATCCTCTCACAGGCCTTTGTTGATCTGCCTTTGCCCTTCAGTACTAACTACATGCTATAAAGTATCTCTGTTTTCTGCAACACAGTCTCCTCCAGAAAAAATACACCCAGAAAAAGCAGCGACTCTCTAAACCACACATTCAGGGTGACCTGCCTAGAATTCACCTAAATCCTGCCTCGGCTGGAGTCTCTCCTGCCCTTTGCCTAACAAGGTCTAGGTCTTCAATGTGGTCAGTCTCCCCCAGGTCGACTGGGCTTACTTGACCACAGGTCCTGTGTGAATGTGCCTGAGCCTGTCCCTCCCAGCATGAAGTAAGTATCACAGGGCAAACATATTGCTGCATCGGACATGACAGGGTTCTCGCAAGCCACGGAAATTGTCATATACACTGTGAAACACAGACAATCTCTACGTCTGTTTTGCACTGCGTAAAAACTGTATATTTCCGACTCAAATGAAAAACACCCACAGAGATGCTGTGTGCCTGGAAGAGCCTGGACAGGAGAGGCCCCATCCCAGGGCCCCCGATGCTGCCAGTGGCTCTGGACCTTGTCCAGACTGGGAAGGGCCCGTGCAGCACCCTCTGGATCCTCACTAGGAAGGTGGGGGTGCTCCGGGGAGGCTGAGTGGAAAGGAGGGTGGGGAAGTCTAGTCGGGCTCCCAGGCCTTTTGTGTCTGTGGAGGGCTCCCTCTGCTGAGCTGCAGTTTAAGCAAAACCAGGCAGAACCCAGGAGCTCTGTGGGCAGTAGGACCTCACCATGAGGGGTCTGACCACGTCCTGCCGGCCCTCCCCCAGTAAGGGCACTGGGGGCAGAGGAGTGCGAGGGGGCCTGGGCAGGCTGAGGAGCTCAGAGAGAGAAGGCAGGCCTCGGTGGCACCCACGGTTCCCTCATCCCCCTAGGGCACGGGGAGTGGTGGATGTCTACGCACTCACTGAGAGCTGCTCATCCACGATCATTTCCCGGGCACACGCTGTGAGTGAGGTGCTAGCAGGCCTAGTGGCCTTGCAGGGAGCAGCCCACAGTAGACATTGCTTGAGTGAGTGAGCGAGCAAGTAAATGAGGAACGAGTGATGGAAGGAATGGACAAACAGAAAGATGGAGAAGCCATGCTGCCTGACCTGTCTTCCTTCCCGAATGAGCTCTCAGCCCTGCTGAGATGCCATGCTGTACGGGACCCCCATGGATCCTGATCTCAAACAGCTTCACCTTCTGACCCAAACCATGCCCTTCATGCGACTCCTCCTCTGTCTGGAAAGGCACCACCCCTCGCCTTTGAAACAAGTAAACCTTTCCCACGATGACAGATGATAGACAAGGGTCTTAAACACACTACAGCCTTCCTGGTAGCTCATCTGTCAAAAAAGTTCACCAAGCACCCACACTATATGCAGCCTGGGCTGGGGACACAGAGGTGCATGTTGGCCCCTGTCCCCAAAAGAAAGAGCAGAGGGAGACTCCTGAGCCCCTTAGGGAGAATGTCCTAAAACCCTACATCGAGTCTCACAAGGACGCTATGGCTGTGCTGTCTCCACACACCCTCCCACAAGCCCTCCATGAGCCCTCACATGACAGGCCTTGAAAGAAGACAGTAAATTTCAGCAGAAGACCTGAGTCTCACAAGCCCCTTGAAAACCTTCCATGACTCCTGGTACCTCCCAAGGAACTGAACTCAAGGTCTCAAAAGACCCTTATCACTTTATGCAGTCCGGGCCACTGCGCGAAGGCACACGAGATGGAAAAGGGAGGTGCTGCTCGGAGGGGACATCACTGCTGCTCTACACGAAACAGGACAGATCCCTAGGCCCCAAACCAAAACCTGAGGGGGTGCTCACTTGAAACATGTCTGAAGCCACCAGGCCCATCCCAAGATCTATGGGCATGGACCACCCCCAAGGACCACAGAGCACCACGGCTCACTTACCACGCAGCCGGGTCGTATTCAGCCCAGACCCGGATGAACTCATCCAAGTGGTGAGGACCTAGGATGGAAGAGTCCCGCGTGAGGTACTCAAAATTGTCCATGATCACAGCCACAAAGAGGTTCAACATCTGCAGGACAGGAAGGAGAACAGGTGACGGAGAGAGACCTCAGCCTGCCCTCCCCGCCGCCCCCCACCACTCTCCAGTGTGTGTGAAGCTCTCAGGATAGCAGGGGTCACTCTGATTTGACCAGCACATGCCCGATCTGCTCTCCCCATGGGACTTCCAAGACTTCCTGCCTTCACGGGGTTCTGGAATCCACATGCTAGTGTCTTGCCCTATTTCAGGCCCCGGAGTTTCCTGTCCATGACCCTCCCTCCCTTCCTCTCTGTGATCACATTGTCTTTCCCTCTCAGACTGGCCTTCCATGAAATCCGTGACGTGCAGTTAACAGTTTGGACTCTACGGGCCAACAATTTGGGTTCTTATTTTAAAATTAAGTTTAAAGTCCCACAACATACAATTACCCATTTTAAAATGTACAGTTCAGGGGCATTTAGTGTATTCACAATATTGTGCAACCATCTCTCTCGTTTCAAAACTTTTTTCGTCGTTCCCGAAGAATACCTCATACACATTGGGTAATCACCACCCCAATCCCCGCCCCCCCAACCCCCTGGCAACCACCAATCTCCTTTCTGTTTCTATGGCTTTGTCTATTCTGGAATTTCACATAAAGGAATCACACAATATGATTTGATGTCTGGCTTCTTTCACTTAGCTTAATGTTTTCAAGGTTCATCCATATTGTAGTATCTATTAGTACTTCACTTCTTTTTATGGCTGAATAACATTCCAGTGGTAATACACCACATTCATTCACTGATAGGCATTTGGGTTGTTTCTGCCTTTTGACTATTATGATTCATGTTGCCATAAACATTCATGTACAAGTTTCTATGCAGATACATCTTTTCATTTCTCTTGGGTATATACCTAGGAGTGAAATTACTGGGTCATATGGTAATTCTATGCTTCATTTTTTTTTAGGAACTGCCAAACTTCTTCCATAGCAGCTGGTGCATTTTACATTCCTACTGGCAATGTACAACAGTTCCTCCTTCTCCACATCCTTGTCGACACTTGTTATTTTCAATTTTTAGAAAAATTATTGTTATAGCTGTCATGGTGGATGTAAAGAGGTATCTCATTGTAGTTTTGATTTGCATTTCCTTGATGACCAAAGATGTTGAATATCTTTTCATGTGATTGTTTGCCATTTGCATATCTTTTTTAGAGAAATGCCTACTCTTATCCCCTGCCATTTAAAAAATTGAGCTGTTTGGTTTTTTGTTGTTGAGGTGTAGGAGTTCTTTATATATGCTGAATATTAACCCCTTATTAAATATGTGATTTGCAAGTATTTTGTTCTGTACATTGTATTTCCACATATTTGATAATGTCCTTTGACGTACAAAAATTTTAAATTTTGATGTAGTCTAATTTATCTATTTTTTCTTTGGTTGCTTATGATTTTGGTGTCAAATCTAAGAATCCATCACCAATTCTGAGGTCCTGAAGATTTATCCTTTATGTATTCTTCTAATAGTTTCATAATTTTTGCTATTCTATTAGGTTTTTGATTGACTGAGATAATTTTGTATATTGAGTGAGGTAGAGGTCCAACCTCATTCTTTTGCATGTGGATATCCAGTTTTCTCCATATTATTTGTTGAAAAGATTATTCTCTCCCTCACTGAATTATCATGGAAAGAAAGACAATTCTTTCCCCCATTAGCACAACTGTCAAAAGTCAATTGAACACAGATATTTGAGTTTATTGCTGGACTTTCAATTCTACTTAATTGGCCTATGTATCTATCTTTATGCCAGTACCACATTGTTTTGATAACTGTAGCTTTCTAGTACATTTTGAAATTGGGAAATGTGTTGTTGGAATTAGTTTGCTAGTATTTTTGTTGATGATCTTTGGATCAATATTCATAAGGGATATAAGTCTGCAGTTTTCTTTTCTTGTGGCATATTTGACCATGATATAAGGGCAATGCTGGCCTCACAGAATGTGTTAGGAAGTGTTTCCTCCTCTTGTATATTTGGGAGAAGTTTGAGTGTTCACTTTCTTCTTCTTCTTCTTTTTTTTTTTTTTTTTACTGTAGTAAAGATACATAACAAAAAAATTTCCATTTTAACAATTTTTAAGTGTAGAGGTCAGTGGCATTAAGTATATTCACACTGTTGTGCAACCATGAATACCATCCGTCTCCAAAATTTTCTTCGTATTCCCAAACTGAAACTCTGTATCCATGAAACAATAATTCCTCATCCATCCTCCCCTGGAAACCACCATTCTACTTACTGTCTCGATGAATTTGACTACTATAGGTAACTTATATAAGTGGAATCATACAGTGTCTGTCCTTTTGTGACTAGCTTATTTCACCTAACATAACGTCTTCAAGGTTTATTCACATTGTAGAATGTGTCAGAACGCTCTTCCTTTTTAAGGCTGAATAATTATAGTCCATTGAATGTTCATACATTGTTTACCCATTCATCTGTTGATGGAAACTGGTGTTCCTTTCTCCTTTTGGCTATTGTGAGTAACACTGCTATGAGCATGTGTGGACATATATCTGTTGAAGTCCCTGATTTGATTTCTTTTGGGTCTATACCAAGAGTACAATTACTGGATCATTCTGTAATTCACTTTTACTACTATTTTGAGGAACTATCATACTATTTTCCACACCACCATTTTACAGTCATACCCACCAGTGCACAAGGGTTGAAATTTCTCCACATTTTTGCCAATATTTATTAATTAATTTAATTAATTTATTAGTTTTTTTTTTGAGATGGAGTCTTGCTCTGTCTCCCAGGCTGGAGTGCAGTGGCGTGATCTCAGGTCACTGCAGCCTCCACCTCCCAGGTTCAAGTGATTCTCTGCCTTAGCCTCCTGAGTACCTGGGATTACAAGTGTATGAGACCACACCCAGCTAATTTTTGTATTTTTAGTAGAGCCAGAATTTCACCATGTTGGCCAGGCTAGTCTCAAACTCCTGGCCTCAACTGATCTGCCTGCCTTGGACTCCCAAAGTGCTGGGATTACAGGCCTGAGCTACTGCACCTGGTCTATTTTCTTTTCTTTTCTGTCTTCTTCTTCTTTTTTTTTTTTTTTTTTTTTTTTTGAGACAGAGTCTCACTCTGTAGCCCAGGCATGATCTCGGCTCACTGCAACTTCCATCTCCTGGGTTCAAGCGATTCTCATGCCTCAGCCTCCTGAGTAGCTGGGATTAGACATGTACCACCAGGCCCAGCTAATTTTTGTATTTTTAGTAGAGACAGGGTTTTGCCATGTTGGCCAAGCTGGTCTTGAACTCCTGAACTTAGGTGATCTGTCTACCTCGGCCTCCAAAAGTGTTGAGATTATAGGTGTGAGCTACTGCACCTGGCCTATTCTCTTTTCTTTTTCTATCTTTTTTTCTTTAGTAATACCAATTCTACTGGGTGTGAAGTGGTATTTCACTGTGGTTTTGATTTGCATTTCCCTAATTATTAGTGATGTTGAATATTTTTTCATGTGCTTATTGGTCATTGTATTTGGAGAAATGGATATTAATCACTTGTCAGATGAATAGTTTGCAATATTTTCTCTGATTCTGCAAGTTGTCTTGTCACTCTGTTGATTATTTCACTGGCTGTGCAGGAGCTTGTTGCAGGAAGTCAGGGACCCTGAACGGAGGGACCGGCTGAAGCCACGGCAGAAGAACATAAATTGTGAAGATTTCATGGACATTTGTTAGTTCCCCAAATTAATACTTTTATAATTTCTTATGCCTGTCTTTACTGCAATCTCTGAACATAAATTGTGACGATTTCATGGACATTTATCACTTCCCCAATCAATACTCTTATAATTTCCTATGCCTGTCTTTACTTTAATCTCTTAATCCTGTCATCTTCGTAAGCTGAGGATGTATGTCACCTCAGGACCCTGTGATGATTGCGTTATCTGTACAAATTGTTAGTAAAACATGTGTGTTTGAACGATATGAAATCTGGTCATCCTAAAAAAGAACAGGATAACAGCGATTTTCAGGGAACAAGGGAGATAACTATAAGGTCCGACTGCCTGCAGGGCTGGGCAGAACAGAGCCATATTTCTCTTCTTGCAGAAAGCGAATAGGAGAAATATTGCTGAATTCTTTTCCCAGCAAGGAATAACCCTGGGAAAGGAATGCATTCCCAGGGGTAGGCCTACAGACTGCTGCTCTGGGATTGTGTGCCTTATGTGGTTGACGACCAGGGATGAAATACGCCCTGGTCTCCTGCAGTGCCCTCAGGCTTGCTGGGATTAGGAAACTTCAGCCTGGCAAATTCTAGTCAGACCGGTTGTCTGCTCTCAAACCAGGTTTCCTGTTAAGATGTTTATCAAGACAATGAGTGCCTAGTGGGACATGGAACCTCATCAGTAATTCTAATTTCACCCTGGCCTTGTGATCTTGCTCTGCCTCTCTGCCCTTGTGATCTTTTATTGCCCTTTGAAGCATGTGCTCTTTGTGTCTTACTCCCTGTTTGTACCCCTCTCCCCTTTTGAAATCCCTAATAAAAACTTGCTGGTTTTGCAGTTCAAGGGGCATCACAGAACCTACCAATAGGTGATGTCACCCCCGGAGGCCCAGCTGTAAAATTTCTCTCTTTTGTACTCTTTCTCTTTATTTCTCAGACCAGCCGACACTTAGGAAAAATAGAAAAGAACCTATGTTGAAATACTGGGGGCTGGTTCCCCCCATAGGAGCTATTTACTTATTTTTACTTATTCAGTTCCTTTTTTTAAATTCAATCCCTTTGCCCATTTCTTTCTTATAAATTTTTGTTTTGCTTTCATTATTTTTTTAATTGACATGTAATAATTGCATATATTTATGGGGTACAGTATAATATTTTGATACATGTATACAAATGTGTAATGATCAAATCACAGTAATTAGCATATCCATCACCTCAAACACTTATTTCTGTGTTGGGAGCATTCAAAATTTGCTCTCCTATTTGAAAATATTTGAAATATTTGAAAATATTCAACAAACTGTTGTTAATTATAGTCACCCTACAGTGATACAGAAGACTCAAACTTATTTCACCTGTCTAGCTGTACTTTTGTATCCGTTCACCAACCTTTGGCTATCCCCCATCCTCCTAACCTTCCCTGCCTCTAGTAACCACTATTCCACTCTCCACTTCTATGAGAGCAATTTTTTTTTAGCTTCCACATATGAGTGAGAACATGCAATATTTATCTTTCTGTGCCTGACTTATTTACCTTAACATAATGACCTCCAAGCTCATCCATGTTGCCACAAGCGGCAGAATTTCATTCTTTTTATGGCTAAATAGTATTCCATTGTGTATAAGGAAAATATTTTAAAAATCCATTCATGTGTGGATGGACACTTAAGTTGATTCCATATCTTGGCTACTGTGAATAGTATGGCAATAAACATGAGAGCCCAGATATCTCTGACATAATTGATTTCCCTCCGTTTGGATATATACCCAGTAGTGGAATTGCTAGATCACACACAGTAGTTCTATTTTCAGTTTTTTGAGGAGGCTTCCTACCAAGAGTGTATAAGAGTTCTCCTTTCTCTCCATTCTCATGAGTATTTGTTATTTTTTTTGTGTGTTTTTGATAACAGCCATTCTAACTGGGGTGAGATGGTATCTCACTGTGGTTTTGATTTGCATTTCCCTGATGATTAGAGATGTTGAGCACTTTTTCTTATACCAGCTGGCCATTTGTATGTCTTCTTTTGAGAGATGTCTATTCAGTTCATTTGCCCATTTATTAATCTGATTTTTTTTTTTTTTTTTTTTTTTTTTTTTTTTTGCTGATGGGTTGAGTTTCACCTTGTATATTTTGGATATTAATAGCTTGTCAGATAAATAGTTTGCAATATTTTCTCTGATTCTGCAAGTTGTCACTCTGTTGATTATTTCATTGGCTGTGCAGAAGCTTTTTACTGAAATGCAACCCCATTTGTCTATTTGTGCTTTGGTTGCCTGTGCTCTTGAGGTCTTCTCCATACAATTTTTGCCCAGACCAATATCCTGAAGTGTTTTCCCTGTATTTTATTCTAGTAGATTCATGGTTTTGAGTCTTACATTTAAGTCTTTGATCCATTTTGAGTTGGCTTTTGTAAATAGCGAGAGATAGGGGTTGAGCTGCATTTTTCTGCATGTGGATATCTAGTTTCCCTACCATCGTTTATTGAAGAGACTGTCCTGCTCCAATAAATGTTCTTGGTGCTTTTGTTAAAAATCAGTTGGCTGTAAATACAAATACTTATTTCTGAGTTCTCTATTCTATTCCATTGGTCTATGTTTCTGTTTTTATGCCAGTACCATGCTGTTTCAAAGTTTGGTAGTGTGATGCCTCCAGCTTTCTTCTTGTTGCTCAAGATTATTTAAGCTATCCAGGGTCTTTTGTGGTTCTGTATTAATTTTAGGATTTTTTTTATATTTCTATGAAGAATGTCATTGGTATTTTGATAGGGATTGCATTAAATCTGCATGGTCCTTTTCACAATATTAATTCTTCCAATCCATGAGCATCAAATGTCTTTCTATTTTTTGTGTGTCCTCTTCAGTATCTTTCATCAATGTTTTATAGTTTTCTTTGTAGAGATCTTTCACTTCCTTAGTTATTTCTTTTGTAACTATTGTAAATGAGACTGATTTCTTTTCTGCTAGTTTGTTGTTGGTATACAGACACACTACTGATTTTTGTACATTGATTTTACTGAATTACTTTATGAGTTCTAAGGATTTTTTGGTGGAGCTTTTAGGGTTTTCTATATATAAGACATGTTGTCTGCAAACAGGAACAATTTGACTTCCTTCTTTCCAGTTTGGATGCGGCTTATTTTTTTTCTTACATAACTGCTCTGGCTAGAACTTCCAGTACTATGTTGAATAAAAGTTGTGAAAGTGGGTATCCTTTCTTGTTGTAGATCTTTTCCCCATTCAGTATGATGTTGGCTGTGGGTTTGTCATATACAACCTTTATTGTGTTGAGGTATCTTCCAACCTAACTTGTTGAGTTTTCACTATGAAGGGATGTTGAATTTTATCAAATATTTTTTTCTGTGTCTATTGAGATGATAATATTGTTTTTGTCCTTCATTCTGTTGATGTAATGTATTATGTTGATTACTGGTTTACTTATGTTGAACCATCCTTACATCCCAGGAATAAATCCCATTTGATCACAGTGAATTAAAATGTGCTGCTGGATTCAGTTACTACTAATTACTACAAAATACTATTTTTCTTGAGAATTTTTCCATCTACGATCATCAGAAATATTGGCCTATAGTTTCCTTTTTCTTTCTAGTGTTTTTTGTTTTTGTTTCTGTTTCTGCTGTGTCCTTCTCTGGTTTTTATATTAGGGTAATGCTAGTCTTGTAGAATGAGTTTAGAAGAATTCCCTCCTCTTCAATTTTCTAGAAGAGCTTGAGAAGAACAGGTGTTAGTTCTTCTTTAAATGTTTGGCAGAATTCTCTAGTGAAGCACCCTGGGCTTTTCTTTGATGGGATTTTTTTTTTTTTTTTTTTTTTTTTTTTTTTTTTTGAGACGGAGTTTTGCTCTTGTTGTCCAGGCTGGAGTGCAATGGCGCGATCTCCGGTCACTACAACCTCTGCCTCCCAGGTTCAAGAAAGTCCCCTGCCTCAGCCTCCTGAGTACTTGGGACCACAGGCGTGCACCACCACGCCTGGCTAATTTTTTTTTTTTGTATTTTAGTAGAGACGGGGTTTCACTATGTTGGCCAGGATGGTCTCGATCTCCTGACCTCATGATCTGCCTGCCTTGACCTCACAAAGCGCTGGGATTACAAACGTAAGCCACCATGCCCGGCCGATGGGAGATTTTTAAATTACAGATTCAATCTCATTACAGTAATTGGTCTGTTCAGGTTTTCTTTTCTCCTTGGTTCAATCTTGGTGGGTTCCATGCATCCAGGAATTTATCCATTTCCGCTAGGTTTTCTAATGTGTTGGTGTACAGTTGTTCATAATAGTCACTAATGATCCTTTGTATTTCTATGATATTAGTTGTAATGTCTCCTTTTTTACTTCTGAATTATTTATTTGCATATTTTCTTGCTTAATCTAGCTAATGGTTTGTCAATTATCTTTTCAAAAAAACAATTTTTTTTTTTTTGAGACAGAGTCTGGCTTTGTCACCCAGGCTGGAGTGCAGTGGCATAATCTCGGCTCACTGCAACTTCCGCCTCCTGGGTTCAAGCAATTCTCCTGCCTCAGCCTCCCAAGTAGATGGGCTTACAGGTGCCCGCCAACATAACTGGCTAATTTTTATACTTTTAGTAGAGATGGGGTTTCACCATGTTGGCCAGGCTGGTCTTGAACTCCTAACCTCAAGTGATCCACTTGCCACGGCCTCCCAAAGTGCTGGGATTACAGGTGTGAGCCACCGCACCTGGCTATATTTTCATTTCGTTGATCTTTTGTAATGTTTTCATCTCAATATTGTTTCTTTTTGCTCTTGTTCTGATCTTTATTATTTTTGTTCCTCTACTAATTTTCGGCCTGGTTTGGGTTTTATTCCTAGTTCCTTGAGATGCATCATTAAGTCATTTATTTGAAATCTTTGTGTGTTTCTGATGTAGGCTTTTATTGCTATAAAATTCCCATTTCATACTGCTTTTACTGTATCCCATAAGTTTTGGCATGCTATGTTTCTTCTCCACCTACCCTGCCCCTGGTTCAAGTTATCATGACATGTGTTTCTATTTTTATTGTTTCAATATTTTTTTCTTCTCTTTTTCTGTCTTTTTTTTTTTTTTTTTTTTTTTTTTGAGACGGAGTCTCACTCTGTCACCAGGCTGGAGTGCAGTGGTATGATCTCGGCTCACTGCAACCTCCGCCTCCTGGGTTCAAGCAATTCTCCTGCCTCCGCCTCCCAAGTAGCTGGGACTACAGGCGCGTGCTACCACACACGGCTAATTTTTGTATTTTTAGTAGAGACGGGGTTTCACCATGTTGGCCAGGATGGTGTCGATCTCTTGACCTCGTGATCCACCCACCTCGGCCTCCCAAAGTGCTGGGACTACAGGCGTGAGCCACTGTGCCCAGGCTTCTTTTTCTCTTTTCTTTTTTTTCTTTTTCTTTTTTTTTTTTTTTTTTTGAGACAGAGTCTTACTCTGTCACCCAGACTGGAGTGCAGTGGTGCAATCTTGGCTCACTGCAAACTCTGCCTCCCAGGTTCAAGTGATTCTCCTGCCTCAGCCTCCTGAGTACCTGGGATTACAGGCACCCACCACCATGCCCGCTAATTTTTATGTTTTAAGTAGAGACAGGGTTTCACCATGTTAGCCAGGCTGGTCTCGAACTCCTGACCTCAAATGATCTGCCCGCTTCAGCCTCCCAAAGTGCTGGGATTACAGGCGTGAGCTACTGTGCCAGGCCAAATTGTAAAACTGCCTTCTTAATTTCTTCCTTGGCCCATTTGTCTTTCAGGAGAATGTTAATTTTCATGAATTTGTACAATTTCAAAAGCTCCCCTTGTTACTGATTTCTAGTTTTATTTTATTATTGTTAGAAAAAATACTTGATACAATTTCAATTATTTTACATTTGTTGAGACTTGTTTTGTGGCCTAACATCTGATCTCTCCTAGATTATCTTCCATGTGATGAAGCAGCTAATGTGTACCATGCAATGGTTGGATGAAAAGTTCTGGAAATGTCTGTTAGGTCCATTTGGACTAAAAGGCACTTTAAAGCCAATGTGGGTTTTTTGTTGTTGATTTTCTGTCTAGATGATCTGTTCAATGCGGAGCATAGGGTACGGAAATCCGCAAATGACACTGTGCTGGAATCTATCTCTCTTTTTGGATCTAATAATATTTGTTTTGTATGTCTGGGTGCTCTACTGTTGGGTCCATATATATTGACAATTGTTGTATTTTCTTGCTGAATTGATTCCTTTATCATTATATAATGACATTCCTTGCCCTAAAATTTTTTTTCTTAAAGAGATGGGGTCTTGGTATGTTGCCCAGGCTGGAGTGTAGTGGCTACTCACAGGTGTAATCACAGCACACTACCACCTTGAACTCCTGGACTCAAGCAATCTTTCCACCTCAGCCTCCCAAGTTGCTGGGACTACAAGTATGCACCACCACACTGGGCTTCTTTTCAGAGTTTTTGACTTAAAGCCTGCTTTGTCTGATGTAAGTATAGCACTCCTGCTCAATTTGGTTTCTGTTTACGTGGAGTATGTTTTTCATCCCTTTACTTTCACTCTATATGTGTCCTTATAGATGATGTGAGCTTCTTGTAGGCAGTATATAGTTGGGTCATTTAAAAAATCTATTCAGCCAGTTTATATACTTTAAGTGAGGGAATTTAATCCATTTACATTTAAGGTTATCATTTATAGGTAGGACTTACTTCTGTCATTTTGTTAATTGTTTTCTGGTTGTTTTGTATATCTTTTCTTCCTTTCTTCCTCTCATTATTTATCATTACGGTTTAGTGGTTTTCTGTAATAGTAAGGTTTGATTATTTTCTCTTTCTCTTTTGTGAAACTCACTCTACCAGCGAGTTTTATATTTTTGTGTGTTTTCACGATAGTAATTATCATGTCTTTGCTTCCAGATGTAGGACTCCCTTGTGTATTTCTTGTAAGGCTGGTCTAGTGGTGATGAATTCCCTCACTTCTTGCTTGTCTGGGAAAGACTTTATTTCTCCCTCATTTCTGAAGGATAGCTTTGCTGGGTATAGTATTCTTGACTGACAGTTTGTTTTTTGTTTTCCTTTTACCACTCTGAATATACCATTCCATTCCATTCTCTCCTGGTCTATAAAATTTCTGCAGAGAAATCTGCTTTCAGTCTAACGGGGGATTCTGTTATATGTGACTTGATGCTTTTCTCTTGCTGTTTTTAGAATTTTCTCTTCTCTTTGACTTTTGACAGTTTGACCATAACATGTCCCGGGGAGAACCTTTTTGGTTGAATCTATTGGGGGACTGTTGAGCTTCTTGGATTTGGATGTCCACATCTCTCCCCAGACTTGGGAATTTTCCAGCTATTACTTTATTAAATAGATTTTCTATACCTTTTCCCTTCTCTTTTCCTTCTAGACACCCATAAAATATTTTTTTGCTTAATCATGCTCCATAATTCTTGAAGGCTTTTCTTCACTCTTTTTAATTATTTCTTTTCTTTCCCTCTTACTAATTTCAAATGACCTATCTTCAAGTTCAGAGATTTCTTTTTTCTTCTGCTTGATCAGACTCACTGCTGAAGCTCTCTATTGTTAGTTTTTATTTTTAATTTCATTCATTCAATTTGTCAGCTGCAGGATATCTGCTTGGTTCTTTTTTTATGATTCCTATCTCTTTGTTGAATTTTTCATTCATATTGTCAATTGCATTTCTGATTTCATTGCATTGTCTATCTGTATTTTCTTGTATCTTGTTGCACTTCTTTAAGAACATTATTTTGAATCCCTTTTCTGTCAGTTTTTAAATTTAGTTTTTACTAGGGTCTACTACTAAAGAGTTATGTTCCTTGGGTGATGTCAGATTTCCTTGCTTTTTTTTTTTTTTCTTTGAGATGGAGTCTCGCTCTGTCACCCAGGCTGGAGTGCAGTGGCGTGATCTCGGCTCACTACAAGCTCCGCCTCCCAGGTTCATGCCATTCTCTTGCCTCAGCCTCCCGAGTAGCTGGGACTACAGGCGCCCACCACCGCGCCCGGCTAATTTTTTTGTATTTTTAGTAGAGACGGGGTTTCACCGTGTTAGCCAGGATGGTCTTGATCTCCTGACCTCATGATCCACCCTCCTCGGCCTCCCAAAGTGCTGGGATTACAGGCGTGAGCCACCACACCTGGTGATTTCCTTGCTTTTTCAAGTGTCTTGTGTCCCTTAATGTCTGTACATCTGGTAAAACAAATCACCTCTTCCAAACTTTGTACAGTACAGTTGGGTTTTAGTGTGCCAGCTGGGAAGGGCATAGTTACTCTGTTTCCAGGTGCAGTGGTATAGTCTCCCTACAACTTCTTTAGCTGCATTCAACATTAGCAGTAATTGTGGGCACTTCAGTTGTCCAGGGTGTAGAAGTTTGTGGCAGCAGAAGTGGCAGTGTAGGCTGTAAATGTCCTCAGTGTCAAGGGCTTTTGGGGTCCTGTTATTTTTGTTTTCCCCACAATGGGAAGACTTAGCTGAGGGGACACCTCTTGGTATCAGGTCTAATGGCCTGCAATCAGCTGCAGCACCACTGGGTTCCAGGTGCAGGTGCTCAGAGTGGCTGTGGAGCTGGTGTCCTATACTTAGAATCTCATGAACTTATTGTGGCACCTGGGTGTTGGGGTACAGGTTTGCTCCCTGGGGCAGAGTTGGGTGTACGTTGCCCACAGTGCCAGGATCTGATTCTAAGCCATTCCCTAGCAGCTCAGGCCCAGGGGGCGAGATTATAGCTGTGATTCTACTCCTGGGCGGGGTGGGGGCAGGGCATAGCACTGGTCCAATTCAGGAAGAAGGGGTGCTCTGGAGTTTTGGGCCTGAGAAGTTGGATACAGCTGCAATTCAGGAACCTGAACCAATAGGGGTTAGTGGCATCTTGGGTCCCAGGGGAAAAGGCACCATGTAGTGGTTACTCTAGACCCTGGGATGGTAGGGCTTGGCAGTATCCCAGGTTCTGTGAGAACAGGTGTAGCAGCAGCAAGTACCCTAGAATGGCAGAGCACCGCTCTCATTTGAGCCCTGGGGAGGCAGGGAACTCCACTCCCCAGGTCTGTCTCAGCAGCTCAGACTCCAGGGGGCAAGTCTAGCTCCAGGAAAGCAGGGCAATAGAGCTATTTGGCCTATGGGGCTGGGTGTCTCAGCTGAGCCAATGCTCTATTTATCTGGGATGGCAGGGTACCATGTCAGTTCAGCCCTGGGATGCACAGCCCTCAGTTCATCCAGGGCACTGATTCCCAGGGGTGGGGGGTGGGGACAATGTGCCACTTCAGCTCAGGCTTGGGGGATGTGACTGCTCTGGGTGGCCAACGCACCATTTCCTGGGATGCAGGGAACTGCTTCAACTTAAGACACTGGGGAGGTGTGACCGCTCTGAGTGGCCAAGGTACTGTTTTCCCAGGAGGCAGGGTACCACTTCAGCTCTGGCCTATGGGCATGGAGGGGAAGGGTAGGTGAAGCAGCTCCACCTCCACGTGGCCCCTCAGGGAAGGGTGTAACAGCTGCTTGCAGCTCAGCTTGGGGATGTCGGCCACCAGTCTTGGTTAGTTTGATGGCAGTTTTGCCTCAAGGATAAAGGGAAGCTGCGGCTACTCCAGGAGCAAGTCACACTCCCGCTCTAGTTCCAACTCCTAGGTAGTGGAACACAGTAGCCACGTGGGCCACAGGGGCTGAGCAGTGTTGGCTTTGTCTCTGGAGGGAGCACAGGTGTGTGGACCCCAGGCAGCTCCCTCAGCTAGGCTTAGTGCCTTGAGGACTGCAGGGGACCCGAGTGGTAGGGTCTGCAGGTGTCCGAGATGGTGATGGGGGCTGCTGGGATCCTCTTGCTTACCTCCTCACCAAAGGGAAAAGCTCTCCTAGGTCCCAGCTGATCCTAGTTGTGGGATGGGGTGGTGGTGTTTGCTTGGTGTTTCATTCCATTCTCTAAGTGGCCATCCCAAGTTTCTGTGCTCACCAGTGTCTCTGTTACACCTCTGATGTACTCCGAGACTCTCCCTCAGTTATTTTCATTAAAATGTAATTTTTTGTTCATTGTTCTGTCTTTTTGAGAAGGACAAGCACTAGGTGGAAGGTCAGCCATCTTGCTGACGTTACCTCTCATTTCTTAATTGGGTTGTTTTATTTTTGTTGTTGAGTTGTAGAAGTTCTTTATACATTTTGTTAAATCAAGTTTAGCCTAAAGCTGCCTCCTTATATATTTTAAGTTCAGCCTAGAGGCTTCTCTGTACCTAGTGAACTATAACCTAAATGGAAGTGTAAACAGACTTTGTAACCTATTATCACGCCAATCATCAAGTTTTGGCCAATCAAAGGGAGCTAACTGTTCTGTGTTCAAATAAGGCAAACGCTAAGCTGTAACCAATCAACTGTTTCTGTACCTCACTTCCATTTTCTGTACATCATATTCCTTTTTCTGTCCGTAAATCCTCTTCTGCCATGTGGCTGTGTTGGAGTCTCTGAGCCTACTCAGACTCAGGAGGCTGCACAACTTGCGAATCATTCTTTGCTCAATTAAACTCTGTTAAATTTAATTTGGCTAAAGATTTTCTTTCAACAATTCTGATATTAACCCTTTATCAGAAATGTAATTTACAAATATTTTCTCCAATTCCTTGAGTTGCCTTTTCATTCTGTTGATAGTGTCCTTTGATTCTAAAAAGTTTTTAATTTTGAGTAGACAAATTTATTTTTTCTTTTATTGTGATTCTGGTGTCAAATCTAAGACTCTGTTACTAAGTAAAACGTCATAAAGATTTACCCACTATGTTTTCTTCTAAGAGCTTTATAGTTATAGCTCTTACATTTAGTTATTTAATTTTATGTTAATCTTTGTATATGGTATAAGGTAGGAGTCCAACTCCACTCTTTTGTATGTGGATGTCCCGTTTTCCCAGCAAAGAGTGTCCCTTTGCCATTATATGGTTTTGGGCTTCTCTTTATTGGGAAGTTTTCGATTACTGATTCAATCTTCTTACTCGTTACAGGTCTATTCATATTTTCTACTTAATTCAGTCAGTTATGATAATTTGTGTCTTTCTAGGAATTTGTCCATTTCAAAAGCTTAGGTTCTAAACTCAGGCTAAGATATTTAACATCTCTAGACCTCCATTTCTTCATTGTAATAATAATAATACCAATCTCAGGACTGTCACAGAGACTAAAATACTTAATGTATTCATAAGACCCTGCATAGTGCCTGACTCAGTGATTATCAGCAGGCTGTCATGAACAACCTCATTCCCTATTCTTCCATCAGCACCCTCTATTCCAATTAATGGAACCAAATCCCAACCTAACGAAGTCCTGCCACCCATCCCAAATTCACAGTCCCATTTTTTCCATGTCACTTCTCTATCAGACCAAACCACATCCAAGTGTTTCAAAGCATGAGTTGCCCAGCATGTCCAATCTGTGAGGGAAGTGCCAGAAGGATTAGGATTACAGTTTCAGTAAGGAGACACCAGGGTTAGCCAAGAACCATGACTGAGGTCCATGGGGACAAGAACAAAGGACAGTGGCCACGAAATACCCTCTTCTCTGCACAGGAGTGATAGCTAAACCCAAGGATTCCTCGACTCATCCTGGACATGTCTAGTGAGTGCTGGCCCTGTACGTGGTGTGGTATCATGAATGTGGCTTTCTGTGGAACCCCATCTCTGCGGCCAGGTGCATGGTAAGGTCAGGCTAGTAGGTTTGGCTTTGTGCCCACAGGTGTGCTGGTTCTTACAGCACCAGATGTCTTTGAACAGTATAGAGACCAATGCCTCAGGAAAGTGATTCTCCAAAAAGCCCACCCTCCCTGCTGCCCACAAGGGGTCTTCGGAGGGATCAGGAGATGACTCAAACATGGAAATCCTTCCCTTGGTTTCTAGCAAGTAGTGAAACACAGTTTTGTAGGTTCTTCTGTATTTCTCTATCTAAGTGTAAGCTCACCTGTCTCAAGTGCACATCATTCCCAACCACCTCAACCTCCTACTGCACCCTGCAAAGCTCACAGTCCGCCATCAGCACAAGTCCTTATATCTCCATCTCCCCTGAGTGCTCTCCACTTGTTCTTGCTCTGGCTCAAACATCTAAGAGGATGGATGTCCCCTCTGGTCTCTTCTTTAAAAACCTGTTCTCTGGGGCTCACATCATCTATTAAGTTTCCCCTTCCTTCATGAAAAACTTAGCACCTGGCTTGCTGTTTTTGTCTCCACTTCTATTCTTGTTATCATTCTTGTTGCTTTTAAGATCCACAGAGATGGGACGACCGCTGCCTGCCCTCTCCCTTCCTGAACCTTCTCACCCATCAGCTCATCTCCTTGTTCCACAAATCACACTAAACATGCTTATCAACAGTGATCATGCTAATGTTAATGTAATGATCTTGCAATGATAATGTAATGACGGCAATGATGTTTACCGATGGCATCACTCACTGCCTCCCGAGTCTCCACCTCACACATCCCACTCTGCTCACATCGCCTACTTTTCCGGCTCCCTTTTTCAAATACCTGCATCCCAAAACATGTCCTCACGAGAACCTCCAATCCAGTGGCATTGCCCCTCACCCTCCTCTGTCCCCAGCTTTGATCCCACGTCCAGCACAATAACCACACTCTTATACACACCCTTCTCTCCCTCCTTGCACTTGTCTGGGAAATCCCGAATCTGGATAATCCACTTTTCTACCCTTGTACTGAGGAGTGAATGTGGCTAGAGAAAAGCACAGCCATGCCAGCTGTTCCTCCTTGGAGTCAGGGCCACAGGCTTGAGGTGTTTCCTCAGTGCTGCTCACTGTCAAGAGCATCTCTGTCCCGGCTGTGCTCCTCTCCTCTTACCGGCTCTCAAACTTGTGGCAACAAGGCCTTCACTCCCACTACGCTGACGGAGGAACGATGTGCCAAGGGTGCTAACGGCCTCTGCCTTTCCACATCCAATAAACAACATTTTTTTTTTTTTTTTTTGAGACAGAGTCTTGCTCTGTTGCCCAGGCTGGAGTATAGTGGCGCAATTTTGGCTCACTGCAACCTCCACCTCCCGGGTTCTAGCGAGTCTCCTGTCTCAGCCTCCCTCTTTTTTTTT
The DNA here is from genome assembly GCF_000001405.40 of Homo sapiens. Classification (NCBI taxonomy): domain Eukaryota; kingdom Metazoa; phylum Chordata; class Mammalia; order Primates; family Hominidae; genus Homo; species Homo sapiens. The sequence continues at coordinate 138,079,756 of NC_000009.12, read as the reverse complement.
TTTTTTTTTTTTTTGAGATGGAGTCTGGCTCTGTTGCCCAGGCTGGAGTACAATGGCGCGATCTCGGCTCACTGCAGCCTCCACCTCCCAGGTTCAAGCGATTCTCTTGCCTCAGCTCCCCAGGTGGCTGGGATTACAGGTACCTGCCACCACGTCTAGCTAATTTTTGTATTTTTAGTAGAGATGGGGTTTCACCACGTTGGCCAGGCTGGTCTTGAGCTCCTGGCCTTAGGTGATCTGTCCGCCTGGGCTTCCCAAAGTGCTGGGATTACAGGTGTGAGCCACCACGCCCGGCCCAGTTAACAATTCTTGGTCATCATCTTGCATCACCTTCCGTCAATATGGTGCATGGCTGGTTACTTCCTCTCTCCGCCCACTCCTGGTTCTCCACCTGCCTCCTGGACTGCTCCACCTCAGTTTCTGGATCTAGTGCTCCTTTCTGCCTCCTCAATGCCCTTGGGGTAGAGTCTTCAGCCTTCTTCTGAACACTGTTCTTCCCCTACGTCAGTGCTCACCAAAGTTCAACACACACAGAGTCACCTTGAGAGCTTGTTAAAACTCAGATTCCTGGATCCATCTCCAAGACACCCTGATGCAGTCTCGGGAGTGGCCTGGGAATCTGTATGTCTAACAGGCACTCAGGCACTGCTTTGGACGCAGGTCACTGCACTAAGCTTCGCATTAACAGGGATCCAGCAAATAGCATGCAGCCCCACGAACACACCGAACACTAACGACAACTCGTTTCCATCCAGCCCAGAGGTCGCTGGGCATCTCTGCTGCCTCCAACCCTAAACTAATCTCAGCTCCCCAGTACTCCCATCTCAGAAGAACTGCTCACCCTGTGGCCCCAGAAAACCCCAGGATGCAGCCTGCTTTTTCCTCTTCGCATGCCCATCTCTCATCATCAATCGTGCCAGCTCTACTTTTAAAATGCAGCCTAATCCCACCTCACTCCCTTGCCTCTCCTTTCTCCAGGCCACTGTTGCCCCCAGTCGTCTCCTCACTCGCTCTGCAGCCACGTCCTCACTACTCACACAGAAGCCAGAGCCAAGCTGTAAAACGTCAAGCAGATGCTGTGAGGCCCCCAGAGGCTTCCATGGATGTGAAATAAAATCCACACCTCTGGGGCCTGCCCTGCCGACCTCCCCACCCAGTCCAGCTGCTTTCCCCGTACACTGGCTGGGATGCTGTTCCTTCACATCCCATCACCACAGTGGATGACCTTCTAGAAGCTGGAAGTTAAGGAACAGTTGCCCCTGGAAATGTAACCCTTTTCCACGGATGTCAAGGAAGGGCCCACAGGAGCCCGTTACCATGTCGGCCCTTTCTCTGGCTAACAAAGTCGCCATCTCTGGGGAAACAAGGGCCATCAGCATGGACTCAGCTTCTGACATGGCCTGGATCAGAGTCAGGGATCAGCAGGAGATGTGGGAGAAGCCTGAGCTGTACCGAGACAAGACGTGGCACTGGGAGGGGCACAGTGCCCAGGACTCACCAGAAAGGAGCACAGGAAGATGAAGGAGACGAAGTAGAAGTAGGCAAAGTCACTTCCACACTCGGTGGCATTGGCCTGCTCATCACAGGCCTGGTTGCTCAGGCAGGACAGCATGATCTCGTGCCAGGCCTCCCCCGTGGCGCTCCTGAGAAGAAGGGCAGAGTTGTGAGGCCCACAGAGGCCCTTGAGGGAGCCCGAGCCCTGTGGGGCTACCAAGCGTGCCCACTCCTTTGGGCTCCTTCCCACAGACAGCTCACACATGTGCCAGGCCTGGGTCACAGATGCTGTTTCTTCAAAGGAAACTTCTGGCACTAGATTTCCAAACTGAGCATTAATTGGGAAACCACTGCTTACTAAAAATTATCTACGGCACCAGGGGCCAGCGCCAGGGCGAGCACTTCTTTGTGGACACCACAGGCCCCAGTTGTACTCCTGACCTCCTCCCAGACACACGCCATCTTGGTCTTCATTTCCAGAAATGGTGACTCTCCTTCCAGCTGCTCCAACCAAAACTGTGGGGGTCATCTTTGCCTCCTCTCTCTCTCCATATCCTGTTCATCAGATCATCTGCCTTCAAAACACAGCCAGGCTCTCACCACTCCTCACTGTCCTAGGCCAAGCGACCATGACCTGCCCTGTGCTATGGAAGCTTCTGAGCCTATCTTCTCACTCTGCCCTACACGGCAGGAAGCAGGTCCACTAAGCACAGGTCAGATCACATTCTTCCTCCTCTCAAAACCCTCCGATGACTTGCCTCGCTCATCAGAAATGCCAAAATCCACATGACTGCCCATAGCACTGTGGGACCTGCTGCCCACTCTTTCCCTGACTTCACCCCCATCTCGGTTCCAGCTCAGTCCACTCCAAGCACCCTGGCCTCTGCTGGTCCTTGAACACCTCAAGAGCACCCTGCCCTGAGCAGCCACCCTGGATGCTCCTGCACGGAGTCTGTTCCTGGACACAGCCAGCACCGGGGGCTTGCAGGGTACAAGTGGGTCAGAGGCCTGGGTCCCCACCTCCGTGTGTCTGTGTGCGCAGCCCCAGGCGTAAGCTGGGCCCACTCCTCACTGATGACAGCCGGAGGCAGGGGGGTTCCTGCAGGGCTGCTGCTTCAACCTGTGCTGGGCCTGACTGATAAGGGTGTTCCCAGGGAACACGAAGTTCAGGGAGAAACAGAAAGCTGTGAGACCAAAGGCCTCAAAACTAAGGCTGACTTCATAGGTTTGCCTTAAGTCTTCCGCGGCATGAGGCAGAATAGTAATAAATGATGAGATAAAATTAACGCAGCAGCTAAAGCCCAGCCAAACAACATCATCTGGGGACAGTGTCAGCCTAAGGGTGCTTGCTTATGTTATGCAAAGAAACAAGAGTCTAAGAGGTCTCTCCAGGCAGCTCAGCAAAGCAGGTCTGGGTCTGAGCTCGCCCCAGCGCGCATCTGCAGGCAGGGTGGGCTGTACAGCAGCCCAGTGCATTTGCACACATGGACTGAAATGGCAAATCCCTAAAAGAGCTCCTTCCTTCTGTCCTAGGCTCGTGAGTGATAAACTGTGGGAGACTCAGGAGGCAGGAAAACATGTTCACCCACCTCCCTTCTGCTCCCAAGTTCACTCTCAAACCAGGATGGCCCATAGCTCCTGTTCCGCGCCCAGGAACAGCAGCTGATGCTGAGGCCTCTCCTGGCACATCTCCACCAGGAGATCTCAGAAGGCCCCGAAGCTTGTGCCATGGCCTCTTGGCCCCTCCAGGTTCTGCCTGTTACTTGGCTTGGCTGGATCCAGGAGCCCAGGGAACGGCAGCTCCCATGAGAGATGGTGGAAAATAAAGGTGTGTTCAGATCGGCAGTTCTGGTCAGTTGGGTTCCTTGGGCCACTGAGTAGCTACAAACTCTGCTGGTCAGTTCCCCCTGTTGCCCTACTGCCCTCGATCCCACCAATCCCTGTAATCAACAAGGGCGCAGGTGGAAAGCTGGAGGCCCGCACTTCAAGAGAGCCCCTGCTAGGCACCTCTGTCCTCCCAGACCTCTGCCTGGAGCCTCACCGGAGGCTCCCAAGCTGTCGCCAGGGAGCACAGACGAGGCAGCAGAGGCCGGCCTGGCCCAGGGCTCCCAGGATGATCTCCCTCAGGGCTTCCCTTCAGCCTGTTCTGAGACTGGGGCAGATATCAAGAGCCTTTGGAAAAGAGGAGCAGAGAGAGGGGAAGAACCAGAAAGGCCTGCTGAGGGGAAGCCAGTGGGGTCGGGGAATTAGAAGTGGGTGGTCTCCACGGTTGACACCCAGCCTTCTTCATCCTGAGTAAAGCAGCCCCCGACGGAAGAGCAGACATTGGCCTGGGCTGACCGAACAACACACCTGAACAGCAGCATCAGGGCTTGCAAAAACGTCCGGAAGTTGTTGTGGCGGTTGATGCTGGTGTCATCATCCAGGGCAATATTCCCAAACACCTGCAATGGAGAAGAGCAATGGCACGGACCCTGCTGGGTCTGCAGGAGCCGCGCCAGGTGGACCGAGCCAGAGAGGGCGTGCGAGCCGTACAAGGACCCCACGTGAGATGGGCGACTGCCCCACACCAGAGAACTCCCACCCGGGAGAGGCCAGTGTGCATTCCCAGTATAGACGCCCTCTCCGTAGCTACACATGTGCCGGCTCCAGCTCTGAACCTGTCCACAGATGCAAGTCCGAAACACTCACAAGAACGGCCCCGAGCTAAGTTTGTGAGGCCTCTGCCACACGTAACACAGGAAGTGTTTTCAAGTGGGATCATCAGCGACTCCAAAGCAGGCATTATGTTGGTAACAGGTCTGACAGATCATGGGAAAATGTCTTCTTAAAACATATGCAATAGTACAACGGGCTTTTTAGCCATTTTAACTGACTTTTCCACAGTAAGAAATGCAAATGGGTCAGTAATTGTACTCAGCCCAAAATCTGGAATCTGGCTGCAAATTTATGAACTATGACACATCCACAAAGATCAGTAACGTATGTGCTCTTGTACATCCACAGACCAAAGCAGGAAAAAAAGATGTATTTATTTAAACAGCATCAGATCTCTGCAAATTTTAAAGCAAGAGAACTCTTCAATCCCTGAAATAGAGTTTAGAAATCAGTTTTCCGTGAACCTTTGAAACACCGGCACCTTCGATAACAAATTAACACTCGGGTCCCTCTTCCGTCCCTGCTGTTGGAAAAGTGGTCAGATGCCAAAGATTTATAACTGGGACACTGCTTTATGTTTTTTTAAATGCTTTTTCCCAAATAGCTGACAATGTGTTCTTTCTAAAATAAAGAAAATCTAAATTATGCAAGCCAAGTTTGCCCAGCGCAAGGATCCGATGCGCTCCTGCTCACATTCTCAGGCAGTTTTCCCCAGTAGCATGTAACCCCCGCCGCGGGTCAGGCCTGTCCTTCAGCGCGGCTGCCAGACTAACAGGATAACCGACCGCCACTGTGCAAGCCACTCGGCAAACACAGCTGTGCTCCAACGCGCCTCCACCACACAGCCAGCACCCATTCTGACCTGTGCCCCGACACCCTACCATCACTGGGCGGGAGCCCATGCAGCCCTCAAGAACACCACGGTGCATCCACCTGTTGAGGTGGCAATGGGCCGAGGGCCAGAGCTGCCCCACACCAGGATGGCCCTGGGCAAGCAGCCCAATCTTGTGGTGCCTCCATGTCCTCCTCCGCAAAACAGTCTTTCTGAGGGTTACGTAAGTTTAGGCCAGGCGCGGTGGCTCACACCTGTAATCCCAGCACTTTGGGAGGCCAAGGCAGGTGGATCACTTGAGGTCAGGAGTTCAATACCAGCCTGGCCAACATGGTGAAACCCTGTCTCTACTAAAAATACAAAAATTAGCCGGGCGTGGTGGCACACATCTATAATCCCAGCTACTTGGGAGGCTGAAGCAGGAGAATCGCTTGAACCTAGCAGGCAGAGGTTGCAGTGAGCCAAGATCACACCATTGCACTCCAGCCGGGGTGACAAAGCCAGACTCTGTCTCAAAAAAAAAAAAAAGAGTAAGAAAAGAGGATTACGTAAGTTCAGCAAGTGCTCAAAGCAGGATCTGGCTCACAGAGAATGTTCACTAAGGATCAACTGATTATGACGATGATTTGACAATCATGATCAGTGCCCCTCTGCTCCAGGGCACGGGAGGCCGGAACCACGCTCTGTCCCAAAGGGGAGCACCCACCTGCATGCCGATGATGGCGTAGATGAAGAACAGCATGGCAATGAGCAGACACACGTAGGGCAGGGCCTGCGGAGACAGGGGCCGGTCAGCTACAGGCACCTCCCAGCCACCACGCCCAGGCCTCCTGCTACGGTGGCTGGGCCTTTGAGGTCACACAGACCTCAGCCTACTCAAGCTCCATCCCACTGGCCACCAAGCCCCTCCACCAAGTGATGCCCCAGTTTCTTTATCTCTAACTCGGAGTCATGAAACCCACCTCAGGGTTCTTGTGAGCATGACCAAGGGAACCTACAGATGACTTAAAACGTCTTTATAAATGACAACAGGACAATGCATACAACCACGAAACCTGCATGCCATACCCTCTCCCAGCCTCCCAAAGGAGGGGCCACTGTGGTGGGGGCAGGGGAAGCAAGACGGAGGAAGGGGACAGAAAGCATGGAGGCCCCCCGCCTGGCCCACCTTGAAGGACTGGACAAAGGTCCACAGCAGGATGCGGATGGTGTAGCCCTGGCGGAGCAGCTTGATCAGCCGCGCAGCTCGAAAGAGGCGGAGGAAGCTGAGGTTGATGAAATTGTTCTGCAGAGAAGAGGAATTGTTCTCTGACCTTCAGAAGCCCCGAAAGCGCAGGCAAGCTGCTGCCACCCTACAACCTCTTCCCACATCCCTGTGGCCCCAAAGAAAAGTGGTTAAAAAGATTAAAATCAAAGGTCTCTGCTTCACAGTCTAAGCAGCAATCGGCCACCAGAAAATCTTCCAGAAGTAAAGCTTGTCCTTGCAAATCACTTCTCATGCAGCAAATCAGAGAAAACCTCCTTGGCTCTAAGGCCCCTCCCCACCCCCAACCGTGAGCAACAGAAAGAAAAGTTCTCCCAGGCATCTCTCTGCTGCCAGGTGAGCTGGGAGATCACCTGTGGCTGGGCCTCCAGCAGTGACCACCTCTTGCAGGACACGGTCAAGCTGGCCACGTGCTGGGCATGACTGCTTCTCCACCCAGCACCCCGGAAGGGACCCCCGCCCAGGCTTCACGGCTATGCCCTTTCCTCCCTGGCTCAGTCAGCAAAGCCCTCGCTTGCCTGGGACCCTCGCTGGGACCTGGCAGAGGGGCAAACACTTCCTCTGAGGCTGCTCCAGGCGTGTGCAGACAAGTTATGGAAGGTACAGGTGTTCTGCTGCTCACACCACGGAAGCCACCTCTGCAATTCACGGTCAAACAGGCCTCTGCTCTAGAGAGCCCAGGCTGTCTAGTGGAGCTCCCTCATCCAAGGGGCTCAAAATCAAGCACAATGATAAATGGATAAACCTGGGACTCCACAGATTACCTGGCAGTAAAGCCTCCACGTGGCCCCAGGGCACTTGAATTACTGTACTGGCACATCCCTTTCAGGGAAGCAGGCTCTGGGGAGGTGTCCGTGCACAGATGGGGGTGCTTGTGGACCCAGGAGGCTTTCTGCCCTCTGTCTACCTAGAGGTCAGGTGCCCACACACAGCCTGAGAGCAGCTTCCTGCCACTGCAGCATTTTAAAATATGCAAGCAGCTCAGGCTCAGAGACACGTTCGTGTTGTCAGATTCAGTCATCAAATAAAGAGAACACAGATGTCAAATGAGACAGCAGCAGCAGGAGCACGTGCAGGCGCAGAGGCGGTGAGGGCCTGGCAGAGCATCCCGACTCTCCAGGGCTACCGTTAGGTGGGAATGAGGTGTCAGTGGAGGGGTGGGCCTCACTCTTCCTTCCAGGGACAGTGGCCCAACCCGTACTGAGGACACCTCTGCCTAGGTCTGCCACTTCCACTGGCAGGGGCAGGGTGGCTGAGGATTCAACTCGAGGTACTGGCTCTCAGGCGGGATGCTGCAACTGTGGGAGCAGGACTGGTTTTGAATGATATCCATGGCCAGTGGGCACAAGGACGGGCTATGATCCAAATCAGCAAGGCGGCAGCAGTAGACCTCAGGGTGTGACCCCAGAGGGCAGCACAAGTGTACCTGTAGCTCCGTAATCTGCTTGTGCCAGGGAAAGAAAATCTCCACGGTAGACAAGATGGCCAAGAACTCTGGGCCACGAGGACCCACAGAGAAGCCAGCCATCTTAGAAACATGGGTGCAGGGGTGGAGGGCCGCAGTCCCGTGTCAAGAGACCCTTATGTAAGATGATGAAGCAGAGCCGGGGGTTGGAGGCTCCCACTCTGAAACCTTGTGCTCAGGGGGTCTGGAGGGGCAGGGACTGGGGCAACACAGCACCCACTGGCTCAAAGCACAGTCAGGCAGTGGCACAGACAAGATTCCCTGAAGACACTGGGGAAAATAAAGGCTGCCAGGTAAGAAGGAAGGACTGGAAGACAACAGGGCAGGCGAGAGGTGCGTGGAGAGTAACAGTTTGTCCAAATTACTTAATGCATGAATGCCAACCTCAGCCACCATCACTTTCTGTTTTTGTGGAGACCCACACTCCCCCCTTCCTCCTGGCTTCTCTCGGGGCTCCTGTGGGTACTCAGGAGAGGCTGGGGGCAGGAGACGGGCGCCCTGGAGAGCTGTGAAGACAGACGGTGACGGCAGCCACAGATGTTCGAGCACAGCGTGGCAGGCCGAGCACCATGCCAGCTGCATGCAGGAGAGCAAGGGACAGAAGCACACGCAGCGCCACGCCGTGCACCTGCACCATCACCTCTGGCCTCCGCCAGCCCCTCGGAGGCAGACACAGCCTGCCCCAACCTCACTGAGTCCATGGCTTCTGTTGCAGCCACACCTACTTCAAGGCCAGGCCCTTCCTTACTTCTACCTGAGTTGGAAAAGGTCTGTGGCACCCCAAAGGCACAGCATTGTGCCCTCAACATGGTGGCTGACTCACCTTGATGGGACAACGGTCCCTAACCCTTCAATCCTCAGCTTTCTCATCCACAAAGAAACACGGGGACACCCAGTCCAGGAGGTGAGGAGTACTTGAGAAAAGGGATTTAAAATTGCTCTTAGCACTGCAGGACACCGTGCCATGACAGTGACCCACTGACTCTGGACCAAGACCAGCATCCCCTGTATCCAAGACCACCACGGCCTCTGGCCAGAGTCACAGGGAAGTGAGGGCTTGTCCCGAGTGTCAGCTGGGCACCCCACCCCGATCTGTGGGCCCCGATGTGGGCCAGCTACCACACCAGAGGACAAGGCCCAGCAGGTGCAGAAAAACTGCTCTGTGGCTCCCTTTCATTCTAATGAGACTGACAATTGAAGACGGGAAAGAGACATGCATGTGCATGAGTAACATGTCAGGTGTGGATGTGTGGTGGAGAAAGAGGACAGGGGACAGACAATGTGGGGAAGGGCTCTCTGAGGAGGTGACGCTGAGCAGAGGCCTGACTGGCACGAGCTGGATGCGTGCAGATGACATTGCCTGGGTGTTTCTGCAGCATTAAATGGTATTTTCTCAAAACGCTAGCTCTTCTGCTCCAATTGTGAATCGCTGTATCACAAACATTCACTTTTACACGACTCTCAAATATCTTCTACTTTATATTAATTTCCACAGTCACAGCTAAAGTTGGGTCAGTTACCAAATATCTTTGCTCTAAAATTCCTGAAGACCCAGCAGGAAGCTCCGGTTGGACCTGCACTCCAAATGAGCTTGCTGACCGAGCACATACACAATTCAGTGACATGCGAATGGGGGAGCTTCGGCTCCACTGCCTCTAGGGGCAGAGCCCCCTTCTTCTACTCAGCCCTACAAGAACCCTCCTGAATCATGAAGACAAAGACTGTAAGCCCTGCCCCCGAGCCCTGAACCCCAGGCCTGACCCTGCCCACTCCAAGGCACGGTCAGTCCAGGAAGGACGGAAGCTACAGGGGAGTCTGCAGAGGCCACCTGGGCAAAGCGGGGCCTTCTTGATTGGCTTGATGGGGACACAGCAGGTGGGAGATGGCTGCGCAACAGGAACCATGGACTCGCAGGGATCAGGGACAAACTCATGTCCTGCAAAGCCTCCCCAAATCTGAGCCAGTCCCAACAGGAAAAACTACCCTAGACACTTACCCACTCCAGAAACCCCACCTCCCTCTCCTTGGGCAGGTCTCAGGGAAGCCCTGCCCACGGCCAGTTCCCAGAATCAAATCGCTGCCAGGAGGGCCCTCAGAAGCCCTGCTGAATGCCCAGAGCCGAGGGAGCAAGTCCAGGAGGCCAGAGGTGAGTGGATGCAGCCGCATCCAACCACACGCCTAGAGGGCAGTGGGCTGGAGTCCCAGGAACCAGAGAGCAGGAGAGGAGCAGAGCGAGCAAAGCAAGGACTTGCAAGAACCGTTCAGAGTCGTGAAACCAACCGTTTCCTACATGTGATGTTTTCATGGATGGATATTTGCATATTATTTACAAATTGGGGAGGTTTGAGCAGCAGGTGCACAACATACAGACGGAGACATGGGTTTTCGCATTGTATGTTGGTTGGATGGCGTGAGTCAGCAGGTAGGTTAAGGTAAATCAAGAACAAAAACAGAAAACAAAAGAGAAAATGAGTCATCAACACAAGCAAAAACTCAAACTCTGATTACTTAACTAGAAAATTAGGATTTTGGTAAACTGCATTATTTTTCTTAAAATATATCAGATCAAAACATATTTTTGAAGTCTGTAGGTTATGCAGACAAGGTGGCATTCATTTGCATTCTTGTTTGTAATGCAAATCCAAAGATGACTCACAGACACTTATTTATTTATTTTTATTTCCAGGCAAAGAAATCAATGTCAGTTTCATGCTTGCTTGGAGCCCTCTCTCTGGGTGCCCTTGCTAAAACTCTATTTTGATTTTTAAGTTGGGGATGGGAACTGACACTCATATTTTTGCCTAAGAAAAAAAAGTGCATTCACAAAGTAAACATATGAAGTGGCTCCAAATGAAAAACAGACACACAAACAAAACAAAGCACCACCAGTCCACACGATGGCTTTCCCTTCATCTTTTCTCCTCCAGGCAGAACAGGAGATGACCTGGGCTCCAGGAGCAAGAGTGGCCAGGGGACAGCTGAGCTTTCCAACCAGCAGCTCTCAGGCCCCCAACCTGCTGGGTGTCCAGGGTTGGCAGGGGCTGCCAAGGAGGGCTTGCTTGAGCCAGGGTCTGACACGACCACAAACAGCCCGGCCTCGACTGTCTCGCAGCTGAGGGACGGAGTGTGGGTCAGTCTGGCTGCCTGCACTGCAGCAGGAATCTGCCTTGTATCAAGGCCTCTGCCCTACACCAGGGCCTCTTTGGGGTGTGGGGAGGTTTCCCTAGAGCCCGGCTGGGCACTGGGGCTCTCTGCACATCTCTGACGTCAGCCAGGCACCCTCCACTTTGTGCCCTCTCAGCAGTCAGCAGTTCCCGCCCCTCTTGGAAAGGAGGCACACACACGCAGAAACCACCCCTCCCCACCAAGCTGTGTCCTTACAGCTGGGAGCTCAATGTTTCCATCACTGTATTTGATGAATAAAGATTTCTGTTTCCAAGGAGGAGGCCCTTAGGAATCAGCAATGCAGCCCACCTGTGCCTCTCGGAAAGCGCACTGGGACTAAATGCTTCCGGGCGAGACGCACAGGGAGGAGGCAGCCACTGGGAAACACAACACCAGTGCTAGGGGGACTCAACTTTTCTGATTTTTCTGATTAAATGGCAGGTTTCAGCTTTTTTGCTTGGATTACTCAGATCATTAACTTTTTTAAATCGTAAAGCATATCACATAAAAGATTACGCATAAATATTTTAAAGAAAAGTAAAACCAAGTATCTATATATATTCATCACCCAGCTTTACGAACGGCACATCACCATCACTTCCGAAGCCGTCTCGGGTCTCCCTTCCTCCTCTGCAGATGCAGCCACTACCTTCCCTTCTTGTTAATCATGGCTTGTCTTTTCAGCTTTACCAGAAACTCTGGAAATGCATTCTATGTTTGCCTGTCCCTGGCCTTTGTTGTGGGATCAGGCTGCCCGCAGGCTTCTTTGACTTGCGCACACCTATGCTCTGACCAAAAACTGTTTCTGAGAAGCATCCACACTGTGCTGATGTCACTGGAAAGGGGTGCACACACAGAAACCCCCCAAAGCTGTGTTTCAATTTCACATCATTTGCGTATTTTCACTACGTTAGCAGAGACCCTAACAACTGGCACATTCTGTTACCGATGGGCACTCAGATGCCTCTGTTTGGTCGGCAGAACGCTGGTGCCAGGAACACTTGTGTGAAAATGCCTCTGGGGGTTATCTGTGCAGGCACCCTCTGGGACACCTGCCTAGGAGTACAGTTGCTGAGTTGTATGCACATGTCCAACTTTCGAGGGGCTGCTGAGCCCTCCCAGATGCTGTGCTGGCTGGCACGCCCACCAGCAGTGCCAGAGTTCTGGTTATTTATATGTTTTGAAAGAGTCTTACTCTGTTGCCCAGGCTAGAATGCAGTGGCGCAATCTTGGCTCCCTGTGACCTCCACCTCCTGGGTTCAAGCGATTCTTGTGCCTCAGCCTCCCAAGTAGCTAGAATTACAGGCGTGCGCCATCATGCCTGGCTAACTTTTGTATTTTTAGTAAAGACGGGGCTTCACAATGTTATCCACTCGTCTCGAACTTCTGACCTCAGGTGATCTGCCCACCTCAGCCTCCCAAAGTGCTAGGATTATAGGCCTGGGCCATTGCACCCAGCCTTCTCTTCTTTTAAAAAAATTTTAATGTCAACATTATACTAGTCTAGTTAGTTAGAGAATGTTCACTCTTTTTCTGTTCTCTAGAAAAATCTGTTTAAGAGTGGAATGATCTTTCCTTATATTTTAAGTAGAAACCTAATGTATAAGACCACTAGAATCTGGTGTTTTCTTTATAGGAAGATTGTTTATTGACTCAACTTCTTTAATGCTTTAATAAAGAACCATTTAGGGTTTTTCTCTCTTCTTTTGTCACATTCAGTCATTTATATTTTTCTAGTAATGTGTTCACTTACCTAGGTTTTCAAACGTACTGGCATAAACTATTCACAATATTCTCCTTCACGTTATTCACGTTACTCTCTCCTGTACCTACCATCATGACCCCTCTCCCCTGCCTTACATCGTGTATTTTACCTTCTTATTTTTCTTTGATTAATCTTGCCAGAAGTGTGTCAATTTTTAAGTCTTTAAAGAACTAAGTTTAGACTTTATTGATTCTCTCTAGTCTTTGTTTTCCACTTTCTTAATTTCTATTCTTATACTTTTCTTCTACTTTATTGAGCTTATTCTGTTGTTCTTTTTCTAACTTTTAAAGTTAGATGCTAAACTCATTAATTTTTACACCGTTTTCTTTTTCTAATATAAACATTAAGGCTGTAAATTTCTTTCTGAGTACTGCTTCAGCTGTTATCTCATGAGCTTTAATATACAGTATTTTCATTGTTTTTCTGTTATTTATATTTTCTAATTTCCATCATTTCATCTTTTACCCATGACTTATTCAGAAGTTCATTTCCTTAAAAGTGGAGAAGGTACTGTTAGTGTCTCAGCCACACAGGCCCTGTGATCGCTCTGCTTCTGTCCACACTGGCTCCCAATGCACTTTCACGCCCCACAGCAGCACTTGTCTCTCTCCTTCCCCCTCTGTCTCTCTCCTCCTGCCTCCCTGCCTCTCTCTCTCTCTCTCTTATTTTTTTAGCGTTTTGCTCTGTTGCCCAGACTGGAGTGCAGTGGTACAATCATAACTCACTGCAGCCTCGAACTCCTGGGTTCAAGCGATGCTCCCACCTCAGCCTCCCAAAGTTCTGGGAGTACAGGCGTGAGCCAGCGTGCCCCGCCCTCTTGGGTCTCTTGATGCAGGGATTCCCACAGGCTGCCAGAACCTGCTTTGCAGGTGGAGCCCATGCTGCACTCTCTTGCCCCTCACTGGGACAACTCTGATGTGGCATCCACACTACCCTCAGAGCTCCCCTGCAGGAAGGAGCCCAAATTACATGGAATTGATTGAAACTGGATCTCTTCCTTATCCAACTGCCCCCATCCTCACCAACTATTCCTGGAAACTGTGATTCCAGTAAATCACATTTGGATCACACGTTCTGATCCAAAGACAGGTGACACCAGGGGTGGTTCCTTGGAAGCCGACTCTAAGGATGGAGACCTTGGGGAGTGGCTCACTGGACAGATTCTCCTCTGTTGGTGGGTGGTAAGTGAGGTGACGGTAACTCCTGGTGTGCTGTAGCATTAAAACTGCTGAAACCTTCATCTTGGGCAAATCTGTAAAGGGTTGAAAGGGGTGCAATAACGATACCGCAAGATATCATTAGCATCCACAGGCTGTCAGGAATGGGCGCTGTAAGGATGGTAGAGCTGGTGAACCATGGCTAAGTGCCACCAATTACTCTGGGGAAGAAAACATTACAAGTTGTCAATTAGCAACTCCAAGCATAACCCAAATGTGGTCTGTGTTTCGGATTGTGCTGACCAGCCTGGGACTCAAGGGAGGACCAGGGCTCTAGAGAGGACTCCACAAGTCTCTCATGCTCCAACGTCAGCACCCAGAAAGGAAGGGCAGGCTCTGCCACGCAGAGGAGGAACACCAGTGTGGGCATGCCCCCAACACAGAGCTCTCAGATGCCCCGGGACTGCCTGGGCCTGCAGGAGCGTCCCCCTCCCTGCTGCAGGACCTCACTTTGTCTTGCCTGAATACCTGCAGGAGTCTCAGCTGAGGTGGATGCTTTCCACGATGGTACTCACCCTCCCCAAGTTCCACCTCACTTCCAATGCCGGCCACTAGACCCACAACTCGAGTTTTCATACAGCCTGACTTGGGAAGCGGTGGTCCTGCTGAGTGAGAAAAAAAGGCTGCCCAGTGAAGGGCTGTGTGATATAACGGGTATGTGTGGCAGGAGCAAGGTGGGAGGGACTGGATGAGGATGGCTGGAAGACAGGCAGGATAAAAAACTATTTTTAATGTAGGGGAGCTTTCTCCCATGACTCAGGATCCAATACCCTGGCGAGGGCACCTGAAGCAGGTGCTAACAGGCTGCTGGGATGACTCCCAGGAGCTTGGAAAACCTCATAGCCCACATTAAATGAGGTGAGGGTGCCAGAACTGCCTTGGCAGATGCTGAGCATAGGACCAAAAGGCTCAGAGAGGTAGGCATGCTAGAAAGAACCTATCATGTACGATCCAAGTGCCCACGAGCCAACCAGCTTCTCAGAGCGTTTTGGGAGGAGGGCACTGGCATCACGCACAAGGCCACTGGTGGTTCTCTTCTGCAGGCCAGGGTTGACGGGAGGAGATGCTGTCATGGAGCAGGGATTCCTTTGGGAAGAAGAGAAGGCTCTGGAGCTGCAGAGGCTCCATGGCAGCACACAATCACATGAGGCTGGCTCCCTTCCATGGCTGGTTGCCTGGAACCACCACAGTGGGCAGCGAGGCCTCAATGGCAACCAAGAGCCCTGACCTGCAAAGGTCCACAGTGGTGGCTAATCAGCCATGGCATTGGCAGGACAAAGGGGCATTGCCAACAAGGATGCTGCTTCGGCTAATCGGCCATGGCATTCCTAGAGGCAGGACAGAGGGGCAGCGCCAACAAGGATGCTGCTTGAGATTAACATATGTAAATATAGAATTCAAAAGAATGAAAGTAAGTGAGCAGAAGGCTGATAACAGCCACCACCATGGACAAACATGCTCCCTCCCGAGTCTCTCAACCAGTCAGTTTTCAGATCCAGGGTCCACAGCTTAGAGGAGAGACTGGGCCCCCTTGCAGAAGAATCCTACAACACAAGAAGGAGTCCAGACAGCAGCCATTTCTCTGCCCTCCCCAAGGAGATCGGGCTCGTTTACTTGAGAAATTGCACACTGGATCCAGACAGCAACCATTTCTCTGCCCCTCCCCAAGGAGATCTGGTTCGTTTACTTGAGAAATTGCACACTGGAGAAAGAATACCCGGAGGTTTTGAAGGCTGTTGGATACAAGGTCCAAGATAACATTGATACCAAGGAACTAAAATGAGATTGCGGCTCCATCTCAGAGTGTGCGCAGGGGCCAGGACACCAATGAATCCCTGGCCCAGGCCCATCTCTCAGTGGTCTCGTGTGCCCAGGCACAGCTGGTGTTCATTTGGCTAGTCCTAACTAACTGGCCGAACCCACCACACTGGCTCCTCGACATGTGAAGTAGACATAACAATAGGAAAGTCCTCAACACCGACACCCCCCAGCCAAAACGGTACATTATAACACTGCATCCAGTATGGAATGGAGAGGTTAGTGCCACCTCGAATAATTAAAAGATAAAGGGGTGGTTGGTCTACACCTCATTCCCATTTAATTCACCAGTATGGACTGTGCAAGAAAACTGGATCACAATGGATGACACTGGACTACTCCCCAGATAACCCAGGCTCAGTACCCACTGCTGTGGGAGATTTGGTATCTTTAATAGAACAGATCTACTCAGCCTCTGGGACTTGGCACACAGGTGCCAACCTGGTGAGCACACTCTTCAGCAGTCACTGCTAAGCAGGGTCAGAAGCAGTTTGTATCCACAGCAGACATTCACAGTCTGACCCTATGTCACAACATGGTCCAAAGGTACTCTTAATCATTTGGAATTCTTATTTTTATTTTTTAGAGACAGGGACTCACTTTGTGGCCCAGGCTGGAGTGCAGTGGTGCGATCATAGCTCACTGCAGCCTTGACTTCCTGGGCTCAAGTGATTCTCCTGCCTCAGCCTCCTGGGTAGCTGGGACTACGGGCGTGTGCCACTATGCCTGGCTAAATTTTTAAATTTTTTACAGAGACAGGGTCTCGCCGTCTTGCCTAGGCTAGTCTCCAACTCCTAGGCTGAAGTGATCTTTCTACCTTGGCCTCCCAAATCCCTGAGATCACAGGTGTGGCCACTGTGCCTGCCCAAGACGTTCCCTGCCTTGGCCTCCCAAAGCCCTGAGATCACAGGTGTGGCCACTGTGCCTGCCAAGACATTCTTCAGAACACCACACTGGTCCACCACACTGATGATGTTATGTTACTTAGATCAGATGCCCTGACGCACTCCAGAGCACAGGTGATAAATCTTACAAGGATTCATGGACCTTCCACGTCAGTGAAGTTTTTAGGGGTCCAGTGGTCTGGGCTATGCCAGGACAAGGACTCCAAGGTAAGAGACAAGTTAGTGATTGCACCTCACACTTCTACTGCGGGTAGGCTGCTTTG
This sequence comes from Homo sapiens, assembly GCF_000001405.40. Classification (NCBI taxonomy): domain Eukaryota; kingdom Metazoa; phylum Chordata; class Mammalia; order Primates; family Hominidae; genus Homo; species Homo sapiens. Next base: position 138,062,910 of record NC_000009.12, on the reverse strand, counting down.
CGTTTTGGAGATGGCATAGGCCACTTAGGAAATACTGCTGTGACTCAAGACGCTGCCATGCTTGAGAGGTTTCAGAGCACAAGTGAGGTCTCCAACAGACCCAGGATGTGATAGCAGTGGCCCTGCCACTTGGGCCACAAAACCCAGCAACCCCCAGGGTCCTTGATGTGTATGTGGTAGGTAAGGATACTGGGTAAAGTCCTGGGAAAGCCTCCACAGAGAAGTCAGTGCAGACACCCAGCATTTGGGAGCAGGCCATGCCATCTACAGAACGGAAGCATAATGAGAGGGGCCAACCTACTTCCTGGCCCTGGTGGCAGCTGTGTGTGTCACCAAGAGACATCGCTGTCTATGACACCAAAGCATCTCCCCATAGTGATGTGCTGTCAGACCCACCACAGGCCCAGTGAACAATGGAAGGGGTACCTCTACGACCGAACCCAAGCATGTCTAGAGGACACAGCACACAACATGTGGCCCAATCCCCCATGACACGCACCTCTGTTGACCAATGACGTCCTCACCTCACTCCCGCCATCACTTCATGGGGATTCACTACAACTTAGGGGGAAACGCAGACCTGATTTGTGGATGGGTTGCTTGGTATACTGGTGCAGGCCTCACTACAGCCTCACATAGGAACAGCCTGAAAGACAGAGGTGGAGCAGAGCCCTGGGCAGGGTATCTGGTCAGCTCTGTGTGGGGGGGAAAACAAGTTGCCTGTGCTGAGGATAACAGGGTCCTAGGCAGGCACAAACGGCTGGTCAGGATCCTGGAGGGAACAAGGTCTAGGTGAGAGGCAGACAGATGGGCCTTGGGAACAGGCATGGGGTACAGGCCTTTGTTTTGCAAACCAATGCTCACCATGGGGCACTAAAAACCAAGCACTGGGATAAGTCGACCAACAGATATTGGCTAGCCTCTGTCCTCACCAGCCCCAGTGTCCACACAGCAGACCTCTGGATAGGGTGACCATCGTGGCCAAGAGCCTCTCAGCAGCATGATCCAGTCATGACCACTGACGATTATCTACCGGGAATGAACAGACAGCAACACTGGGCTTCCATCTGGTGCCATGCCTTGGGGCTGTCAACCAGCCACCTAGTGGTAAGCTGATTATATCAGAACACCCTCTCCTGGAAAGGGCAGTGATTTGTCTCATCTGGGATCCACCCACATCCCAGGTGTGGGTTTGCCTTTCCTTGTGCAGTACCGTGCCGGCACTAACATCTCAGAGATTTACCAACACAGGATTCCATATAACATCAGCTTGGAGCACACGCAGGGGATGCATGTGAGCCAGGTGACCGCGGGGTCCACTGGATCATCTAACGCAACACCACTTAGGAGACGCTGCCCTGACCTTAAAGGCAGAGATAAAATGCCGGCTTGGTGATACACTTCATGGGGTTGGGGTGCCATATTTCAAGATGAACCAACGGCCAATCGATGGTACTGGGTGCCCAATCAGTAAAATGTATGGATGGAGGAAATGGTGAAAGAAGAAGGGGCCTGTCTCACCATCGCTCCAGAAACCCAGTATGAACTCTGCGCTCATCTTCCCCAATTTTAGGTCTGGCAAATCTAGAGGCCCTGGTTCAAACAGGTGGAGAAGGCTTCTACCACACAACACCAAAGCCATGGTGGCCACCTGGTCACTTGGGGCTGCTCGTGCCAGAAGGCCAGCAGGCATCACAAAGAGTTTCCATGCCAGCCAGATCATCTGACCCTCATTACTGTGAAGGGCAGAGCTGCCACTGCATAATTCTGGGAATCAGGGGCTTCACTGGGCCTTTCTCCATGCTCCTATGAACACGCTCCTGTGCGCAGTCTTCACTGCGACTGGATTACCACGGCAGCCAGGGTTGGAAAAAGAACGGCAACAAGTAGGGACTTGGGATGCGCAGGGCTGAGGGTCTGGGTCATCCCACCAGGCCAGCAACCAGTGCAGCAGAAGGCTGGCCACAGGACAGGGGCTCTAGAAAGGGTGGTGGGGACGGGATGATGAACATCAGCTCAGGGGCTCTAGAAAGGGTGGGGGGAACGGGATGATGAACACCAGCTCTGCTTGGACCAGCACAGCAGACGGAGCTCCGCTCTGTCTCCCAGAGACCATGACCAGCACCATCCTAAAGAATGAGCACAGTGAACCCAATGTGAAGTGTGGGCAGAACAGGAAGGAGCCTGGTGCTCCAGCAGGTTCTCCTCTGATGGTGTCAGACGTCCCTTCAGCCCTAACAGCTTGGGTGCAGCACTCGTGGCACACTCAGGGAGCTGGAAGCATCTGAGAATTGACACCCCAGGTGCAGCCCTCAGCCTAATGCCGTGCGGAGGGTGCAGAGGCAAACACGTTGCAGCTCCCTTTCCAGCAGGGATAGCTCTGAGGTGCGACCTACGCTGCTGCCAGAAGTCCCTTGGGAGATGACCCACACTGACCCACCAGGACTTGGCTTGGGACGCAGGATTTCTGGTCCTTCTCTTCCCACCCATTTCCCCATGCCCCTCTGCTGGTTTCTACTGGGAACATAACTTAAGAAATAAATTTCACATGAGTGCTCGTGTCTGCGTCTGCTTCTCGAGAATTCAACCTAAGACCAAACAAATGAGATTTTCTGCCATTGATTTCCAGTGTAATGTGTTGTACTCAAAGAATGTTGCTTTATGATTCAGATGCTTTGAAATTTGTTGAGACAAGTTTATATCCCAGCACTGGTCAATTTTAAGACATAATCCACATATGTTTGGTAAGAATGAGTATTTCCAGATATATATAGAGAGAGATAGAGAGACGGTGGGGGGCAATATTTTGAAATATAAATCCTTACTGGTTTCAGTTTATATATTTTTGATACCACCTTGTTAGATACATATTATACAGATACAAATTTAAGATTCACATCTTCTTGATTAGTTGTTACCATGGAGCTCCAGGTAACTCTCAGGCCAGCAGCCCAAAAGATCTTTGAGAACCACTTTCTTATTCAAGAAAGAACATCTGCTGAGGTAACACCCAATCCCTAAACTCCACCCCTGGAGCGAAGCCTCCACATGTCCAGGGGGTTCTGCGGAACCCAGGAAGAGGCTAACACAGGGCCTGGAGATGCACTGAGGGGAGCAGGCTCTAGAAGGAAACCACCTGGGGACCCTGAAGGAGGGACAGAAATGCTACTTACCGCAATCTCTGTTACTAAAATATCAGTAATACTTCCCAACACAGTGACAAAGTCAAAGACATTCCAGGCATCTCTGAAATAGTTCTAGAGAAAAAGAAGAGCAGTTAGTGCCAGCGGCTGATGAGGGCTCTGTTGGCAAAGAGGTATATATAGGTGGTGGCCCTGATTAAGAAAGCGGTGAGGGTGATAGACCCTGAGCACAGGGCAGACAGGCCACCCCAGGGGGCACAGCACAAGGCCAGAGGTAAGCAGATGTCAAAGCCAGGGACACAGATACCTCTGGGCCTGGGCAGAGGCAGGACTAAGAGCCATGTGTCCAAAGAGGAAGAACCCAGCCCTGCCTCCCTCCCAGGACCTAGGCTGGGGGCAGAGCTTATGTAGCCAAGAGTCTCAGAACAGCCCCTTCCCCAGGGCCCCTGTAGCATTACATATACTCTGGGTACTCGGAGAATTCCCAGCTCCAAATTGTGAGCCCCCAAAGGTCGCCCTACAGATGGGGAACCAGAATATAGGTTGTCAAAAGGCAAAGCAGGGACCAAAGCACGTACCAGCACCCCAAAGGCGATGATCTTCAGCACGCATTCCATGGAGAACATGGATGTGAACACGATGTTCAGGCATTTCAGCATCAGCTCGTACTCATAGGGTGCATCATAGAACTGCCCGGGGAATAGGCACTGTTGGCCATGGGTTTGGCAGCCCCAAGACACCCCATCTGGGACCACTATGACCAAGCAAAGCGGGCAGACAGAACTCGATGCCTGCCTAGGCCTGGGACACCCCTTCCTGCTCTCCCCGAGTCCTCCCAGAACCTCCCCACTGTCCCAGCCCACAGACAACAAAGGGAAACAGGATTCCACAGGCATCCCATGCTGGCCAGGATGCAAGGCCACTACTGCTTTGGCTCATGCAGGGAGGAAGAAGGCTGACTCTCCACTCAGCCTCAGGGTTAGATCCCAATCCCTAGCAGCGCCAGCTGCCCCTCTGCGCTGAGCCCCACACACCTTCATCATCAGCACCACAGTGTTGAGGGCTATCATGGCCATGATGAAGTATTCAAAGGGCGGGGAGACCACAAATGTCCACGTCTTATACTGGAACGACTGCCGGTTTTGGGGCATGTACCGTGTCAGGGGTTTGGCGCTGATGGCGAAGTCAATGCAAGCCCTCTGTAAGGGGAGAAAGGAGCACAGAGACTCAGAAGCAGAAAACCTACCCGACGGCATCTACTGCACCCAGCCCTGTCTCGCCAGGCCTCACAGGGAGCCCTGACAACAGAAGACAAATTGAAGCAGCCCAGACCTTCTCCAAGCAGGCCTCAACCAGCCAAATCCGGTCCCTCTGCAGGAGAAAGGAGGACCTGCCCCTGTGTTGGCAGACGGTGGCAGCCAAAGCTGACCCAGCTGTGAGTGATTTGTGTGCAGGAGGGAAGCCTGATGGCGCTGCCCACGCTGTCCACTGCAAGACTCCACAGAGCGTCCACCTACCTCGTTCTTCTCCAGGCTGCATTCAGACATCACCTTGTCCCCCTGCTCCTGGAAGGTGATGATGATCAAAGCCACAAAGATGTTGACGAAGAAGAAGGGAAAGACCACAAAGTAGACCACGTAGAAGATGGACAGCTCCATGCGGTACCCAGGGCTTGGACCCTGCTCCTCATAGGTGGCATCCACGGAGTGTTTCAGCACCCTGGGCAAAGAGGAGAGCAAGTGTCAGGGGAACCCCCAAAGGAGACAGCCCTAAGAACTCAAGACCTGCACCACAAGGGTGGGTCTGCTTCCATGCCTGAGCCCAGGGATAGAGGGAGGAAGGGAGGCCGAGCTCAGGGGCTGCCTGCCCCAGCTACGGAGAGCAGGATGAGCACTCACATGGGCCAGCCTTCTCCCGTGGACACTGTGAACAGCGTCAGCAGAGCCCAGAGCACATTGTCGTAGTGAAAGTCGTATTTCTTCCACTGCCTGGGCTGAGCTTCCACTTCCTCCTTCTCATAATCCAAATACTGACCCCTAGGAATGAGAACATGGGAGGTTAGAGGGCAAAGACAAAAGATCCAAATAAACCCACCTATCAAGAGTGTTGAAACCATTCCGTGGGGAAAGAATGGCCTCTCCAACAGACTGTGCTGGGAAAACTGGATGTCCACATGCAGAAGAATGAATGTGACCCTACTTTACTCCATAGACAAAAATTAACTCATGATGGATTCCAGACCTAAGTGTAAGGAGCTAAAACTATAAAACACTTAGAGGAAAACGGGGGCAAAACTTCGTGACCTCGAATCTGGGAATGGAGCCTTAGATGTGACACCAAAATCATGAGCAACAGAATAAAAAATACAGATAAATCAGGCCGCATCAAATCGGACACTTCTGTGCTCAGAGGACGCCGAGAACGTAAAGAGACAAATCCACAGAATGGGAAAAATACTTATTTCCTAATCCTCTGTCTGATAAGGGAGTTGTATTTAGAATATGTAAATAACTATTCTAATAAATAAAAAAGGCCGGGCGCGGTGGCTCACGCCTGTAATCCCAGCACTTTGGGAGGCCGAGGCGGGCGGATCACGAGGTCAGGAGATGGAGACCATCCTGGCTAACATGGTGAACCCCCGTCTCTACTAAAAATACAAAAATAATTAGCCGGGCGTGGTGGCGGGCGCCTATAGTCCCAGCTACTCGGGAGGCTGAGGCAGGAGAATGGCGTGAACCCGGGAGGTGGAGCCTGCAGTGAGCCGAGATCGCGCCACTGCACTCCAGCCTGGGCAACAGAGCGAGACTCCGTCTCAAAAAAAAAAAAAAAAAAAACCCAAATAAAAAATGGGTAAAGGATCTGAATAGACACTCCTCCAAAGAAGATATACAAATGGCTATTAAGCACATGAAACGCTGCTCAACACCACTCATCATCAGGGAAAGGCAAATAAAAACCACCACGAGACACCACTTCATGCCCATGATGATGGCTGTAGTTTAAAAAATACCAAAACTAAAAAGATGGAAAACCACAAGTGTTGGCAAGGATATGGGGAATTCAGAACCCTCATGCATTGCTGGTGGGAATATACAATGCTTTAGCCACTTTGGAAACAGTCTGGCATTTCCTCAAACAGTTAAACACAGAGTTACCCAATCACTCATTAATTCCACTTTTAGGTACACACCCATGAGAAGCAAAAACAGACCCACACAAAAATGTGGACATAAATGTATACAACAGCATCATTTATAACAGCCACAAGGTAGAAACAACCCAATGTTCATCAGCAAATGAAAGAATAAGGAAAATGTGGCACAGCACAGAACACATATTCAGCCGTAACAAGGAACAAGGCTCTGACACAAGCCACTGCGTGGACAAACCTGAAAACATCACACGAAAGAAGCTACTCACAAAAGACCACATATTGTATCATTCAATTTACAAAAAGTGTCCAGAACAGAGAGGTTTACAGAGATTAAAAACAGATTCATAGTTGGCTAGGGGTGGGACAGGGATGTAGGGGATGATAGTTAAACGGTGCGGGTTTTTCTTTTTTTTTGAGGTGCTGAAAATGTGTTCTAAAATTGACTGTGGCGATGCTTGCATGTACCTGTAAATAGACTAAAAGCCACTTAATTGCACACTGTAAGTGGATTGTTATGAACAAGCAGTATAATGTGTTAGTTACATCTCAATAAAGCTGTTTTTTTGTTTCTGTTTTTGTTTTTTTTTTGAGACAGAGTCTTACACTGTCGCCCGGGCTGGAGTGCAGTGGCACAATCTTGGCTCACTGCAACCTCCGCCTTCCAGGTTCAAGCGATTCGCCTGCCTCAGCCTCCTGAGCAGCTGGGATTACAGGTGCTGGCCACCATACCCAGCTAATTTTTTGTAGTTTTAGTAGAGACAGGGTTTCACTATTTTGACCAGGCTGGTCTCCAACTCCTGACCTCATGATCCACCCACCTCAGCCTCCCAAAGTGCTGGGATTACAGGCGTGAGCCACCGCGCCTGGCCTAAAGCTGTTTTGTTTTTGTTTTTTAAAAAATCCATTACACTGGGTAAGAATGATCTTTTCAAATAAACGATGCTGGGTGAATTGGATATCTATCGTCAGAAAACGTATCTTAACCCATACCTTATGTAACACATAAAAATCAACTTCCAAGTAAACTGCAGATCTTAATGTGAAAGGCAAAAATAACACTTTTCAGAAGAAAACACAAGAAAACATCCCTGGCCTTGGGATAGATTTCTTAAACAGGATATAAAGAGTACTCAGCATAAAAGAATAAAAAAGATCAGTTGGACTCTATTAAAATCAAGAACTATGGTTGGGTACAGTGGCTCACACCTGTAATCCCAGCACTCTAGGAGGCCGAGGCAAGAGGACTGCTTGAGCCCAGGAGCTCGAGACCAGCTTGGCAACATAGCAAGACCTCATCTCCACAAAAAATTTTAAAAATTAGCCAAGCATGGTGGCACGTGCCTGTAGTTGTCTAAGCTACTCAGGAGGTTGAGGAGGGAGGATCACTTGGGCCTGACAGTTCGAGGCTGCATTAAGCTGCAATAGCAGCACTGCACTCCAGCCTGGGCAAAAGTGTGAGATCCTGTCTCAAAAAAAAAAAAAAAGAAAAAGAAAAAAGAACTTTGTTTTTTAAAAGACACCATTAAAAGAGTAGAAAGCACCATTCAGAGGAGGAGAAGACGTCTGCGATCCATACATATGACAAAGGGTTCCTGTCCAGAACATTACATGATTCCTAGTAACCGACAGGAAAGAGGCAGACAGCAGACACAGGACCACAGGCAGACACTTCCAGAAAAGAACACCTAAGCGGCCAATCCCCCTAGCAAAGGGGGCTCAATCTCATTGGTCATCACACAAGTGCAAAATTAAACCACGGTGAATGACCACTACACCCAGAAAGGCGAGAAAGAAAACACCAAGATTTAGCTAGGATGTGGGGCTCTCATCTACGCTGGAGAGAGTGTAATTTTACACAAGGGCCTGGCAGCATCTACTAAGGCTGAGTACACGCACACCCAGGACCCGGCAATTCCACTACCAGACAGATACACCTCCCCAAACTGCTACTGCTCCCTGGCGGACGTGTGCACGTGCAGCATTCCCAGCTGCAAACAGCCAAGTGCCCATCAGTCACACGGCACAGGAGGAAGCTGCATGATATTCACACAGAAGCAGCTGGGACGCTGCCGCGTGGGCAGGAAGACACTGTGGGTACTGCCTTGCCCGGGGTCCACACAGGCAGCTAACCAGCTTTCCCCCAGCTCTTCCCCAAGGGCCCCTCTCCTGTCTACTTTGGAGGCAGCGCTGGGCACAGGAAGCTCTGAGGCCTCATGTGGACAGTGACAGCAGCTCCAGCCATCGGGCAGCCCCTCTGACCTTACAGCCCAGCCAAGATCTCTAGGGCTTAGAGAAAGCCTTGCCCAGTGGGCACCTTGAGCTCCCTGGATGTCTGTGTCCCTCAGAACATGCCTGGTTCCTGACTCTGCTGAGGAGGAAGTGCTGGGGGTCCCTGGTGTGGTGCTGGGGAGGGGATGCATCCTGTCTTCTGTGGTGACTCTAGCCCTTCTCAAGCAAGCCCCTCCTCGGCCCTCAGGCAGGGTCCGTGATGCTCTGCAGTGGAGTCTCCCACGCCGTGTGACCAGCTCCACCTGGTCCCAAGGGAACTCCCAGTGTTGTCTGCATCATGGGGCTGTGTGTCCCACCTTGCACCCTGCCTCAGTTTACCTGCAGTCCCTCTCCAGCTCCTTGGATTCATCTGTGCAGTAGAAAAACTTCCCTTTGAAGAGCTGCACCGCAATGACGGCAAATATGAACATGAAGAGCATGTAGACAATCAAGATGTTGAGGACATTCTTCAGGGAGTTCACCACACAGTCAAACACAGCCTGCAGGAGGAGGGGTGGAGCCATGATGAGGGGGTGGAATCATGGTGGGAGAGTGGGGCCATGAGGGGGAAGGGTAGGGTCACGGGGAGGGGTGGAGCCACGATGAGGGGGTGAAGCCAAGGTGGGAGGGCATGGCCGTAAGGGAATGGGTGGGGCCATGAGGAAAGGGGTGGAGCCATGGTGGGAGGGTGGGGCCATGAGGGGAAGGGTGGTGCCATGATGAGAGGGGTGGAGCCATGGTGGGGGGTGGGGCCATGAGGGGAGGAGTGGAGCCATGACAAGAGGTGGAGCCACAGGGAGGGGCCGGAAGCAGGAAAGGATGTGAAGGGAGCCAGGAGAGAGGACCAGGCAGGGCACCTACGGGATGGAAACCTGAGGACCACTGAGGCCCAGGTGGCCCCCAGGCATTCCAGGGCCCTGCAAGGCCCTCAGGCCCCTGACCACAGAGAGGCTCCACCGCCAGCTTCCTTGACACACAAGACTGGTGCTGTGTCTCTTGTGAGGGGAGGCATCTTGGCCCGGATGGAGGGGCAGGAGGTGCTAGAGGCAGCAGCTGGATGCCTAGGAGGGCCGACCTTACAGGTCAGAGTTCAGCCACAGAAACGGGAATGACCAAGAGTCCAGACCCAGCTGCACCAGCAGGTGCTGGGCTTGTGCAGAGAGGATGCAGCCAGGCTCTGCCCTGCACTTGCACCCTGCCCATCAGGGAAGCAATTTGGGCAAACTGAGGATAAAGCAGTAGGCTCCAGGACAGGAACACGTGTGCTCTGTGGCCCGAGGCCGCCCTGTCATCAGCCATCACCACCTGAGGCTTTCTCTTGGGTCCCTCCCAACCTGGAAGCTCAGCATTCCCTGTGCACACAATGCTGCTCTCAGAGCTGGGAAGACACCTCACAGGCTGCTCTGATCTAGCTGTGACGGGAAGGTGGGGCCACAACCGTCTCCCACAAAGCAGCCTGGCACACTGTGGATGACCACTGCACAGCGCCACTCGGTGCCAGGGCAGGTGCCACTCCTCCCTGGACCCAGTGGGCCTCCGACGCCTTCCCCAGCTGCCTGCCAGCCCACTCCTTCACATACAGGTTCTAAACAAACTTTCTTCTCTAAGTCCCCATTGCCTCAGGTCTCAATGGCTTGAATTTCCAGTAAAAGAATCTGCTGCATAAAGGTTTGGGAGATTAAGTGAGCTGAAGCACATGAAGCAATTCGCACAGGGCCTAGCACAAGCTCACAATTACTAGGTTTCAGCGTGGCCCTATGAGTTTGAGTTTATTCTCTGTCTTTATCCAGAAGCTCAGCCCATGCCTGTCCCCCTCTCAGCAGCCAATGTCCCAAGCCCCTCACCTCCAGCATCTCCCTCCACCACCCTGCACCTGTCCCGGCAGCCTTTCCCGCACTGCACTGCAGCTGCTGAAGAAAAACCCTGTGCCGCCTGGTCCTGCTGGGCTAAGGAGGAGGATTCTCACAGGAGGCTGCTGGGAACAAGGTCTACTTGGGTAATGGGGGCTTACAGCTGAGTGAGCCCAACCCCCTCACACAGGGGTGTGATGTGAACACACACACACTCATGCACTGCATGCATACACACACACACACGCACACACACACACGCACACACACACAGCACATCCCTCAAGCCCCAACTCCAGGCTCTAACCTTGAGCTTGGGCAGCCGTTTGATGGTCTTGAGGGGCCGCAGGACACGAAGGACTCTCAGAGACTTGATGGTATTGATGTCTTTCCCTTTGGATCCTCTAGAAGGGAGAAGCCACAGATGCAGACAGGCAGGAGGCATGGGTGTGCCCAGCTCCCACGTGGCCCCCCAGGGTCTGAGTCCTGCTCCCCTGTGCATTTTGTCTCAGACTCCAGGGTGGAGGACCCAGGAGCAGAGAGGCCTTGCCCTGCAGGTGCCACAGGCCACCATGACTCTTCCCAGGGGCTGCCTGGCCCGGGCCTCATCTAAGGACAGGAGCTGGGGCTAGGGCAGCAGCATCTGGTGCACAAGGAGAAGAACCATCACCCCTGACACCCCTCCCACCCCAGATTCCAGGATTAAGAGGACAGAAGAGACCCGCACGAGGACTGCAGACCCAGAAGTGGGAGCCCACAAGCACGTTTCTAGGGCGAGAATCTTCTGGAAGGGCTTTTTTCCTTGCTTTTTGGGCTGGCTAGAGGGAGGTAAAGGGGACCTGTCTGGCCTCTGCCCTACAGATCTCCTCAGCCGTCCTAACATTCCTCCCGCTGACGTGAAACCGACAGCGGGAAGACAGAAGAGGGGAAGGAGAGTAAGAAAGAGAAAAAGTCGGACGAATACAGAGGCAATGCAAGAGGCATGGTGGACTAAGACAAACAAGGGGAGAGGGAGGGAAGGAGGGAGGGAGGGAGGGAGGGAGAGCCATAGAGACAGACATATCAATGCTACCCAGAAAGCAGCAGACAGGAAAACTCATGCAGAGCAGGGACGGCAAGGCAGGAAGTCGGGGAAAGAAAATTCCAGGCACAGAAGCAAGCAGAAGTACAGAACCAGAGGGCCTCAATCAGGGCCCCTCCAAGAAAAAGCCAGGACAGACCCAGGCAGCTGCCTCTACCTGTCAGGGACGCAGGAATTAGCAGGTTCTGGGGACTGGACCTCCCACGACCCTACTGAGGCCGGGCCAGCAGTGTCTAGGAGAGATTTCCTCCTAAGGCGGCCCCCGTTCTCAGAAGCAAAGCCACTCTACTTGGTGGGAGGTGAGGGTGGGAGCTGAGGACTCAGGACTGAGTGGGATTCACTCACACATGGAACCCTTCCCACCCTGCTCAGAGGCCACGTCCCACCACGCTCCCTGGGGAAGGCCTGCTTCTAGGGGTGGCCCTGCCCCCTGTGCTCTTCCTGGGGCTCCAGCAACACTTGGGGCTGAGCAGGGAGAGTGAGCTACACGTCTCAGGCACCCTGGTCCCCTTCTTCTCCCCTGACTGTAGGCTACACTCCAGAATCAGATCAAACTCCCCCTGAAACGCTTCCAGGTGGGAAGAACCCAGCCTCCTGTCTCCATCACCCCAGTGCTCCCGACACCCACTCTCAAACCAGCTCCTCCGCCAGCTGAGGGAAGAGGGGACAGGAGCAGGAGGGAGGGGATACTGTTTTGTCACCCAGTAAATGAGGCTTTCTGGGGGAGCGTCCATCTGGGGCCTGCTCCTTTTCTCCTGCTCTGAAGCCGCCTGGATGGGCCCAACCCCTTCCCCTCCTCCTGACTGGGGGACCCCTGGCTGCAGTGTTCCCACTCCCAAGGCCTAAGCTGATGCTTTGGCAAAGCTCTCATTCCTTTATCACAGAAAGAGGAAATAGTGGGAACTGCAGGGGGCTGGAGTGGAGAGGAAACAGAGGAAAGAATGCCGCTCTTCCAGAGAGGAGCTGCACCGGGAGCGCCTCGCGATGTCCCCGGTCCTCGGGCTGTGGCCACAGGTGGCAGTTCCCTCCCGGAGCCCTTGCTGCCCTCCAGGCCAATGGCCCCAGCCTCCAGCCCTCGCTGGTGACAGCCTGCTCACCAGCAAGCTCCTCACCAAGGGCTGACCATGCCCAGCTCCAGCCCAGCTCCCCGCCCCGCTCCCAGAGGCATGGCAGGAACCCCTGGCCGGGGACTTGGCTCCCGGCAGCATGCAGCCCCGATGGGGTGAAAGTGGATGGGCGGGGGGTGAGGCTGGAGATGAAATGACCCAAGAGGGGCTGCTGGAATGCTGTGATGTCAGGGGCAGCGTGTGGGGGAGAGAAGGCATTACCCCACGAAGCTCCTGCCGAGTCCAGCAAGAGGAAGACAAAGAGAACAGAGTCAGTGGCACCAGGAGCAGCCCTCCCAGCCGCTCAGAGAGATGTGGACCCTCCCTCATGTCTGTCGTCCACTAGGGGTCTTCCTTGTCTCTGGATCTCACCCCACAACTCCCCGCCGTATTCCCATCCCCAGCTGTAGCTGAGCCCCCGACAATGCCCTCCATGCAGTTATCTGAGGAAGCCAACTCCATTTCCAGCCACAGCAGGGCCAAGTGCCACTGGCTCAGGAGTCAGAGGAGACGTCTAATGCCCCAAAAGGGGAAGGCGACCACCAGTTCTGCCTTGGGCGAAAGCACCAGAGGTCTCCCTGGGTCAGGAGCAGACTTGCCTCAGAGCAGGTCAAGGTGAAGTTGCCTCCAAGGACCCTGGGAGGCAAACGCTGGACACACCAGAGGCTGTGCCGCCCGGTCCCAGAGCCACCGGCCGCACCAGGGCCTCCCAGCCCCACATAGCACCCACCCCTCCAGGCAGGCGGGGATGGTCCCAGGGCCACAGGCCACACCAGGGCCCTACCTAGTTTGAGAGCCACAGACAGACCTCATGCCCTCCTAACCCCACGCAGCCCCGCCCCAAGCAGGCAGGGACAGTCCCACATGGACAGCAACAGAGCCACAGGCAGCCCAGGGAAGCCCACAAGAGGGCCTCTTCCTTATTCCCTCACCCTCACGCCCATCGTGATTCTGGGGGCTCTCCCTAGCCAGAGCAGAGCGAACGTTACTTACGAGAAAGCAAACGCCACCAGGGCGCCACTGACCACAATGAAGTCCAGAATGTTCCACAAGTCCCGGAAATAGGCTCCAGGGTGAAGCAGCAGTCCCAAGTCGATCATCTAGGAGGGAGAAACACACGTTAGATACGTCATAGTCCAGAAAAGACAGGCAGAGGCCAGGTGCAGAGGCTCATGCCTGTAATCTCAGCACTTGGGGAGGCTGAGGCAGGCAGACTGCTTAAGCCCGGGAGTTGGACACCAGCCAGGGCAACATGGTGAAATCCTGTCTCTTAAGAAAAAAAATAAAACATGGCCAGACATGGTGGCTTATGCCTGAAATCCCAGCACTTTGGGAGGCTGAGGCGGGTGGATCACCTGAGCTCTGGAGTTCAAGACCAGCCTGGACAACAAGGTGAAACCCCATCTCTACTAAACATACAAAAATTAGCCGGGTGTGGTGTTGCACACCTGTAATCCCAGTTACTTGAGAGGCTGAGGCATGAGAATTGCTTGAACCCAGGACACAGAGACTGCAGTGAGCTGAGATCACGCCACCATACTCCAGCCTGGATGACAAGAGTGAGACCCTGTCTCAAAAAACCAAACCAAAACAAACCTAGAAAGATAGGCAGAGCTACAGGGCTTGGTTCCAGAGTCATGGGGGAGGAATATAGCTCTAGGTCCCCATGGAAGGCTCAGTGTGGCTGAGTGCACACGTTATGTGCACACCTGTGACATCAGTGCACCTTAGAGACACCTTTACATGCCCTGTCAGAGTAGGGAGACACGGCCCAGGTCACACCCCGAAGGGCCTCAGTGGGCCTTTGGACCTCAATGCCATGGACCCAAATATCCCTACATGGCTTGTGACCGGCTGAGATCCTGCCTGGGCTCCTAAATTCCCTGCAGCCTGAATGAGACTGAGGTCTCCATCTCCATCTGCTCCTCCATCACTGGGCTGTAGGTACACATGGCCCCAGGGAGCTCAGAGCTCGCCCAGATCCCCTGCAGGCAAGCTCAGAGCAGCAGGACTGCAGTTACGCAGACCTTCACTCACATCCTGGCTCTGTCACTCCTGCTGCTGTGATTCTAGGCCGGTAACATAACCTCGCTAAGGGTCAGCTTCCTCATCTGTAAAATGGGGATGATGACACACACCCCACAGAATTTTGCAAGAGTGAAATAGCAGAGGTAACGTGTTCATGCATCTGCTGTCAGTGCTCCATATGCACACGCTGTCCTGTGTGCACGCATGCCGGCTCACACATACCCTAAGCTGCACGGAAGTCATGGACGTGCAGGTGTGTGCACACTCAACCACACTGAAGGCACACCTGCATAAACACACAAGGGCCACACTAGTCAGTGATATGGGGGACCTCGTGTCAACACTTAGAGGCAGACAGTGAAGGACTCAATCTATCATAAGACAAATGCCCTCCTAAATTCAAGTCTTCAGCACCCACTTCCAACAATCTTCTAACACCCTCTCTCTCCCAGGTCTCCTCCTCCCCCAGCCAATGCCATGCAGCCCTCCTCCTTTGCTGTCCTAAGAAGAAGGGCCTCCGCCCACATGTGCACATTGGAGACAGACTGTATGTAGCTCATGTGTTCAAGAAACCAGAGCAGGTGGAGGCCCAGGCACGACACTGGGGAGCACTCCCAGCGCGGGAAGTAATTTTCTCAGTGAACGACAAAGCCTCTTTGTGTGCACATGTTCATGTGCTGAGCACACACCCAGTACGCACACACCTACCATATGTCTTAAGAGTTTATAGAAATTGTGGTTCAACCACTGCCCTGGTCCCATCTCAATCATGAGGGAGGGAGAGCAAAACACTGGGGTCACAAGGGCAGCCACATATCTCACCTTTATCACCATCTCAAAGGTAAAGACACCAGTGAAAATGTAATCCAGGTATTTCAGAGCCTGAAACCAAAAGGAAGGTTATTCTCAAAGGCTGGGCTGAAATCTGAGCCAGGGTGCCCTCGGTGGCTCCGAGTTTTTCCTCCAGGCCTCTGAGCAGTCAGCCAGGGAGCCAGGAAGCCTGTGGAAAACGGTTCTGGGAAGGGGGTCTCTGACAAGCACCGTCTGGGAACAGGCCCCCTCTGCCGCACCCTGTCTTCCTGTCTCCAGACCTTTGGTCGTGCACTGCCAGGCACACAGACAGAGGAAGGAGGGGTGCCCTGTGAGACGACAGGACCTCAGCCCCACCCCAGCCCCTTGGGCCCCTGGGAAGGCACCCAGCTCCCCCGCCACAGCCTGGCGGGGACCCGGCCATCCGGGCCACTCACGTTGTTCCTGGGCGAGTCTGTGCGCACTGGGTCCTCAGCAGCCAGGGCGATGCTGCTCAAGGCGATGACCACGAGAATGACCACCTCGAAGTACCTCATGGTCACGATGTAGTGGCAGAAGCGGCGGAGCCTGTGAGGGAAGGCACGGATCACCACAAGGCCCCCCAGCCGGGCGCGCCACCCCTTGCCACAGGGCAGGCTCAGCCCGTCCCGCAGAAAGGGCTCTGGGCTGCCTCAGGAAGCTGTGGCCCCAGAGCTTCGCTTTGCTAATGGTCCCTGTGGTTGGTGGTGGCAGCCAGGTGACGGACAGTGGCTGAGATTCCTGAGAGGGCCTCCCGGGACGGGGGGTGGGGAAGGCTGCAGAACCTCATGGCAGGGGTCAACAAACCAAAGCTCACAGGCCAGATAGGGAGACCTGTTTGTGTGAATAAAACTTCACTGGAGTACAGCTACATCCATTCACTACCAACTGTCCATGCAGCCAACAGCAGTCCAAAGCCAACAGCATCAACTACCCAGCCCTTTCACAGAAGAGGTCAGCTGTGGGCAGCAGGGAGGGAGTTGCTCAGAGAGGAAGAATTTCAGCGTCAACATTCTCACGGAGAGCAGGCCTCTCTTGCCCTAGGAAAGTTCTCTGGGGCCTGTGCGGGGTGTGTGCCCTGTCCAGGCTCCCAGGGTGCATGTGAACACGCTCCACGTGAACACGCTGCACGGGGACACACTCCACACACTGCCACGTGCTCGCCTTTTGCTCCAGTCCCATTTGCCCGACTCGCTTGTTCAACATTACTGAGCACCTACCCTGCCAGGCATGTGCTGGACACTGGGGGACACAGGGGTGACCAGAACAGGCCTGATGAAGCTCCATTCAGCAGTCAAAACACCAGGAAGCAGCGAGGAAATCAACAAGCAGGGGCCTCCCTGCTACTGGCAGAGCCACAACGTGAGAGTGCACAGTAACCAGGAGGCTGGGAAGCCCATCTACGGGTGGGGGACCAGAAGAGGCAGCCGTGGACGGAGCAGGTGGGGCAGACGGCCCCCATCACGAGGGCTGTGCTCTGGAGATGCCTCCCCTGCCTCGCAGGCGTGTCCACCGCCCCCAGCCCCTCTAAGCTCTTCCTCTCACCCACACCTGCGAACCCCCAAGGGCCATTCATCTTAAGCGGCTGCCCACATCTCCCTCTTCCTTGAAGGGAACTCAGCCATCTAGCTCCTGCCCCTGTGTCCACAGAGCTGTTCATCCCTGGCCCACCGCCAGCCTGCTGCTGCCTCAACCCTTGCCACTTCCCCTGCCTTTCCTTCTAATTCAGCCGTCATCCACTCCAACTTGTGTCTGGGTTTCTGGCACTCAGCTCTAGCCCCCAGCTCAGATCCTAAGTCCACCTGGCCATGAGACATCCCCAGCCACCCCAGGCTTTGCAGGGTCTGCAGGCGGGACCCCAGCAGCACTGCTGGTCTCAGTGAACGCAGTGCCTTCCGCCACTGTCAGGCAGAAACTGGGTTTCAGTCAGACATCCTCGATGTCTCCTTCCCCTTCCACATCTAATTTATCACCAAATTCTGTAGATTCTGCCTCTAAAATTCCTCCATACGCACCTGACTTCCAAACCTCAACACTATGAGTACCCTGGTCAAACCACCACTCTCTCTGCCTGAAACCCTTACCATCTACTCAGTGGCCTCCATCTGTAGTCTCCCCATAAAAGGGCCCTGCTGGGCTGCAATCCGAGTACCCCCACTGTGCACACGTCCCACGCTTCTCAGTGTGCTCCGGGATGGTGCAACCCCCCAACCCCACAACAGAACAACCAGCCAGCTCTGCCTACCCTTTTGTGTTCTGACCCAGTTCTGTCCTTGGCTGTGTGCCAACTGCTGGCTTCTACTTCTGGGCTACTGTGAATGCTCCGCTAGTTCCTCCCCTCTCCCCTCTTCACCTTAACTCTTATTCATCCTTCAGGTTTCAACCAAGATGTCACTTCCACCAGAAAACCTCCCTGGCCTTCTATCACCTGCTCCCAGAATGCCAGTGCCTTCCTGTGTTTCCATTTCCACACCGGGTTACCACCCCTCACCTGCCACTGCACTGTCAGTCCTGACATGGCAGGGTCCACGTCTGTCTCCATTACCGCTTTACTCCTAACCGCAGCGTAGCAGGGTAAGCTCCCAAGACATGTGTGTTGGATAAAAGAGTGACTGGGGGGAGGAGGCAGGGAGCGGGGTAATGCAGGGCTTGGTAGAAAGACGGTTGGGTGGTGAAAGAAGAAGGGGATGGGCAGATCGGTAACGAACAGGGGTACGTCCATGCAGCCTTGCTGCCCTCTGCCCTCCCGTCCACCTGCCCAGCCCCTGCTCTGGCCGGGCAAGCTCTTGTGTGGTTCCACCCCTGTCTGCCTCTCCCTCTGCCTCCTCCTCCTCAAGCTCTGCTCCAGTCTCACCCCAGAAGCCCCACCTGACCTTCTCATCTAAGTTTTAGCACCCAATGGTCCGCATCTCCATGCCTTGCTTTGTGTTTCCTCCTAGTACTTAACACTATCTGCATCTTATGTCTTTTACTTATTTGTCGTGTCTGTCGTCCGCCTCTCCCACCAGCACACAGGCTTAGCAAGGACAGGGGTTCTCACCTGTTTTGTTCATTCCTAACTATTCCCAGGACCTAGAGTGCTGTCTGCCACAGAAACACTGGCTGGACTAATGGAAGCCCTGGACTGAAGAGTGGATGATGAATGCATGAAAAGCACAGGCGTGGACACACGGATAGACATGCAAATAAACACAGTGCACACACGCAGGCAACACAGGTGCCAGGTGTGATGGGAAGGCAGATGGATGGAAGTGTGTTTGCGACACAGGGCAGACGGCGTCCCTGTGTGCAGAGACACACGCACACCACAGAGGAGGTGAGGAGCCCAGGCCTGGAGCTCACCCCAGCTCCGCTGAGGCTGCCTCCTGTGCCCGTGTCCTCTTCTGCAGAATGAGGTCACACGGGCACGTGCCTCTGGGGTCTGCCATGGGATTTAGAGCCGTTTCTCTACATAAGTGCGCAGAATCAGTGCACGCTGGCTACTGAGATCCCACGGGTCATGATGCATGGGTGAGTGGGCGGCCACACACACCAGCAGGCAAGGAGACTCACAGGTTGGTGGGGCTTAAACAGAACATGGAGCTGTATGGGACGATAGGCCGGGGGCCGCTCCTCATCACGTCATCCGCTTCCACCTCCTTCTTCCCCTCTGCTTGGCTTTCCAGGTCCACGTTACCACCTACAAGGACACAGGGCCCCCGAGTAAGGGGTGTAGTGCACATGAAGCCCACGTTGCGTGGCTCCCTCCCAGCTCCCATGCCCCCGGCACTTGCGTCAGGTCCTCACAGGCCCACCAGGGATGGGCAAGCAGCTAAGAACAGTGCTTCACGTACATGACCGTGGCGCACGACAGCCAGGACCACCATCTGCCGCAGAGACGCTAACGGACCCTTCCTCACCTCTTGCTGCACCAACGTTGGCAACAACACCGAGCCCAGCACCCGTGGCTGTGGACCCCTCTGCCGCGCTGAGGGGCCTCGATGCGCTGAGAAGCCCAGAGCCTGGTGAGACCTTCCCACTGCCTCTGCTGGGACCTCGAACCCGCAGCACAGGGAGGAGCAGGGGCCAGCCCCCGATCCACAAACCCACAGAGGCTCCCTGTACCTCGTTGTCCAGTCTCCCTTGACCTGGGATTTTCTTCCTCGAGATCCCAGGAGAGGGTCCTGTGAGGCCATGGAGCTTGGAAGGACGCCCTTCCCAGGGGGACCCAGCCTCTGCTCAGGCCCTGCTCCCTCGCCAGGCCCCGACTCGTCGCCTCCTTCCCCGAGGGCCCATCCTCTACCGCTCAGCACCCCACCACACCCCAGCTGTGCTCCCACAAATCAAACTCCCCAGGGCTAATATGGCCGCCACCTTGTTTTTTTAGGTAAATTTTGTTGTCCCTGCCCAGTGTTTTTCTCACAATAATTCTTCATTTTCAACTATCCTATTGTATATTTCAATTCTTATAGATGACAGAGCTCTTGAGACCTCAGGGACACCAAGGAAGACGTGCAGTGACTTGGAGCCGCCTCCCACTGCTGCAACTCATTTTGAGTTCTTTAAAGAAACATAAAAGCAAATAGGAGTTTAAGAAGCAACAAAGTGAAGGTGCTAATCCCCAGAGCCCGCTGTGGAGGCCTTGACTGCTGGCCACTTTGAGGTCCTGCAGAGAAGGGCTGTGCCAGAGAAAAAAAGCTTCGAGGTGAGCATGAAAACAGCGAAGGCCACAGCAGTGGGGTCTATACCACCGAGGATGCTGGCTCCAGAGCCAAGATAACCAGCCCCTGCCCACGAGCACAAGCAGTTTAAAGCGACCACTTTTGAAATGGGCACCATCAAACTTCCCTGTTGAAAACAAAAATTATGTAATCTGAGAAAGCAATCTGGCAAAACTTACTTGAAGCCCCAAAAAATTCTATTAATTTATTAGACATTACCTACTAAGGAAATGAAGCATGCCCACAAAAATATGTATTCCCAAAAGTTTTGTTGCAAGTTTTTTTTTTGTTTTTGTTTAATTTGAGACAGGAGACACAGTTTCGCTCTTGTTGCCCAGGCTGAAGTACAGTGGTACCATCCTGCAACCTCTGCCTCCTGAGTTCAAGTGATTCTCCTGCCTCCGCATCCCGAGTAGCTGGGATTACAGGCGCACGCCAACACACCCAGCTAATTTTTGTATTTTTAGTACAGACAGGGTTTCACCATGTTGGCCAGGCTGGTCTCAAACTTCTGACCTCAAATGATCCGCCCTTCTTGGCCTCCCAAACTGCTGGGCTTACAGGCGTGTGTTGTAAGTTTTTTTACAATAACAAAAATTATAAAATGCACAACCATAAACTGACTAAGTAAAATATGCAATATTTAAAAGAAGCACCATACTATGGATATTAAACATGCCACAGCTGTGTGTGGTGGCTCATGCCTGTAATCCCAGCACGTTGGGAGGCCAAGGTGGGAGGGATCCCTTGAGTCCAGGAGTCTCAAGCAACGAGACCATCCTGGGCAAGATGGTGACAGACCCTGTTTCTACAAAAAAATTTAAAATTAAAAAATTAGGGTGTGTTGGCGCGTGCATACAGTTCCAGCGACTCCAGAGGCTGAAGCAGGAGGATCACTTGAGGTCAGGAGTTCAAGGTTACAGTGAGCTACAATGGCACCACTGTACTCCAGTCTGGGTGACAGAATGAGATTGTCTCTAAAATAAATAAATAATTAATTAACTTAAGTAAATTAAGGAAAAAAGAATCAGTCTGGCTTCAATGAAGACTTCTGCTGCTCGAAATAAACAGGACAAAGATGCCAGGGCTCGGATGGAACTATTTCTCTGAAATCGATTTACTACAACATGGAAAATCATATGAAAGTCATCAATCATAGGAAAAAAATGTCAATTGAGTCAAAGCAGAAGAAAGAACGGAAAGGATAAAAATGAAAACTGCAACAGACTAAAGTCATTGTTGGAGAAAGGCTAGGAGAAAGGCTATTTTTAAAAAGACTTAATAGTTAAAAAAATTAAATCCCTGAAATAGGAGACAATGAAGCAAAACAGCGAGCTTTGGAGGGGAATACAGAAAGGAAGAGAGCTTTCACTAAAAACAGCCACATGCCAGACACGGCCCAGGTGCTTTACTCCCCCTAACAGCATGCGATGGCACAGGTTCCCCTTTCCAGATTAAGAAACTGAGGCTGAACTGAGGAACCGCTCTTTCCAGTGCACAGGTAGGAGTCCCAAGCCTTGGGTTCGCTTCAAGGTGGGGAAGCTGAATAGGAATCATCCCCAAAGCGGGGCTAAAGTAAGCCTGGACTGGCAGCACCTCAGGCTTCTGGAAACAACAAATGCAAATCCTCTCTGACAAAAACCTTCCTCAGTTGGCCTACAGAGTCCCCACAGGTTAGGGGGAATTTGGAGATAATTTAAGCTATTGTTTCCCAAGATATCTAAAGATATCCCAAGAGAAAGGATTTCTCTCCTACATATCTGGAGAGGTACAAGCTATGTTCCATCCTTGAGAAAACTGAAAACGTTGTTAATTCATTTTCTGTAGGGCTTAATTAGCTCACAAAACCTTAGTTGAGAAAAGGAGGATGTGATGTTTAATACTGAGCGTCAACTTGATTGGATTGAAGGATACAAAGTATTGATGCTGGGTGTGTCTGTGAGCATGCTGCCAAAAGAGATTAACATTTGAGTCAGTGGGCTGCGGAAGGCAGACCCACCCTTCCTCTGGTGGGCACCATCTAATCAGCTGCCAGCGAATGTCAACCAGACAAATGTGAAAAGGAGACAACGGGCCTCACCTCCCAGCCTATATCTTTCTCCCGTGCTGGACGCTTCCTGCCCTCGAACATCGGACTCCAAGTTCAGCTTTGAGACTCGGGCTGGCTCTCCTTGCTCCTCAGCTTGCAGACGGCCTATTGTGGGACCTTGTGATCATGTAAGTTAATACTTAATAAACTCCCATACATATATCATTTATATATATATATATGATATATAGGAGATACATATATATATAGGATATATATCCTATTAGTTCTGTCTCTCTAAGAGAACCCTGACTAATACAAAGGATTAAGATCAGTCATATATGAACTCAAGCAATATCACCAAACACACCATGAAACAAGGTCACCATTACTGAAAGACACAACAGAAACAATGAGTGCACTCACACCCCTAAAGACTTCAGATACAGGAATTCTTAGATGAGATACATAAAGTAAGTAAATATAGGCCAGGCGCAGTGGCTCACAACCGTAATCCCAGCACTTTGGAGGCCAAGGCAGGTGGATCACTTGAGCCCAGGAGTTCAAGACCAGCCTGGGCAACATGGAGAAACTCCATGTCTACAATAAATATAAAAAATTAGCTGGGTATGGTGGTGTGCGCCTGTGGTCCAACTACTGCAGAGGCTGAGGTGGGAGGATGGCCTGAGCCCAGGTGATGGCTACGTGAAAAGCCCAGATGTCACCACTACACAATAGATCTAATGTAACAAAACTGCATTTGTCCCCACTAACTCTATAAAAATAAAACAAAATTATTGACAGATCAATCAAGCAAAATATTAATGAATATAAAGAATATTTGAGTAATACAACTAACAAACCTGATTTAGCATACAAATATAAAAAACTCAGAGCTCACAAAATTAGAGAAAACATATCCCTCGGAAGCACATATAGAACAAGAACAAAAGCCGACCATGAAAAAAGCTGACCATAAAGCCAAGGCACAGAGCAAATGCAAATGAATTTCAAAGAAAACTATCATACAGATCATGTTCTCCTAATCTAACTTAAGTTCTAACTTAAGTTAGAAATTAAGGCAGAAACCAGAAACAAACAGATTAATTAAAATTAAAATTTTACATTTGGAAACTGAAAAAAAGACTAAAGAATTCATGGGTCAAAAATGATATATTCACAGATGGTACAACTGTGTCCTAAAAAAACAAAATAATCTACAGAAAATTACTTAGAGTAACGAGAGTTTGTTTGATAATTCTGTGGCTGAACACAGAACCAACAGACGAAACTGCTTATTATTTCTATGCAGTAGAAGCAAATAATTAGGAAAGAAAAAACTTTTAAACAATACCATTTTAAAAAACAGAATAAGCAAGGTAAAAAGACAAAAAGACAGTTTCAGGATAGAAGAAAAGAGATAAATACAAAAGTGAGATTAAAATCCTACAATCTTCTATTTGAATTACAAATGCCACGGAATTAATGACATATTTTTCTCTTTTTTTTTTTATTTTTTATTTTTTTTGAGACGGAGTCTTGCCCTATCGCCCAGGCTGGAGTGCAGTGGCGAGATCTTGGCTCACTACAACCTCTGCCTCCTGGGTTCAAGCGATTCTCCTGTCTCAGCCTCCTGAGTAGCTGGGATTACAGGCACGCCCCACTACACCCGGCTAATTTTTATACACTTTTTTTTTTCCCAGCAGAGACGGGGTTTTGCCATGTTGGCCAGGCTGGTCTCGAACTCCTGACACCAGGTGATCCACCCACATTGGCCTCCCAAAGTGCTGGGATTACAGGAGTGAGCCACTGCATCCAGCCACTTTTCTCTTTTTAAAAAGCCCACCAAAAAGCCTGAAAGCAATAAAAACCCAGAAGCAATGACCACAGATGACTGTCTCTAAATACTCTATCTCATCAAAGTAGCCAGGGCATCTCCAGTCAGGTTCTACAGAAGCACACCGTGAGGTGAGACGGGCTTCCAGACGGGAAGACAAAAGCAAGACAGGGAGGTAAAGAAGCCGAGCAAGGGTGCACTTCAGACCAGGTCCTGCAAAGGTGGCTTAGGCTCCCACAGGGACACTCTGGGCTCTCATCTGAACCAGAAGGTTGTACTGACTGAAGCCAGAGAGCTGGCTCTCCTGCACCTGCACTTTCCCTTCACTGGCTAAGTGCCACCTTGGGGGATGCAAACTCCCATGCACTTCCCGTGGTTCCTGTAGTCCAAGGGAAGTCTCTGAAGAGGAGCTGAAGAGGAAGCCCCTGGAGGCAAAGGCCACCAGAGTACAGGGGTGGGGGGGTGGAATCCACAGGAATCACGGCAGTGTCCAGCGTGTGCTGCTTCTTGGAGAAATGAGCAATTCCAGATCGGGGACAGGAAGTGTGCACAACGATCCTGGAACATGCTGTCATAGACGAAAACCAGATAACTGTCAAACTCTACTCCAGGCCTGTGAGAAGGGCAGAACGATCAACTTGAAAGGGTGAACATTGGCCAAGATAGGACAATTTAAGCACCAAAAGTAATAGTGATTGCAAAGAACTGAAATACGTCAAACACGTTAAAATTCAAAATTTTACAAGAATAATTTTCTTCTAGCTCTCACTGGTCCTATTTGTTAATAGGGCATTGATTCATTATTTTGAAAACTTATAAATAAAGGGACAGAATGAACCAAGTACCTTGTTTAATACACATACAAACTGAATTTCAGGGTAACCAAGCAGTTAATGAGGTAAGATCTTTCTTACAGAAAAAGTCAAAATAACAAACACAGAAAGAATCATGAAATTATAAATTCACCATTTTGCGACCCTCACTGAACTCACAGATCTGGGTAACAATCATCAATGTCACTAGAACCATTTAGGGAAAGACCAGTGGAGAACTTCACAATGGCAGATCAGGCTGAACCCACTGCTCCATGTTAGTATCACCCAAAGAGACATCAGACATGACAGAGCTCCTGATACCATATGGCAGGAAGTGTACACCACCACCTGGAAGCCTTCCAAAAGAAGGGAACTGGATTTTTTCTCTCTTTTTTTTTTTGTTTGTTTTTTTTGAGACAGAGTCTCGCTCTGTTGCCCAGGCTGGAGTGAAATGGCGCGATCTCAGCTCACTGCAACCTCCGCCTCTCGTGTTCAAGCGATTCTCCTGGCTCAGCCTCCTGAATAGCTGGAATTACAGGCGCTTGCCACCACACCTGGCTAATTTTTGTATTTTTAGTACAGATGGGGTTTCACCATGTTTGCCAGGTTGGTCTCGAATGCCTGACCTCAGGTGATCCTCCCACCTTGGCCTCCCAAAGTGCTGGGATTACACATGTGAGCCACTGAGCCCGGCCTGGATTCTTTCACAACGGTCTCTAGACATCCTTTGGTTGTCACAACTAGTGGGTGCTCCTGGCATTGAGAAGGCAGAGGCCAGGGATGCTGCTAGGCATCCTAAAATGCAGAGGCCACGGTCCACAATAGAGCTTCAACAGCTCCAAGGCTGAGAAGCCCTGTTCCGGATCTAATTACCAGGTAACAGAATACACTGAGGACAGAGGACTGTACCAAACAACACCATGATGCAAACAACCAAACTGAGAAATTCTACGGGACAAACCATATGTTCTCCCCAACAAATAAATGGCATGAATAAGCAGAGGAAAACTCTTTTAAAGTAAAAGAGACTTAGACAGATTAAGCAAACCCAAATGAGTAAACCTCATTTGAATCCTGACTCAAACCAACCGTAAAAAGTTATTTTTGAAATAACTAGTAAAATTTGAACTTGGAATAGGTGTTAGATAATATTAAGGAATTATTGTCAACATTGCTAAGTGTAATAATGCTCTACAGCTATGATAAATCCTTAATTGTCAGACATGCTTATTGGCGTATTACACCTAAAATGATACACAAGAAAGCAAGAAGAAGCGTAAGTGAAACAACATTGGCAAAATGTGGGTGGAGACGGAGCACAGGAGTTCACCGCATTTTCTCCACTTTCCCGTATGTTTCAATTTTCCACAATAAAATTGATTTTATTTAAGCAGCCCCAGAGAGAAGACAGTCATACATAGGAAAAAAAATTTAGACGAATGACTGGCTTCTCAACAGAAACAACAGAAGGCAGAAGACAGTGGAGCAGTCTCAATATGTTGAAATAAAGATAACAAATGAGAATTTTCTACGATGTAAAACCACGTCTCACAAACAATGGCAAAATAAAGACTGTTCAGGCAAGCCAAGAGAATTTACCACCATCAAACCTCACTAAAAGAAATTAGGGGAAGGCCGGGAGCGGTGGCTCACGCCTGTAATCCCAGCACTTTGGGAGGCCGAGGCAGGCAGATCACGAGGTCAGGAGATCGAGACCATCTTGGCTAACACAGTGAAACGCCATCTCTACTAAAAATATAAAAAATAAGCCAGGCGTGGTGGCGGGCGCCTGTAGTCCCAGCTACTCGGGAGGCTGAGGCAGGAGAATGGCATGAACTCAGGAGGCGGAGGTTGCAGTGAGCCAAGATTGCGCCACTGCACTCCAGCCTGGGCGACAGAGCGAGACTCCGTCTCAAAAACAAAAAAAAAAATTAGGAAAGCTGTTCTTCAGGCAGAAGGGGCGGGGGGGAAAGAAACCCAATGGATGATCCGAAATATAAGGAGTGATGAAATATGAAAAGGAATAACAGAATCAACTGCAAAACATAGGAAAAGAGAACAAGATAGAGAAATCTCTGTCAATTAGAAATTTAAAATCCTACTTACTTTAAAAACTCATGAATCAAACAAGAATTCTTAATCACACTTGGAAAAAATATTTGAAACAAAAAATTTAAACTTTCAATATATAACTAAAATAACTCTCAGAGAGAAACTTAAAGTTTTAAACACATTAGCAAAGTAGAAAAGCTCAATGTCATGAGCTGAGTATCCAACTAATAAATTGGAGAAAGAATATTACAGTACACATACACAAAGTAGAAGAAAGGAAATAATAAATAAGAACAGAAACTGGTGAAACAGAAAACAAAAATACAACAGAGAAGATCAAGAAAGACAAAGACTGGGGCATTGATAAACCATTTAAGTGGACAAAACTTCAGGGAAAAAAGGGCTTATCAAGGGAAGGAGGGAAGGAGGGAGGGAGGGAAGGCTATCAGAAATATAAAAGTGGCCACAACTACCAATCCATCAGAAACTTAAAAAATAATAAGAAACTAGTTTCTACAGATACTGGCAGTCATCTTTTTCTTTTCTTTCTTTTTTTTTGAGACAGTCTCGCTGTTGCCCAGGCTGAAGTGCAGTGGCACGATCACAGCTCACGGCTCACTGCAGTCTCCACCTCCTGGGTTCAAGAGATTCTCTTGCCTCAGCCTCCCAAGTTGCTAGGATTACAGGCACCCATCACCACACCCAGCTAATTTTTGTACTTTTAGTAGAGATGGGGTTTCACCATGTTGGCCAGGCTGGTCTCAAACTTCCGACCTCAAGTGATCCACCAGCCTTGGCCTCCCAAAGTGCTGGGATTACAGGCATGAGCCACTGTGCCCGGCCAGCGGTCATCTTTTTCTTGAGATGCTATAAGATAATGAAATGCCTACATGATGAGACGAACTGAGGTGAATGACACAGGCATTGTGATGCAGGTGGAAAATTCCAGAAGTAATTCATAAGTTTTAAGTTGCTAGCTGTTCTAAGTACCATGATGAAACCCCACACCGTTCTGCTCTGTCCCACCTGGACTGCATTAGTCACTTAGCAGCCATCTGGGTTATGAGGTTGGCTGCCATGGTATTGCAGTAATTATGTTCAAGTAACCCTTATTTTACTTAATAATGGCCCCAAAGTGCGAGAGTAGTTATGTAATAAATATTTTCAGACCACAGTGGACCTCAGATAACAGAAAGTGGGGAAAGTAAAACCATGGATAAGGGGGGACTACAAGATCCTTGCACATCATATATAAGGCAAATATAAGATTCTAACAGGTAGAAGGAAGAAAGAAAATATTGGCTAGGGACCTTGGGACCTGAGGAATGACACAACAATAAGTTTCTTATTTGAGTTTTCTTTTATGCCTCATATATATCCTAGATTTGGTACTAGTGAACCCAACAACCCAGAAATGCCAATAGGCACAGATTTTTTAAAGGCTCAATAAACCCAGCTCTCCCTAGTGAAAGGACTAGGAAAGGGGCAGCCTACCGAGATATAAAACTTATAGACAATAATCACTAAACAATAGCCAAACTACACACACAAGCCAAAAAAAAAAAAAAAACTATGACCCTACTTCCACTTATACCAGCAGAAACTGGGTGGGGAGCCTAGACTTCCACCCTCACCACCATCCCAAAGCCCCTGCTAGGGTGGTCTGAGAGAGAGCCAAGTGGGAGCAGGGACTTTCATCCCTATCTAGTGGTAACAAGACCCCCAATACACACAATGCCAGTAGAGATCACACGGGGAGCCTAGACGTCACGTCTCACCCAGCAGGAATGAGACAATCTCTTCCTCTTACTCAATGGAGCAAGCCCTAGTGGAAAGTCAGGACTTCTACTGCTACCTGGAGGTGATAAGGTCTATCTCCACTGTGTCAAGGCCAGCCAGCTGGGGAACAGTAACAAGATACTCCTATCTCTCCCAGTCAGGCCGGTATGAATGGAAGCCTAGTGGGGAGCTAAAACTCCCAGCCCAGCCTAGCAGTAATGAGTAATCCTTCTCCCCTAGAATGTCAGTGGAACTCAAGTGAAGAATCCATACTTCTATTCCCATCTGTCAATAATGGGGCAACTCTCTACAACCCCTGTAATATGGTTTGGTGTGTCCCCACCCAAATCTCACCTCAAATTGTAATCCCTATAATCCCCACGTGTCAAGGGAGAGACCAGATGGAGGTAATTGGATCATGGGGGTGGTTTCCCCTATGCTGTTCTCGTGATAGTGAGTCTCACGAGATAGGATGGTCTTATTAAGTGTCTTGCGCTCACTCTGTCCTGCCACCCTGTGAAGAAGGTGCCTGCTTCTCCTTTGCCTACCGCCATGATTTTAAGTTTCCTGAGGCCTCCTCAGCAATGTGAAACTATGAGTCAATTAAACCTCTTTCCTTTATAAATTACCTGGTCTCAGGTATTTCTTCATAGCAGTGTGAGAAAGGACTAATATGCCCCACTACTTGCTGGCGTGGCATCACAGTAGACAAGCTAAAACTGAAGATGTAAATAAGACTTAGGGCTCATAACACAATACCACTGAGAGTCTAGGTTTCAACCAAAATTCACTTATCACACCAAGAACCAGGAAATCTCAACTTGAATGAGAAAACACAATCAACAGACACCAAGATGATACAGATGTTAGAATTATCTGACAAAGATTTTAAAAACACCCATTATAAAAATGCTCAACAGATAATTTAAAACACACTTAAAACAAATGAAAAATATAAAATTATCAGCAAAGAAATAAAGTCTCAGGAAAGAAAAAGAAGATATAACGAACCAAATGGAAACTTCAGAACTGAAAAATACAGTGACTGAAATTAGAAAATCAATAGATGGGCTCCACAGCAGAATGGAAGGCACAGAGGAAAGAGTCAGTGAACTGGAAGATAGAATAATAGAAATGATCCAATCTGAGCAACAGAGAGAAAGTAGACTTAAAAAAGTGAACAGAGCTCAGGGGCCTTTGGGACTATAACAAAAGATCTAATATTCATGTCATCAGAGTCCTGGAAAGAAAAGAGAAAGAGGCAGAACTAAAGAAGTATTTAAAGACATAAAGGATGAAAAATTTCCAAATTTGGCAAAAGATATAAACCTACAAATTCAAGAAATTGAGCAAACCCCAAACAAGATAAACTTAAAGGAACTCACATCAAAGCACACTGTAATCAAACTTCTGAAATATAAAGACAAGGAAAAAAATCTTGAAAGCAGCAAGAGATAAACAACATCTTACCTATAGGAAGAAAACAATTCGAATGACAGTGGATTTCTCATCAGAAACCATGGAGGTCAGAAGGAAGAGGCACACGTTTTTTTCAAGTGCTGAAAAAAAAAGAACTGTCAACCCAAAATTCTATACCCACTGAAAATACCCTTCAGGAATGAAGGGAAAATCAAGACATTCTCAGATGAAGGAAAACTAAGAGAATTTGTCACCCGCAGACCTACCACAAAAGAATGCCTAAGGAAGTTCCCCTAAACAGAAAGTAAATTATGAAAGAAGAAATATTGGAATATCAGGAAGGACGAAAGAATAACAGGAGTAAAAATACAGGTAAATACAACACACTTTTCCTCTCCTTTCGAGTTTTCTAAATTATGTGTGACAGTTGAAGCAAAAATTATAACATACTCTGATGTGGTTCTAAAAGTACATAGAAGAGCTATTTAAGACAATTACATTACAAATGGAAGAGGAAAAAGCGATATAAAGAGAGGTAAAGCTTCTATATTTCACATGAACTGGTAAAATGACTACATGAAGAAACTGGAGTAAGTTATGTATATATAATGTAATACACAGGGCAACCACTAAAAAAACCTATACGAGGTCTTAAAAAACCTATAGAAGAGATATACTCAAAAATACTACAGATAAAAGGAATTCTAAAGTACATTCAAGTAACCCACAGGAAGGGAGAAAAAGGAAACCAGAGAAATGAAAAACAGAAAGAGAAAAACAAAATAAGAAATAAAATAACAGACTTAAGCCCTAATATATCAATAATTATGCTAAGTGTAAACAATCTAAATATGCAAAATAAAAGACAGAATTGACAGAGTGGATTGAAAACATGAATACTATCTACAAGAAATTTACTTCAAATATAACTATATAGTTAGGTTGAAAGCAAAAGGTTGAAAAAATATATACCATGCACATATTAATCAAAAGAAGGCAGGACTGAACATATCTACATAAGATAAAGTAGACTGCAGAGCAAAGAAGATTACCAGGTACAGAGAAGGACGTTACACAACAATTAAAGGGCCAGTCCACCAAAAAGACATAGAAATCCTAAATGTGTATGTGCCCAAAAACAGAACTGCAAACACATGACGCAAAAACTTACAGTACTGAAAGGAGCAAAGATAAATCCACATTTACAGCTGGAGACTGAATATCCTTTTCTCAACAATTGACATATCTAGACAGAAAATCCGAATGTAGACAAAGATACTCAATAACATCATCAACCAACAGGATCTAAACAATGCTTATAGGAATGCACATCAACAACACAGAATGCATGTTCCCTTCAAAGGCTCACAGAACATACATCAAGATATCCCACATCCTGGGCCACGAACCTTAACAAACTTAAAAGAACTGAAATAATACAGAACATGTTCTCTGACCATAAAGTAATCAAACTAGAAGTTAATAACAGAGAAATAGGCAAATCTCCAAATGTTTGGAAACTAAACAACACACTTCTAAACAGTCCATGAGTCTTCTCAAAGGAAATTTTTTAAACGGGACTGAAAAAATATACAATATGAAAACCTGTGGAATGCAGCTGCCAAGAGGGAAACTTACAGAGCTAAATGTTTGCAGCAGAAAAGAAGGAAAGACTCAAATCAACAATCTAAGCTCCTACCCCAAGAAACTAGAAAAGAAGAGCAAAAGAAGCCCAAAGCAAACAGAAAGAAGGAAATAATAAACAGCAGAAATCAAAAGAAATTGAAAACAGAAAAATAATAGGGAAAATCAATGTAACAATAATTTGGTTCTTTGAAAACATCAATAAAATTATACAAACTCCTCGTAAGACTCACAAAGAAAAAAGAGAGAAGACAGCAAATTACCAATATAAGAAATGAGACACAAGTTACCACTACAGATTATGCAGACATCAAAGGGATAATAAGGAAACATCACAAACAACTGTATACACTTAAATAAAAGGGACTAATTCCTCATAAAGCACAAACTACTACAACTCATCCAATATGAAATAGATAACACTGTATCTATTAAGGAAATTATATTTGTAATTTAAAAATTCCAAAAAAGAAATGCTTCATTGGCAAAATTTCCCAAACATTTAAAGGAGAATTAATATCAGTTCAACATAATCTCCTCTAGAAAATAGAAGAGGGACAATCCATTCAATTCAAAACATTTTATGAATCCAATATTACTCTGATACCAAAACCAGACAGAGACAGCACAAAAAATAAAACTACAGAGCAACATCCCTCATGAATACAGACGCAAAACTCCTTAACAAAATATTAGCAAATAGAATTCAGCAACATAGAGAAATAATTATACACCAGTAGGGTTATTCATAATGATAAAGGCCAGTTTAATATTTGAAAATAAATCAATATAAAATACCATATAACAGAAAAAACACACACGATAATATCAATTGATGCAGAAAATCATTTGACAATATTCATCCACTCACCACAAAAATTCTTTAAAAAAAAAAGCAATGAACGGGAACTTTCTCAACTTGATAAAGAACATCTACCAAAAAACAAAACAAAACAAAAAACAACCAAACAAACCCAAAAACCTTACAGCTAATATCATACTAAATGATGAAAGACAAAATCCTCCCTCCAGGAAAGATGTCAGTTCTTGCCACAGCTATTCAAAATAGTACTGGAAGTCACAGACAGTGCAATAAGGGAAGACAGGGAAATAAAAGGCATGTATGTCAGAAAGGAAAAAACTAAAACTGTTCATTTGCAGATGCCTTATACTCTCTGGAAAATCCCAAAGAATCTACAAACACACACCTAGCACAAATATAAGCCAAAATTACATAGTTAATTTTGAAATTTGATGAAAATGGGCTGGGCACAGTGGCTCACACCTGCAATCCCAACACTTCGGGAGGCTGAGAAAGGCAGATCACTTGAGGTCAGGAGTTCGAAACCAGCCTGGCCAACATGGTGAAACCCCATCTCTATTAAAAATACAAAAAAATTAGCCATGTGTGGTGGTGCGTGCCTGTAATCCCAGCTACTCAGGAATCACTTTGAACGAGAATCACTTTGAACCCGGGAGATGGTGGTTGCAGTGAGCCGAGATGGCACCACTGCACTCCAGCCTGGGCGACAGAGCGAGACCCTGTCTGGAAAAAAAAAAAAAAAAAAGGAAAAGAAAAACACAAAAAAACACAGGATCAGAAATGACAAGGAGGAAAAACACTGAAACAGAGGGAAATTTTTAAAACTTTAAGCCACTCTTAAGGCTATGTAAGTAAGTGGGAAAACCTAGATCAAATGGATAATTTCTAAGGAAAATATAATTTACCAAACTCATCTCAAGAGGCAACAATGTTTAAGCAGACCAACATCCATACAAAAAAAGGGGTATTACAAAGGAACTGTCCTACAAAAAGAGACCAGACATCAACAATTTCACAAGATAATTCTATCAAATATTTAAAGACCACATAATTCCTATACTACATGAGCTACCCTTGAGCACAAGAAGACATTCTAATTATTTTTATGAACCAATAACGGGAATATCCTACAGAATATATCCTTGGATAGTATTTCCCAATAGAGCACTGCCAAGTTTTATAATGCCCATGCTTCTGGAAAACATATATATCTTTCATTACAGTGTTGTTGACTTTTCTGGCTGACATTTATGTTAAAAAAAAGTATACATGCCCAAAAGTCAATATAATGTTTTTAACAAAATAATGTGGGGAACAACTCTCAGGCAGGATTCCAAATTCAGTTGGTTGTGTGAAGAAACCTGAAAGAGCTAATCCTTCAAGATGGATCCCAAGTGGCTAACTGAGCCTACATTTAAGTCAGAGAGAAGCAGCCATATGCTGAATAGAGGTCCCAGAAAACCCACACCTTTTTAACTCTGGGAACTTTTAGAGCTCACCTGAACCAACCAATCAGAGTTCACTTGCCTCAGCCAATCAGAGCTCAGCTATATGGACCAATCAGAACTCAGCTGTGTCAACCAATCAGACCAAGCAAGTCTGAATCCTTCATTTGCATAAAGGGACTTGATTAAGCACCTGGGCAGGAAATGTCAAAACTTCTCTTTCTCCTCTGGAATGCGCCTTCATTTTACAAGGAAGGCTGCATCTTCCTGGTTTGCAAACTATTCACTAGAATAAAGCCTGTTTCCTCCAAACTCCTTTTCAGAGAACTTTTGTTCACAGTAAGTTATGGGAATCGTATGGATGTTTTTGAAAAGTACAAGTTTCAATAAAGGAGGTATCTAAAGCAATTGCTTATTACTAGCTATTTTAACTGGTAATCAGGAAACAATATGTGAAGCATTTTATGTTCTATTATGACTGTTTATTAGTTTTCATTGTTTATCTGTGCTTTATATTTTACAAAATCGGTTAGGAATTTTTAGCGGACACATAACACATTATAATGTTTTACCATTTAAAATAATGGGGCCAGGCACGGTGGCTCACGCCTGTAATCCCAGCACTTCGGGAGGCCAAGACAGGTGGATCACTTGAGGTCAGGAGTTTAAGATCAGCCTGGCCAACACGGCGAAACCCTATCTCTACTAAAAATACAAAAATTAGCCAGGTGTGGTGGTGGGCGCCTGTAATCCCAGCTACTCGAGAGGCTGAGGAAGGAGAATTGCTTGAACCTGGGAGGCAGAGCCGAGACCGTGCCACTGCACTCCAGCCAGGGTGACAGAGCAAGGCTCAGTCTCAAAAAAAAAAAAAAAAAAAAAAAAAAAAGGTTGGGGGGGAGTGGAAATGAGACCCTCTTTTAGAACATTTGATTTTCAGGAATGGAGCTGTGAAGTTAAGCAATAGATAACTCTATGTCATTGATATTTAAACCTTATGATCCTCAAATGTGACAAAAGAAAGCTACAGAACACATCTCGCTTAAAAATATCAATCCAAAAATCCTACAAAAAATGTTAAAGAGAATCCAATGGCATATTACAAAATAAATATAATAACCACTTGGATTTATTCTAAGATTGCAAAGATATTTCATATCAAAAAATTCATTACTATAAATCCCCATATCTAAGGAGAAAAAAATATATGATCTCTATGGATGCTGAAAAGGTCTTCAAGAAAATTCAACATCTATTCCAGATAAAAACACTTACTGAAGTAGGAACTAATGGATACCACAACATAATTTTACACACACACAAACAGACACACACACACATCCCTCAGGCCCCAAACCAAAATTTTATTTAATGTAGGCGGAAACAAGGTAATGCCCAGTAATTCCATTGTTATCTGATAGTGAAATCAGACAAAAAAATAATAATGAGTGGTGTAAGACTTAGAAAGAGTTAGAAGTATATTTGCAGAAGTTTTGATAATATATCTCGGAAAAAAAGGGGGAATCAGTGAAACTAATAAACAATTTGAGGATTCAGAAAAGTAGCAGGATACATAATCAACATATAAAAACTAATAGCCTAGATTTCTGTTTCTAGTAGAAGTAATAATAGGGACCAGACAATCAGTTGTTTTTAGCAATCGAAAACACCAGACATTAAGAGAATGAAAAACCAAGCCACAAAATGGGAGAAAATGCTTGCAAAAACACATATCTGATGAAAGACTTGTATCCAAAATATACAAAGAACTCCTAAAACTCAACAACTAGAAAACAAACAGCCAGAATAAAAAGTGGGTAAAAGATTTGAATAGGAATCTCATCAAAGAAAATTATACACATGGCAAATAAGCACATTAAAAGATGCTCAACGTCATATGTCATTAGGAAATTGCAAAATAAACAAGATATCATTACACGCTTAATTAGAATAACTCAAATCCAAAACACTGACAACACTGAATATTGGCAAGGATGTGGAGCAACAGGAACTCTCATTCATTGCTGGTGGGAATGCAAAATGGTACAGTCCCTTTGGAAGATAGTTTGTCAGTTTCTTATAAAGATAAACAGTCTTACCATATAATCCAATAAGCATGCTATTAAGTATTTACCCAAATGAGTTGAAAACTTATGTCCACACAAAAACCTGAACATGAATGTTTAAAGCAGTTTTATTCATAATTGCCAAAAATTGGAAGCAACAAGATGTCCTTCAATAGGTGAATAAATAAACTGTGGTATGCCCAAAAGACAGACTATTAATCCAACGCTTAAAACAAATGAGCTGTCAAGCCACAAAAAGACACAAAGGAAACTTAAGTGCATATTGCTAATGGAAAGAAGCCAATCTGAAAAGGCTGCATACTGTATGATTCCAACCCTATGACAGTCTAGAAAAGGCAAAACTATAGGGACAGTGAAAAAATCAGTGGTTGCCAACAGGGGTGTGGGGAAGAGCATAGGGAGCCTGGGGAGGAGTCACATCTGGATTCCTGCAGATAAAAGCCAGGTAGGGAACCTAGGCTCATCCTCAAGCTGATCCACAGAGAATCAGGTGAGGGAGCTGGGCAGGCAGACTCACTTGTGCCCATGGGAAGTGAACAAGAAAATGAACCAAGGGCAACTTTCCTCCAAGGAAGCAAAGGAAAAGGGGAGGCTGAGCAGTTAGAGGCTGTGTCTTCCATGGTTATACCTGGAATTGTGCGCCAGTCCACAGGCCCCAGGTGAGAGCACCTGAGCAAGAGAGAATGTCATGCACATGTGTGTGTCTGGAGATCTGTCTGCAAACATGGGCACGCACACGTCTGTGTGTGCGGATGCATCTGCAAACACGGACATGCACACATCTGTGTGTGGAGATCCGTCTGCAAACATGGGCATGCATGTGGTGGCACCTGATTGAGTCCGTCTGGTCTGCTTAAGACCTAAATGCTTCTGCTGGCATTCATGTGAGTCCTGTTTCTATGGCCTCTCTTCTACCCCTTTTTTCTCTGTACTTAAGAAAGGAGGGCTCCTCCTTGATGCCCATGAAACGCCCATGCACCTTCCCCACCACGTAAGGGGCCTGTATTTGTAACCAGCAGATCTCTCCCTATTAGACAGGTTTCAAGACAGGAATGACATCTTGGTCCCCTGTGCCCTCAGGGACTGCACACAGGCAGGCATGGAAAGGCTGTTCCGAGCATGTGAGTGAGCAAGGGGAGGAAAGAAGGCAGCTCAAATAAAGGCCTGGGAGCACAGCCTCAGAGCAGGGATGGCACAGGCCCATGAACAAATGGGCAGACGCAGTGGAGAGCCTCCTCCTCTGCAGCCCCTCGCTCTCAGCCCCAGTCAAGGCCGTGGACAGAGTCCTCAGCCAGCAGCTTTTGTGCAACCATCAAGAGTTGTGCCTGTTTTGTGGTCTGTCTTCCTGACAAGACTGTCTCCCTCCTACTATGCTCTCAGCACTCTAACACAGCACCTGGCACTTAGTTGGCAACGTGCAAATATTTTGGGAAGGAAGGAGAATGGAGCTCAACCTCAGTTATCTCTGGGGCACTAGAAATCAACAGGACATCAAGGGACAGATGTTGACAGCAAAGGACTCTCTCTCCAGCCAGGAGAACAATTCACAGAGGTAGGCTGGGTCCCCAGTGGCTGCTGTGGAGCAGGAGGGAATGGGGGTTGCTGGACCTGCACAAGATGGGCCCTGCCCCACTGGCACAGGGAGATACTCACTGGGAACGACCGTGGCTTCCCCAAGAGGGCCCGTCAGCATCACTGGGATATGTACAATAGTGTTCGGGTCTGGGGGCTGACTGCCCATGCGAGTGACGTTCCGCTGATTGTCTGCATCCTCTGGCTGTTCCTCCACCTTCTGGAGACAGGTGCTGGGCAGTGTGTGCATGGGACCCACAGTCACAGTCCCACTGGTCTCCAGGTCACAGTGTGGCTCCCTGCAATCAAGAATGTACATCAGGCCTCGGCGCAGTGGCTCACACCTGTGATCCCGGCACCGGGAGGCAGAGGCAGGAGGATCACTTGAGCCCAGGAGTTCAAGACCAGCCTGGGGAATATGGCGAAACCCCATCTCTACAAAAATTAAAAAATTAGCTGGGCGTGGTGACACGTGCATGTAGTCCCAGCTATTCAGGCTGGGAAGGCTGAGGTGGGAGGATCGCTTCAGCCCGGGAAGTTGAGGCTGCAGTGAGCCATGATTGCGCCACTGCACTCCACCCTGGGCGACAGTGCGGTCCTGTCTCCAATAATAATAATAATAATGCACATCAGCAAAATCCTATCAACCAAAACCCTTAAGCCTCCATGCAGACCAACTAAATCCATAACCACCTGCTCTGCTACTCTGGCCTTCTGTACGTTTTTTAAATTACTCTATACACCTCCGTGTCTTTAGTCCGAAAGGCAGGGATGGGGCTGACCCACCCACACACAAAGACAGGGCGGCGGCTGGGTTGACCCTGGGCTGGGGCCTCCAGCGGCAAGTATTCTGGTTGGTTTGTGGCCAGTGGGTACCTGGCGACTGCTGGTCTTGGCCACTGGACCACTGTTACCCCAGGCCCTCACGGGGTTGGTGAGTCCTGCCCCAGGGAGCAAGCTGGGCTAGCTGGGGTTCTTTCTGTCATGGTCACACAGCCTGGCCCCCACACCCCGCTCTGCGCCCAGCCCACTGGCCTGCTCAGGCTTCCCTTGGGCCCTTCTGCCTCTCCTTCCTCCACTGCAATCCCCAACTTTCTCTTCTCCCAGGGCCACTTTGTTCTTTCCAAGCCAGTCGCAACAATTCCCCCTTAAGCCCTCCCTTCTTAAATAACGGCTGGCATTCACGGAGCACAAACACTCTGCCAAGCCTTTTACGGAGCATACACGCCCTGCCAAGCCTTTTACAGGTCAACCCTGCAAGGCAGGATTGTCACCACCCCACGTGAACGGCATGCAGAGACCCCAGCCCCGACGGCTCTGGACATGGCAGCGTGGCCGGGGCTGCAGCCTCCGCCGTGGACCCCATGGCCGCAGCCACCGCTGGGG
This sequence comes from Homo sapiens, assembly GCF_000001405.40. Taxonomy (NCBI): domain Eukaryota; kingdom Metazoa; phylum Chordata; class Mammalia; order Primates; family Hominidae; genus Homo; species Homo sapiens. Next base: position 138,023,867 of record NC_000009.12, on the reverse strand, counting down.
CCCGCGCCGCCCCGGCCAACCCTTCCCTCCCTGACCCCGCCCAGCCGCGGACTCACCGGGGCTGGTGGTTCCGGAGCTCCTTTTCCTTGTCGGCTTCCACTATCTCAGCCTCCTTCTCCGTGGCCTCCTTCTCCGTGGTCTCCTTCTCCACAGCCTCGTGAGCAGGCTGCGCCTTGTGCCGGGCCCGGTGCCGCCGCGCCGGCTCCTCCCCGCTCTCCGCCTCCCGGGGCCCCGCTCGGGGGCCGCCGCGGTGCCGCGCGCGCCGCTCGCCCTTGGCGCCGGCGCACTCCTTGCTCGGATCCTGGTGCCGGTGCGCGCGGTGGCGTCGGGGCTCCCGCTCGGCCGCCTCCTCCGGGGAGCCGCGCCGGTGGTGCCGCCGGCCGCCCTCGGGGCCTGGGCCTCGGCCGCGCTCGCTCCGCGCCTCCGGGGGCCCCGCGGCCTCCTTGCTGTGGCTGCGGTGCGGCCGCGGCCGCTCCTCCCGGGCACCGGGCTCCCCGCTCTCCGCCTTCGGGGCCTCTGCTCGGTCCTGGTCCCCCGCCGCGGGGGTCTTGTCCTTGTCGCGGTGCCGGTGGTGCCTGCGCGGAGGGTCGACGCCCTCGGGGGCCTCCGCAGCCTCAGGTCGGGCTTTGCCTCCCACGGGCCCCCGCGCGCCGTCGCGGCCCAGCTCCACCACCAGCGGCCGGTCCAGGTGCGTCTTCATGTCGGGCCGCAGGTGGCGCGTAGTGGCGAAGCGCAGCCGCTCCTCGGGGTCCATCTCGCTGTACAGCGCCTCGCAGCTGGCCCGCAGGTTCTGCAGCCGTAGCTGGCTGGCCCGCTGCTCCCACACCGAGCGCGCCTTGGCCGAGTTCTGCTGCCTGCTGCGGGGAGACTGGCGGTGAGCGCGGCCCCGTCTGCCGCCCGCCCGCCGCTCTCCAGGGAGGCCACAATGCACACACAGCAATGGAGTAATGGCGCAGGGAGGTGGGAGGCGTGGCCGCGGGAGCCCCCACACCCCTCGGGGGACGCGGATCAGGTGGGGAACGCCCAAGGGAACCGAATTCAGCCCCGCCGCCCCCCCCCCCCACGGTGTCCCACAGGACCCGCAAGGTGAAAGCACCAGCCTGTCAGGAGGACCCTGGGGGGCTCAAGGAGGCCGAGGGGTACAGGACAGTGGGAATGCACCAGACAGGCCAAGCAGGTGGGTGGGCGGCTGGCCAGGAAGGCCACCGCGGGAGGGAAGGGCATGTTACAAAGGGCAGGACGGATGGAGAGGCAGGAGCCAGGGAGGCCCTGTAGCCTCCCTGGGAGCTGGCCCCTGCTGCAGCACCAGCACAGCTGCTACAGGAAGGGCGGGACACGCGGCCCCTTCTCCAGAGGCACTTCCCCATCGCTGCCTCCAGGAGGCAGGCCACCAGCCAGGTGAAAAGGCTGTTTGCCAGGGAACCCAGAGGGCAGTTGCTGTGGCAGAGCAGACAGCAGCCAAGGGAGCACCTGGCCCTTTCAGGAGCAAACGCAGAGCCTCTGCCAGTCCCCGAGGTGGTCAGCCGCAGCCCCGCAGCTGCCCCCTGGCTCAGTGACCAGGAGCCCAGAAGTCAGGTCTGAAGCTGGAAATGCCACCTCCCGTGGCCACCAATGCCCTCCTCTCTCTTGACTCCATGGAGAGCCCCTCCCTCTACTGGGAGCAGAGCCAGAACATGGTCCTCGGAGCCCTCCAGCACCAGGGATGGCCAGTGGTCCAGGCTCGGCCCTCACTGCATGGGCTACCGAAGGCCTTGACCCCTACTCCAATGTCATGGGCCCAAGCACCTCCTCTATTCACACATCACACATGGGGCTCCATAGCCCAGAGTGCACAGGAAGCCCTTTGCATTCTGGGCCTTCTGCTGAGTAAGACCACCTTTGGATAAGGTCTTATTATCCCAAAACTAAGCCCCACCATCGCCAGGGAGAAACCTCATCTGAGGCCAGAGGCCCGCCCTGGAGCCTCCAAGGCTGCTGGATGGCCTTGGCGGCAGCAGTGACTACACCAACAATGAGGGCCATGGCATCTGTGTCCTGCAACTGCCACGTGGTGCTCTGGGCGCAGTGCCCACTTCATCCAGTCCTTACAACCACCTCAAGAATCAGGTGCTACTCTTGTCCCCATTTCACAGATGAAGATACTGAGCCTAGAGAGAGGATGTTACTTGCTCAGGGTCCCACAGTGAGTCAGGATCAGACACAGGCAAGGGCAAAAAGGAAAAACATTTCTAAAGAAGACACGAGTCCTTGGCCAGACCCCAACTGCACTAACAACACAGGCTACAACCACGGCCTGCAGAGGCCCAGGCCGGCGGCCACCAGCTCCGGGGCCCTGAGCCGCTGAGCACCACTCTGACCTGCAAAGACAGAGCAGCCAGATGTGGGAAAGCCCAGTCCCTGCAGCCGGCCCACCCCAGGCAGGTGAACAATAAATCCTGCCCCTTTGTAGAAGTCCAGGCTGCAGTGGGAGCAATGTCCAGGGGCAGCACTTTGCACGAATGAAAGCGGAAGTGTGGTGTCTGTGTCTCACCTGGGAGCTTGGGTGGGGTGGGGGCAGGCAGGGCTACCTGTAGGGGCCGTCTGCAGACCCCCAGCCTCAGTTGAAGCCCCAGGCCCTGACCTGTATCCCTGATGCATTTAAACTGTGCTGCCCCTGCTCCCAGGGGTGCCCTACAACTGACCCACAGAAGACCCACCAACCCCAGCTGGGACCAAGACAAAAGGGCTCTACTGCCAACAGTGCTGAGTGGTGTAAAACAGAAGGCAGCCCCAGGGGCTTGCACCAGGCACAGGAGCCCTGTGAGGGCGGAGGCTGTTCACTGCCTCAAGCCTCCCAGTCCACTCCAGTGCCCGAGAGGGGCCTGGGCTCTGAGCCACTTGGTCAGCAGGGTGGCCCGCTCTGATGAAGCCGTGAATCTTGGGGACCAGCATTGCAGTTCCAAAAAGACAGGCAGTGAGGACCATGGGGAACATGCAGAGGCACAGGGTCTGTGTGAAGGTGGGGTGGGCTCCAGACCATATAGCTCTGCCCTCACCCTTGCATTCAGGTGTGGCTCCTTCTCGCCCAGGAAACACCTGGAGCAGGGAAAGGCCAGGCTGTCTGCTGGGCTGAGGGCGCTGTCAGGCTGGCAGGCTCCCCCGTGACCACCCAGGCAGAGCAACATGCTGAGCAGCCTACGCTAGGGCACCTGCCCGCCCCCCGCAGCCCCACTGGTTCCACCTGGCCTGTTCCTTCCGGGCCTATCTGCCACTGTCAGCCCTAACGTCACCAGAGACTGTCTGCATCTGCCCTCACTCGGCCAGCACCACCAAGTTCCTCTCTGGAGGTATCCCCTAGGTCTCTGAATCTGCGTGCCGGGCCTCTCTGCATGGTGTCTTAAGTCAGCCTGCACCTCCCCTGGCCCCTGTCTCTGTCCTTGCTCTATCTGGCACATATCCACACCAACTTAGAGTGAAGTGTGGCTGGTGATTAATCCAGGCAAAGTCCTGGTTTAAAAGGGTTCTTTAAGGAAGTCACATGGACGACTGGCACCCCTGTGTCCTGGCCTCAGCTGGTAGGCACAACCCAGCTGTTCCAGGGAGGAGGGCTCAGCCATGCTCAGCTGGGTGCTGTGGGGAACTACAGGACTTGGAAGTGGCCTCAAGGCGCTCTGTGGCCCTGCTTTGAGGTCTCTGGGCTCAGACAACCCGGAACTGCTGACAATATGAAGCAGCCCTGGTGTGACACCATGGATACCTGCCATCTGCATTTTTTTTTTTTTTTTTTTTTGGGAGACAGAGTCTCGCTGTGTCGCCCAGGCTGGAGTGCAGTGGTGTGATCACGGCTCACTGCAACCTCTGCCTCCCGGGTTCAAGCAATTCTCCTGCCTCAGCCTACCGAGTAGCTGGGACTACAGGCGCCCGCCACCACTCACGGCTAATTTTTTGTATTTAGTAGAGACAGGGTTTCACCATGTTGCCCAGGCTGGTCTCGAACTCCTGAGCTCAGGGAATCCGCCCACCTCAGCCTCCCAAAGTGCTAGATTACAGGTGTGAGCCAGCGCGCCCGGCCACCATCTGCATCTTACATCTTATTCCACCCCGCGGATGGATGCAGGATCCAGCATGCTTTCTTGCCCCAGGAGACATCAGTGCCTCTGACAGCCAGCAGCAAACAGTGCTCGTGGAAAGACTGAGCCCAGCTCCATGCTGGCTGCCAGCAAGGAAGCACTGGGCAGGGCGGGGGCGGCAGGGGCCTCACCACCACTAGGACAGGGACAGGACACCTGGCCACTTCCATCAGGGCAGGTGGCCTAACTGCACCTGGCCACTTCCATCAGGGCAGGTGGCCTAACTGCACCTGGCCACTTCCATCAGGGCAGGTGGCCTAACTGCACCTGGCCACTTCCATCAGGGCAGGTGGCCTAACTGCACCTGGCCACTTCCATCAGGGCAGGTGGCCTAACTGCACCTGGCCACTTCCATCAGGGCAGGTGGCCTAACTGCACCTGGCCACTTCCATCAGGGCAGGTGGCCTAACTGCACCTGGCCACTTCCATCAGGGCAGGTGGCCTAACTGCACCTGGCCACTTCCATCAGGGCAGGTGGCCTAACTGCACCTGGCCACTTCCATCAGGGCAGGTGGCCTAACTGCACCTGGCCACTTCCATCAGGGCAGGTGGCCTAACTGCACCTGGCCACTTCCATCAGGGCAGGTGGCCTAACTGCACCTGGCCACTTCCATCAGGGCAGGTGGCCTAACTGCACCTGGCCACTTCCATCAGGGCAGGTGGCCTAACTGCACCTGGCCACTTCCATCAGGGCAGGTGGCCTAACTGCACCTGGCCACTTCCATCAGGGCAGGTGGCCTAACTGCACCTGGCCACTTCCATCAGGGCAGGTGGCCTAACTGCACCTGGCCACTTCCATCAGGGCAGGTGGCCTAACTGCACCTGGCCACTTCCATCAGGGCAGGTGGCCTAACTGCACCTGGCCACTTCCATCAGGGCAGGTGGCCTAACTGCACCTGGCCACTTCCATCAGGGCAGGTGGCCTAACTGCACCTGGCCACTTCCATCAGGGCAGGTGGCCTAACTGCACCTGGCCACTTCCATCAGGGCAGGTGGCCTAACTGCACCTGGCCACTTCCATCAGGGCAGGTGGCCTAACTGCACCTGGCCACTTCCATCAGGGCAGGTGGCCTAACTGCACCTGGCCACTTCCATCAGGGCAGGTGGCCTAACTGCACCTGGCCACTTCCATCAGGGCAGGTGGCCTAACTGCACCTGGCCACTTCCATCAGGGCAGGTGGCCTAACTGCACCTGGCCACTTCCATCAGGGCAGGTGGCCTAACTGCACCTGGCCACTTCCATCAGGGCAGGTGGCCTAACTGCACCTGGCCACTTCCATCAGGGCAGGTGGCCTAACTGCACCTGGCCACTTCCATCAGGGCAGGTGGCCTAACTGCACCTGGCCACTTCCATCAGGGCAGGTGGCCTAACTGCACCTGGCCACTTCCATCAGGGCAGGTGGCCTAACTGCACCTGGCCACTTCCATCAGGGCAGGTGGCCTAACTGCACCTGGCCACTTCCATCAGGGCAGGTGGCCTAACTGCACCTGGCCACTTCCATCAGGGCAGGTGGCCTAACTGCACCTGGCCACTTCCATCAGGGCAGGTGGCCTAACTGCACCTGGCCACTTCCATCAGGGCAGGTGGCCTAACTGCACCTGGCCACTTCCATCAGGGCAGGTGGCCTAACTGCACCTGGCCACTTCCATCAGGGCAGGTGGCCTAACTGCACCTGGCCACTTCCATCAGGGCAGGTGGCCTAACTGCACCTGGCCACTTCCATCAGGGCAGGTGGCCTAACTGCACCTGACCACTTCCATCAGGGCAGGTGGCCTAACTGCACCTGGCCACTTCCATCAGGGCAGGTGGCCTAACTGCACCTGGCCACTTCCATCAGGGCAGGTGGCCTAACTGCACCTGACCACTTCAGGGACCCCTCACCTGCAGGGCCTGGCCTTGCCCTCCAGGGGAAGCCCCTGCGGACCAGCCATCCATGAGCACTTCCCCATGAGAAGCTGCCCGAGGGGATGCCAGCCAGTCACTCCCTGGAGGGCCACCCTGGAGTTTCCGTGTCTCTGCCTTGGGCCCTGGGTGGTCTACTGTGAGCTTCCCAAGTGGACAACAGCTCTCTGCTCTTGCTAGAACAAGGACTTCCTGAGAATCACAGACACAGTCCCTCCCAAGTAAGGGGCCTAGGAGGACCCATAAACGTCCCCAGTGAGCCCCTAAAGAGCACTCTCTGCTGTGCCTGCTCACAGGGCCCTGACCTCATGGGAACCACAAGGAGACCTGAACCCATGACGCCCAGTCCACTCAGGAGAAGCAGACACACTCGAGACACCGGAGTGAGCGGACACAACAGGCAGCAGACAAAAAGACAGAGACCAGGAGGGAAAGGAGGAGGCGCTGAGCGCAGAGGGTCTGACCCCGTGGCAGGACTTGGGGACATCAGGGAGCAAGCCCACCATTCCCCGCTCAGGCCACAGAAGCCCGGCCTGGAGCTGCCCCATGAAGCAAATGACTTGCGGTGAGATAGCAGAGTTAGGAGTGGAAGGAAGGTGTCTGCATGTAGTTATCATGAAGCCATGGATGGAATATCGTAGCAGAGCGACTCACGGTGAGTTCACGCTGGAGACAGATGAGCTGCGAGATACAGTACCTCGAGCTTGCTTTACAAAACTGCACATGCAAAAAACAGAACAGACAGAAGTGAGAAAACCAGAGACAGAGTTCTGAGAGAACCAGTGACACTGAGAGCCACGCCAGTGTAGGCGCAGGCTGCCATGTGCATCTGGACAGGAGGCCGCAGACGCGTCCGTCAGACGGGCACCAGCCGAGACCTCAGGGTGAAAGAGAAGTTGAGAACCAATTCCACACATGCAGAAAAGTGAGACTGAAGTGAGACAGCAAACCCTGTAATGCCTGGAAGACAGAAGCCATTAGCTCGGGGGCCCATCCATCACTCAGCACACACTGCCCAGGACAGGCAGTGCGGCTGGGAAGACCCAACACCGATTTTCCTGCAGTTCCAAACAGCCCCCTGCACCCTGCGGCGGGAGGCTGACTGCACGGTCTCCCGGCCCTCAAGATGGGGCAGCATAGACTAACAAAGGAGGCGAGGGTGCCCCCGCACCCTGCGGCGGGAGGCTGACCGCACCGTCTCCCGGCCCTCGAGATGGGGCAGCGTAGGCTAACAAAGGAGGCGAGGGTGCCCTTTCCGGAGATGCCGCCTGGTCCCTGCTGCCGAACCCACCTGACTTCCCGGCAAGCACCTGGACCCCACTCTGGTTCCAGCCCCAGGGCTCCCCAGGCTGCAACCCAGGCGCCTCTGGGCCACCAGGACACCTCCAGGGCAAATCAAGCCACACGCCAACCCACCTTCCTTTTGGATGCAGCTCCAGCCATTTCCAAGTGACTTTCAAAGGCTTTTCTAAAACCAACAGAAAGAAACCAAAGCTCCCTTTACAGCCATTTCCCTCCAATTAACTTCCCAGGGGAGGGCCAGGTGGGCTGCAGCCCCTCCTTCTCAAGGCCAAGCTCTCTGTGCCTTTGTGGGCAGTCAAACCAGCTTACTTGCCCACAGGCTCTGGCTTCAAACAGGCATGTGTGTGAGAGGGTGTGTGAGTGTGACACTGTGTGTGTGAGACTGTGTGTGAATGTGTGAGATTATGTGTGTATGTGATTGACAGTGTGGGATGATTATAACTGAATGTGTGAGATTGTGAGTGTTGTGAGGGTGGGTCTGTGTGTGTGTGTCTGTGTGAGTCTGTGTGTATGATTCTGTGTGTGCTTCTGTGACTGTGTGTCTGTGTGTACTTGTGTATAAGTGTGTATGTGAGTCTGTGTGCCTGTGTGTGTGCTTGCCTATATGTATTTGTGAGTATGTGTGTGTGTGTGAGTGTCAGTGTGACTCTGCAGGCTGCCAGTGTTCAGAAATTCATGTGAGGATGAGGCTGACCCAGCAGAGAACCAGGAAGACATGTCCCTTTAAGCAGTGTCACCTGAGGCCCACCTTAGTGTCCCTTCAAGCAGCTGTCACCTGAGGCCCAGGATACGCACAGCACTGCATGCGACACGCTAGGGTGCCCTTCTGAGGCATGTTCTGGCACCGTCTGTGTCAAGCCAAACAGAGCATCACTGAGAACCTCTCAAACACCAAGGACACCCCAAGTCCTCCCAGCACCCAGGGCACCAAGCCCGGCATTGGCCCCGCTCCGCAGGCCACGCAGCACAGCTGTTGGGGGCAGAAGGGTGAAGGGTACTCAAGGGCACTGCTCTCGCACAGCCCAGCAGCTCAAGGTGCTGGAAATGAGAGCAGGGCAGGAGGCAGCGCTGCTCGTCCCACCAGGAGAACAGGAAGCAGACGAGGACAGATGACAGACAGCTTTCAGCCCTCGGAGGTCTCAGCACAACACAGGCACGCAAACAGCAGCAGCAGGGCCAGGCCTCGCCAGGTGCAGGGCCCTCCTTGAGGGAAACCCCTCAAGGTTGATTCCTGCAGGGTCTCTTGTGGCGGAAATCAGACTGGCTGTCATGTCCAAACCAGTGGGCTGAGGACATGCCACAGAGGATGAGGGCCCACAGCTGCACCGCAGGCAGGGACCATGGGGGCTGACACCTGGACGCCTCGGGCTGGCTTGGGCCGGCTGCCCCTTGCCACGTGTGAGGGCTGCAGCCTGCTTGAGTTGAGGATGCTGGCACTGGAGCTGACACCTGGCTCCAGACCCACCGTGAGGCAGAACACCTAGGGGTCCCCCGGGAAAAAAGAAGCTCTTTCCTCGCGTAGGAATCAGCATGGTGCTCAGGCCAACAGGTGGTGTCGATGTACACTGTGCCCAAGGATGCCAGTCTACTGCCTTGTTCCTGCATAGCAGTGTCTCCAAACCAGGACAGGGCAGCAGATAAGGAAGAGTGTCCAGCCTCCTTTTCAGGCAGCCTGACTCAGGCTCCATGACTGCCAGGGACCTGGCAGCCTCTTCTGCAAGGTCTCAGGCCAGATGGGAGTGGACACCCTCCCATACCCCCAGGAGGAGGCAGGGCCGGCAGGCAGCAGGGGTCAAGGGACAAGTGCTCGCCTCCAGGAACAGCAGAGAAGGCAAGTCTTCAGGAGAACAACACGAGGCCTGCGCGAGGCCAGGAGCTGAACACACCACTCGCCCCATCTACTGCAGACCACCCACCTGCAGAGCTCACAGAGCCCTGGTAGCAAACCCCTGGACCAAGTAACCAAACTAAGTGGACTAAATAACTAATGAACCAAATAACCGAATTGGCCAAGACAATGAAAGATCGAAATTAAACAACTGAGGACTGAGCCCCCAGCAGTCTTCTGCGTGATGGCCACCGTGTCCACAGCTGCCAAGTTCCCCTGCAGGCCCCTCCCATCCCTGCCTGAGTCCCCGGCGGGCTGCAGCCTCTTCTAGCTGCTTCTGCCCCAAAGACCAGCACTTTCTGCTAGGCTTAGAGACAGGCCCTCCGCAAACACCATCTTCCTGGTGCCCTCCAGGCAGGATCAGGGCTGGTATGGGGGTGCACACACTCAGCACATGCACTCACACACATGCTCACTGTGCAACTCTCAAGTGCACACACACACACCTAGCACACTCATCCACATGCCAGCATGCTTACCCAGCAGTGCAGACACACATCACACACACATACCTAGCACACTCATCCACATGCCAACATGCTTACACAGAAGTGCAGACACACGTCACTACAGATGCACCTGTGGCTGCACCCGGCCCTGTGTTCCGTGTTCACGGCAGGGCGGGTGGCCGGCTGAAGAGCTGGGGCCCGCCCATCAGCATGGGGAATGGGAGGTGTGGGGGGTGGGCATGCAGCCAGACGGAGCTAGTGGCTCCAGAGCTAAATTCAGCTGGGCCTAGAGAACAAGCTCCCAGTAAGGGCATCTCTGCACTCTTGTGGCCCACCCTGTGACCAGGCCATGGGCCAGACTTTCCTGCCTCCCTTCCCAGGGACTGACCTCCCCACAGCTCGGCTCAGTGCAGCCTTTGGCCCTGGGCTGGACACTTTGCCCAAACTCTAAAGCCCCTAACACCTCCAAATATGGTTCTATGGAATACGCAGTTTTCGCCAGAATAACTTCCTCTAACATCTGTCCCAGTACCAAACACTTGCAGAGACATTTTTGGAAACTGCAGTAAGTCTCTCAGACTGCTCAGGTATCACCTAGAATCTCTTGGCTCATAAAATAAATTTCTGAAAAGCTGTGCATAAAAGCAACTTACTGACTCCCTCCCCCAACTGATTCACAGTTGCCTGGGGAGGGGCCTGGAGCCACCCTGAGGCTATCCAGGGAGTGAATATCACAGCAGAGACAATCCCAGCCACAATGTGAGGGCTGTGCCTGGCCACACCCTGGCCCTGCTCATACTGAGAAAAAGCCCTGGAGCCCCCAGGCTCTCATCCCAGTTCCGAGGAGGGGCTGTGTCCTCACCCGCCAAGGCCAGAGGCCCTCTGAGGAAGCCTCTGGAAGGGGTGCCCTGGGGAGGGCCCAGCCATGGGACCCTGCAGCAGCCCCACTGCCACCCCACAATCCACTCCTAGGAGCCTTACGCGGCGATGGAGATGTTCGCGGCAGACATGGGGCTGACTTCAGCCACTTCTTTGGCCTTTTGCAGAGCAAGCTTCTGATTGGCTGCTTCTTCCATCTCCTCTTCATCCTGTTTGAGCAAAGAGAAATGTCCAGTTCCCCTCACAGTGTTATAGCCACTCTAACACTGGCTATATATAACATCAGCTCTTCCTCCAGGGGCCTCAAAAAATACACAGTGCTGCTCTCTATCCAGTGGAGACAGGCAGCCAACCCCTGAGTGAATGTGGCCCCCCACGACCTGTTCCACAGGAGCTGTCTCTGGTGCTCTCCAGGGCCTTCCCTTCTGTGTCTGTGACTCAAAGGTAATGGTCACTAGGATTCCTTCCTCAGTGCCCTCTTGCTTGTGCCGTCTCCCTGGAGGCGACGGCCTCACCTCTGTGCTATCCTGACCTTACTCTGAGCTCTAACCCAGGTACCCAGCCACTGCCTGGATATTTCCATTTGTTTGTTTTGTTTTTTGTTATTTGTTTTTTTTTTTTTTAGAGACAGGGTCTCGCTCTGTCACCCAAGCTGGAGGGCAGTGGCTCAATCTCAGCTCACTGCAGCCTCGACCTCCCAGGCTTAAGTGATCCTCTAACCTCAGCCTCCCATGCAGCTGGGACTCCAAGCACGTGTCATCACGACTGGCTAAATTTTTTTAATTTAATTTTTCTTGAATTCCTAGGCTCAAGTGATCCTCCCACCTCGGCCTCCCAAAGTGCTGGGAGTACAGGTGTTAGCTACCATGCCTGGCCTTCAGCTTGTCTGTACCATGGCACCTCAAACTTGCCCACTGAAATGCAAATCTGTCCCTCCTTTTGTCCCACCTGTCCCCCCAGGAGCATCTGTCACACTTTAACAAAGCCAAGAGCAAGGGCAAGAGGCTCTGCACCTGTGGCTAAGTCCTGACCCAGCACTGCCCACAAGCACTGCCACCAGGAGGGTGTCCAGTGGGGCCACGCACCATCTTTGAGCTTTTCTGCCTGGAGCCAGCAGACCATGTCTGTCCCCATTTCCCCAGCTGTGGCTGTCAGAAGCCTCTCCCTGTCTCCCCCACTCCTGGGTGACCACTTGCAGTGCCTGGCCCTGAACTTCACATGGCTCCTGCCCTCAGGGCTGGGCATGTGCACATGTGCAGGCAGGTGCAGTTTCCTCTGCCCCCTCTGGCCCTGACCCTAAGTCACTAAACAAGACCAACATGCTCGGCACCTGGGTTCCGGATCAATAGTTCTCGGCTGAGACCACAGGCCTCAGAATGGAAGCTACGACTTCCACGTTGTCCATCTGGACTGCTGGGGCCACCACTGTTTCCTCAAAATCCTGAAGCCCAGACCCACCTGGCTCCCCTGGGAGCCAGCATTCCCAGTGTTCCCTAAAATGTCCTTGAATCTGCATTCGGGGCGCAACGCTGGCAGAAACTAAGTCCCTTGTTAGCTGCCTGCGAATTTCCCTCCACAGAGGAGAGACCTTCGAACTTCAAGCCCAGAGAGGAGGCAAAGCCAGACCCAGCGTGAAACACCCACACCCAGGTCCCTCCTCGCAGATCCGGCTGCATCCAGCTTCCCACCCTCTGGGGCAGGGACTTTGCCAGTCACTCCAGGGAGTGTTCTAAAGTCCCCTGGAAGGTCTAAAACAAATTCAAGTTTATCCTCGCTTCAAAAGGTACATAGTGCTGTAATGCTTTTGTGGGAATATTATGGGAATATAAGGGAAGGGGATGGTCGAGTCATAAACTTTGCGGCTCTTGGTCAGCCCAGAAAAATGCCCACAGCCAGACACAGACAGGCCCCCAGTGGCCCCGATCCTCAGAGAAGAAATTCCTAAATGAGGCCAGTTACACAAAAGGGGGGCCACCAATGAGGGTACATGTATGTGGACACAGGGCCCCAAGGACATGGCTTCCTCCATGCATCTTCCTTCATGACAGAACTTAAAGAGACAGTGGGGCCCCAGCGCTCCAGTGCAGCCCACCCAGGACAGCTAGGGCCCCGGGCTCCAAGGCAACCCCGGCACCAAGGAGAGCTCTGTGGGGGCTTGGGCTCCCCCAACCCAAGCGGCCCAGCTGAAGACAGGAACAGAGAGAAGCCAGAAACCAGAGCGCCAGGGAGGAATCCGGGCCCCTAGGCATAGGCATGGCCATGGCCCAGGTCTGGAGGCGTGGGAGTAAGAAGGCTGAGCAGAAGCAAAGGGAGGCTCAGGCTGCAGCTGGCACACCGCATGGACCACACCCCCCTCCTGGAGAGCTCGGCTGGGGGGAGCAGGGGCACCTGCACAGCACTCACTCTTGGAGAAGCTCTGTGGCACACCTGCATCTCTGCTGCCCATGGACAGAAATCCTGAACCTGCCTCTCTCAGCCCCGGAACAGGGAAGGCATGGAGAGACACTGGACTGGAGTGACAGAACTGTGTCAGACCCCTAGACATGCACAGGTGCATGCAGACACCTGTCCAGGGATGGTGCACAGGCAGAAGAGGGCACACAGTGACACATACATGGTGACACACAGGTACACACTGATGTGCAGAGCATGCACGTGGGACGTTTGCAGCGTGGTTCACACCAAACCAGAAGGCAGCACCACCTCTACTAGGAGCTAGGGCTTGAGTCAACACACAAGCCTGCGACTGAGATGGCAGGTGGCCACACTACAAGTGTCCAGGGCTGGGGAGAGCATGACCAGGAGGGGACTGTGTCATCCGGAGGGATATCACAGAGGGAGACATGTACAATTGCATCCCCCACCAGGCTCAGGGATGAGATGAATATTAAAATGGCACCCGCTGAGCACTGCCTGAAGCAGCAGCTGTCCCACTGTGGCACAGCTGTGCTGGGATAGGGCCACCAGCTGCTCCTCCTGCTCAGGCCCCTCCTGCTCCCAGCACACCCTGCCGTTCAGGCCATTCTTCCCTGTGCTGGCTTCCCTGAGAGCCTGCCTGTCCATCTGCCTTCGGGGCTTTGGCTCTCCCTGCATCCTCAGCTCCAGCCTCCAGCCCCTGAGTGACAGACCAGCCTCTGCCCGCCAGGACCCAAGGCAACGCTCCTGGACACGAGGCCCTAACCCAGGACCCAGACTCTTCCTGGCTGCGGCCACATTCAAGTGACATGGGCTGACACCGGTCCCTCCCTGTCGCCACCTACCTTGGTCAGCTCTTGGGCGTTGGCCAGGTTGTCCACAGCGATGGCCAGAAAGACATTCAGCAGAGTGTCTGGTTGGGTCCAGCTGAGGAAGGGAACCTCTGCCCCACATGGCCCCAGTCACACTGCAGCTTCCCCCATCTCCCCAGATCCCAACCAGCCTCCAGCCTCCTTCCCTTGGCACCTACCAGCTCCCCAAGGCCCCATCCCCAGACACACTCCAGCCCAGCCACTAGGCCCTCCAGCCCCCTGTTCCATCCTCACCTCCAGCCTCTCTGCCAATCCCTCCTTTGCTCAGCCTCCCATCACCCAGCCTCCCCTAATGCCCACCTGAGCCTCTTCCCCCAACCCAGCTCTTTCGGGCTGACTGTGCAGGAGCAAAGCTCAGAGGCTGTGCTGGAGCCATCTGCCTCTGCCTCCTAACGAGGGCCCATGGTCTGCCTGCTGTGCTCCCAACTCCCCAAGCCCCGGCCAGCACAAGAAGCCTCCCCACAAACAGCTCCTACTCCACAGGCTCCAGGTGGGGCTCCACTGCCTTCTGGGTCCTGTGAGCAGAGACCACCTCAGACAAACCACGAGCTTGCAAACCCACCTGTGGCCAGCACATGCTGGGCCCCAAGTCCTAGGCCCACAGATGCCACCTAGTGCTACCTTCCCCTCCTTTCCATTTCCTTTTCCCGCATGGTGTCCTGGGGCCTCTTCTTTGCGGCATCCGCTCCGTAGATTGCAGGACTCACGTCAGGCCGTGGAGACGGCAGATGGCATGATCTGGTTCCTGGGACTGCACCTTGCCTCAACTGACCTCCCAGGACCCAGTGTGAGGTGCTGCCCCACCTTTTAGAAATGAAGAAACCAAGGCCCAAAGGGAAGCACCTGCCACAGGTACCGGCACAGGCACCGCCTGGGGTGTGCGGCCTCCTTCTCAAAGCTCGCGGGACCAGGTCCTTGTCCCATCACGGTGTTTTTCTTTGCAAAAGGAACTCTTCACCCATCACTGGAAGCAGCCTTTTCCTGAACTCTCACCTCCCTGCCCCTGCACAGTTTCCCAGAACCACCACAAACATAGTCAGGACCCCGACTGTGACTTGGGTCTGCCCCTCCAGACCCTGGCCATTGGGGGTGCCCTCCTGGCCATTTTATCACTCCAGGTTTCTCAGCCCAGGCCCTGCTGGCATTTGGGGCTGGGCAATCCTCTATGGGACGGCAGGCAGCACCCTTGGTCTCCGTCCACTTGAGGCCATCAGCCCCTCCCCATCAGTGCTGACAACCAAAAGTGACTCAGAAGCTGCCAAATGCACCACAGCATCTGTAGGGAGAGGAAGCTGCCCCCGTTAGAACCTTGCACTCCACGTGATCCAGCCCGTTTCACCACAGGCCTGCGACTCACCCCTGCCCAGGCTACAGCCACTCTCCCTGTGGTACTGGCCTCTGCCAGGCCGAATAGCAGCTGGCTCTGTATGAGGCCAACAGCAGTGACCCTGGCAGGTCAGGTCCCTCTCTGGCTGGACAGGTGCCCCCTCCCTGGGGGTCAAGGGAGCGCATACCCCAGGCCAGAGCCTCACAGGTGAGTCCACGCAGAGCTCCAGCAGAGCCCACAGGGCAGGACACTGAGGCCAGGCTGACACCTCCAGGCACCAGCCACAGCCACTGACACCTCAGAGGCCTTTCCATGCCCAGAAAGCAGGACCAAGGGCCATGCCCCTTGGGATCCAGCAGGACTAACGCTGAGTGGACAGGGAGGGGGACGCTCGTGGCCAGCATGCCTGGCCTCAGTGTCAGGGTCAGACTCAGCTGTGGTGAACCACTGGCCACTGCTCTGTCTTGAGGCAGAGGCACCTCCTTCTGGACACCGCTGTCCTGTCTGAGGCTTCCGTCCCTCTCTGACAACCGGGGCTGCCTTTCTTTGGTGCCTCCGGTGCCAGCCCCAGGGCCACCCATCTCCAAAGCAGACACTGCCCCCTCAGGCTCTCTGGAGCCCCTCCTAGGCTCACACACACTCAACTTCCCAGGAAGGCTGGATCCCCCACTCTGGGGACCAGGCCCTGAGCTGCAGCCTAAGGACCACCCCGTGACTAACAAGACTGAGAGAGGGAGCCCCTGCTGGGCCAGCCTAGGAGAGGTGGAGCAAGGAATGAGGAGCCAGGGAGATGGAGACAGGAAAGAAGGTGAAGTCTGCAAGGGCACTGAGGGCACCGGCACCAGTGAGGCAGAGACGAGGACAGACAGACGGGGTGGAGTGGCCATCGTGTGTGAGAAGTTCGGGGTAGAAGCAGAGCCGGGAGGTCGACTGTGAGACATTGTCTCCAGCTCCTCGGGGCCCTGTGGGGTGTTCTGTCACAGCAGTTCTCAAAGTGGGGTCCCCAGAACAGAAACACGGGCTCCCCCTGCAGCCTGTGAGAATGCACATTCTCAGGCCCCAGCCCAGCCCCACTGCCTCTGACACCCTGGGCTAGGGCTGGAATCCAGGCTTACCATCCCTCAGGGGACTGTGATGCCCAGATGAGTTTGAGAACCAAAGACACTTCTAGGCCTGAACTTCCCACCCCAGCTACAGGGGGACCCACTCACACTGCCTGTCATAGCCCTCACCCTTGCCTATACCACGAATGCTGTAGTTCTCCCTCCAGATCTTCCTTGGCCACAGCCCTGTCCCTATCATGGTCCCTTGCTAGGGCAGAGCTCACCACCGGCGGCTGGGCTCGCTCTGACCCCACAGACTCACCCTCTGACTCAAGGTCCTGAAACAGCCCAACTGACATCCTCCACAGAAAACCTTTCCTTACATTTCTCTGCAAAGGGGATGGTATCAGCAGGGGGAAGGGCTCCTTTTTAAAGCCCAGTGCCAAAACCTAAGTACACAATTAAATCAAAGTGAAAACAAAAACCCACCTGCCCAGAGTGTGAGGCTCCCCGACTGCTGCTCAGAGTCTGTCCTGGGCCTGCTGCTGGCCGCACCCACCCCCACCTCTGGATACCCCCACACGCAGCAGCTCATGCTCCCTCAAGCTGAGTCCCAAAGCCTCCAGAGCCCTGCGCTCCGGCCACCTGCAGAATGTTCTCCATCTGCACTCAGCTCTGAGAATGCACCTCTCACGTCCACGGCCCCTAGTCCTCCTGGAGGGATCCGCGTGGTGGCCATGGAGAAGAGGAGGGCCAAGCACTGACCACCCTCTGCCCCAGCCCCACAGAAGGATACAGTTTCCGAACAGTGTCAGGACAATGAAGTAAAAGGACGAGAACATGCCTTTGCTGACGCCGCCTTGCGATTCGATCCCGTGATACATCACTGCATTCCAGTCCTCTCCCGTCAGGATCTGCCAGGATGGAGAGAACACAGGGCAAGCCCCCATGGCCGCCTTCCCCACACACACGCACCCCCACCCACATGAGTGCATGTGCACCGCCACGTCCACGCGCACTGCCACGTCCACACATGCACATCCAGGTCTTTAGATGATGCTGTCTCCGAAGGTCTGGGCATCCCAGGGTCCTCCAGAAAAGCTTCCAGAAGGACATGGCTGCAGAACTGGGTCTTAAAAGACTAACATACTCTAGGTTTTCAGCCAGAAATGAAAAGGGAGCTCCCAACAGGAGAAGGAGGTGGGCAGAGGCGAGGAGGGCAGCAGTGAGATCAGGCATGGAGAGACGAAACAGCGCCATCCACGTCACTGCAGTCAAGGAAGCCGAGGTTCACAGGGGACTGGGCTGCACACGGCCACCCAGCAGAAGCAGAGCCTTATGCTCTCAGTTCCTGCCACTCCACTTGGTGGGTCTAGCCTCACAGCCTGGCTAAATGCAACCCTTGTCCTAGTAGCCATGTCTCTTTTCTACTTTAATTTTTGGAAACATACAAGAAAATAAAATAATAAACACTCATGTGTCCCCCACCCAAAATGGAAATTTTGCCCCATGTGCAATGGTCCCCCTCCCCGTGACCAACTCCAACCAGGGATCTGACACAGATCCAAGTCTTTTTTCTTTTTTCACTTTCTATTTATTTGTGGGGGTTTTTAAATTTCTTTTTTTTTTTTTTTTTTTGACATGGAGTCTTACTCTGTCATCCAGGCTGGAGTGCAGTGGTGCAATCTCGGCTCACTGCAAGCTCCGTCTCCCAGGTTCACGCCATTCTCCTGCCTCAGCCTCCCAAGTAGCTGGGACTACAGGCACCCACCACCTCACCCGGCTAATTTTTTGTATTTTTAGTAGAGACGGGGTTTCACCGCATTAGCCAGGATGGTCTCCATCTCCTGACCTCGTGATCCGCCCACCTCGGCCTCCCAAAGTGCTGGGATTACAGGCGTGAGCCGCCACACCCTGCCGTTTTTTAATTCTTTTTATCGATACATAGTATTTGTACATATTTTAGGGTACTTGTGGTATTTTGATACATGCATACAATGCGCAATGATCAAATAGGGTATTCGGATATCCATCACCTCAAACATTTAGCATTGTGTTGGGAACATCTCAAACCTTTTCTTCTGATTATTTTGAAATAGACAATATATTGTTGTTAGTTATAGTCACCCTACCATGCTATCAAACACTAGGAACTCGCTCCTTCTATCTAACTGTGTTTGTACCCCTTAACCACCCTCTTTTCATCCCCTCTTCCTACAGCCTTCCCACCTTCTGGTAGCCATCATTCTAACCTCTACCTCCAGATCAGCTTTTTTGCTCTCACATCTGAGTGAGAACATGTGAAGTTTCTCTTTCTGTGCCTGGCTTATTTCACTTAACTTAATGACATCCACTTCCATCCATGTTGCTGCAAATGACAGGATTTCATTCTTTTTGTGGCTGAATAGTGTTCTGTTATATATACACCATATTTTCTGTATCCTTTCATCCGTTGACAAGCACTTAGGCTGATCCCTTATCTTTGCTACTGTGAATAGTGCTGCCATGAGCATGAGGAGGCAGGCAGCACTTCATGTTCCAACTTCCTTTCCTTTGGATAAACACCCAGCAGTGGGATTTTTGTGGTATGGCTCCTCTTAAGGAGCCTCCATACTGTTTCCCAGAGTGGCTGGACTAATTTACATTCCCATCAACAGTGTGAGAGAGTTCCCTTCTCTCTATATCCTTGCCAGCATTTGTTAATTTTGTCTTTGATAATAGCCATCCCAAATGGGTGAGACGATACCTCACTGTGGTTTGGATTTGTCTTCGCCTGATGATTAGTGATGTTGAGTATTTTTTCATACATCTGTTGGCCATTTGTATGTCTTCTTTTGAGAAATGTCTATTCAGAGCCTTTGCCCACTTTTAAATGTGATTATTTGTTTTTTTTGCTGTTGAGTTGTTTGAGTTCCTTGTATATTGTGGATAGTAGTCCCTTGTTGGATGAATGGATCCAAGTCTTTAGGGTTCCACTACACATCACACACATACACGTATGTATAAACAGAATACTGCATACGTGCTAAACATGCACAGGAAGGTACCAGACTACACATCATTCTTCAACTTGCTGTTTTCATTCAACAATACAGCTTTGAGGTTTCTCCATTTTTTTTTTTTTTTTTTTTGAGACAGGGTCTTGTTCTGTTTCCCAGGCCGGAGTGCAGTGGTGTGATCTTGGCCCACTGCAACTTCTGCTTTCTGGGCCCAATCAATCCTCACACCTCAGCCTCCTGAGTAACTGGGTCCACAGGCAGGTGCCACCATGCCCAGCTAATTTTTTGTATTTTTTAGTAGAGATGGGGTTTTGCCATGTTGCCCAGGCTGGTCTTGAACCCCTGGGCTCAAGCAATCAGCCCCCCCTCAGCCTCCTGCAGTGCTGAGATTACCAGGGTGAGCCACTGCACCCGGCTCTCCATGTTGATACATATAAATCTACTTATTTGTGTAAACCATCACACAGTTTTCCTTCCATTTACCTATTTTCCTTCTCACAGGTACTTTTAGTGGCTTCCGGGTTTTTGCTGCCGTGTCCCCTTGTGCACATGTGAAGTTTCTCCAGAACTGCAGCTGCCAGGTATGTAGGCTATGCACACCTTCGCCGACTTCACTAGATGTTTCCAAAATGGTTATCCCAAATCATATTCCCGCCAGCAGCAGAGGATGGTTCTTCATCACATCCTCACACCACCCATGGCACTGTCACGCCCTTTGACAGTTCCCAATCTGATAAACGTGAAAGGGCTTAAAAGCACTGGCCAGGCGTGGTGGCTCACGTCTGTAGTCCTAGCGCTTTGGGAGGCCAAGGTGGGAGGATCACTTGACCCCAGGAGTTCGACACCAGCCTGGGCGACATAGTGGGACCCCATTTCTACAAAAAAAAAAAAAAAAAAAAAAAAGGCAAGCCCGTGAGTTTGATCATTTCTCCTGCCCAGGGGCCCTTAGATCTCTTCTGTGCCCTGCCTTTCAACCCCCCAGCTCCTATTTCTGATGACTCATCTTTTTCTTACTGACTTTTGAGACTTGCTTATGTATTCTTGTATATACTAATACTCTATTTGCATTATCTATTGTAAATATCTTTAGTCTCCTGTTTGCTTTTATTTTTGTATTAAAAAAGTTTAATGTAATTAAATATCAGTCTTATCAGTCTATTCCTTTATGTTTTCTGCTTTTTGCATCTTAAGAAATTCCTCTCCATCCAAGGTCATAAAGATATTTTCACTACAAACACACACGGCCAGGAGTGGTGGCTCACACCTGTAATCCCAACACTTTGGAGATAGAGACCAGCCTGGGCAACATAGTGAGACCCTGTCTACAAAAAAATTTTTTTAATGAGCTAGGTGTGGTAGTGCGCACCTGTAGTCCCAGCTACTCAGAAGGCTGAGGCAGGAGGATCACTTGAGCCAGTTGTGTGAGCTATGATCATGCCACTGTACTCCAGCCTTGGCAATAGAGCAAGACCCCATCTCCATTTAAAAAAAAAAGAAATTTGGAGATGGGGTCTTGCTCTATTGCCAAGGCTGGAGTGCAGTGGCACAATCGCAAGACCCCATCTCCATTAAAAAAAAGAAATTTGGGCCAGGCACAGTGGCTCACGTTTGTAATCCCAGCACTTTGGAGGCCAAGGTGGACGGATCACAAGGTCAGGAGTTCAAGACCAGCCTGGCCAACACAGTGAAACCCTGTCTACTAAAAATACAAAAATTAGCTGGGCATGGTGGCAGGTGCCTGTAATCCCAGCTATTCGGGAGGCTGAGGCAGAAAAATCGCTTGAACCCGGGAGGCGGAGGTTACAGTGAACCAAGATCACACCACTGCACTCCAGCCTGGGCAACAGAGCTAGATTCCATTTCAAAAAAGAAAAGAAAAGAAAAGAAAAAAGAAAAGAAAAGAAAAGAGAAGAAATTTCTCTCCATCCAAGATCATAAAGATATTTTCATAATATATATTTTTTTCTTTCTTTTCTTCTAAAGACTGGGTCTTGCTCTGTTGCCCAGGCCGCAGTGGCACGATCCTAGCTCATTATAACCTCAAACTCCTGGCCTCAAGTAATTCTCCTGTCTCAGTCTCCCACGTAGCTGGGACTGCAGAGGTGCACCATCAGCTATTTTTTTTTTTTTTTTTTTTGGATATGGGCTTTCATTATGTTGCCCAGGCTGACCTTGAACTTAAGAGCCTCAAGCGATACTCCCACCTCAGCCTCCCAAAGCACTGGGATTATAGGCATGAGCCACCATGCCTGGCCTCTTACTCTTTAAATCATCTTTAAATCATTTTCAAGTTTGATTTTTTACATTTAGGTTTCTAATCCAACTGAAGTTTTGTGCATGCATGGAGATGATGATCCAATTTTTTTCATACGGAAAGCCAATTTTCCCAGACCCAAATTTTTGAATAGTCCATCCTTCCTCCATTGATTTCCAATGACATCTTTCTCATATAACCAACTTTCTATATATGTTTGGAATGTTTCCAGGTTCTCTGGTCTGTTCTTTTGATATTTCATTTTTACATATACCACACTATTTTCATTACCATAGCTTTATAAAAAGTCATGATATATGGTAGGACAAATTTCTTCTTCCTGAATTGTCTTTTCTTGGACTTTTACTCTTCCATATAATCAATATGCTGAATTCCAAGAACAGTCCCATTGGAATTTGGATCAGGATTGCGTTGATTCATAAATTAAATTGGGGAGAACTGACACCTTCACCATTTTAAGGCTTCCTACTTATAAACATCTCTCTGCACACATACAGCTCCTTAAGGCCTTGAATGACATTTCATAATTACTGCAACAAAAGTCTTGCACAATTTTAGTTAGATTTATTTCTGGGTACCTGGAAGTTTTGTTACTACTGTGAATGAGACCTTTCTTTTAAATTGAATTTTCTAATTGAATAATGTTATTTATTATATAGAAAAGCTATATTTTTGTACATTTATCCTATGTTCAGCAATACTGATGAATTTTCTTATTATATCTAATATATTATCTAGGATTTTCTATAGTAAATAATCACATTTGCAAATAATAATAGTTTTTTTCTATTCCTTTTCAGTCTTTTTACTTCTTTCTTTTTTCTTACGACATTAGCTTCGACTGCTTGAATAGTAGGCATCCTTATTTTCCTTTTAACAATACTTCTAATCTTTTACTATTATCTATGATCCTTGCTATGGTCTCTTTTAAATAACAGCATTATTGGGATATAATTCGCCCATTTAAAGTGTATACAATAGTTTTTAGTATACTCACAAATATGTGTCACCATTATCACAGTCCATTTTAGAACATTTTCATCCCTTCAAAAAAAGAAACTCATACCCATTAGCTATCACCCATCCTGGTTGTAGGGTTTTTGTAGATACTCTTTACCAGATTTTTTTAAACTCCTGTCAATTCTTAGTATGACTTTTTTTTATCATGAATTAAAGTTTATTTTTATCAATGTTTCACTTTTCTGCATCTATGACACATGTTCTCTTTTAACCTGTAGAGATTAGGAATTATACTGACAATTTCCTGTATTATTTGTATTTCTTGTATTACTAGAATGAACACAGTTTAGCTATTAGGTTCTTTTTTAATATATGCAGCTGATTTGATTTTTTAATAGATTTTAGATTATTTGCAGACATTTGTGATGCAGATAAAAAAACACCAAAATAACAAGACTGTAAAAAGCATATTTTTAAGGAGACACATGAAGTAGATAATTGTATAGCAAGACTGACCAAGGGAAAAAAAGCACAAATAAAAATTGTAACACGAAAGGGGGGTCATAACATAGGAAAAAGAGATTTTTTTAATTACAGAAGAATATTATGGAAGCTTTATGCCATGAGATTTGAATGAATCTACTTTCACTGGGGAGACATTAGCGTACCTGCCGTGTTGGGCGATATTCAGGTGCTTAGGATGGTCAGTGGATAAAACAAAGACCCTGCCCCATGGAGCTTGCGTTCTGGTCTGCATTTTGTCTTAAATTGTCCTTGCATGGCTTTGGTGTCAAGGTTGTACTAGCCTCATGAAATGATTTCATCCCTTCTCTGAAATTGTTTGAGTCAAATAGTTATTATTTCTTCTTGAAAGGCTTGGTGAAACTCGCCTTATAATGACTGGGCCCCAGGCAGGAGGCAGAAAGATAGGAAGAGAACTTTGACTGTCTGTTAAATTTCTTTTATAATTATGAAATGTCCAGGTTTTCAAAATTTCTTCTTGAGCTAATTTAATCCACTTAATGTCTTCCTATAAAAATGCATGTTTTGGCCAGGCACGGTGGCTCATGTCTGTAATCCCAGCACTTTGGGAGGCCAAGGCGGGCTGATCACGAGGTCAGGAGATCGAGACCATCCTGGCTAACACGGTGAAACCCTGTCTCTACTAAAAATACAAAAAATTAGCCGGGCGTAGTGGCGGGCGCCTGTAGTCCCAGCCACTCGGGAGGCTGAGGCAGGAGAATGGCGTGAACCCGGGAGGCGGAGCTTGCAGTGAGCCGAGATCGCACCACTGCACTCCAGCCTGGGCGACAGAGCGAGACTCCATCTCAAAAAAAAAAAAAAAGCATGTTTCATCTACGCTTTCCAATCTCATGGCATAAAGTTGCCAAAGTATTCTTTTGGAATTAAAAAAAAATCTCATTTTCCTATAGTTACGACTCCCTTTTGGGTTACATTTTTTGTTTGTGCTTTTTTCCCTTGATCAGTCGCTGTACAATTATCTACTTCATGAACATGCTTGTTATCTTGGTGTTTCAGTGATCTGTACAACAAATGTCTACTCTTAGCATCATCTGCTTTCAATTTTTCTTTGGTTTATTATTCCTTCTTCTAGATTTTTCATATAAGTACTTGTTAAGCCAGGCTCTGTGGCTCATGCCTGCATTACCAGCACTTTGGGAGGCTGAGGTGGGAGGATCGCTTGAGCCCACTGAGTTTGAGACCAGCCTGGGCAACATTGTGAGACCACGTCTCTACAAAAAATAGAAATTAGCTGGGCATGGTGGTGTGTGCCTATGGCCCCAGCTACTTGGGAGACTGAGGTGGGAGGACCACTTGAACCCAGTTCGAGGCTGCAGTGAGCTATGATTACACTAATGCACTCCAGCCTGGGTGACAGGGCAAGACACTTTTTTTTTTAAGAGTACTTGTTTATTTTTTATCCTTTTTTTTTTCTGATAACTGCATTAAGATTATAAGTTTTTCTTTAAGTGTTGTTTCGGATTCCTCTTACAAGTGTTGATACTGTTCAGTTCTAAATATTCTGTAATGGCCATCGTGATTTCTGATTTCCTCTTTACTCCCAAATCCTTCAACTTACAAATATGGGAAAGATATTAAATGACTTTTCATTAACGGTGCCTGCTTATCTAAATGATATCAAAGTTGTGCTCTGCAGGACAGCAATATTCATTTTTTATTTTTTATTTTTTTTAGTTGGAGTCTCACTCTGTCACCCAAGCTGGAGTACAGTAGCACCCACCACCACACCTGGCTAAATTTTGTATTTTCAGTAGATACGGGGTCTCGCCATTTTGGTTTCACCACGCCAGGCTGGTCTTGAATTCCTGACCTCAGGTGATCTGCCCACTTCGGCCTCCCAAAGCGCTGGGATTACAGGAGTGAGGAACTGTGCCCAGCTGGACAGTAATTAATACTTGTTGAAGTTTCCTGAGTGACCTAATAAATGGTCAAAGTCTGCAAATGTTCCAAGTGCCCCAAATAATGAATATTCTATTCACTATCTGTTGGGTACAGTTCTGTATGTGACAACTGGTTCATGTTTTTAGATCCTTTCTAATCTTTTGTCAGTTTCATCCTGCAGTTTGACAGAGACATGTTATAAATCTCTTATAAGATGGTAAAGTTTTTATTTCTCCTTGTAATTCTGCCTGTTTTTGGTCAATGTTCTGAGGCCAGGTTGTTAGGTCCTGCAAGTTCATGCCCTGCAGTGTTTTCCTTCTGGAGGCGTCCTCTTTTCATCATGTAATATGCCTCTTTATTCTCATCCGTCCTCTTTTTACCTTCACCTCTATTTTGGCTGATATTAATACATGAGCTTTCTTTTGTTTTGTTTTGTTTTTTGAGACGGAGTCTCGCTCTGTCGCCCAGGCTGGAGTGCAGTGGCGTGATCTCAGCTCACTGCAACCTCTGCCTCCCAGGTTCAGGCGATTCTCCCACCTCAGCACCAGCACACCCAGCTAATTTTACGTATTTTTAGTAAAGATGGGGTTTCACCATGTAGGCCAGCTGGTCTCGAACGCCTGACCTCAAGTGATCTGCCCACCTCGGCCTCCCAAAGTGCTGGGATTACAGGCATGAGCCACCGTGCCCGGCCTACACTGGCTTTCTTTTGGTCAATGTTTAGTTAGTTCATCTTTTCGTATCCCTTTATTTTTCAATTACACAATATTTTAAACACTCCGAAAGATGCAATGAATAATTTAACAAACCTCTGTGTACCCACTACCCAGCTTAAGAAATAAAACATCAGAATGTGGCCAGAACTCCCCAGTCTCATTCCTCTCCCTCTCCCCACCTCCCAGCAACCCCCACCCCACCACCAGGAAAACTGTGTCCTGAATTTGGTGCTAATCATTCCTGTGCAAGCTTTTATACGTTTACTACATCCATATCATAAACAGTATATGACATTGTTTTGCACATTGTTCATCCTTAAATAGTATCATACGCTATAAATACATTTAGTTCTAAGGCACTCATTTTCCCTTCTGCACAAACAGATCACACTTCTCTTATCCATTTCCCTGATGGTGAACATGCAGGTGATTTTCAGTTTTTTGTTATTACAAATAATGCTGCTAGGATGGCTTTACATGTTTCCTTGTGCACTTGGGCAAAAAACTATACCTGGCAGGAACTGCTCGTGCCAATTCCAGTGGATGGGATATAATGAATTACCCTTCAGAGTGGTTCTACCAACCCACCAACAGCATAAAGAAACACTAATTTCTCCACTTCTTCTCTAAATCTTAATATTGTTAGATCTCTTAATTTTGGCTAAACTGACAGGTGGAAATGGTTGTTTCATTGAGGGTTTAATTTGCATTTCCCTGACTGCAGTAAAATTGATCATAGTTTCTTCTCCTGTGAGTTACTTGTTTTTATCCTTTGTCCTTTCATACTACATCATTTGTCTTTTAATTTATCTAGAATTGATTTTCACACTTGGTACAAGGTAGGAATCCAATTTCATGTTTTTCTATGTAAATACTATCTGCATGACAGGACTTGAGTTTTCTGTGTATAAATATTTCATCTGTAAATAATGACAGTTTTCTTTCTTGTCAATCCCGACAATTTTTATTTCATTTTTTCTTGTTCTACTGTGCTAAGACCCCTGATACTACTGTAATCTGCTAAGCATTTTTATTTGGAAGGAGTGTTAGGTCTTACTTAAAAAAAAATTATCACGGACATTTGAAGCATACACAGAGTGGAGTACAATGAGCCCTACATGCCCATCCAGTTTCAGCCATCGGCAACTCTGCAATCTTATCTCCGCTCCTCTCACCTCTGGCTGACTGTGCTTGTGCTACAGTTCCAGTGCTTTCTCTGATCATACAGGGTTTGTATCCACCTTAATCTGTTAGTGTGACAAATTACATTCATAGGTTTTCTAATGTTGAATTATCTTGCATTTCTAGGAAAAGTTCTAGTCAATTATAAAAATAATTTTTAAGAATATCTAGATTTGATTAATGATGGTTTCCCCCAGATGCTTTGCTTCTGTGTTTGCAGAAGTGATCTGTATTTGCAGAAGTGATCTGTATTTTTCTTTTCTGATAGTGTCCTTGTTTAGTTTTTTTCATTATCAAGGCTACTCTAGTTTCATACAATGAGTGGCGAGCTATCCTTTTTTATATTCTGCGGAGGAGTCTGTATAAAATTGGAATAATTTCTTAAATAGCAGAATTCACATATCATACTATCTGAACTTGGTAACTTGAGCAGGAGATTTTTAATTATTAAATTTTTTAAAATTTATTTTTTATTTCGATAGATTTTGGGAGAACAGGTGGTGTTTGCTTATATGACTAAGTTCTTTAGTGATTATCTCTGAGATTTTGGTGCACCCATCACCCAAGCAGCATACGCTGTAGTTTTTTATTCCTCGTCCCCCTCCCACCCTTTCCCTCGAGTCCCTAAAGTCCATTGTATCATTCTTATGCCTTTGCATCCTCATAACTCAGCTCCCACTTATGAGTGAGAACACACAATGTTTGGGTTTCCATTCCTGACTTACTTCACTTACAATAGTAGCCTCCGATTCCATCCACGTTGTTGCAAATGCCATTATTTCACTCTTTTTAGGGCTGAGTAGTATTCTATAGTATACTGGTATACACTACGTTTTCTTCATCCACTCGTTGACCAATAGGCATCTGGGTTGGTTCCATATTTTTGCAATTCCAAATTGTGCTGCTATAAACATGCATGTGCAAGTATCCTTTTTCATATAATGACTTCTTTTCCTCTGAGTAGATATCTAGAAGTGGGATTGCTGATCAAATGGTGGTAGATATACTTTTAGTTCTTTAAGGAAACTCCACAATGTTTTCCATAGTGGTTGTATTAATTCACATTCTCACTAACAGTGTAAAAGTGTTCCCTTTTCACCACATCCACACCAACATCTATTATTTTTCATTTATTATGGGCATTCTTGCAGGAGTGAGGTGGTATCACACTGTGGTTTTTATTTGCATTCCCCTGACAGTGATGTTAAGCATTTTTCCATATGCTTTTGTATATCTTCTTTCGAGAACTGTCTATTCATGTCCTTAGCCCTCTTTTTAATGAGATTGTTTGTTTTTTTCTTGCTGATTTGAGTTCTTTGCAGATTCTGGATATTAGTCCTTTGTCAGATGTATTGATTGTGAAAATTTTCTCCCACTTTGTGGGATGTCTGTTTATTGATTATTTCTTTTGCTGTGCAGAAGCTTTGTAGTTTAATTAAGTCTCATATATTTATCTTTGTTTTTGTTGCATTTGCTTTTGGGTTCTTGGTCAAGAAGTCTTTGCCTAGCCAATGTCTAGAAGGATTTTTTCTGATGTTATCTTTATAATTGTTATGGTTTCAGCTCTTAGGTTAAGTCTTTGACCATCTTGAGTTGATTTTTGTATAAGGTGAGAGATGAGGATCCAGTTTCATTCTCCTACCTGTGGCTTGCCAATTATCCCAGCACCATTTGTTGAATAGGGTGTCCTTTCCCCACTTTATGTTTTTGTTTATTTTGTCAAAGATCAGTTGGCTGTAAGTATTTGGGTTGATTTCTGGGTTCTCTATTCTTTTCCATTGGTCTATGTACCTATTTTTATACCAGTACCATGGTGTTTTGGTGACTATGACCTTATATCGTAGTTTGAAGTTGGGTAATGTGATGCCTCCAGCTTTGTTCTTTTTGCTGATTTTGTTTTTTTTTTTTTTTTGAGACGGAGTCTCACTCTTGTCACCCAGACTGGAGTGCAATGGATGGCGCGATCTTGGTTCACTGCAACTTTCACCTCCTGAGTTTAAGTGATTCTTCTGCCTCAGCCTTCCAAGTAGCTGGGATTACAGGCACAAGCCACCGCACCTGGCTAATTTGTGTACTTTTTTAAGTAGGGTTGGGGTTTCATCATGTTGGTCAGGCTGGTCTCAAACTCCTGACCTCAGGTAATCTGCCCGCCTTGGCCTTCCAAAGTGCTGGGATTACAGGCAAGAGCCACTGCACCTGGCCTTTTTTGCTTAGTCTTGCTTTGGCTATGCAGGCTCTTTGTTGGTTCCATCTGAATTTTAGGATTGTTTTTTCTAGTTCTGTGAAGAATGATAGTGGTATTTTGATGGGAATTGCATTGAATTTGTAGATTGCTTTTGGCAGTATAGTCATTTTCACAATATTGATTCTACCCATACATGAACATGGGATGTGTTTCCATTTGTTTGTGTCGTCTATGATTTCTTTCAGCAGTGTTTTGTCGTTTCCCTTGTAGAGCTCTTTCACCTCCTTGGTTAGGTATATTCCTAAGTATTTATTTTATTTTGTGCAGCTACTGTAAAAGGGGTTGAGTTCTTTATTTGATTCTCAGCTTGATCGCTGTTAATGTATAAAAGAGCAAAAGAGCTACTGATTTGTGTACATTAATTTTGTATCTTGAAACCTTGCTGAATTCTTTTATCAGTTCTAGGAGCTTTTTGGAAAAGTCTTTGGGGTTTTCAACATAAATAATCATATCATCGGCAAACAAACAGTGACAGTTTGACTTCCTCTTTACCGATTTGGATGCCCTTTCTTTCTTTCTCTTGTCTGATTGCTCTGGTTAGGACTTCCAGTACTTTGCTGAAGAGAGTGGTGACAGTGGGCATCCTTGTCTTATTCCAGTTCTTGGGAGAATACTTTCAAACTTTTACTGGTTCAGTATTATGTTGGCTGTGGGTTTGTCACAGGTGGCTTTTATTACATTAAGGTATGTCTCGTGTATGCTGATTTTGCTGAGGACTTAATCATAAAATGATGCTGGATTCTGTTGAATGCTTTTTCTGCATCTATTGAGATGATTGTGTGATTTTGGTTTTTAATTCTGTTTATGTGGTGTTATCACATTTATTGACTTGCATATGTTAAACCATCCCTGCATCCCTGATATGAAACCCACTTGATCACGGTGGATTATCTTTTTAATTTGCTGTTGGATTCAGTTAGCTAGTATTTTGTTGAGGATTTCTGCATCTATGTTCATCAGGGATATTGGTCTGTAGTTTTCTTTCTTGGTTATGTCCTTCCCTGGTTTTGGTATTAGGGTGATATTGGCTTATAGAATGATTTAGGGAGAATTCCCTCTTTCTCTACCTTGTGGAATAGTGTCGATAGGATTGGTACCAATTCTTCTTTGAATGTCTGATAGAATTTTGCTCTGAATTCATCTGGTCCTGGACTTTATTTTGTTCGTAATTTTTTTATTACCATTTCAATCTCGCTACTCGTTACTGGTCTGTTCAGGGTATCTAATTCTCCCTGATTTAAGCTAGGATGGTTGTACCTTTTCAGGAATTTATCCATCTCCTCTAGGTTTTCTAGTTTATGTGCATAAATAAAGGTGTTCATAGTAGCTTCGAATAATCTTTTGTATTTCTGTGGTACCAGTAGTAATATCTCCCATTTCATTTCTAATTGAGCTTATATTTGGATCTTCTCCCTTATTTTATTGGTTAATCTCACCAATGGTCTATCAATTTTATCTATCTAGATAGACAAAATAAAAATTTTATCCATCTAGACAGACAAAATAAAAATTTAATCTATCTAGACAAAAATTTAATCTAGATAGACAAAAATTTAAATTTTATCTATCTAGATAGATAAAATAAAAATTTTAACTAAAAAAATTTATCTTTTTATTTATCTAAAAAGAACCAGCTTTTTGTTCAATTTATCTTTTGTAATTTTTTTTGTTTCAATTTCATTTAGTTCCGCTCTGATTTTCATTACTTCTCTTCTTCTGGTGGGTTTGGGTTTGGATTGTTCTTGTTTCTTCAGTTGTGTGAGATGGGACTTTAGATTGTCTATTTGTGCTCTTTCAGTCTTTCTGATGTAGGCATTTAAGGCTATGAACTTTCCTCTTAGCACTGCCTTTGCTGTATCCCAGAGGTTTTGATAGGTTGTGTCACTATTATCGTTCAGTTCAAAGATTTTTTTAAATTTGCATCTTGATTTCATTGTTAACCCAAAAATCATTCAGGAGCAGGTTGCTTAATTTCCCTGTATTTGCCTGGTTTTGTGGGTGCCTTTGGAGTTGATTTCCAATTTTATTCCACTATCGTCTGAGAGAGTACTTGATATAATATAGATTTTTTTTTTTTTTTTTTGAGACGGAGTCTCGCTCTGTCGCCCAGGCTGGAGTGCAGTGGCCGGATCTCGGCTCACTGCAAGCTCCAAATTTAGATTTTTTTAAATTTCCCGAGACTTGTTTTGTGGCCTATCATATGGTCCATCTTAGAGAATGTTCCATGTGCTGATGAATAGAATGTATATTCTGCAGTTGTTGGGTAGAATGCTCTGTAAATACCTGTTAAGTCCATTTGTTGTAGGGTATAGTTTAAGTTCATTCCTTCTTTGTTGACTTTCTGTCTTGAGGACCTGTCTAGTGCTGTCAGTGGAGTATCAAAGTCCCCCGCTATTACTGTGTTGCCGTCTATATCATTTCTTAGGTCTAGTAGTAATTGTTTTATAAATTTCAGAGCTTCAGTGTTAGGTGCATATACATTTAGGATTATGATATTTTCCTGTTGGACAAGGCTTTTTATCATTATATAATGTCCCTCTTTGTCTTTTTTAAGTGCTGTTGCTCTAAAGTCTGTTTTGTCTGATAAAAGAATGGCTATTCCTGCTCGCTTTTAGTCTCCATTTGCACATGAAATATTTTTCCACCCCTTTAAGTTTATGTAAGTCCTTATGTGTTAGGTGAGTCTCCCGAAGACAGCAGAAACATGGTTGGTGAATTCTTATCCATTCTGCCATTCTCTATCTTTTAAGTGGAGCATTTAGGTCATTTACATTCAACATTAATATTGAGATGTGAGATACTATCCTATTCATTGTGCTATTTGTTGCCTGAATACCATGCTGTTTTTTTCATTGTTATTGTTATAGAGGTTCTGTTGGATTTGTGTCTTAAGGAGGTTCTATTTTGGTGTATTTCGAAGATTTTTTTCAAGACTTAGAGCTCCTTTTAGCAGTTCTTATAGTGCTGGCTTGGTAGTGGCGAATTCTCTCAGCATTTGTTTGCCTGTAAAAGACTGTATCATTCCTTCATTTATGAGGCTTAGTTTCACTGGACACAAAATTCTTGGCTGATAATTGTTTTGTTTAAGGAGACTAAAGATAGGACCCTAATCAATCTCTTCTGGCTTGTAGGGTTTCTGTTGAGAAATCTTCTGTTAATCTGATAGGTTTTCCTTTATAGGTTACCTGATATTTTTGCCTCATAGCTCTTAAGATTTTTCCTTCATCTTGACTTCAGATAATCTGATGACTATGTGCCTAGGTGATGAATTCTTCTGCAATGAATTTTGCAATGAATTTCCCAAGTGTGTTTTTTGAGTTCTTGTATTTGGATGTCTAGATCTCTAGCAAGGCTAGGTAAGTTTTCCTCAATTATTCCCTCAAATATGTTTTCCTAACTTTTAGATTTCTCTTCTTCCTCAGGAACACCAATTATTCTTAGGTTTGGACACTTAACTTAGTCCCATACTTCTTGGAGGCTTCATTTTTTGAAATTCTTCTGTCTCTGATGGATAGGGTTAATTCAAAAGCTTTTTCTTTGAGCTCTGAAGTTCTTTCTTCAGCTTGTTCGATTCTATTGCTGAGACTTTCCAGTGCATTTTGCATTCCTCTAAGTGTGTCCCTGATTTCCAGAAACTGTGATTTTTTTATGCGATTTCACTGAAGAATTTTCCTTTCATAACCTGTATCATGTTTTTTATTTCTTTAAGTTGAATTTCACCTTTCTCTGGTACCTCCTTGATTAGCTTAATAATTGACCTTCAGAATTCTTTTTCTGGCAATTCAGAGATTTCCTCTTGGTTTGGATCCATTGCTGGTAAGCTGATGTGATCTTCTGGGGGTGTTTAAGAACCTTGTTTTGTCATATTACCAGAATTGTTTTCCTGGTTCCTTCTCATTTGGAACCAGAGGGAAGATCTGCGACTCAAGGGCTGCTGTTCTCTTATCTTGGGGGTGCTCCCTTGATGTGGTGTTCTCCCCCTGCCCTGAGGAATGGGGCTTCCTGAGAGCCAAACTGCAATGACTGTTTTTGCTCTTGCAGGTCTACCCACCCAGTGGAGCTACCAGGCTTCAGGCTGGTACTGGGGAGTGTCTGTCAAGAGTCCTGTGATGTGATCCATCTTCAGGTCTTTCAGGTGCGGATACCAGCACCTGCTCTGGTGGGGGTAGCAGGGGAGTGAAATGGACTCTGTGAGGGTCCTTGGCTGTATTTTTGTTGAGTGTGCTGGTTTTATATTGGTTGACCTCCAGCACCTGCTCTGGTGGGGGTAGCAGGGGAGTGAAGTGGACTCTGTGAGGGTCCTCGGCTGTATTTTTGTTAAGTGTGCTGGTTTTATATTGGTTGGCCTCCAGCCAGGAGGTGGCGCTTTCAAGAGAGCATCAGCTGAGGTCCTGTAGAGAGGATGCAAACTTGCCCTAAGGTAGCCTAATTAAGTATTCAGGTTTCTCAGGGGGTGGGCAGGACCACAGAGCCCCCAGGAGATTATAACCTTTGTCTTCGGCCATCAGGGTGGGTAGAGAAAGACCACCAGGTGGGGGCAGGAATAGGGTGTCTGAGCTCAGACTCTGCTTGGGCGGGGCTTGCTGTGGCTGCTGTGGGGGATGGGTGTGTGGTTCTCAGTCCAATGGAGTTATGTTCCCAGGAGGATTAAGGCCATTAGTCATACAGGTCCTCCAGGAAAGTGGGAGAAAGCCAGCAGTCACAGGCCTCACCCCACTCCCACGCAGCCCGCAGTCCAAAAGGCTGGTCTCACTCCTACCGTGCCCACCCCCAACAGCACTGAGTCTATTTCCAGGCAGCCAGTGCCCAGGGCTGAGAACTTGCCTGTGGTAGTTCCAAGAACTTCCCGTGGTAGTTCTTGGAGCAAAAGTTCATGATGTGAGTCTCCAGACGCTGTTCTGTCTGTCCGAGCAGGAGCTGCAAGCTAGTCCTTCCTCCTATCTGCCATCTTAATCCGATTCTGACCTAATTATTCAATTTCTGAAATGGTTCCATTTCCTGTTTTTTCTTCAGTTAATTTCTTCTTGGGTAAAAATACATTAGTATTTTTTATTCTAAATCATCCACTTTACTAAATGTATAAGCTTTTGTCGTGCTTTCAAATGATCTGGGTGGGTGGTGGTAACTCACTCCTATTTGTGTCTGAAAGTGTCTTTAGCTCTGCCCTCACGCTTAAACCACAGCTGTCTGGATTCAGAATTCTTGGCGAATAGTGATTGTACCCCAGTGTTTCCGTTACTTCTCCATGACCCTCTGGCATCTGTGCTCCTAAGACGTTGGCCATCAGACTATCTGTCATTATTTTGTAGGAAATCTATTTTTCTAGGGCAGCGTATAAGATTTTCTTGAGATCACAATTTGTCTAGGTCTGGAATTATTTGTTTATCCTGCTTGATCATCTGAGCACATGTTCTCCAGGACTCACTCGGAAGGGGCACTGGCCACCCTCTCTTTCGCACCTCACATGGGAGCCTCCACTCCAGCCCACCCTCACTTCCTTCTCTCCAGGAAGCCTCCATGCCCAGCTGGCTCAGCCCCACCACATCCTCCGGCTCACCCATACTCTCTCTGATCACACCCGGCGTACGGTTCACTCTGCTTCTAAAATGTAAATAGCTGTATATTTCATTTCTAGGATTTGGTTTAGGTCTTTTCTTTGTTCTTAGGTGCCTTTTTTCATAATTTTGTGTTTTTAACTGGTTCCCCCTTTACCCCTTGGAGGATGTTAGGCATATTCGGTTTAAAGTCACCTGTGTTTGTTCTGTTATTTCCTTTTCTTTGGGAGTGATTACGCCTTCTGACTGTAGATGCTGTTGGCACTGTCTGGGATGCTGGCTGTTCCCAGCCCTCAGTTTGCAGCTCCACCATGAGCACAGCTGAAGCTGCTTTCTTCCTCCTCACATGCCCTCCCTGCCCCACTCCCAACCCCATTCAGAAGCAGGGGCTCCCACCCTGGGATCTCAGGACCCTGGTCCAGATTCACCTGTGGGAATTACAGACCTAGCCACCAGTCAGCCCTGCCCTGCAGCCTTCCTGGTCTCTGCAGCTCAACAAGCCTTCACCCCTCCTCAGCCTCCTCCAAAGGGCCCAGGTACCTCCCCCAGTGCTCAGAGGGGGCTGAGCCACACCTGCACACTTCTGCTGCCATGGAACTCAGACTCCCAAGCCCATCTGCCTATCTCAAGCCATGTCCTGGTGCCTGGGTCTCTGCTGTCTCTCACCACTGTATGTTCTGTTCCATTTCTATTCCTCAGAGATTTTGTTTTTACTTGTCTAGGTCCTTTTATTTTCTAAGTGTATTTTTTTTATCTTATTGCTGTGTTCAGAGCAGGGGGCATGTAATGTCTGAATCAGAGCATCATCTGATCAGAAAAGCCCACTTTCCTCCCAACTTCAACTTCTCTCCCTCATCACACTCAGGTCTTTTCTTGCAACACACATGGCAAAGCGTGGCTGTGGTCATGGACCATGCCACCCCCCTGGCATGGAGCCCCTCCCTGCAACAGCTTCTACAGGGCAAAGCCTCAGCCTGGCCCGCCCACACCTGGAGTTTCCCATCCCACACCTGCCACCTTGTCGCCACCCCAGACACTCCTCACGTTTTTGCTGCTTTGCTGGGAATGCCTCCTCCCAGTTTCCCTTGCCTGACATTCAGGACCCTACGGGCAGCTCCAGGCCTGTGACCTCCCCGTCGTGTGGCTGGGAGACCACCCACCTCTGTCCCAGAGGCTGACATAGGTCCTGTCACCCACTAAGAGCTCAAAAACATCTGGGAGACCAAAGTCTGGAAGTCACTGGCCTGTGAGCAGCCGAGGCTTTCAAGTCAGAGAAAGGGAGGACAGTCGGAGGCTGACAAGTGCCTCCCACTCGAGGAATAAGAGGAGAGGAGAAGAGGCAGCAACTCAAACATGAGACCAGAGAGGAAGAAGGGATGACAACAGCAAGGCCCTGACAGGCCTGGGGCAGATGCACCTCTGGGAGAAGAGCTGGCTCTGCCTGGCAGTGACTAGGAGCTGACGGGTCATAGGCTCCAGCCCAGCAGGGTGGGGGTGAGTGGGAAGATGTGAGAAAGGGGACAGTCATGGAGGACTGTGGTGCAAATTAGGACAGAACTCCTCTTTGAGCCAATCGTCTAATTTGGTCTGAAGGGTCTGCTGGTAAGACTTCCTCCCTTCGAGAGAGTGGGACCGAAAGGGCCCCTCTCTTCACACAAGTTGTAGGCTCCAGCCCTGACCAAGGGTAGGATCAGCAGCCCCAGGAGCCAGGGAGCCAAGCCAAGCCCCTGGCCTGCAGCAAACACAGCCTGTTGGGCCTCCGTAAGAGGCATCACAGGCAAGACAACAGCCACCATCCTGTTCAGTCTCAGACATGGCATCCAAGTATGTTTCATGGGACAGGAATGCAAGGCATGCTCTCATCAGTAAGGCCAGTCATGGGCAGGACTGTGGGGCCACAGCCTATGGAAGGGGAGAGTACCCAACCAAGAAAGTCCTCGAAAGGGAACCCTCCAAGAGGGCAGAGTCTGCATGAGCCAACAAGGTCTCCGTCGTAGAGAAGTGGGCCCCCAGCCCCCACTTCCCGAGGAGCTGAGGGGGGTAGTTTTCCAGATACAGATGAGAACTGAGGGGGTCACTGGGATCTGAGATAGGAGGGGGAGAAGTTTAGGAAGTGCTTTGTTTTTGTTCTCGGAGAATAAAAAACAGAAGTGCATGCAAGTCTCAGGAGCTAAGAGATACACTGGTGGCTTGAAGGCCAGCTGGGCCCCCCGGGAACTACACTTGCTCCCTACAGTGCTGCCACAGAATCCAGCTTCCTTCACCGTAGGGGCTGGGGCCCCCGGACCTGGAGATCTGCAGGTTGCTGACTGCCTGTGCTTCCCTCGTTTGAGGAACACTGTGTCTGAAAAGTCAGTGATCTGGGCCGTGTGGAGGAACAAGGGAGGGAATGACAGGAGAGTCCGCCTTCCCAGCACCCAGGGGAGACGGGAGCCGGGCAGGCCGCAAATGTGCAGAGCAGGTGCCTTACCTGGAAGACAGTGAGGATGGCGGCAGGGAAGGTGTCGAAGTTGGTTGTGGGAGTCTCATCCTGGAAGTTGAACCTGAGGAAAACAGGAAGGCTTGGGAAGTGGCAGTCCCGTCAGCAGCGAGGCAGCGCCTGCAGGCTCCAGCGTGGCCTCAACCTGCTCGCTTCAGGCTGCAGATGGCTGCACACTGGCCCCTCTGAGGACCTTCCTGGTGGGAAGGTGGGTGGAGGCAGCCTGGGCGGCACCGTCTGCTCTGAGCTCTGCTTCCCTGCAAGCCCCCAGCCTTGAGCTCTCCCTCCCGGGCCCACTTACTGTCCCCCAAACAGCTGCATCCCCAGCAGGGCGAAGACCACAATGAACAGGAAGAGCAAGAAGAGCAGGCTGATGATGGACTTCATGGAGTTCAGCAGGGACACCACCAGGTTCCGCAGGGAGCTCCAGTACCTGCGGGGCCAGGCAGGGGGTCTGAGCCAGCTCCAGACGCTGACTTCACATTCATGGCTCTCTGCAGCCACACTTAAGGCTCCACTGACTTTCTAAACCCTGAGGGCTGCACACCTAGGTGTGAAGTTAGAGCTTTTCTCTGGAGTTTCAGGCCCACTACCCTGGACTTCTCTCCCTGAGGGCCCCATGGGAAGGCAGAGAAAAACACACCCAGTGGAGGACTCACTTCGTCCTCCCAAACTGCTCCCTGTCCCTAGGTTCAGGAGGACGAGGCCACCATCCAGGTGGCCAGGCCCAATCCCAAACTTCATCCTCGGCCCCTCCCTGCCCCTCACTCCTCAACACCCAGTCAGCCACCAAGTGTCTCAGACCAGTGCCATGTGAAGCAAGTCCCACAACTGTTGTCATCAGCCCACAGCAGGAAGAGCTACACCGGAACCTACAGCAGATCTGCAAGCGCTGTGGCCGGTGGCAGAGACCCTGGCTCCAGTGCCCCCTCACCAGGGACAAGGGACACGCGGCGTGGAGAGCTTGTAGGGTGACACCACGCAGACTCTCTGTGGTATCCCTCAACGCTTCCCATCCCAGAGGGCAGTGACCGTGCCCTGCTCATGCACGGGTCCCCATGGCACACAGGTGCCACCGAGGCTGCTGATGGCAACTGAGGGGCCGGTCCCTCATGTCCCTGTGCCTCTGCACGTGCTGTCCCATCTCCCTGGAATGGAGGGACTGCAAGACAGACACTGGTCTCCTTCTGTGCTCACTCTATCCCTGGGCACCCCTGGGCTCCCAAACCATGTCCTTCTCCCTGGCGCCCACATCAGAGGCCCCGCTATCCTCCATGGATTCTCTTACAAAGTACCTGAGGGCTAATGGCAGACGGGATGGAAGACTCTGGGAAAGGAATTGAACCTTCTCCTGGGACTAGCAGGGGTCTAGGCCAGCCTGCCTCAGGACAGGGTCACCTACTTCCTGGGAGAAAATGGAGCCTAAGATGCCAGACCTGGAGGTGGGGTAAAGGCAGCCCTGTGGACACTTCCTGAAGCCTCACACCAGCAAGTTCTGGGAAGGCAACAGAAGTCTGAGGACACACAGCACAGAGCGCCAGTGAGGATTCATGGACCCAGCGGGACTCAACTCTGCCCAAAACTCTTCTGCCTTTATAGCTTCATATCCTCCTATGGTCTTAGGTTTGGATTTAAAATGGATTGGAAAAGACCTGGGATTTCAGTTGCCCTGGGGAGGTCAGTGGGCTTCTGAGAGGTCATCTTGGTCACTAGAGGTGTGACCTATGACCTGGCACTGCACGGGCTCAGTGTCGGCAGTTCTGCTTGTTGGGCCCTGCAGCTGCCAAGGACACACACCAAAGTCCATGCTGGCCCACGTGTGTGTCTGGTAGGGTCCAGATGCTCAGGAGCCTCCGCGGTGCAGCCTTTGCTGCCGATGAGACTGCTGTGAGGAGAGTCTCTCTCTCTCTTCCCCACTACAACTCTGGCAGTGAGGGGAAGGGTTTTCACCCTGGTCCTTCTCTCACTACCTGCATCTGTCACTTCCTGGGCTTCAGTCTCTTTGTAGGCAAACTGCAGCAACTCACTTCCAGAGTCAAGTGGGACATAACTGTAAACATGGTCTTGTCACTGCCATCGTCAGCAAGGTGCAGGGTGGAGAAAGCAGGCCTGAGCACAGGGGCCAGGCAGGTGCCAGGCTGGCTCAGTGAGAAGCTCAGGACCATGGCAGGGTGCACACAGGCTCTCCAGGGGTGGAGCTGCAGGGGAGGTAGGCAGACTTGGGGGCTGGATGATGGAAAAGCTTCCATCTGATGACTTCTGTCTTCCTCATTAACTACAAAGCAAAGTCACCTTTGAAGGCTGGGAAGATGGGGTGGTGGTTTCAAGACAGGAGACGATGGGAAATCGTGGAAAGCAAGTGAACAAGAAAGCTAAAGGGTGTGCCGGCAGCACGGAGGCCAGTCAGGGATGGCCCTGAGGGCAGATGTGGCCCCACAAGGCCGTTTTGGAACCACCTTTTGTATTTAAATCAACTATAAGCCACAGAGAGAGCTTCTGGGTGCTGTGAACTCCTGGGGACAAGCACCCTGTGTGGCTGATCCCACGCCCTCTCCACCCTACACCTGCCCTCGCCTGGGAGCGCAGGGGACGTACTTCGTGACTTTGAAGATCCTCAGCAGGCGGAGGGCCCGCAGCACACTGATCCCAAAGGAGCTTCCCGGCTTGATGGCCGCCCAGACCACTTCAAAGACGCTCCCCACGATGACCTGCAACGGGATGGCATTAGCCTTGGGTGCACCGTATCTGCACCTGTGCATGCAGATGGATGTGTGTGCACACCCTGCGTGGCTGCACCTCTCCGTAAGGAACCATCCTGCTTCCTTGTCTGACAATCAAGCCAGATATGGTAACACAAGGCACACACCTCACACTGAGCTCTTGGAACCTTTGGGAAAGGCTATAGAGTCCCACCAGTCCTGGTACCTGCCCTCCCTCCCACCCCCCACCCCAGACACACCAGGAGGACACAGGACATGGACCAGGTTAGGCCTGCTGGCTTCCTGGCAGACCTTACAACCACCTGGTCTAATACCTCCTCTGTGCTTGACCACAGCCTGGTGACACTGGTGTCTTCTTCAACACCTCTGGAGCTGGGCAAACTTTCAGACAGCCCTGACTGTTAGACTGTTCTCTCACAGACTAGCAAAATCTGTCTCCCTGTAACTTCCCCTCCCTGGTTCTGCCACTGCTCCAAGATACTCAGATTCATAAATTGCATCTTGAGTCTTTTCTTCTCCCAATGACCAGGAAACAGCACATGCCACCAAGAACAGATTATGGCAAGCCTGCCTGTTTGTTTCATGCACTGTTGATGTTGGTGAGCTGGAATTTGTGAGCAAGGTACACGTCCCTCCTTCCAGCCATTCCTCAGATAGACTGTGAGGAGGGCCGTCCTGGTCAGGGCCCGGTGTGAGGGACTCAGAAAGGACAGACCAGTGGGGCTGGAACACAGCAGACCCTTTACCACCTTCCCTCTGGACAGGACAAGCAAGGGGCCCCAAACTGAATTCTCTCCCAGGCCACCATACCTCAAGGGGCACAATCTGGGCTCACAGTCAGCAGGAGCGCCCATGTCTTCTTCATGTGTGTAATTCTCATTTCCTCTAAGCCACACTTCTGCAACTGGTGTGGAGAATTCAAATGTTGAGCCTCTCAAACTCAATTACATTGTATTTGGGACATATATTTTCCAAAGTTTCAGTCATTTCCACCAATTTCGCATCAACTGCAAAGCTGATGAGCTTAACGTCAATGCTCTTACGAAGTCACTGAGAGAACGATGAATATGCTAAGACAGAGCCCTGTGGTACATCTCTAGAGACTTCCCTACAGATTGACACTAATCTGTTAACCAGCATGTCTGGGAATGGCTGTGCACCATTTATGGATCAACTCAAATGCACAGTCATCTGCTGCACATTTCTCTACGTTGTCCACAGATCGCCATTCAGAGAATATCTAACGTTCTGTCAACAACCAGGTACACCAATATGCACAGAACCTGTGATAACCCTATCAATACAACAAATTGGGTAAGCTTGCCACCCCAGTCTTGCCAAGAGTGCCATCTGTTCTTGGTGATCACATGTTGCCCTTGATCATCACCACCAACTTTTCTCTGCACTAGCAAATCATCCAGATGTTTGCC
Source organism: Homo sapiens (assembly GCF_000001405.40). Lineage (NCBI taxonomy): Eukaryota > Metazoa > Chordata > Mammalia > Primates > Hominidae > Homo > Homo sapiens. The sequence continues at coordinate 137,982,695 of NC_000009.12, read as the reverse complement.
TAGGGTTGAAGATTGTAGTTTTCTAAATATACTTTCTTCTCATTGCCAGTCTTCCAGCATCTGTCCTGTTTTCCACTAATTATCAAAATTTGTCCTCACTGGTTCATGTAGTAGGCAGCCTCTAAGATGGCCTCAGTAATCCCTACCACCCAGTATTCACTCCCTTGTATAATGCTATCCCCTTAAGGATGGGTTGGACCTAGTGACTCACTCTTAGTAAACAGAATACAGCAAAAGTGATGGGATGTCACCTCTGAGATCAGATTACAAAAGGACTGGTTTCTGTCTTGGGAACTCTTAACTCTTTCTCTGAACACCAAATATCATGTCATAAGGACACTCCGGCAGCTGGGAGAGGCCCATGTGACCAGGAACAGAGGCCTGCCAGCAGCCACACCAGTGAGCCTGGAAGCAGATGTTTTGAGGTCCATTGACAGCCATAATGAGCATGAGGCTGGAAGTGAATTCTCCAGCCCCAAATGAGCCTGAGAAGACTGCAGCCTCACTAGAGACTGCAAGCCAGGTGCACCCAGTTAAGCCACCCTGATTCCTGACTCACAGAAACAGTGAAATAATAAACATTTTTCTTATGCCACCAAGCTTTTGGATAATTTGTTCCCCAGCAGGAAAAGTCAATACAGATTTTGGAATCAGAAGTGGGGTGATGTTGTGATAAAAACCTAAAATGTGGGAGTGGTTTTGGAACCAGAGGATGGACACTGAGCAGCACATTAATGAAGGGCTAAAGCGCACTTAACACACAGTTCATAGAATTTTGGACATTAAGCATGCTGCACATCAGGGTCTGCAGGAAAGCGAGGAGAATTTCATAGGAAACTAGAGGAAGGGGTCCTGTTGTGTGCTGGCAGAAAATTTAGCCACACTGTTGCATGCAGCTATGTAAAAAGTAGAAAACAGGCAAGGCGTGGTGGCTCATGCCTGTAATCCCAACACTTTGGGAGGCTGAGGCAGGCAGATCACTTGAGGTCAGGAGTTCGGGACCAGCCCGACCAACATGGTGAAACCCCATCTCTACTAAAAATACAAAAAAATTAGCTGGACGTGTTGGTGGGTGCCTGTAATCTCAGCTACTCAGGAGGCTGAGGCAGGAAAATTGCTTGAACCCGGGAGGCAGAGGTTGCAGTGAGCCGAGATCGTGCCACTGCACCCCAACCTGGGCAACAGAGCGAGACACACACACACAAAAAAAGGTAGAAAACATGCTTAATCAACCAGGGGATCAACCTCAAGAGATCTCTGAGCCAAGTGCTGAAGGTGCCACCTGATGTCTTCTTGCTGCTTGTAGTCAAATATGAGAGGAGAGAGATAAACCAAGGAAACTGCATTAAATAAAAGGAAGCCAGGACTTGCTGGTTTTGAATATGTTTAGCCTCTCCAGATCTCAACATAAATAATGGCAAGGTCTCAGCAAAGATATGGAAAAAAATGCTCAACACCACTAATCAGAGACGTGCAAATCAAAACCACAGTGAGATATCATCTCACGCCAGTCAGAATGGCTATTATTAAAAAGTCAAAAAATAACAGATGTTGGCGAAGCTACGGAGAAAAGGGGATGTTGGTGGGAATGTAAATTAGTCCAGTCACTGTGGAAAACAGTTTGCAGATTTCTCAAAGAACTAAAATAGAACTACCATTTGATCCAGCAATCCCACTACTGGCTATATACCCAAGGGACTATAACTCGTTCTACCAAAAAGACACATGCATTTGTTCACCACAGCACTATTCACAACAGCAGGGACACAAATCAACTTAGGTGCCAGTTAACAGTGGATTGGATCAAGAAAATGCATTATATATACACCATGGAAGACTGCACAGCTATTAAAAAAAATAACATGTATTTTGCAGTAATATGGATGTGGCCAGAGGCCATTATCCTAAGTGAATTAATGCAGAAACAAACACCAAATACCACACGTTCTCACAAGTGGGAGCTAAACAAGGATACACATGGACACAAAGAAGGGAACAATAGACAGTGGGGAGTACTAGAGGGAGGAGGGAGGGGGAAGGGGTTGACAAACTATCTTCCGGGTACTATGCTCACTACTTGGGTGATAGGATCGTGTGTATCCCAAACCTCAGCATCACACAATATACCCATGTAACAAACCTGCACGTGTAACCCCTGAATCTAAATAAAACTTGAAATTTTAAAAAGAGAGAAAGGTGGCATGGTCTAAAGATGAAGCCAAGGGCAAGACTGTGACTTTTATTTGAGATCCCAAAACGATCAAAGGTGGTGCCTCAGAGCACTACTCAGCCACACTTTCAGGCTCTTCAAAGAGATTGAGGGTGCCTCACACATCTGGTCAATGAAGCAGGAACTTCTCTAAGACACTGGAGGTGTTGACCCTTAGCATTTCAACAGGAACACAGACAGAAAAGGTCTAAGGCCTAATAGGTGTGGGTAGAGCTTTTTTCTAATAATAAAGTGAACCCCAAGCTTCACAACATATCCATAAAGTTCTTAGAGGACATATATGCAGAGACATCACCAACTTGGACTGAAAGAATCAAGACAATACAAAACGAAAATAGGTCTTTAGATTCCCAAAATTCTGCCAGTGGGAAGTAGGCTGAGAAAACCATTCAGCTGAAAACCTGAACTACCTTTCATGGAAAAGCAAAGGGAGTGAGAGGGCAGAACCAAGAGCCCAGAGGGCTTCCTGTCTGTAACAATGAATCCCAGACTTTCCCGCATGTGCCCAGCTGGATTTCAGAATCCCTATGGACCAGTGGCTCAGCTTCCTGGTGTCCCCTTGCTGAGCAGGAATATCTACTGCAGTTACCCTATGCCCATCCTACCACTGCACACTGAATGTTGAGTGTAGATAACTCTCTAGTTCCACAGGTCAACAGATTAAGAGGTACCGCAGCCACTGCACTTAGGGAACTACACCGAAGGAGTCTCACCCACACCTGGACCTAACTGAGGATGAGATTCTGGATTTTGAGCTGATACTGTAATGGATAAGATTTTGGGGAGTTGGCAGGGTGAAGGTGTTTTACAATGGGAAGGATATGAGTTACTGAGAGCCAGAGGGCAGGCTGTGGCAAGCAGCCTCTTCGATGGCCCCAGTGGTCATCACTGTCTGGTGTTCACATCCTTGCATAATACCTGCCCCCATATATTCCTCTCCCCGGCCCAGTCACTGGGCCCAGTGACTCACTCCTAACTAAAAGACTATGGCAAAACTGATGGGATCTTTCTTTCAAGACAGGGTTTCTATAACTTCTGTCTTATGTACATACTCTCAGTTCTCTCCCTCAGACCACAGCTGAGGACACTCCGGCAGCCTGTGGAGAGGCCACATGACCAGGAACTCGGCGTTCCAGCAACCAAATGCATGAGCTTGACACCAGATTCTCCAGTGCCAGTCAAGCCGTGGAATGACCATATCCTTGGCCTTCAACTGGGCTGAAGCCTCATGGGGGACCCTGCGCCAGAGATACCCAGTGCCACACCTGAATTCCTAAGCCATAGAAATGTGAGACAGATTTTTGTAGTTTAAAGCTGCTAAGTGTTAGAAGAATGTGTTAGCTTATGTGCAAATTATCCCCATGTCCTGAGATCCAGTCAGTTCAGATCAGAAGATTGGAAGACATGAAAAAGATCCCTGCATCTCTGACGCCTCCATCTCTTCGGCTCCCTTGGCCGATGCACTCAGACCTTCTTTGTGACCAAGAAGTCAAAGGGTAAGAAGGGTTGCTGTCTTCCCACTGTCTACTGAAATCACAGGTCTCCATGTCTCAGAGAGCACCCTGGATGGCCACTGCCTTCCCTTCCTCAGAGATCAGAAGCACAGCATGATGCAAAACCACTACCCCCGAGGCCAGAAAGCCAGGCTCACCCACTGACTCCTCTCAAACTGATGGGCAGCCTGGGGCCAGTCACACAATGTCTGCCGTTATCATCAGTAAAATGAGAGTCCTTGTGAGGATTCAACAAAATCACAGACACAAATGTCTACCACCTGTGTAAGTACAATGCTCATGAGAGAAAAAGTCCAATTAAGCTGAATTTTCTAACTGAAGCTTTACTACCACGGTCCAGGCCCCTCTCTGGCTCCTGTAAACTCTGCCGAGCTCCAAACCCTCCCTTGGGGGGCGGCACTCCTACTCCCCACTCCTTCCTGAGGAGGCAGTGCTCCCACCTGTCACTCCTTCATGGGAGGGCACTCCTTCATGGAAGGGGTAGTGCTCCCACCCTTCACTCCTTTCTCGGGGGGGCAGTGCTCCCACCTGTCACTCCTTCCTGGGGGGGGCAGGGTAGTACTCCCACCCTTCACTCCTTCATGGGAGGGGTGGTGCTCCCACCCTTCACTCCCTCCTGGGGGGGGAAGTGCTCCCATCACTCCTTCCTGGGGGGGCAGTGCTCCCACCTGTCACTCCTTCCTGGGGGGGAGGGTAGTGCTCCCACCCTTCACTCCTTCCTGGGGGAGTAGTGATCCCGTTGCTCTTTCCTGGGGGGGGGCAATGCTCCCACCTGTCACTCCTTCCTGGGGGGGAAGTAGTGCTCCCACCCTTCACTCCTTCCTGGGGAGGGGGCAGTGCTCCCATCACTCCTTCCTGGGGGAGGGCAGTGCTCCCACCTGTCACTCCTTCCTGGGGGGGAGGGTAGTGCTCCCACCCTTCACTCCTTCCTGGGGGGGCAGTGCTCCCACCTGTCACTCCTTCCTGGGAGGGAGGGTAGTACTCCCACCCTTCACTCCTTCCTGGGGGGGGTAGTGCTCCCACCTGTCACTCCTTCCTGCGGGGGTAGTGCACCCGCCTGTTACTCCTTCCTGGGGGACTCTGCTCCCACCCTTCACTCCACCCTGAGAGGGGCAATGCTCCCACTCATCACTCCTTGTCACTCCCACTTGTTGCTCCTTACGGGAGGGCTTGAAGTGCTCTGGTACAAAGACTTGGAGGGAGTACTTACTCCCACTCCTCCCTCCTCCCTCAGGGGGCGGCGTGCCCACCCATCATTCCCAGCCTCCAGCAGGAAGACTCAGAACTCAGCCTCTGGGCAGGTGCCGACAGTGCCATATCCCTAGGCTCTGGGTTCAGGTCCCAGGAAGTGTCCTGTGCTCCCTGCGGGGTCTGAGAATCCAGAAGATTCTCAGACTGCCCTGCCCTGCCCTCTGTGCTCAGCTGTCATGGTAAGCTGTGAAACACACTGCCTCCAAGGCCTCCCTACCTACATAAGTTGGTAATTCTCAGACTGCCCTGCCCTGCCCTCTGTGCTCAGCTGTCATGGTAAGCTGGGAAACACACTGCCTCCAAGGCCTCCCCACCTACATAAGTTGGTAATTCTCAGACTGCCCTGCCCTGCCCTCTGTGCTCAGCTGTCATGGTAAGCTGGGAAACACACTGCCTCCAAGGCCTCCCTACCTACATAAGTTGGTAATTCTCAGACTGCCCAGCACTGCCCTCTGTGCTCAGCTGTCATGGTAAGCTGGGAAACACACTGCCTCCAAGGCCTCCCCACCTACATAAGTTGGTAATTCTCAGACTGCCCTGCCCTGCCCTCTGTGCTCAGCTGTCATGGTAAGCTGGGAAACACACTGCCTCCAAGGCCTCCCTACCTACATAAGTTGGTAATTCTCAGACTGCCCAGCACTGCCCTCTGTGCTCAGCTGTCATGGTAAGCTGGGAAACACACTGCCTCCAAGGCCTCCCTACCTACATAAGTTGGTAATTCTCAGACTGCCCTGCCCTGCCCTCTGTGCTCAGCTGTCATGGTAAGCTGGGAAACACACTGCCTCCAAGGCCTCCCTACCTACATAAGTTGGTAATTCTCAGACTGCCCAGCACTGCCCTCTGTGCTCAGCTGTCATGGTAAGCTGGGAAACACACTGCCTCCAAGGCTTCCCTACCTACATAAGTTGGTAATTCTCAGACTGCCCTGCCCTGCCCTCTGTGCTCAGCTGTCATGGTAAGCTGGGAAACACACTGCCTCCAAGGCTTCCCCTACCTACATAAGTTGGTAATTCTCAGACTGCCCTGCCCTGCCCTCTGTGCTCAGCTGTCATGGTAAGCTGGGAAACACACTGCCTCCAAGGCCTCCCCACCTACATAAGTTGGTAATTCTCAGACTGCCCTGCCCTGCCGTCTGTGTTCAACTGTCATGGTAAGCTGGGAAACACACTGCCTCCAAGGCCTCCCTACCTACATAAGTTGGTAAAGAGACTCAGGCCAGGGCCACCACCTCCCCCAGCCTCACAGAGAGGGCAGGACCATCATGGCCTATCGTGCCCCAACCCCAGAAGTGCTGGTGGATGTACCCAAGCCTGCCCAGGGCCAGAGCCCCCCTGAGCTCCACTGGGGAGAGACTGAGCCCTCCACAGGTTTGCGAGATCCCAGGCATGGAGGTAGCTGCAGAGCCTTCAGCTGATTATGAAAATCTATGGACAGGATCAGAAGAGGGAAGGGTGACCTCCCGCCGACAGAGAGCTGCTGAGGCTGACACTCCCATCAGTCAGGCCCCGCCAGGACAGGCCTCCCGCTGCCAGCCCCCTGCTCCTCACTGTCTTCAGGCAGCCTTTCTGACCCATGTAGGGTCACAGACCCCAGCCCACACTGGGCATGGCCTATGGGAGGGGGCTGTGTGCACCTGCAGGAAAGGATACAGCCTGGGCCCCTGATCAGGCCTCTCACTCACCCCAAAGTCGAAGCAGTTGAAGGAGGACCGGAAGTAGCTTCTGGGCCCCAGGCCATACATCTTCAGGGACATCTCTGTGAGGAAGAGACCCAGGAAAACAAACTCTGCAAAATCTAGGAGAAGCCGGAGAAGAGGGGGATTAGCTCGAGGCCTCCTCCCACTCTGGCTCCAGCCCAGACTGGAGGACACCAGACCTCTGGGCCTTCCCAGGGCTGAGCCTTCCAGGCCTGGCCTATGGTCCTATGCTCTGAAGTCTCAGCCTAGGAAAGGAACGATGGATTCAGAGGGACACGGAGAGGTACCTGTTCCAGTCTGAAAGGTGGTGAGTCCCTAGTGCCTCTGAGACCCAGAGAAGGACGGGCTCAGCAGGAGGCAAGCTCCCGAGATCAGCCCAGGTGTGAGTTCTGGGGTCATGGGGGTGCCCCCTCCTCACCAGAGGAGGTCCTGGGGCTATGAGGCAAAGGGCCCCATTTACCCCAAGGAGAGGCCCAGCTACAGCTTCCAGCTGGTCCTTCCGCCTCTGGCCTCACCCCAATCTCTGACCGAAGGTGGGGTCCCTCAACCTCCTTGTCAGAATCTCCCACCTTTCCACTGGGACTTCCCAGTGGAAAGACGCCTCTCCCCACAATGTCCACGGCACTGTGGCTGACTTGTATTCTGTTCACGTTTGCTGCCCCGAGGGTAGACCTCCTCCACCACTGCACTCCTCTCCAGCACGAGGCTGCCAAGAGGCACTGTCCCCTTGCACTGTCACCAAGTCACACAGAGGTTCCTGCGGGCACAGCAGCAGTGGAGGGGGGCTGTCTTGGGCTCAGAAGTCCTGCTGACCCTTCCGGGCCTCAGTACTGAGGGAGGCCATGCTGGGGCTAGAGGGCTGTGCTGGGAATTCAAGGTACACAGACTCTTGCTCACCCAGCCCAAGCAGAAAGAGGGAAGCAGCACAGAAGAACGCCGTGGCTCCAGAGCTGGGTGAGGCCACAGGCAGCAGGAGGCCCAGCGAGGCCCAGCCGCTGGCTGAGCCAGGAGTCCTAGGCGTCAGGGTGAGGCCACTGTCTCTGACTCTCCTCCCAAAGGGTTGGGCAGGGATTGGCTCTTAAACTTCTCACAGTGCTGGTCAGGCCAAAGGCACCATGGCTCTGCCAGGTCAGCAGGGGCTAGGGAGGCAACAGAGCCCAGGGCAGAGCCCACATGGAGAACAAGGCCCTGGGAGGGCATGAAGGGCAGGCCCCTGAGAGTCCACAACTGGGCAGAGTCCAGCTCGGCCTTCCCAGGGCTTCTGAATCCCCCTCTACAGTCTCTGTTGGGACACGGGACCTTCAGCAGACACAACTTCTGATAAAGCAGACACTGGAAGAGGGGGCCACACACTCTTCCCACCCCTATGCTCCTAAAATCTCCTCCACCAAGGGCTGTGCTGCACAGGTCCAGACAGCCTCGGTCGGGGGCAAGTCTGCAGCAGCCCAGACCTGGGATAAGCAGAGATGACAACTTCACAGACCACTCAGGCACCGTACAAACAGACAGGAGTCTCAGGGAGCGGACACCCCACTTTGTATGGCCTGAGGACATGGACAACCAGTTCCTTGGAGCAAGTCACCTGTAGCAAGCCTGGCCTCTGACACCAGCCAGAAAATCACCAGGCACTCAAGCTAAGCATGGGATGATAACAAGGCCAAGCAGTGTCCCTGGAGAAGCCGAGAGCCCCCTGTGAGAGGCATGGATGCCCAGCGACCCTCAGGCAGGGCTGCTCGGGAATGGAAGGATCCACCCTCAACTGAGACCACTGGACCCTACAGCTCTGACCTGGGCCTGGCTGTGCAGACCACCAGGTGTGAGATGTGGCAGGAAAGCCGTGACCCCTGCAGTCCAGTGCAGAGCACCCCAGCAAGCCCAGGGGAATACACAAGCAGCTTGGAAAGGCCCAACACGCCTGGCCACAAAGTCCCAGAGCCCCTCTGCGTGGGTCACAAAGGCCTCGGGCTCCCCACACGAGGGGCTCGGACCCAGGGAGGAGAGGCCCCAGAGATGGGACTGCTGGCACCCACACCCTAGATCTGGGAGGGGAGGCTACCCAGGCACACACCTTGCTCCCCAGGAGACCAAAGTGAGAGCACTTTGCAAGGAACAAGTACAAGAAATGCAAACGGTAAAACTTTCAGAGAAAGAGATCTGAAATCCTCCAACATCCTGTCTGCCCTCTCACTCTCCCTAGGAACAGAGGCCCTCAGCCTCACATACTCAGCCTCCACTCTGAGGCCCAGAAAGGGCATTCATTCGTACACTCTTGTATCATGCATCCTACCAGCAGGCACTGGTGCTGTTTTGAGCCAGCATGGGGACAGAGTTCACCCTTCTCCCCAGGAGTTCACAAGCTGAGGGGGAAACAGAGACAGATCACTAAAACCAGGTTTTGTCTTCCAAGAGGATGGTGTGCTATGGGAGCAGAGGGAGGGTGAGCAAGTCTGGTGAGCTGCATAAGGCCCCCCAGGGGCTCACAGGATGGCAAGTCCTGACAGTGCCCCTCTTAACCACTCGAGCCTCAATTTTGAAGGTTCTGGCAATGCATTGAGGGCAGGTCCTTGGAGAATGGACAGCCGAGGTGCACAGAACCCACGATGAGCCCCTGCAAAGCTGCTCTAGGCTGGGCGGCCACACCCCCTCGCCTCTGGCAAGCCTGTCCTACCTACTGAGCAAGCCTCCCTCAGGCCCAGCCCGGCTGTCAGGGACACTGCCCACATTTCCCTCCAGCCATTTTTCCCTCAGTGACACAATGAAGCCAGGAACTCCAGGAAACCACAGAGAAGACACAGTAGCGGTCTACGGTCAGGGATGCCTGTGGCCTCACCAACGCCTGGACACTGCCAGCCCTGTGCTCGCACACAGCAGATGCGCGACTGGGCTGTGCAGCCCTACCCCTACCCCACTGCCTGCCGACTCACTGCACACCAACAGCCTCTCACGGGGAAGAACAGGCCTAGTCACTGGGTCAGGAGGAAGTCCTTGGTCCCCACCTGACCCCCAAGGGTGGGAAAACCTTAGCCGGAGGACTCAAGAGAGACACTGAACTCAGGCCCAAGCAAAGTCCCGAGGTACCACCCTGTGGGCCCCAGGACGTGTCAGTCAGGAGCTGGGACAGGCAGTTCCATGTACACAAGCTGCTTCTCGACCTGCAGCCGCCCAGGGAGCCTGAGCCGGAGCTCTCTTGGCTCCTTTTGCTTCTGCCCCTCCGCACCATCTCCCCGTTCGGAAGTCGTAGATTTCAATGTCAAGTTTGGGAAACTGTAGCCCAGAGTTCCACCCCAACACAGCCACTCTCCCACCCATGCTTCCAGGTGACCTGCAGCCCCATCTCTCCCACTGTGGAGCTGTCAGATCCTGCAGCTCAGGGAACCCTCACACTCCTGGGCAGAGCAGGTGAGGCCCTCTGGTCTACAGAGCAGGGCTCAGCCGGCCGGCTAGAGCCCTGGTGAGGCCACCGTGACAGCAGGACACAGTGACAGCCAGGCTGGAACTGGGAGCTGGGATAGCTCTTCTCTGGAGTCGGAAAAGGCTTTCCTGGGTGCCTCGGCAGCTTCAGGCAAACAGGGCCCTCAAGGGGAGACTGAGGCCCTCCAGGGAGCCCCAAACAGGCCCTGTCTCCAGATCCGCTGTAGACACCCAGCAGGGTGAGTGCAGCTGACCCCTGGGGTCAGGAGGGCTGAATCACTACCTGAAAGGACATAAAACATGGGTGGACTCTTTGGTTTTGATCCTGTTTGTGAAGTAAGACCACAGAGCAATGCTGTATTCCACATGGGACAGAGAGTCCGAGGCTGTGACAGACCAGGCCTGGAGGGGCCCATCCTGGCCCCTGTGCTGAGGCTTGTGGAACAGAACTGCAAACAGCTCACTCCACGGAAGGGCATGAATGCATCCAGATTTAGCCAATTGTAAAGAAAAATGAAGGTAACCAGGGGAACCTGGGGAGGGTAAGAAGCCAGGACTCCCCCCTCAGGAACCCGGGGCAGAATCAGCAGCCACGTGGTGGAAAGGAGCGTGGGGCTAAGTCCCCTGTCTGTGGGTCTGAAGCCCTCTCAGGGGAGGACACCCATCTGCCTGGCCTGACTCGCCCCTGGTCGTCCCACATATATCCTGCCCTGGGTGCCTCGGACCCCTCAACCAGTCTCACACTATGCTGAGGGACAGGGGTCTAGCAGATCCAGCTGTGCTTTCTGGAACCCAGGGGCTGGAGAGGCCACCCTCCAGCTCTGGACACACCCCAGGCCCCCACAGAGGCTCCTGGAGGCTGACTAGGGCTGTGGGATACTTTGAGCAACATGGGGGTGGGTCCCGTCCCACCTGGGGTAGCCCCAGGGCATGGACCAGGGTTTCCAGACTGAGAGCAGAGATGCTCAGGAAGCACCTGAGGGAGGGACGGGGATACGTACACAGGGTCGTGGTAAGCCGCCGCGGCTGGTTGTAATGCACCATGGCCACACACAGTGTGTTCAGGGCCACCACGCACAGCACCACCCAGTAGAAGCTCTGAGCCTTCACCATGCGCCGGATAAAAAACCGGAACATCTTCTCCTTCCTCCGGAAGTATGACGAGCTCTCTGTCTTCCCGCTCTTGAGGCTGGCGCGGGCGAAGGGGGATCCTGAGGGGATGGGGAGTTACTGAGGATGTGGGGACCAATGGGCACCCGCCTACCCCACCTGTGGACCCCCACAGACGCACTCTGGAGGACACCTGCCCCCAGCCCCAGCCGGTCACAGACAATTGTGCCAGTGACCCCTGTGACCTCCACTTCACAGCTGAGGGAACCAAGGCCCTGATGATCTCCATGGTTACTGGGTGCCAGATGTGAGAGCCAGATTGAAGTGGATGATCTGTACTCACTTCTCTGGTCCCCAGCATCCCCAGCCACCTTCTAGGAGCACAGCCCTGATGCCCCCAGGCCACTCTCCATGAGCACCCCAAGCTTTTTCCCCTGAAGACATAAATCTGAGTTAGTCCCTCCCCAGATCCCATCTCTTCAGCATAGCCCACAGAGCCCTGCAGCATCTGGCCCTCCCTCTCTCGCCCTCCGGACTCAGGGGTCAGCACGCATGGGCTGCCTGTTTTCTAAGCAGTTTTCCTGGAACACAGCCAAGCTCATCGGTTTACGCATGGTCCATGGCTGTTCAATGTCCACAATACTTACTGTTGGAAACTTTGTCTACCTGCTCCAGCCTGACTGCTTCTCTACCCTGCTCACCACCCAACCCAGCAGCCTTTTCCCATGTCCACGCACACCAGTCCTGCTGTGCCCTGGCCCTTCACACAATATCCCAAGTGTGAAATGCGTCCCTCACTGGACTCCTTCCCACACACTTTCAAGTCTCAGCATTAACGTCACCTGCACAGAGCACCTGCTCTGGGCACACCATTTAGAACAGGGCCCTCGGCTCACCTCCGACAGTGGCCCTGACCACATCACCACCTGTCACTGTGTTTTATTGTTGACCTGTTCCATGCCCAACTCCCAGACAAGACTGTAGGCTCCATGAGGACAGGGCCACATTGTCTTCTTCACCACTGAGCCCCTCACACTGAGAGGGGCTTGATCAATGCTTAACAACTGAGGGAAGGGTCTCTATGAGGATTCAGGTGTGTCTGTACAGGAGCTGGCTGTGTCTCTGCAGGAGAGCACATCTGCCTGTGTAAGGGTTTCTTAGTTTGTGCACTAAGCCTGGCCATGTGGGTGCCTCTCAGTGTTCTCAGAGAGCAGACAGCTGTGCCCCAGCCATGGGTCTCTCAGTGGGCTTTGAATACCTGGGCTTGAGCATGGGGTCCCTGTGTGAGGATGTGGGGAGCAGTGTATGCTACATGTACTTTCTGTGTGTTTGTACACACATGCATATGTGTGCACACCCAGGTTCTCAGTGGCACAAAAGAGCAGGGGCAGTGTGGGCATGTGTGCTATGCATATTTTCTGTTTGTACACACATGCATATGTGTGCACACCCAGGCTCTCAGTGGCTCTCATAGCTCGTGTGCTATGTGCATTTTCTGTGTGTTTGTACACATGTGTGTACATGTGCACACCCAGGCTCTCAGTGGCATGTGGCCAGCCCTGCTGAAGGCCAGGGATGACCACTCCCCACAGAGGCAGCAGTAGGGCAGGAGGGAGGCAGGTGTGCAATGCAGATAAGGAGGGGCACACACACAGGCAGAGCTGTGCACAGAACAAGCCCACACACTCTGAACCCCCCATGCACCCACACACAGTTGTGCAGGAACACAGGAGTCACACACGCACATGCTTCACAGCACACATCCAGCCTGACCACGCTCACTTTTGAAGATCCAATGAGATGCTCACACAGACACACTCCTCAGTGCACATGAGGCACACACCTGTGGACACAAACAGGGCCACTCTGGGAAGGAGGGAAAGAGAACACGTGACTCATGTAAACCCACTGTGTCTGCACACACACGTGGCCAGGAAGACAAGCAACAAATTCTCCAAAGGGGACTCTGTGGCCATCCCCACCAGCCAGTAAGAACCAGTCAGCCTCTGCTATGAGAAAGGCCTCATAGAAATGCTGCCCTTTCACAATGGGCCACAGCCCCCCACACACACACATCTTCCTGTGCACACAACACAAGACAACCACACACATCCTCGCCTGTCACAGGCACAACCATAGTCATGCCAACAGCCGTATTTGCACAGAACCACACTCCCCAGACATTGCCCTTAAAGTCCACCAGTTCCTTGCTGTAAACATCGACTTTAGAGAAGCCAGAGGCGCCAGAGCCAGGGGACTGAGCAAGACCTAACAGAGGGACTCCTGATCCAGACGCCCTGGGGGAGAGCTGGGTGCAGCCCCTCACATCCCAGCTCAGCAACCCCAGCAGCACCCAAGACAGATGCATTTGTTCCCCGGGGATGAGGCACAGGTCCCTAAGGACAGCAAGCAGCCACTGTGGACTCCAGTCTGCTCCAGTAAAAGCAGAGAGTCTACAGGAAACGCGGAAACATCTCTGGAATCACAGCTTTGGGAAAACCAAGAGAGACTGGGCTTCTTTTCAGCTTCCTGCATTTTCCAGGGTTCACTTAATTAGCATATATTCTTTATAATGAAAAAGCTTATTTCAAGAAAAATGATAGGACATCTTCAAGCTAGGGAGAAATTCCATATTACATTAACCTATGAATGATGACACAGTGAAGTACTGCTGAGAATAGGGCCTGACTGCTGCAAATACTTAGATTTCTTTCTCTTGTGCCCTAAGGCAGACTCTTTGCTAGTCCTGGGTAACCCCCATTTGTTCAAAAAATGTGTACAAATTGTGCCAGGCCCTGACCAAAGCCCAGAAAACACAAAATGACCAACATCCATCCCTGTTCTCAATAACCCTTCTAGAGGACAGTGGGGAGACAGACAAGAAAGTGTTTCCTTCCAGTGCAGCTGCTGTATTTGCCACTGGGGGCAACAAAAGTGACGTGAGGCTAAAGCACGAGCTGATGGAGGCCCTAATGGCTGTCACCCCTGGCCCTCGTGCACATCACGCAGCCTGGAGATTCCTCAACTGAAAACAGAGCACAGTCACCTGTACCTCACAAGGTGGTGTGGGATTCAGTGAGACAGCACAGGGCCAAGCTCAGCGGGGCTCAACCAGCTGACAAGGCGTCAGGGCCGACAGGGTGACACGGGTTATGGGCAAGCCTGGGGTGGTGACACAGCCAGTCCTCAGGCAGAAGGCAGTCGAGGGCACCAAGCAGTGCTGAGAATGTGGAGATTCAAGCACGGCTTCGTCTCCTCCCCACCAGGCCCCAGGCCCCAAGCCCACCCTGAACCAACAGTGGAGGCCAGTGGGTCCTGAATGTAAGTGAATCCTCGGTGTCTGCTGGGTACCCAGAAGGAAAAGTCAACAAAGGCCCAGAGATCCAAGTATAGCAACACATAACTCAAAATAAAACAAAACTAAAAGAGAGAGAAAAAAACTTTTAGAGAAGAAATAAAATTCTCTTCGGAAACCACTCAGCAGATGAAAAAAAGGGGAGTTCAGTCAAGCGCAAGCAGCATCTCCAACGTGGAGGTGAACGCGAGCTCAAGGAAGAGGGCATGGACTGACAGGAGCAGAGCAAGCAACACCACGTGAAACAGGAGGGGCTCCAGATGCAGGAGATCAAGAAAAGGAGACAGAATAATGAGACAAACGGAGGGAAGCACTCCGCGCCAGAGGGGCCCTGAGCCTGCAGTTTGAGGGGCAGACAGAGAGCAAGTCACTGACAAAGGAAAAGCATCCGAGTGTCCGATGCCTCATGTGCAACAGGAAATGAGAGAGAGAGACACTTGCAGTGGGCACAGCAGCCTGGATCTCGCTCCTCAGTGGGGAACAAGGAAGGGCACCTGAGAGTACACAGGAACTCGAAGAGTCAGCCACCACCAACACCCCCATTCATTTCAGGGGAGAGCAGCCGAGTGACAGGACAGAGTTAAAACGGAGGAGACAGTCCTGCAGTGAGCAAGGACTGAAGAGAAGAGAAGATGCTAAGGTAAACCTAGGTGACTGAGGTTAGGGCTCTGAGAGCGGGCCACGGGAATGATAGCTGAGGGCCCCTGGGCATAGGGGAGCCTGTGGGGGCAGTCTGAAGGGACGGGCGACAGTCAAGAATGAAAAGTGAACACCCTCAAACCAGGATGCGGAGGCAGGGCAAGTACTGGAAAGGCTGTGACTTACTGGGTATGGGTGGAGGCAGAATAAAGGGAAATAGACCAATTGAGTGATGGAACTAGTACATCTTGGTACTAAAGATGCTAAAGAAACAAAAACAGTAAAGAGGTACGTTGACAATTATGAGAGCAGGGAAGGGAAGGCAACCTTTTGTGGAACAGAAGAATTAGAGAGTAAAAATAAGCAAGGGAGGAGAGGAGCAATAAACAGCAACTCGATTAAAGCAGCAGAACTTGGGATGAAGAATAGAGTCAAACATTATACTAAATGGAGAGACTGGATTCACCCGTTACCATTAGAAACAGACACCATACAACTGGGTTTTTTTTTTAAAAAAAAAAAAGCAAAACCACCAAGCCAGGCATGGTGGTGCACACCTATAGTCCCAGCTACTCAGGAGGCTGAGACAGGAGGATCATCCTGGGCAACGTAACTCTGTCTCTTAAATACATAAATAAAATTTTAAAAAATTGGCTGGGTGCGGTGGCTCACGCCTGTAATCCCAGCACTTTGGGAGGCCAAGGCGGGCGGATCACGAGGTCAGGAGATCGAGACTGTCCTGGCTAACATGGTGAAACTCCTTCTCTACTAAAAATACAAAAAATTAGCTGGGCGTGGTGGCACGTGCCTGTAGTCCCAGCTACTTGGGAGGCTGAGGCAGGAGAATGGCTTGAACCCAGGAGGCAGAGGTTGCAGGGAGCTGAGATCGCACCACTGCACTCCAGCCTGGGTGACAGAGCAAGACTCCGTCTCATTAAAAAAATAAAAAATAAAAAAAATTTTGGCCAGGCACAGTGGCCCACGCCTGTAACCCCAGCACTTTCAGAGGCTGAGGCAGGCAGATCACGAGGTCAGGAGATCGAGACCATCCTGGCTAACACGGTGAAACCCAGTCTCTGCTAAACAAAATGCAAAAAATTAGCCAGGCCTGGTGGTAGGTGCCTGTAGTCCCAGCTACTCAGGAGGCTGAGGCAGGAGAATGGCATGAACCCGGGAGGCAGAGCTTGCAGTGAGCCAAGATCGCGCCACTGCACTCCAGCCTGGGCAACAGAGCAAGACTCTGTCTCAAAAAAAAAAAAAAAAATTTAAAAGGCAGAACCCAGGTAAATACAATTTACAAGAACACTTAAAATGATAAAGAAGAGCTGGAAATGAAAGGAAAAGAAAGGTACCAGGCAAATGCAAGTTAAAAACCAAAACCAGTGATAGCAACAAAAAGTAGAACCAATGACATTCAATGTCGACAAGGTGCAACTGTCCAGCAGAGGAACTGCACAGATTAAGAAGGTACTGTGTGATGAAATAAAGCATAATTTAGGAAGAAGATGTAACAATCATAAACTTTATATTGCCCAAACTATACAGTGACTAAATATATAAACAAAAGTCACTAGAAATACAAGAGGAACTTCATAAAAAATAAAATGAGCTGGGCACAGTGGCTCACGCCTGTAATCCCCACACTTTGGGAGGCCAAGGCGGGCGGATCATGAGGTCAGAGTTCAAGACCAGCCTGGCCAACCTGGTGAAACCCTGTCTCTACTAAAAACACAAAAATTAGCTGGGCGTGGTGGTGGGTGCCTGTAATCCCTCTGAGGGAGGAGAATCGTTTGAACCCAGGAGGCAGAGGTTGCAATGAGCCGAGATCATGCCATTGCATTCCAGCCTAGGCGACAGGGTTAGACTCTGTCTTAAATAAATAAATAAATAAATAAATAAATAAATAAATAAATAAAATGAAGTAGGACTACAGGCATGCACCACCATGCTCAGCTAAGTTTTTAATTTCTTTGTAGAGGTGGGATCTCACTATGTTGTCCAGGCTTGTCTCAAACTCCTGGCCTCAAGCAATCTTCTGGCCTCAGCCTCTCAAACTGCTGGGATTACAGGCATGCGCCACCGCGCCCGGCCAATAGACTTGATTTTAATAAATATACCTATAATCCAATATCTTTTAAACACAGGACACAGGAGGGGCAGGGCAGGCCACCACTTTGGTCATTCAGGCTTCTCAGCCATTCCAGCCTGTGGGACTTGGAAAGCTCAAACTGATCAGGGAACGAAGGCATCTCCAAAACAGCACAGCTGCTCTATCAAAAAGCAGTCAGGCTGCTTCTTTAAATGGGTCCTTGATCCCATTCCTCCTGACTGGGTAAGACCTCCCAACTGGGGTCTCCAGCCACCTCCTACAGGCACATTCAGGCCAGCAATAGGTCAGCACCCCCTGGGACAAAGCTTATAGAGGATGCGGCAGGATGCCATCTTTGCTGTTTCACGACCTTCACTGGCGATACCACCAAGTACAGGGAAAACCAAGGCAACTAGGCTCTGGAGTGGACCCACAGAAAACTGCAGCAGCCCTAGGGAAGAGAGGCCAGACTGCTAAAAGGAAAGCAAACAAACAGAAAACAACAACAACAACAAAACACAAAAACCCCATCCAAAGGTCAGCAACCTCACAGATCAAAGGTGGATAAGCCCACAAAGATGAGAAATAATCAACACAAAAATGCTTAAAACTCAAAAAGCCAGAGTGCCCCTTTTCTTCCAAATGACCACAACACCTCTCCAGCAAGGGCTCAGAACTGGGCTGAAACTGAGACTGTTGAAATGATAGAAGTAGGCTTCAGAAGGTGGGTAATAATGAACTTCACTTATGAGGCTATAAGAGCATGTGGTAACCCAATGCAAAGAAGCTAACAATCATGATAAAACAATACAGGAACTGATAGCCAATACAGCCAGTTTAGAAAGGAACATAACCAACCTGTTAGAGCTGAAAAACACACTACAAGAACTTCACAATGCAATCACAAGTATTAATAGCAGAACAGATCAAGCAGAGGAAAGAATCTCAGAGCTGGAAGACAATTTTTCTGAAATAAGACAGGCAGACAAAAACAGAGAAAAAAGAGTGGAAAGAAATGAACAAAACCTCTGAGAAATATGGGATTATGTAAAGAGACTGAATCTATGACTGATTAGGATAACTTAAAGAGACAGGGAGATTGGAACAAGTTGGAAAATGTACTTCAGGATATCATCCAGGAGAACTTCCTCAACCTAGCAAGACTGGCCAACATTCAAATTCAGGAAATGCAGAGAGCCCCAGTAAAATACTCCATGAGAAGATCATCCCCAAGACACATAATCATCAGACTCTCTAAGGTTGAAGTGAAGGAAAGAATGTTAAGGGCAGCCAGAGAGAAAGGCCAGGTCACCTGCAAAGGGAATCCCATCAGACTAGCAGTGGACCTCTCAGTGGAAACCCTACAAGCTAGAAGAGATTGGGGGCCAATATTCAACATTCTTAAAAGAATTCCAAATCCAGAATTTCATATCTGGCCAAATCAAGCTTCATAAGTGAAGGAGAAATAAGATCCTTTTCAGGCAAGCAAATGCTGAGGGAATTCGTTATTACCAGACCTGCCCTACAAGGGGTCCTAATGGAAGCACTAAATATGGAAAGGAAAAACCATTACTAGCCGCTGCAAAAACAAACTGAAGTAAACAGACCAGTGACACTATGAAGAAACTACATAAAAACTCTGCAAAATAACCAGCTAGCATCATGATGACAGGATCAAATCCACACGTAACAATACCAACTTTAGGCGGGCCATGGTGGCTCACGACTATAATCCCAGCACCTTGGGAGGCCGAGGCAGGCAGATCATTTGAGGTCTGGAGTTCAACCAGCCTGACCAACATGGTGAAACCTCATCTCTACTAAAAATACAAAAAAATTAGCCAGGTGTGGTGGCACATGCCTGTAGTCCCAGAGATACTTGGAAGGCTGAGGCAGGAGAATCACTTGAACTTGGGAGGCGGAGGTTGCAGTGAGCTGAGATCACGCCACTGCACTCCAGCCTGGGCGACAGAGTGAGACTGTCTCAAAAAATAATAATAATAACAATACTAACTTTAAATGTAAATAGGCTAAATGCACCAATTAAAAGACGCAGAATGGCAGGCAGGTTAAAGAACCAATACCCATCAGTATGTTGTCTTCAAAAGACCCACATCACATGCAAAGACACACATGGGCTCAAAATAAAGGGATGGAGGAAAATTTATGAAGCAAATGGAAAACAGAAAAGAGTAGGGGTTGCAATCCTAGTTTCTGACAAAACAGACGTTAAATCACCAAAGATCAAAAAAGATGATGAAGGGTATTACATAGTGGTAAAGGGTTCAATTCAACAAGAAGAGCTAAGTGTCCTAAATATATATGTACCCAATACAGGAGTACCCAGATTCATGAAGCAAGTTCTTGGAGACTTCAAAGAGACTTAGACTCTCACACAATAACAATGGGAGACTTTAACAACCTACCAACAATATTAGGCAGATCATCAAGACTGAAAATCAACAAAGACATTCAGGAGTTGAACTCACCTCTGGATCAAGTGGACCTGATAGATATATACAGAACTCTCCACCCAAAGACAACGTAATATACATTCTTCTCATCGCCACACAACACTTACTCTAAAATTGATCACATAATTGGAAGTCAAACACTCCTCAGCAAATGCAAAAGAACTGAAATAATAACAGTCTCTAAGACCATGGTACAATCAAATTAGAACTCAAGATTAAGAAATTCACTCAAAACCACACAACTACATGCAAAATGAACAACCTGCTCCTGAATGAATTTTGGGTAAATAATGAAATTAATGCAGAAATCAAAAAGTTCTTTGAAACTAATGAGAACAAAGATATAACATACCAGAATCTCTGGGACACAGTTAAAGCAGTGTTAAGAGGGAAATTTATAGCACTAAATGCCCATACCAAAAAGAAAGATCTCAAGTTAACAACCTAACATCACAACTAAAAGAATTAGAGAACCAAGAGCAAACAAACCCCAAAGCTAGCAGAAAACAAGAAATAACTAAGATCAGAGCTGAACTGAAGGAGATAGAAAACATGAAAAATCCATCAAAAAAATCAATGAAAACAGGAGCTAGTTTTTTGAAAAAAAAAAAAATTAATAAAATAGATAGACCACTAGCTAGACTAAAAAAAAAGAGAAGAGAGAAGATTCAAATAAACACAATCAGAAATGATAAAGGAGATATCACCACTGACCCCACAGAAATACAGACAACCATCAGAGAATACTATAAACACCTCTATGCACATAAACTAGAAAATCTAGAAGAAATGAATAAATTCCTGGACACATACACCTTCCTAAGATTGAACCAGGAATAAATTGAATCCCTGAAAAGACCAATAATGAGGTCTAAAATTGAGGCAGTAATAAATAGCCTACCAATCAAAAAAAGCCCAGGTCCAGATGGACTCACAGCTCAATTCTCCCAGAGGTACAAAGATGAGCTGGTATCAATTCTACTGAAACTATTCTAAACAATTGTAAAGGAAGGACTCCTCCCTAACTCATTCTATGAGACCAGCATCATCCTCATACCAAAACCTGACAGATACAACAAAAAAAGAAAACTTCAGGCCAATATCCTAGATGAACATTGATGCAAAAATCCTCAACAAAATACTGGCAAACCAAATCCAGCAGCACATCAAAAAGCTTATCCACCACAATCTATCCACCACAATCAAGTAGGCTTCATCCCTGGGATGCAAGGTTGGTTCAACATACCCAAATCAATAAATGTGATTCATCACATAAACAGATCTAAAGGCAAAAACCACATGATTATCTCAATAGATGCAGAAAAGACCTTCAATAAAATTCAACATCCCTTCATGTTAAAAACTCTTAATAAACTAGATATTAAAGGGACATACCTCAGAATAATAAGAGACATATATGACAAAGCCATAGCCAATATCATCATGAATGGGCAAAAGCTGGAAGCATTCCCCTTGAAAACCTGCACAAGACAAGATGTCTCTCACCACTCCTATCCAACATAGTATTGGAAGTTCTGGCCAGAGCAATCTGGCAAGATAAAGAAATAAAGGGTATTTACATAGAAAGGGAAGTCAAACCATCTTTGTTTGCAGATGCCATCATCTGAGCCCAAAATATTCTCAAGCTGATAAACAACTTCAGCTAAGTCTCAGGATACAAAATCAATGTTCAAAAATCGCCAGCATTCTTATATACCAACAACAGGCAAGCTGAGAGCCAAATTATGCATGAACTCCCATTTGCAATTGCCACAAAAAAATAAAAATAAAATACCTAGGAATAAAGCTAGGATGTATTCCCTATTATTAAATAGAATACCCTACTTAATAAACGGTGCTGAGAGAACAAACAACCCCATTAAAAAGTAGGCAAAGGCCATGAACGGACACTTCTCAAAAGAAGACATACGTGTGGCCAACAAACATGAAAAAAAACCAACGTTACTGATTATTAGAGAAATACAAATCAAAACCAAAATGAGATATCATCTCACCCCAATCAGAATGACTATTATTAAAAAGTAAACAAAACAAAACAAACATGATGGAGAGGTTGTGGAGAAAAAGGAACACTTTACACAGTCTCCAGAGAGACCCTTATACCACAGAAGCCAGAGGGTGTCACCCCTCTGCAAACCACCAGGGCGGCCTGGGGTCCCGGTTGGAAGTGAGCCTGTCTGACTCTCAGGTTTCCTCGACCGCTACCGACAGCCCATGGCACCTCACTCCAGCCGCGCTGGCCTCCAAGACGTTCTCCACACCTGGGTGCCAAGCACAGCCTTGCCTCAGGGTCTTGGCACTCGTTGCCTGGAATGTCCTTTCCCAGAGGTCCCTCAGGCCGACCTCACCTCTCCCCTGACCTCCCCTCTCTCCCCTGGGCATCCCTCAGGCTGACCTCCCCTCCCTGGCGGCGTCTCGCATCTCCCCTCTCCTGGGTGTCCTTCATTCAGGCCGACCTCCCCTCCCCCTCCGTCTCTCAGGCTGACCTCCCCTCCCCCTCCCCCCCAGTCAGGCCAACCTCCCCCACACCCCACCGCCGCGTCCCTCAGGCCAACCTCCCCTTCCCGCTCCCCTACCTCGCCACCCCACGCCCCGTGTCCCTCAGACCGACCTCCCCTCTCCCCGGACCTCCCTTCTCTCCGGGTGTCCCTCAGGCCTAACTCCCCTCTCCCGGCTTCCCTCCGGCCGACCTTCCCTCCCCCTCCCCCTCACTCAGGCCAACTTTCCCTCCCCGCCACACACGTTCCTCAGGCCAAGCTCCCCTCTCTCTCCAGGTCGGCCTGAGAGTAGTTCCTCAGGCTGACCTCCCCTCCCCTGGCTTCCCTCAGGCCAACCTCCCCTCTCCCCCGCCCCGGCGTCCCTCAGGCGTCCTCACTTCCTGCAACTCTTTTACTCAAAGGCAGTCTTTTTCCTCAGGCCTTCTATGGCCATGAACTTCTGGCACCGCCCCCCCTCCACACGCTTCCACTCCTGCCTTCCTGACCTCTTCCTCCTCCGGACAGGGGCTCTGGCATGCGGCCTATTTTCCTTACTATCTTATTTGTTGTTTGATGCCCCCACTGGACGGAAACTCCAATGATGAAGGGCCTTTATTAGGAGTTTCTCCAGTGTCGCGGCCCCCATGCCTCCGTTGCTGGCACGTGGCGGGCACTGGATAGACATCTGCTGAATGAGGCACAAGCACTCGACACAGGCGAGGTTAAGAGAATCGCCAGAGAGCCGGTGCACAGCGCCACAGAAAGGGATCCCAACACCCTGAGAACGGGGCGATTTCCTAACAAAGCCTAAGTCACAACACTGGTCCAAATCCTTTTTTTTTTTCTTTTTTGGATTATATAGATTCACAGTTTTATCTCATCTATAAAAAAAGATAATTCCAGTGTTATTTAAAGGATTCCAAACCATAGATGAAGACATTTTAACTCTTCAATTCATTTTACAAAATCAGAATAAAAACTCTAGATAAAATAGCAATAGAAGGAAACTATTTAGCTACCACAATCATATAATAAATTGTTTAAAATTATAAGATGGACCAGGTGTGGTGGCTCACACCTGTAATCCCAGCCCTTTGGGAGGCCAAGGTGGGTAGATCACCTGAGGTCAGGAGTTCGAGAACAGCCAGGCCAACACGGTGAAACCCTGTCTCTTCTAAAAATACAAAAAATTAGCTGGGCAGTTGGTGCATGCCTATAATCCCAGCTACTCGGGTTGCTGAGGCAGGAGAATCACTAGAACCTGGGAGACAGAGGTTGCAGTGAGCCGAGATTGCACCATTGCACTCCAGCCTGGGCAACAAGAGCGAAATTTTTGTCTCAAAAAAAAATTAATTAAATAAAATAAAATTATAAGATGATAAAACATTCAGATCTATGATATACATTGGTATCTCATTATTGTCAAAATAAATACAAAATAATTTACAAACAAACTCACTAGAAAACTGTATAGCATATGGGAAGAGTCACCAAAGGCCAAGTCCAGACAGGGAACAAACATTTAGAAAGAGGGCCAGCATCACGGACAGTAGGAGAAAGGAAAATTGTAGTGCCAAAGAAATATTACTCTACACTCATCAAATTGGCCTCAAACTGGGAAAAATCAAAAGGAGCCGTCACATAGCACTGGATGAGGGCGAAGGTTGGCCTGTACTGTGGATGGAATGTGGGGTCGCACAGAACTCTGAACAGTACCACACCCTTACCCTCAGCACCTGCTCCTGGGAATCTGCCCCACAGAGAAAAGCACTAGTGAGGAAGGACAGCCATTCACAAAGACTTGGGGGCAGTATTTTTCATAGTGAGATAAAAGCACTAGAAATAAATGGCCATCAGCAGACGATCAGCAGACGAGCAACTGAACAACTCCAGTGACTCCACATCAGCAACGCCAGGTTGCACCCGACAAGGGGGGCTAGAATCAGACAAATTGATTAGGAGCAGATTAGGAAAGGGACTGGTGAGAAAAGTTTGTATGAAATCATTTTTGTAACAGAAGACTCCAAAACTCTACATGCATATTTGTGTGTGGATGTATGAGTGTTTGTGTGTGTTATCTGAGGTGAGCATGGAGAAATAGGGAAGGGTACATTGGAAGTTGTTAACAGGAGTTTCCTAGTGCTGAGTGAGGACAGAAAAGGTCCAGTTTAAGTGTATGTGTGTGTACGCATGAGTGTGTGTGTGTTTCCTGTTTTATTAAAGAGTTCTGTCTCATACATGTAACAATATAATGGTAGACATCTTCTAAATCTGGTCCACTCACAGACTGCTGTACAGCAAGGAAGTCCAGATTGGATCTGACTTGGTGTCTCAAAATGAAGCAAGGCCCAGGCACTTCTGGAACCAGAATCTGGTACCAGATAGAGAGGAAGGGAACCGACACAGCTCTGTTGGATAAATTAACCAGAATGTTCCTTGTACTATTTGAGAGGTAGGGGATGACACAACAGCCTCAGAGGCAGCAGGTCCAGAAAGTGAAAAAGAGACAGGGGCTGAAGAGAGAGGTGGCCCTATAGAGTCCTCCAGCCTTGGGATATGGCTAAGGGCCCTATGTCCACATGGGGGTCACAAAGCCAGGAGCAGCAAACTGTCTGAAAGGAGCCTGCAGGCGTTTGGGCAAGAAGGGGCGTCCAACAGTGGCTGGGTAGCAGGGGAAGCGGAGCATGCACTCCATGTCCAGCTCAAGCCTGGCAGAGCTGGAGGGACACCCTGAGACTCACCAACAGCACAGAGATCTGCAAACCGGTCCTCTCCCTCCTCTGCGTGGATCAGGTCATTTCTGCTCTTCTTGGTGGCCGCTCTCTTCAGCACTGCTTTAAACAAAGGATGGGAGAGACTGCCTGAGCTGCAGCCCTCAGGCCACCTGCCTCAGCGGGGCATGGGATCACCCTCCCCCTGGGACCAGTGACCTCTCCTGAGCTCCTGTCCTGAACTGGGGCTGAGGCCGGATGATTGTGGGCCCCCTTGGGTCCCTCCCAGTCCCCAGAGCTGAAGGGACAAGGAATTTTGAGGGTGAGGGGTCCCCGCTTTCCCTTTCTTCCAAAATGAGGCCAGTGGGGAGGCCTGGCCACCAGGGAGACCAGGAAACGTCCATCTGGGGCAAGGCCAGGACTACAACAGGGACAGCATAGACCTGCTCAGAGCCGCAGGCATGGGGCCGGCTGAGATTGCCACGGAAGTGCCCATGCTGTCTGGCCCTGACCTGAGCGGTGGGTGTGCAGAGAGGGCAGCCTTCCTGCTGCTGCAGCTATGCTGGTAACTAGTGCCAGCAACCACAGCAGTGGGGCCCGGGCTCCCTCTCATGGCCCCAGGTTGTGCCATGAGCCCTCCCATGGTCTCTGGGAGCAGCAGCACCCCAAGCCCTGGGGATAGACACAGCTCGGTTTAAACCTGCAGTGTGGGCCTGTGTCAGGTGCCAGGGTCAGACACCATGGCCCTAGTCTGTGTTCATGTGATGGCTGTGCAGGTGCCTGGCACTGCCAAGAGCACTTCGCGTGAAACATGCAAGCAGGCACGTGTCACCACCCACGTGGCCACCAGAGCACTCCACCACACAGGAGTACCAGCAAGTGCCACCTACCGTCCAAAGGGGACTTCTCCTCTGCATTCCTGTCCTCCTCGGCCAGCATGACTTCCTCTGCGAGGGGAACACAGCCTCAGGTCAGAGCCCTCCTGACCCCAGGAATGCCCCAGGACAGAGGCACATCTCTGTCTGGAAGGCCCTGCCTTCTCAGCTCTTTTTTTTTTTTTTTTTGAGATGGAGTCTCGCTCTGTCACCCAGGCTGGAGTGCAGTGGCACAATCTCGGCTCACTGCAACCTCCACCTTCCGGGTTCAAGCGATTCTCCTGCCTCAGCCTCCCCACTGGGATTACAGGGACGTGCTACCATGCCCGGCTAATTTTTGTATTTTTAGTAGAGATGGGGTTTCACCATGTTGGCCAGGATAGTCTTGAACTCCTGACCTCAGGTGATCCGCCCACCTCGGCCTCCCAAAGTGCTGGGACTGTAGGCGTGAGCCACTGCACCTGGCTGCCTTATCAGCTCTTAGACTTCCAGAAGCCAGCAGGGCCCACAGCTGAGCTTTTTCTACAGGGACAGACAGTCCCCTGTGAAGAGGACTCAGCCGCCTTGTGTCTGCCCGTCCCTACCCACACGTCGCTTCCCTGAGAACAGCTGTGCCACAGGCGAGTTCATCTCTGAAGAGGCACTTGGGAAACCTTAGGAGGTGTGAGTGGATGCCCCATGTGGAGGAAAGAGTGCTGGCCTGGGGCGAGGGGAGGGAGTCCAGGCTTGACAAAACCCAGAGTCAGGGCACAGAAGGGACTTGGCTGACACTAATGGGGAGAGACCAGCTTTAGGCTGGGCCATGGCAGAGTCCTCCATTTAAAAGGCCACTGTCCTCAGAGCCATATGGCTGCCTGGTGCCAGGCCCCTGGGTGAGCTAGAGAGAAATCCCTTCTCACTCTGCTCACTACAAAATCCCTTCAGGCTCTACCCAGCAGCCAGGGCACCCCAGCTGGCAGCAGAGCAGAATTGGGGACAGAGAACTAACAGTGGCCGGCCAGGAGTGCAGTGGCTCCCACGGGCCCTCACCCGCCTTGAAGATCCACTCCAGGTACCCGTTGAGCTCTCGCTCGATCTGCTGCTGCCGGCGCAGCTTCAGGAAGGCGCGGCGGTTCTCCACCCTCTCTCGCTCCTTGGCAAACTCCCTACCATGCAGGGGCCGGAAAAGCAAGATCAGGTGAGTGCAAGCCCCACAGGTGTGCAGCCCCAGAGACAAAAAGGACCAGGGAAAGCCTGGGACAGGAGACGCAGGCTGCAGGCTGCTGCTTCAGGCAGGCCCCTGCCACCCAGGCCTCTTCTAACCTGAGCACTCCAGATGAGCACTCCAGAGCACCAGACAGCTCCCTGGGCACCCAGAGGGCCTCCATGAGCAGCCCAGGTGGCCCTCCATCCTCAGACTCCCGTGGCACTTAGGGACGGTGCCTTGGTCCCCAGAGGGGCAGTTCTAGAGAGCAGGGACAATTTCACAGCCCCTGCCTACAGCAACCTAGGCATGCGCCTCCTCCCTCCCCTTGTGCCAGGCTCTGTTATCTGCTGTCCTCCAGAGAGCTCCTGGCGAGAATTCTCCAGAGGAGAACGTTCACTTTGCTTCCTCTGTTGGTTCAGATGCAAAGCCTCTGTGGGAAGTGGGAGGGACAGACAGGGACAGGGAAGAAGGGACTGGGTCAGGGCAGGCCAGAGGCAGAAGGGTAATACCGCAGAGTCCACGTAGCCTCCTCAACCAAGCCTCTGAGGCTCACAGTGAGCAGGAGAGGAGACCTTCTGTCATTGGCCCCCGACATCTCACCCCAGCCCCGCCTGAGCCTTCACAGCCGTCATGGTGACCAGCAGAGAACACTTGCCCTTCCAGCTCAGCATCCCCAGCCCAGCCCCAGCCTCCTGGCCAAGCTTTAAGGCTCACAGTGCCAGAAGCAAGCCATTCTCTCTCTCTCTCTCTCCCCCTCTCTCTCTCTCTCTCTCTCTCACACACACACACACACACACACAAGCTTCTGAGTTGGTGGAGTGGGTGTGGCAGGTATGACTCCCAGCACACACAGCCCCGGTGCAACAATCCCCGGCTCTGACCGTGACTGACCCTGGGCGCAGGGCCAGTGTCCGCTAGGCACTGAGCTGCTACAGCCCAGGCAGTGCAAGGTGACCAGGCCTGCCCAGGTGCACCCTCCCATCTGGGCATCCCAAGTCCCAAATCTACAGGAAGGCAGGGTCCACTGTGGCCTCCCCACCCAGACCAATCCCTGTGGCCATGCCCTGAGAATGAGAGGGCCTGGGGGGCAGGGGAAGGGCAAGGACATCACTGCTTGAACTGATCTGAGAGCTCCCAGCAGCAACTCCCCCCAGCAGTCTGGCCCCCTCCACAGAGCAGCTGCTTCTCACGCAGTGGCCGGCAGCAGGGCCAGCCCTCCCTGAGCTTCTGTCCTCGCTGGGTGAGAAGAGGCAGGACAGGGGCCACCTCTTCTGCTTCTCTGGGATGCTGTGAGGATGGGAGCTCTGGGAATGGAGAGAGAGATGCCGAATTGGCCCCAAGCTGGCCCCTCCTGCAGCTCTCGCCCAGACATGGCAGAGCCGCGGCTTTTCCCACAGAGCAAGGCTGGGAAGGCGGCCTCTCACCACTGCCACCCCGGGGTGCAGGACCCACATGGGGGGTGCCAGCCCCTGGCTTGGGGGCCCTCTGCTGGGCCTGTGGGCCTGAGGGAGGGTTCAGCTGCGCTGATGGGAGGAACATCACATATCCCATTCTCCCCAGAGGCCAGGATCCTCACAGTGGGGAAGGAGTGGGAAATACCGTGCAGGCCCTGCCTTGGGCCTCCCCTCCAGCCCCTCAGGCTATTCTGCACATTCCCTAGAGGGATGCAGAAGGAAGCCCTGAGCAGGCTGCTCTCCTGCCTCCCCTTGAACCCACCTATGCTCCTGCCAGGCTTCCCACCAGGCAGCGTTCTCAGCACCTTTGGCACCAGGCAGCACCCTCAGCACAGCCCAGGCACCTCACAAGCCTGGTGGCTGCCAGCCCCCTGACAGCCCCTGTGCCCTCTCCCCACAACACCCTCTGACTCCAGCTCCAAGCATCTCTGCAACACACAGGCCACAACCTTCTGTCCACTGTGCCTCCACCCCAGCTGTTCTCTGCCTGAAAGACCCTCCTCCTTCCTTAGCCTGGCTCATTCCTAGTCCCCCAGTGGGGTCTCAGCTGAGATGTCCCTCCCCCGGTGCCTCCTCCAAGCCTCAAGCCTCCGCCAGCTACCCCGCCAGGCTAGGAGTTCTATTTCCATCCCGTGAGCCGGTCGCTTGCTGGTTCCCATGGAGGCTTTTGGAGAGGCCTGCTAATGACAATCACACCCTTTACAGGACAGGGCCAAAACCAAGGGCACGATCTCCTGCTGGAGCCCAGAGGCTTCGGCTCCAGCCATCCCCACTCTGGCTGCTCCTGTCCTGCTCAGCGTGGCAGAACTCCCAGGTTCACCAGGCTCTATCCCCAGCCTGGCTCGGAGCCGTGGGCCTGAGCAGGGATCATAGTGAGGACAGAGGGGAGATGTACTCCTCCAGCCTCACTGGGGAGCTGAGGCCAAGGTGGGAGCAGGAAGCCAGGCAGGCCTGATGCCTTCCACCTCCTTCCTAGCACAACTCCTTGCCCTGTGGTAGGGCAGGAGCCCCAAATACCAAACCCAGTCAGGCCCCATACATGGCATCTCTTCAGCTCTCAGCCCCAGGGTGGGACAGGAGGGGCTGTGTGCCCACAGGCCCACCTGGCCATGCCCGCCTACCACATCCCACTCCCAGAGAGGACTCTTTCTCCACCTTCTCCAGCATGGACCCCCAGCCCTGAGCCCTCTCTCTCACCATCCCCTGGAGTAGCTTGGCACAAAGAGGTGACCTGAGAGGAAGTGGACACCAGCAGTCAGGGCCAGGGTGGCGAGCCCAGTGGTGACTGCTACAGAGATCAGGGTGCCCCCAGTTATTTCTCACCACAGTAACAGAGGGGCTCTCTGTGGCCACAGAGGCTGCTCAGAAACCCTGTCCCAGACCACACCTCCATCTACCAAGACCACACTTCCCATCACAGACCACACCTCCCATCCACCCAGACCAACCTCCCAATACAGACCACACCTCCCATCCCCCCAGACCAACCTCCCATTACAGACCACACCTCCCATCCCCCCAGACCAACCTCCCATTACAGACCACACCTCCTGTCTACCCAGATGAGTAGTGGCAGCTACTCTCCCATGGCAGAGACCACGGAAAGGCCAGGGGTATGACAGGGATAAGGGGCCGAGAGGCTGATCAAGGACAGGTCAGGATGGTGGCACAAAGGAAGGGCTACCAGAACCCAGAACACCAGGGGCAACCACCACAGAGGGCACCCATGGGCCAGGCCCCCACCCCAAGTGTCACACGTGCCCCTGTTGACCCCTCAGCTGAGAACACAGAGGGGCACCTGCACATCCCCCACATGGTCTCTCACCCCGAGAGCACGCCCAGCACCAGGTTGAGCATGAAGAAGGAGCCGATGATGATGAGAGGGATGAAGTAGAGCCAGTTCCAGGTGTTGCCGGCCGCATCGTTTGTCTGGAAGCAAGGAGAGGGAGATGAGGAAGGACAGGGACAAAACACAGTCCCGGCCACAGGAGCACCCCCAGCCCCCAACAGGCCTCCTTCTCAGAAGCACACACCTGGTAGGGTCCAGGCAGTGGGGAGGCCAGTCACAGGGAGGTCCAAGCATGGGGCTGGAGTCCAGGCAGCACCCACAGGCAGACGTGCCCTTGCTGGCAGAGTTCTCTCTGGACTGCAGCTCCCAGAGGACCAGGGACACTCAGTGCTGCCAGCCACTGCCTGGCAACACTCAAAAGCCAAGCAGTAGGCCCAGGGAGCCACAGCAGTGTGGATGCCCCGAGGTGGCATGAGCACCCAACCTCTGCCAGACACCTCCCTGGCTACCAGACATCCTGGGCAGCTCCAAAGCCATGTCCTCCTGAAGGGGGCCCACAGGCCCAAGTCCACATCAGACCCAAGTCCACATGCAGCAGCTCCCACAGCTGAGAGGCAACAGTGGGCCCATCTGCATTTTCAGTTTCACCACATGCCTGGCCTGAGACAGCGCCCAGCACTCAGGCATGATCTGAATAGCTGAAAGCAAAGAGGGACCTTCTTTCCCAGATCTTTTGCTTTTTATAGCACAGCCCACAAAAGGGTGCGCTCCTTTGAACCCAATTTGATTCCATAGTTGTTTCATTTTTATGCATTCCCAGGGGATGTGGCTAAGGGGTGTAGAGAACCTCTTTCTCCCTGCAAGTCTGGTGCTGGAGAGAAACCAGGAGGGTGGTGGGTGCCAAGGGAGGCAGCCCCTAGTCCCGTTCCTGGACGCCTCTCTTCAGAGGCAGTTCACAAGACATGGGATGGACTCCACCAAGACAGAGGCAGGAGGACAGTTGGGGCACTGCCCTGCAGCGGGCGCTGATCTCCAGGTGCTGCTGTTGGCATTCCTGCCCTCCAGTGTCTGCCAGCCTGGCGGATTTGCAGCCTCCACCCCTGCATGGACTGAAGCTCGTGGTTCCTGACCCTTGGACACTGATTCCAGGCTGGCCCCTGAGATTCCTGGATCCGAAACCAGAAGTGACATTCAGAATCTCAGCTCCAGCTGCAGTTCATGTTCCTAGAATATGAACCACTAGACCACACCTCTGTCCGGACTCACATGCAGCTCAGATCTGTGGACTGAGTGGCCACCAAAGCCACCAACTTCCCACAAGCACACCCTCAAACCTGTCCTCCCTTCTTGAGAAAAAGGAGATATCGCTGCTGTAGCCTCAGCCCCTCTCACCTGCTCAAGCACTTGGCTCCCGCAATTTCCCTCCCCAGTGGAGTGTTCCCATCAGTAGCCAACTGGCTCTAATTCCTCTCATCTTAAAAAACAGGACTTCCACTTCTGGGAAGATGGAGCAGACATACTCTGCCATATTGTTCCCACTAGGTGGAATTAACATACTGAAAATTATTCATAAAGCAAATATAGAATGACTCTGAAAGATGGAGAAAATAGAGCAGACTAGCTAGGACCCCAGGATATAAGGTGTGTTTCTGGGGTTTTCTTCTTGCCTCTTATATCCCACATTTGGAGCTGCTGAAGCCTAAAATTTGGAAATGCCCAAGGGGCACAGACGACCAAAAAAAGTACCAGCAAAAGCCAGCTCTCCCTAACCAAGGCAGCCTAGCAGGACAGGGAGCTCTCAGACAACTCACAGAAAACGCTGGCTCCATCTCCATCCCTCCCTTCCAGCAAAGACCCAGAGGAGCACCTAGACTGCAGTGAGGCATCCGAATCCCCTCACCCTCCATGGGGTGCTGTCAGAGAAAGCCAAGTAGGAAGTGGAACGTTCCTCCTCAGCAGGGGTTATCACGGCCCCCCAGCCCAAGCCCACCTCCGCGGTACTAGTGAAGACCACACGGGACACCTTGACTTCCATTTACACAGGCAGTAGGGGCACCCCCTGCAGCTAGGGAGCTATCAGAAGGGCCTTGTGCAGCCAGGACTTTTACCACCATCCAGCAGTCACAAAGCCGCCCACCCACACACAGTGTGCAGAAATCACGTGGAGAACAAGAACAAGGCACCTCTAACCCTCCCAGCCAGGAAAGTTCCCTTGAGGCATGGTGGGGAGCCAGACCGGCCACCCCCGCCCAGCAGTAAGGAGAACACGCTACCATAAGTCAACAGATGCCAAGTGGGGAACCTAGACTTCTGCACTCACCGGCAACAAGACAGCAGCCCTCCTCCTTCCCTGACAGCCAACGCAGAATGCTTAACTGAGATCCAAGGTCCCATGCTGAAAGGCCAAAAATGGCCAGTTTTCAACTGAAACTCACTTGTCATACTAAGAACCAAGAAGAGCACCAATTTCTTAGATGCTGTGATGGTTAATGTTGTGTCAACTTAGCTGGGCCACGGGGTACTCAGATACTTGGTCAAGTACACTTGACAGTACCTTACAGATACTTCTACAAAGGTGCTCTGAGATGAGATTATCACTTTAATCCACAGAGTGAAGACCACTGCTCTCTGTAATGTGGGGTGGACCTCATTCAACCCACATTCAAGACCAACCCTCCCCTGGGTAAGGGAAAAGTCTCCAGCAGGTGCCTCTGGATTTCACCTCTGCCGGCCACCGCCATCGGGAACTGCATCATCAGCTCTCCATGTGTGGACAGCACACAAGCCCGCCAGGCAGAACCACAGATGTGGACATGCCAGCCTCTGTGATCACATGAGCCAGTTCCTCATGATAAATCTCCCTCTCCACACACACACACAGACACACATCACACACAGACACACATCACACACATGCACCACACACGACACACACATGCATACACCACACACACACACGCACACACCCCACACAAACCAGACACACATACACCATACACACACACTGGACACACAAGCGCACACACCACACACATGCACACCACACACACCAACACCAAACACACACACACTACACACCTACACGCACACCATACGTACACCACACACACCAGACACAAAGGACACGCAAACACACACACCAGACACACACACGCACCACACACCACACACATGCATACACCACACACACACTCACACCACACATACCAGACACACATACACCATACACACACACTGGACACACAAGCGCACACACCACACACATGCACAGATACACCACACACACACACACTGGACACACAGCCACCACAAACATGCACACACCACACACACACCACACACACTACACACATACTTCACACCCACACACACACCACACACGTATACACCACACACACAAAACACACATACACACACCAAACACCAGACACACAACAGACACACACCATACACATGCATGCCACACAGACCATACACAAACACACCACAGAGACACCACAAACACACGCACACCACACACATCAGACACACACACCACACACACTAGACACAAATACACCACATACACACACTAGACACAAGTGCACACACCACACACACATGCACACACCACACACACACACACCACACACATACCACATGCACCAGATACAGGCACACACCACATACACCACACACACTACACACACCACATACACCACACACACACCAGACACACACACATGCACACCACACACACCAGACACAACACACACCACAAACACACCAAATACCTTTCTCCAAAGTGTTTTTTTTTTATTCTGGGCATGTCCTTAACCTTGCCAAAATGAAATTCTGAATTGATTGAGACTTGTCTCTGATAACTTTTTGGATTACAGAACCAAAGGGAAAATTTAGAGCTAAAAAAAAAGTCGAAAATCTCAATGAAAATGCATAACAAGAGAATGAAGGGGATGTGGAAGGAATCAGTGAACAGTAAGAAAACAAAGAACGATAGAATTATCCATTCTGATAAGGAGAGAAAAGTGAACCTCAAAAACCCATGGGACTATAACAAATGATCTGATATTCATGTCATCAGAGCACTAAAGACAGGTGAAAAAGGACAAAGCTGACAGTATTTAAAGAAATACGGCCAGGCGTGGTGGCTCACACCTGTAATCCCAGCACTTCGGGAGGCCGAGGCAGGCAGATCACCTGAGGTCAGGAGTGCGAGACCAGCCTGGCCAACATGGCGAAACCCTGTCTCTACTAAAAATACAAACGTTAGCCAGGCATGGTGGTGCATGCTTGTAATCCCAGCTACTC
Source organism: Homo sapiens (assembly GCF_000001405.40). Classification (NCBI taxonomy): domain Eukaryota; kingdom Metazoa; phylum Chordata; class Mammalia; order Primates; family Hominidae; genus Homo; species Homo sapiens. The sequence continues at coordinate 137,948,105 of NC_000009.12, read as the reverse complement.
CACAGCCTGAGGCAGGAAAATCGCTTGAGCTTGGGAGGCGGAGTTTGCAGTGAGCCGAGATTGTGCCACTGCACTCTAGCCTGGGTGACAGAGTGAAACTCCATCTCAAAAAAAAAAAAAAAAAAAAAAAGGAATGCTGAAAACTTCTCAACTTTAGCAAGAGACACAAACATACAGATTTAAGAAGCTCAGCAAACCCCAGGCAAACACATTATAGCCAAACTTCTGAAAACTAAAGACAAAGAAAAAATCTTGAACGCAGCAGAAAAAAATGATACCATACCTATATGGGGAAAACAATTCAAATGGTTTCTCATCAGAAACCATGGAGGCCAGAAGGAAGTGGCATAATATTTTTCAGGTGCTGAAAGAAAAGAACGGTCAACCCAGACACCTATACCCACCAAGAATATCCTTTGGGAAATCAAGACATTCTCAAATGAAAAACTAGGGAAACCAGGAGAATTTGTCACCAGCAGAACTCTCCTAAGAAAAAATGAATAATGAAAGGTCTCTAAACAGAAAGGAAATGAGTAAAAATTGAATCACTATTAGGAAGGAAGGAAGAAAAATGGAAAGTGTAAAAATATAGGTAACTGGATTTGTTTCTCCTTTTGAGTTTTTTAAATTATGTTTGACAGATGAAGCAAAAATTATAGTACTATTGAGGCAGAAGAATAGGGTCTGGAGGCAGGGACCCTAAGGCCGATTTGTGCTGACTTCCTAGAACTGAATCAAAAGGAAAACACCACTCCACATCCAAGTAACAAAAGAACAGCAGCTACTCCCTTTGCGGCCCACCCCCCTTCCACTGTGTCACAGATGAAAAAATGGAAAGTACCTCTGATTGGTCACCTCCCACAACCAATCAGGCTGCTCGTGGGCCAAGTCTTCATTAGCATAGGGTTTAACTTTATAACTTCACTTCAGCCTTTGATTGGTTGCCTCCTGCAACCAATCAGACTGGTAGCAGGCCCAGTCTTCATTTACATAGAGTGTAACCAAGTAACCAATGGGAAACCTCTAGAGAGTAGTTAAATTCCAGAAAATTCTGTAACTAACACTCTTGAGCAACTTGTTTGAGCCCACTCCCACTCTGTGGAGCATAGTTTCAATAAGTCTGTGCTTTCACTGCTTCATTCTTTTGTTGTTTTGTGCATTTTGTCCAATTCTTTGTTCAAAATGCCAAGAACCTGGATGACTCATAGTCAAGACCCCCCCGGTAACGTATTTTGGCAAGCCAGCCAGGAGGCAAGCCCAAAGTTTGGGAGTTATTTTTCTTCTCATTTTCCCTTTTCCTCTCTGCTCCATACAGGGGAAGCATTTTCTGTCTCTCTTTCCAACTCAGGACACTTGACAGAGAGCACCTAAGCATGGAGGCAACTGCAGGTCTCTGGCTGGGGCCACTCTACGGAGAGACTGAAAGGTATCCATATGGAAGCACCTGACCACCACTGCCTGGTTCACATGAGGGACCTGAGTCCTTTCCCTTTTTTTTTTTTTCTCAGTTTTTCAGCAGTCATTTCCTAGTAGCTCCCCAGTAACTGAGGGCAACTTGCTGGGGCCACTCTCCAGTGTTACCTGAAGGCCGAGGAATGATAGGGATAGCTGCCCTGCCTGGAAGGGGGAAGGACTCTTTTCTGTCTTTCCTGGTTATACTCCCTGATCCCTACGTGTGACACAATTGGCAGTGGCAGCTTGTCAAGGAGGAATTCACACATTTCAGGGAACTTAAACCCTCTTTTCTTATGCTAAATTCTCCTGTAGAGTTAGCTAGTAAAGACAAAAGATAATGTCTCCTAGGCATTTTGACCCCTTCTCTTACTTGATCTATTCGACTGGCTAAGGACAAAAGAAACCCACTTAGCCCCCTAGCTATGCAAAGAAGTTTATACATAAAAGAGATTTTATATTATATAAAAAGGCATCTTGTATGGTAAATTCTTGTCCTAAAGTAAAATGACTGTTGTTTTAAAAGAGGGATATGACTGGGTGCAGTGGCTCACACCTGTAATGCTAGCACTCTGGGAGGCCAAGGCAGGTGGATCACGAGGTCAGGAGTTCGAGACCAGCCTGGCCAATATGGTGAAACCCTGTCTCTACTAAAAATATAAAAAAAATTAGCCAGGCACAGTGATGCACGCCTGTTGTCCCAGTTACTTGGGAGGCTGAGGCAGCAGAATTGCTTGAACCTGGAAGGCGGAGGTTGCAGTGAGCTGTGATGGCATCACTGCACTCCAGCCTGGAATATGATAATAATAATAATAAAAGTAAAGAAATAAAATAGGGATGTTTAGGACAAGTAACAAAGTCCAAGCATGTCGTAGATGATCTGGGTAAGTCGTGAAAAAGATTTGTGAAAGTGAAATTATGCAAGAAATGTTGTATAATTTATGTTGCCTAAGTTTAGAGGGTTAAAGGATTGTTTTAAGTGGTATAGGAAAAATCCAAAGGTTTGAACAAGTTGTAGGCTTATGAAAATTAATTGTAAAAGAGATTCTGTGTATGAACATATTGGCTGAAGTTAAAAGCTTGGCCTTATCAAATTATAAGGATGCTAGAAGTCGGGGCCTTCAGCCAGGGACAAGAGGAAACTCATAGTGGGCCACTGATTGTGAAGGGAACCGTTCCAAAGTGGTGCTGGCACCCATCTAAGGTCAGACATATCTGACAAACTAAGATGGGGCCCCAGAGGTGGGGATGCCCTTGGGAACCGCAGACAAGACCCAGAGTTTTTCCAGATGGCCACCCCAGGTAAAATCTGGGTCACCTAGTAGGACCTCCACTTTTGAAAGTCCTCTTCTCTCTTCCAGACCACTGTGGGCAACTCTCCATCCATTCCCTCTGATTCCCTGCTTGGCTGCATCATCAACCACTGGAATCAGTTGAACCCTGACAATCTAAGGAGAAAACGTCTGATTTTCTACTATAATACTGTATAGCCCCAATATCAGCTGGACAGCCAGGAATAATTGGTGGTCATGGGAAGTCTTAATTACAACACCATCCTGCAATTAGACCTGTTTTGCAAAAGGCAGGGTAAATTGTCAGAAATCCCATACGTACAGGTCTTCATGGCCCTATACCAAAACCCAACAATCTGCAAAAGTCCTGGAACCTGCCCTGAAAAGGAAGGTCTTAAGGCAGAACTAGATATTGTAGATGACCCCCTTTTACAAAGGCCACCTGTCTCTCAGAGGGAAGTGCAACCACCCCTGTATAACTCCTTGCCAAGTGCTCCTGAGGCTCAAACCCAAGAGCAAAATTCGGGGTTCCAGCTAAGTCCTCCTCATATTTGGAGAGAAACAATCTCCCCCTCCAGCCCTGCTACCCCTTAGGGAAGTAGCAGGAGCTGAGGGGCCAGTCCTAGTGCAGTCCCCCTTTTCTATAACTGATATAAAACAACATACAGAAAAGCTAGGAAGCTATTCTGAGAACCCTAGGAATTTGGAGATGGGTCCCAAACTTTGACCTTAGCCTTTGATCTCTCAGGGGAGATGTTCAATTCATTCTAGCAACCTATTGCAGCCCCTTGGAAAAGAAACAAATCTTTGAGGCTGCCCGCCAGGAAGCAGATGACTTATTTCCTTGAAACTCTCAGGGCAATCACTTAGGCCCAGACATAATCTCCATTACTGATCCTAATTGGGACTATAACACACCCGAGGGAATGAACCACCAGGCTAAGTTTCTTGAGGCTCTCCTTGGAGGAAGAGAAAGAGAATAAGGCAGTAAATTATGATAAGGTAAAGGAAGTTACACTGGGCAAGAAAGAAAATCCAGCCATGTTTCATGGCAGACTGGAGGAAGCCTTTAAAAAATATACTAATCCAATCTGCCCCAGACATTAGATATAAGCTCCAAAAGCTACAGATGGGCCCACAAACTAATCAAAATCAGCTTCTTGATATTGCTTTCATGATGTATAACAATCATGAAGGAAGGAAAAGGGGAACAGAGTAAAGAAAAATGGCAAGCAAAAATTATGACAGCCATCACTGGCAATGCCCTGAATGCCCAAAGAGCACGCAAAGGAAACCCAAAGGGCCATAAGGACAATGCCAGCCTGTAGAGGATACAAGATTTGTTAGTACTAATAGACACCTGTAGGGAGCTGAAGGCCAGAGAGACATGACCAACTCAGTATTCCACTGGAGGTTATATGATCAAACAGCAAACTTGTTTATCATGAAAGCAGGATGTGGGCAAACTCATGACTGTGCCTGCAACCAGGAGGTTTGCTGAGGGCAATCACTCCCTGGCACCGTGCTCATTGCGGTTACCTACTGGGACATCTAGAGCCTATTGTTCAAAGAATGCGGTCTTGCAAGCCTGCTGTGAATCAAACTGCCTGCTGACAACCACCCCCTCCTCTTCTCGCTATCTCTTTTGCCTAATAAATACGGAGGGCTGTGTAAAGCTCAGGGCCCTTGTTCACTAGAAGCAAGGAGCCCCCTGACCCCTTCTTCCAAATATACTCTTTGTCTTTATCTTTATTCCCGCATTCGTCATCCTTTGTTCAGTCCCCCAAGGTCCGTGCAGGTTACAGATACCTTTACTGGCTGGATTGAAGCTTACCCTACACCAAAACACAGAAGGCCAATGAAGTTGTGAAGGTTCTTCAAAGAACTATTTCCCGAGTTTGGGTTACCTCAAAGCCTCCAAAGTGATAATGACTCGTTCTTTATCTCTCAAATAATTCAAGGGGTTGCTAAGGCTCTCAGAATCAAATACTATTTACATTCAGCATGGAGGCCTCAATCCTCTAGAAAAGTGGAAAGAGCTAATCAAACTCTAAAATGGGTGTTAGCTAAGCTATGTCAGGAAACATCAGAAACTTGGGTCAACTTGCTGTCCACAGCTCTCGTAAGAGTCCATAATTTCCCCAGAGCAAAAATTAATATGAGCCCATATGAAATGTTATATAGGAGGCCATTTTTAACTAATGATCTAAATACTGATCCAGAAACAGCCACTTTAGTGAAATACCTAGTTAACCTGGGACCATTTCAGCAGGCTTTACAAAAGTTTGAAACTCAAAAAAAAAAAAAAAAAGTTTGAAACTCAAAGACTCCCCACACTGGCAACTAACCAGCAACCCAAAATCAGGCCAGGAGATAAGGTACTTAAAAAAAAATTTATTTCCATAGGTTATTGGGGAACAGATGGTGTTTGGTTACATGCGTAAGTTCTTTAGTGGTGATTTATGAGATTTTCGTGCACCTATCACCCAAGCAGTGTATGCTGCACACAATTTGTAGTCTTTTATCTCTCACCCCACCCTTTCTTCCTGAGTCCCCAAAGTCCACTGTGTCATTCTCATGCCTTTGCATCCTCACAGCTTAGCTCCCACTTATGAGTGAGAACATACGACGTTCGGTTTTCCATTCCTGAATTACTTCACTTAGAATAATAGTCCCAATCTCATCAAGGTCACTGTGAATGCCACTAATTCATTCCATTTTATGGCTGAGTAGTAGTCCATCATATATATATCACAGTTTCTTTATCCACTGGTTGACTGATGGGCATTTGGGTTGGTTCCACATTTTTGCAATTGCAAATTGTGCTGCTGTAAACATGCGTGAGCAAGTCTCTGTTTCATATGACTTATTTTCCTCTTGGTAGACACCAACTAGTGAAATTACTGGATCAAATGGTAGTTTTACTTTTAGTTCTTTAAGGAATCTCCACATCGTTTCCCATACTGGTTGTACTAGTTTACATTCCCACCAGCAGTGTACAACTGTTCCCTGTTCACCGCATCCATGCCAATATCTATTATTTTTAAATTTTTTTATTACCACCATTCTTGCAGGAGTAAGCTGGTATCACATTGTAGTTTTGATTTGCATTTCCCTAATCATTAGTGATGTTGAGCATTTTTCCATGTTTGTTGGCCATTTGTATATCTTCTTTTGAGAATCGTCTATTCATGTCCTTAGCCCACTTTTTGATGGGATTTTTTTTCTTGCTAATTTGTTTGAGTTCATTGTGGATTCTGGATATTAGTCCTTTCTCAGATGTATAGATTGTGAAGATTTTCTCCCACTCTGTGGGTTGTCTGTTTACTCTGCCGACTGTTTCTTTTGCTGTGCAAAAGTTCTTTGATTTAATTAAGTCCCAGCTATTTATCTTTTTTGTTGTTGTTGCATTTTCTTTTGGGTTCTTGGTCATGAAGTCCTTGCCTAAGCCAATGTCTACAAGGGTTTTTCCAATGTTATCTTCTAGAATTTTTATAGTTTCAGGTCTTAGATAAGTCCTTGATCCATCTTGAGTTGATTTTTTATAAGGTAAGAGATGAGAATTCAGTTTCATTCTCCTACATGTGGCTTGCCAATTATCCCAACACCATTTGTTGAATAGTGTGTCCTTTCTCCACTTTTATCTTTTTGCTTGCTGTAAGTATTTGGGTTTATTTCTGGGTTCTCTATTCTGTCATTGGCCTATGTGCCTATTTTTATACCAGTACCATGCTGTTTTGGTGACTATGGCCTTATACTATAGTTTGAGGTTGGGTAATGTGATGCCTCCAAATTTGAGAGGAATGAGGGTGGTATTTTGATGGGAACTGCATTGAATTTGTAGACTGCTTTTGGCAGTATGGTCATTTTCACAATATTGATTCTACCCATCCATAAGCATGGGATGTGTTTCCATTTGTTTGTGTCACCTATAATTTCTTACAGCAGTGTTTTGTAGTTTTCCTTGTAGAGGTCTTTCACCTCCTTGGTTAGGTATATTCCTAAGTTTTTTGGCTTTCTGTTTTTTGTTTGTTTTGCAGCTATTGTAAAAGGGGTTGAGTTCTTGATTTCATTCTCAGCTTGGTCACTGTTAGTATATAAAAGAGCTACTGATTTGTGTACATTAATTATGTATCTGGAAACTTTGCTGAATTCTTTTATCAGTTCTAGGAGCTTTCTGGAGGAGTTTTTAGGGTTTTCTATGTAAACAATCATATCATCAGCAAACAAACAGCGACAGTCTGACTTCCTCTTTCCCAATTTGGATAACCTTTCTTTCTTTCTCTTGTCTGATTGCTCTGGTTAGGACTTCCATTACTATGTTGAAGAGGAGTGGTGAGAGTGAGCATCCTTGTCTTCTTCCAGTTCTCAAAGGGAATGCTTTCAACTTTTCCCCATTCTGTATTATGTTGACTGTGGGTTTGTCATAGATGACTTTTATTACATTGAGGTATGTCCTGTGTATGCCGATTTTGCTGAGGGTTTTAATCATAAAGGATGCTGAATTTTGTCGAAGGTTCTTTCCACATCTATTGAGATGATCATGTGATTTTTGTCTTTAATTGTTTATGTGGTGTATCACATTTATTGACTTGAGTATGTTAAACCATCCCTGATCCCTGGTATGAAAACCATGTGATCATGGTGAATTATCTTCTTGATATACTGTTGTATTCAGTTAGCTAGTATTTTGTTGAGGATTTCTACATCTATGTTCATCAGGGATATTGGTTTGTAGTTTTCTTTTTTGGTTATGTCCTTTCCAGGTTTGATATTAGGGTGATACTGGCTTCATAAAACGATTTAGGGAGGATTCCCTCTTTGTCTATCTCATGGAATAGTGTCGATAGGATTGGTACCAATTCTCTTTGAATGTCTGATAGAACTCTACTGTGAATCCATCTAGTCCTGGAGTTTTTTGGTTGGTAATTTTTTTATTACCATTTCAATCTCACTGCTTGTTATTGGTCTGTTCAGGGTATCTAATTCTCCCTGATTTAAGCTAGAAGGGTTGTATCATTCCAGGAATTTATCCATCTCCTCTAGGTTTTCTAGTTTACATGGGTAAAGGTGTTCACAGTAGCCTTGAAAAATCTTTTGTATTTCTGTGGTGTCAGTTGTAATATCTCCCATTTCATTTCTAATTGAGCTTCTTTGGATTTTCTCTCTTTTTTTCTTGGTTAAACTTGCTAATGGGCTACCAATTTTATTTACCTTATCAAAGAACTAGCTTTTTGTTTCATTTATCTTTTGTGTTTTTTTGTTTAAGTTTCATTTAGTTCTGCTCTGATCTTGGTTATCTCTTTCTTCTGCTGGGTTTGGGTTTGATTTGTTCTTGTTTCTTTAGTTCATTGAGGTGTGACCTTAGATTGTCTGTTTGTGCTCGTTCAGACTTTTCGATGTAGGTATTTAGGGCTATGAACTTTCCTCTTAGCACTGCCTTTGCTGTATTCCAGAGGTTTTGGTAGGTTGCGTCACTACTGTCATTCAGTTCGAAGAATTTTATTTTTTTTTATTTATTTATTTATTTATTTATTTATTTATTTATTTATTTATTTTGAGACGGAGTCTTGCTCAGTTGCCCAGGCTAGAGTGCAGTGGCGTGATCTCAGCTCACTGCAAGCTCCGCCTCCCGGGTTCATGCCATTCTCCTTCCTCAGCCTCCTGAGTAGCTGGGACTACAGGTGCCTGCCACCATGCCCAGCTAATTTTTTTTTTGTATTTTTGGTAGAGACGGGGTTTCACCATGTTATCCAGGATGGTCTCGATCTCCTGACCTCGTGATCCACCTGCCTCAGCCTCCCAAAGTGCTGGGATTACAGGTGTGAGCCACCACATCCGGCCTCAGTTTGAAGAATTTTTAAATTTCCGTCTTGATTTCATTTTTTGACCCAATGATCATTCAGGAGCAGGTTATTTAATTTCCATGTATTTGCATGGTTTTGAGGGTTCTTCTTGGAGTTGACTTCCAGTTTTATTCCACTGTGGTCTCAGAAGGTGCCCGATATAATTTCAATTTTCTTAAATTTATTGAGGCTCATTTTGTGGCCTATTTATATGGTTTATCTTGAAGAGAGTTCCATACACTGATGAATATATATTCTGTAGTTGTTGGCTAGAATGTTCTGTAAATACCTGTTAAGTCCATTTGTTCCAGGGTATAGTTTACATTCACTGTTTCTTTGTTGACTTTCTGCCTTGATGACCTGTTAGTGCTGTCAGTGGAGTACTGAAGTTCCCCACTATTATTGTGTTGCTGTGTATCTCATTTCTCTCTCTTTTTTTTTCTTTTAGGACAGAATCTCGCTCTGTCACCCAGGCTGGAGTGCAATGGCACTATCTTGCCTCACTGCAACCTCCACCTCTGGGTTCACGCCATTCTCCTGCCTCAGCCTCCCAAATAGCTGAGATTACAGGAGCCTGCCACCACACCTGGCTATTTTGTATTTTTAGTAGAGACAGGGTTTCACCATGTTGGCCAGGCTGGTCTCAAGCTCCTGACCTCAGGTGATCCATCCACCTCGGCCTCCCAAAGTGCTGGATTACAGGCATGAGCCACTGTGCCTGGCCTGTCTATCTCATATCTTAGGTCTACTAGTAATTGTTTTATAAATGTGGGAGCTCCAGTGTTAGGTGCATATATATTTAGGATTGTGATATTTTCCTGTTGTACAAGGCCTTTTATCATTATATAATGTCCCTCTTTGTCTTTTTTAACTGTTGTTGCTTTAAAGTTTGTTTTGTCTGATATAAGAATGGCTACTCCTGCTTGCTTTTGGTGTCCATTTGCATGGAAAGTCTTTTTCCACACCTTTACCTTAAGTTTATGAGTCTTATGTGTTAGGTGAGTCTCTTAAAGGGAGCAGATGGTTGGTGAATCCTTATGCATTCCACCATTCTGTATCTTTTAAGTGGAGCATTTAGGCCATTTACATTCAACATTAATATTGAGATGTGAGATACTATTCTAGTCATCATACTACTTGTTTCCTGAATACCTTGGGTTTTTAAAATTGTTATTGTTATATAAATCCTGTTGGATTTATGCTTTAAGGAGGTTCCATTTTGGTGTATTTTGAAAATTTGTTTCAAGATTTAGAGCTCCTTCTAGCAATTCTTGTAGTGCTTGCTTGGTAGTAGCGAATTCTCTCAGCATTTGTTTGTCTGAAAAAAACTATCTTTCCATCATTTATGATGCTTAGTTTTGCTGGATACAAAATTCTTGGCTGATAACTGTTTTGTTTAAGGAGGCTGAAGATAGAGCCCCAATCCCTTCTAGCTTGTAGTGTTTCTGTTGGGAAATCTGCTGTTAATTTCATAGATTTTCCTTTATAGGTTACCTGGTGCTTTTGGCTCATAGCTCTTAAGAGTCTTTCCTTTGTCTTTTTTTTTTTTTTTTTTTTTTTTTTTTTTTGAGACAGAGTTTCATTCTTGTTGCCCCGGCTGGAGTGCAATGGTGCGATCTTGGCTCACCACAACCTTCGCCTCCCAAATTCAAGCGATTCTCTTACCTCAGCCTCCCGAGTAGCTGGGATTACAGGCGTGCACCACCATTCCCAGCTAATTTTTTCTATTTTTAGTAGACACGGGGTTTCTCCATGTTGGTCAGGCTGGTCACAAACTCCCAACCTCAGGTGATCCGCCCACCTTGGCCTCCCAAAGTGCTGGGATTACAGGTGTGAGCCACAGCACCCAGCCTCCTTCATCTTAACTTTAGATAATATGATGACAATGTGCCTGGGAGATTATCTTTTTGCAATGAATTTCCCAGATGTTCTCTGAGCTTCCTGTATTTGGACATCTAAGTCTCTAGCAAGGCTAGGGAAGTTTTCCTTGATTATTTCCCCAAATACATTTTCCAAATTTTTAGATTTCTCTTCTTCCTCAGGAACGCCAATTATTCTTAGGTTTGGTCGTTTAACATAATCCCAGACTTCTTGGAGGCTTTGTTCATATTTTCTTATTCTTATTTCTTTGCCTTTGTTAGATTGGGTTAATTCAAAAACCTTGTCTTCGAGCTCTGAAGTTCTTTCTTCTGCTTGTTCAATTCTATTGCTGAGACTTTCCAGAGCATTTTACATTTCTCTAAGTGCATCCATTGTTTCCTGAAGTTTTTATTGTTTTTTATTTATGCACTCTATTTCATTGAAAATTTACCCCCTCAAGTGAAGGACCTCTTCAAGGAGAACTACAAACCAGTGCTCAATGAAATAAAAGAGGACGCAAATAAATGGAAGAACATTCCATGCTTGTGGATAGGAAGAATCAATATTGTGAAAATGGCCATACTGCCCAAGGTAATTTATAGATTCAATGCCATCCCCATCAAGCTACCAATGACTTTCTCCACAGAATTGGAAAAAACTACTTTAAAGTTCATATGGAACCAAAAAAAGAGCCCACATTGCCAAGGCAATCATAAGCAAAAAGAACAAAGCTGGAAGCGTCACGCTACCTGACTTCAAACTATACTACAAGGCTACAGTAACCAAAACAGCATGGTACTGGTACCAAAACAGAGATACAGACCAATGGAACAGAACAGAGGCCTCAGAAATAACACCATACATCTACAACCATCTGATCTTTGACAAACCTGATAAAAACAAGAAATGGGGAAAGGATTCCCTATTTAATAAATGGTGCTGGGAAAACTGGCTAGCCATATATAGAAAGCTGAAACTGGATCCCTTCCTCACACCTTATACAAAAATTAATTCAAGATGGATTAAAGACTTAAATGTCAGACTTAAAACCATAAAAATCCTAGAAGAAAACCTAGGCAATACCATTCAGGACATAGACATGGGCAAGGACTTCATGACTAAAACACCAAAAGCAATGGCAACAAAAGCCGAAATAGATGGGATCTAATTAAACTAAAGAGCTTCTGCACAGCAAAATAAACTACCATCAGAGTGAACAGGCAACCTACAGAATGGGAGAAAATTTTTGCAATCTACCCATCAGACAAAGGGCTAATATCCAGAATGCACAAAGAACTTAAACAAATTTACAGGAAAAAATCAAACAACCCCATCAAAAAGTGGGCAAAGGATACTTTTCAAAAGAAGACCTTTATGCAGCCAACAGGCACATGAAAAAACGCTCATCATCACTGGTCATCAGAGAAATGCAAATCAAAACCACAATGAGATACCATCTCACACCAGTTAGAATGGCGGTCATTAAAAAGTCAGGAAACAGCCGGGCGCAGTGGCTCACGCCTGTAATCCCAGCACTTTGGGAGGCCGAGGCGGGCGGATCACAAGGTCAGGAGATCAAGACCATCCTGGCTAACACGGTGAAACCCCGTCTCTACTAAAAAATACCAAAAATTAGCCGGGCGTGGTGGCAGGTGCCTGTAGTCCCAGCTACTCAGGAGGCTGAGGCAGGAGAATGGCGTGAACCCAGGAGGCAGAGGCTGCAGTGAGCCGAGATCGTGCCACTGCACTCCAGCCTGGGCGACAGTGAGCCAAGATCGTGCCACTGCACTCCGGCCTGGGCGGCAGTGAGCCGAGATCATGCCACTGTACTCCAGCCTGGGCAACAGAGTGAGACTCCGTCAAAAAAAAAAAAGAAAAAGTCAGGAAACAGCAGGTGCTGGAGAGGATGTGGAGCAATAGGAACGCTTTTACACTGTTGTTGGGAGTGTAAACTAGTTCAACCATTGTGGAAGACAGTGGGCAATTCCTCAAGGATCTAGAACTAGAAATACCATTTGACCCAGTGATCCCATTACTGGGTATATACCCAAAGGATTATAAATCATGCTACTATAAAGACACATGCACACATATGTTTATTGTGGCACTATTCACAATAGCAAAGACTAAGAACTAACCCAAATGTCCATCAATGATAGACTGGATTAGAAAAATGTGGCACATATACACCATGGAATACTATGCAGCCATAAAAAAGGATGATTTCATGTCCTTTGTAGGGACATGGATGAAGCTGGAAACCATCATTCTGAGCAAACTATCGCAAGGACAGAAAACCAAACACCGCATGTTCTCACTCACAGGTGGGAATTGAACAATGAGAACACTTGGACACAGGGCAGGGAACATCACACGCCGGAGCCTGTCATGGGGTGGGGGGTATGGGGGAGGCATAGCATTAGGAGAAATATGTAATGTAAATGATGAGTTAACGAGTGCAGCAAACCAACATGCCACAGGTATACATATGCAACAAATCTGCACGTTGTGCACATGTACCCTAGAACTTAAAGTATAATGAAAAAAAAGAAAATTTATCCCCTCATTTCTCGTATCATTTTTTGACTTCCTTAAATTGGGCTTTGCCTTTCTCTGGTGCCTTCTGATTAGCTTAATAACTAATCTTCTGAATTCTTTTTCAGGTAAATCCGGGATTTCTTCTTGGTTTGGACCCATTGCTAGTGAGCTAGTGTGATTTCTTCGGGGTGTTAAGGAACCTTGTTTTGTCATATTGTCAGAGTTGGTTTTCTGGTTCCTTCTCATTTTGGTAGGCTCTGTCAGAGGGAAGGTCTAGGGCTCAAGGCTGTTGTTCAGATTCTTTTGTCCCATGGGGTGGTCCCTTGATGTAGGTAGTACTCTCCCCATTTTCCTAGAGCTGTGGCTTCCTGAGAGCTGAGCTATAGTGATTGTTGTCTCTCTTCTGGATCTAGCCATCCAGCAAGTCTACCGGGTTCTGGGCTGGTACTAGGGGTTGTCTGCACAGAGTCCTGTGATATGAACTGTCTGTGGGTCTCTCAGCTGTGGATACCAGCACAGTATTTTGGGTATCTCCCAGGTCCTGCTGGAGCAATCCGCTTCCTTCAGAGGGTCTATGGGTTCTCTCGGCTTTCCTGATTTATTTCTGCAGTCATTCTGGAGCAAAAGTTCACGATACAATCCTCCACAGGCTGCTCTGGCCATCCGAGTGGGAACTGCAATCTAGTCCTGCCTCCCGTCTGCCATGATCTCCAAAATGAGAAATCAGGTACTTGTTAAAACATGGAAAGAGGGATCACCTGCTCAACTATTGCAACCCAAATGGAAGGGACCATTTTCAGTGGTGCTGGACAAGCCTTCTGTGGTCAAAGTACTAGGATTAGGTAGTTGGATCCATCTTTCCAGGGTCAAGCCTGCAATAACTGAAGCCCTGGACCTGGAACCTGAAGCTCCTATCAGCCACTACACCTGTGAACCTGTGGGAACAGTGAAGTACCTGTTTAAAAGACAGCCGAAAAATAAGTAAATGCCTACCAACTTTCCTTGGTGTCTTTGTTGCATACTTATCGTAAGCTGGATATTGGTAGCTATTTTTTATATTTTTACAATTTGTTTTATTCAAAATGGATGGAATCACTTCCTTTGTAATAATTAACCAAAGTGTTTCAATTCATTTTTATAACAAGCATTCCTGACAGCATAGGTATCCACCCCCTGAAGTTCCCATTCTATAGGACAAAATAACAAATAAGTAATTTTTTTTTTGTTCCATAATGGTCACCCACAGCCTGTGTATACAGGAACCATGTCTTACTAGCAATCAGCTTTATTTCACAACAGAGCTTCCCTTTACCCCTCCAGCAATTAGTGGATTCTGGGTATTTATTAAGAACTTTAAATTTAACACAAAGACTTAAATACCACCAGCCCAGCCCTGGCAAAGGACTGTTGGTTTTGTTTATCTCCATCATCATCTAAATATACTGCCATCCTGATCCCAGCCCAATCTTGGGCCCTTAAGGAAATGACCTATCACCCTAACTACAAAGGAGGAACTCTCTTCAAACTAATGAGCCTGGATGACATACATGAATTCAAAATCATGGAAATGACAAGGGTTACAATGACAGGATAAGCAGTAAACCTACTCCAATCCCATCTGAGCAACCTTTCTGGAGTTGCATCCCCTCAGAAACCAATTTGGGGCCCAATATAAATGTACACAGAGCTAAAATTGCAGGTGCCACTTTGTATTAACAGAAGCGAAAATTCTGGTCCGGTCCTTGGAACCTTGAAAAGTCATCAATGTGCCGGACGCGGTGACTCACACCTGTAATCTCAGCACTTTGGGAGGCCAAGGCGGGCAGATCATGAGGTCAGGAGATTTGAGACCACTCTGGCTAACACAGTGAAACCCCATTTCTACTAAAAATACAAAAAACTCACACCTGTAATCCCAGCACTCTGGGAGGCCGAGGCAGGCAGATCATGAGGTCAGAAGATTTGAGACCATTCTGGCTAACACAGTGAAACCCCATTTCTACTAAAAATACAAAAAACTAGCCGGGCGTGGTGGCACGCGCCTGTAGTCCCAGCTACTCAGGAGGCTGAGGCAGAAGAATCGCTCGAACCTGGGAGGTGGAGGTTGCAGTGAGCTGAGATCGCACCATTGCACTCCAGCCTAGGCGACAGAGAGAGACTCCATCTCAAAAAATATAATAAATAAATAAATAAATAAATAAAAGTAAAGATAAAATAAAGTCATCAATGCAACTACACCCTGGAAGTTAATCCTTCACTCGATTACGTAAGCTATACAGTTACCCAAACCGCATCATTTAGATAACCTGTACGGTTTTCATGGAAACCATCCCTGGTTAAGGGCTTTAAAGGATGGACAGCCTAAGTATGGTCGAGGCAGGCCCACTAGCTGCATTCACGGTTTCCCTTGTGAAGAATGTACTAATCCTGAGACGTCTAGTTGCCTTTTGGTTCCCCAGTATGAAAATACCTCTGGGTGATTGTTACTGGACACTAAGCCTAACTACCTCCACTGGGAAAAGAGAACTGCTGGGGCAACTCAAGATACTTCCCAAGATCCTTTCCAGCCTTTAACCAGGGCCACCTTAGCAAAGACCTCAACCATATGGGAAAGTGAAAACAACAAGCTAGCCCATGTGTTCACCATAGAAAACAAGTTCTGTCTTGAAAAACAAGGAGCCTTTTTCCCGTGCGGGACCAGTTCCTACTTAGATTTACCAGCCAACTGGACTGGAACCTGTAACTTGTTATTTAGCTCCCAAAATTAATGTAGCTCCCAACAACCAATTCTTCACTATACCTTTAACTGCAACCACCAGACACAAATGAGCCATCCAACTCACACCCCTTTTGGTTGGGTTAGGAAGAACAGCAAGAGTAGAAACGGGAGTTAGCAGGCTTGCAATCTCCCTATCCTATCACTAACTTGTCCAGAGATTTTATGGAAAGCTCAGAAGACACTGCCCAAAGTATCGTCGCCATACAAAATCAGACAGACTCCTTGGCAGCAGTCACTTTACAGAATTGAAGGGGACTGGATCTCCTAACTGCTTAAAAAGGTGGCTTATGTCTTTTTCTAGAGGAAAAATGCTGTTTTTATGTCAACTAATCAGGATTAGTAAGGGATGCCGCCTGGAAATTAGCTGACTGGGCCCCTAAGATACGACAACAGCTGTCTGAGTCATGGGGCTCCTGGTCAGAAATGCTAAGTTGAGGTGCATGGCTCCTTCCTCTAGCCGGCCCATCACTAATGACTATATTTGCCTTGGTTTTTGGACCATGTTCATTAAATCTCTTAAACAAATTCATTTCCTCTCGCCCAGAGACCATCAAGCTTCAGATGATCATGAGACAAGGTTTCCAGCCAGTTCCAGGTAAAGACACCACCCCTGGCCATCCAGCAACTACCATGTCTCCACTAGACAGAGCAGGGTGAGAGTTCCATGATCCCCAATAGGTAGGAACTGTGCCCAAATCAGCATGAAGCAGTTACTGAAGAAAAAACCATCAGTCCCTCGGCCTCCTA
This sequence comes from Homo sapiens, assembly GCF_000001405.40. Classification (NCBI taxonomy): domain Eukaryota; kingdom Metazoa; phylum Chordata; class Mammalia; order Primates; family Hominidae; genus Homo; species Homo sapiens. The sequence continues at coordinate 137,931,591 of NC_000009.12, read as the reverse complement.
TAAAGATGATGGGGATCACATCTCGGGGGAAATGAGGCAGGAGAATAGGGTCTGGAGGCAAGGAACCTAAGGCCGATTTGTGCTGACTTCCTAGAACTAAATCAAAAGGAAAACTCCACCTCTCCACATCCAAGTAACAAAAGAAGAGGCTACTCCCTTTGCAACGCCCCCCATTCCACTGTATCGCAGACGAAAAATGGAAAGTACCTGATTGGTCGCCTCCCATGACCAATCAGAATGGTAGAGGGCCTGGTCTTCATTTACACAGGGTGTAAGCAGCTAACCAATGGGAAACCTCTAGAGAGTATTTAAACTCCAGAAAATTCTGTAACCAGGGCTCTTGAGCCGTTTACGCGAGCCCGATCCCACACTATGGAATGTACTTTTGTTTCAATAAATCTGTGCTTTCATTTCTTCATTTCTTCATTCCTTTGTTGCTTTGTGCATCTTGTGCAATTCTTTGTTCAAACCGCCAAGAACCTGGACAACTCGTAGTCAAGACCCTCCCCAGATAATACCATCTAATGTAGAAGATTCCTTCAGTGTGGAAGGGTGAGGCTGCAATGAGCTGAGATTGCACACCATCACACCACTAAACTCCATCCTGGGTGACAGTGAGACTGTCTCCAAAAAAATGTAAAAATATAAAAAAAGATTTATACAAAGATTAATTTTTTTAAATTGGAGTGGCTAGATTAATATCAGATAAAGCAAACCTCCCAGTAAAACAAAATTACCCGAGACACAGGGAAACATGTATATAATGATAAAAAGGTCAATCCATCAAAAAAAAATAGCAAGTCTAAATATGTGTATACTCAACAACAGAGCTGCAAAATAAGTGATACAGAAACTGACAGAACTGAAAAGAGAAACAGACAAATCTGCAATTAAAGCTGGAGACTTCTACACCTCTCTCTTAACAATTTGTAGAATAGACAGAAAACCAGCAAGGATATAAAAGAGCTCAACAACACCATCAACCAAAAGAATCAATCAACATCTGTACATGCAGCACACAACAGCAGAATATACATTCTTTCCAAGTGCCCACAAAATAAATATCAAAATAGACCATATTCCGAGCCATGTAACAAACGTCAACAAATTTAAAATTAAAATTCTTTCAGTTTAGTGTATTCTCCCACCACAATAGAATCAAACTAGAAATTAATAACAGAAAGATAACAGGTAACTCTCCAAACACAAAGTAAACAAGACAGTTCTATATAATAATCTCATAGGTCAAAGAGGAAATTTCAAGGGAATTTAAAAATACATTGAACTGAATGAAAGTGAAGAGACAACACATCAAATTGCAGGACACAGCTAAAGCAGTGCCAGAGGAAAACATATAGACCTACATGTCCACCTCACAAAAGAAGGAAGTCTAAATAATCATCTAAACCCCCAGCGTGAGCCACTGCGCCCAGCTGACATTTCTTCAAAGAAGATATACAAGTGATGAATAGGCTCATAAAAGATGCTCAACAATGGCTGCATGCGGTGGCTCATGCCTGTAATCCCAGAGCTTTGAGAGGCCAAGGTGGGAGGATCACTTGAGGCCAGGAGTTCAAGACCAGTCTGGGTAACATAGCAAGACCCCACCTCTACAAAAAAAAACAGTTTTAAAAACTTAGCCAGGCATGGTAGCATGCGCGTGTGGTCCTTGCTACTTCGGAGGCTGAGGAGGGAGAATCGCCTGAGCCCAGGAGCTTGAGACCAGCCTGGGCAACACAGGAAGACCTCATCTCTACAAAAAATTTAAAAATTAGCCAGGCTTGGCAGTGTGCACCTGTGGTCTTGGCTACTCTCCCAAGCTGAGGTGGGAGGATTACTTGAGCCCAGGAAATTGAGGCTACAGTGAGCTATGACCATGCCCCTGTACTCCAGCCTGAGTGACACAGTAAGACCCTGTCCCAAAAATAAAAATAAGTCACTTTAGAAATGCAAGTCAAAACTGAACAGAAATACCACTTCATGCCCACTAAGATGGTGAAAATTGTCTTATTTTTTAGTTTTATTATTACTGTTTTAAAGACAGGGTCTCCCTCTGTTACACAGGCTAGAGTGCAGTGGCGCTATCCTGGCTCACTGCAGCCTCCAGCTCCTGGGCTCAAGTGATCCTCCCACCTCAGTCTCCCGAGTAGCTGGAACTACAGGCACACACCACCATGCCTGGCTAACTTTTTAATGTTTTTGTAGAGACAGGGTCTTGCTATGGTGCCCAGGCTGGTCTCAAATTCTTGGGCTCAAGTGATCCTCCCACCTCAGCCTCCCAAAGTGCTGGGATTATAGGCATAAACCACCACTCCTGGCCTGATGGTTAAAATTTCAGACAGACAACAAATGCTGGTAAGGATGCAGAGAAACTGGAGCCCTTGTGCACTGCTGGTATAAATATAAAATGGTACTGCCACTATGGAAAACAGTTTGGTGGTTCCTCAAATGGTTAAACACAGAGTTCTATGATCCAGTAATTCCAATCCTAGGTCCATACCCAAGAGAAATGAAAACATATTCCTTGCAAAAACTTGTGCAAGAATGTTCATAGCAGCATTAGTCATAATTTTTAAAAGTGGAAATATCTAAATGTCCATCAACTCATGAAATATAAATAAAATATGCTATAAATACACAACAAAATCATACTTGACAAAAAAATACCAATACTTGCTTCATCGTGGATGTAAAAACACAAAAGGCCACCGATTGTATGATTCCATTTATATAAAATGTCTGGAATAGACAAATCTACAGAGACAGAAAGGTTAGTGCTTGCCAGAGGCTGTGGGAATAAGGAAATAGGGACTGATGGCTCATGGATACAGGGCTTCTTTTTTGGTTAATGAAAATGCTTAAAATTAGATAACAATGATGGCTGCACAACTTTTTGAACATACAAAAAACTCTGAACTGTAAACTGTAAACTTTAAAATGGTGAATTTTATGGTACACAGATTATATTGCAGCAAAAGTGTTATTTAAAAAAAAGATCTCCAAAAAGAAATTTCTAAGCCCAGAGAGTTTCACAGTAGAATCCTACCAAACGTTTTTAAAAGACATAACACATTTCTATACAATCTCTTCCAGAAAACAGAGGAGGAATAAATACTTCCTGATTTATTTTATGAAGCTTGTGTTACCTTGATACCAAAACCAGACAAAGGCAATACAAAAAAAGGAAAATCATAGGCCAGGCACGGTGGGGCTCACGCCTGTAATCCCAGCACTTTGGGAGGTTGAAGCAGGCAGATCACAAAGTCAAGAGATCGAGACCATCCAGGCCAACATGGTGAAACACTGTCTCTACTAAAATACAAAAAATTAGCCAGGCGTGGTGGTGGGTGCCTGTAGTCCCACCTACTTGGGAGGCTAAGGCAGGGGAATCCCTTGAACCTTGGAGGCGGAGATTGCAGTGAGCCAAGATCACAACACTGCACACCAGCCTGGTGACACAGCAAGACTCCGTCTCAACAACAACAACAAAAAAAGACAAGAAAATTACAGATCAAAATCCCTCATGAATATAAGTGTAAGACTCCTTAGTAAAAATGCTAACAAATACAATTCAGCAACACATAAAGAGAATTAGGTACCATGACCATGTGGGATTTATTCTGGGAATGCAAGGCTGGTTCAATATTCAAAAATCAATGTAATTCACCATATTAACAGACTAAAGAAGAAAACTCACATGATCATATCAGTGCAGAAAACACATGTGACAAAATTCAACACCCATTCAAAACAAAAACTCTCAGAAAAGTAAGAATAGAATAGAGTAGAACTGCCCCAACTTGATAAACAGCATCTACCTCAAAAGAAAAAACAACAACTCAACCGTACAGCTAACATTATACTTAATTGTGATAGATCAAATGCTTTTTCCTAAGATTGGGAGCATGGCAAATATGTCAGCTCTCGCCATTCTTACTCAACATAATGCTGAAGTTTCTAGCCAGTGCCATAAGGCTACGCACATAGATCGAGATACGCAGACCAAGGGGATAGAATACAGAGTCCCAAAATAAACTCTTGCATATATGGCCAAATGATTTTTGACAAGAGCGTCAAGACCATTTTATGGTAAAAGGACAGTCTTTTCAGCAAATCCGAGGTGGGCGGATCACCTGAGGTCGGGAGTTCAAGACCAGTCTGACCAACATGGAGAAACCCCGTCTCTACTAAAAATACAAAAATTAGACAGGCGTAATGGCAGATGCCTGTAATCCCAGCTACTCAGGAGGCTGAGGCAGGAGAATCACTTGAACCCAGGAGGCGGGTTCCATTGCACTCCAGCCTGGGCAACAAGAACAAAACTCTGTCTCAAAAAAAAAAAAAAAGAAGAAGAAAGCTGGATCCTTATCTAACACCATATACAAAAATTAAATAAAAAATGGATCAAAGACCTGAATGTGAGACCTAAAAAAAGTAAAACTCTTAAAAGAAAACATAGGTCAAAAGCTTCACAATATTAGATTTGACAGCGACTTCTTGGATATGACATCAAAGGTAAAGGCAACAAAAGAAAAAACAGACAAACTAGACTGCATGAAAATTTTAAAATGTTGTGCATCAAATGACACCATCAATTCAGTAAAAAGGGCACACATAGAATGGGAGAAAATCGTAAATCATATATCTGAAAAGGATTATACTCAGAATATACAGAGAATGCCTAAAACTCAACAACAACCAAAACAACAGATTCAAAAATGGGCAAGGAACTCCAACAGACATTTCTTCAAAGAAGACATGCAAATGGCCAATAAGTGCAAGAAAAAATGCTCAACATCACTAATCATTAAAGAAATGCAAATCAAAACTACAAGCAGATACCACCTCACATACATTAAAATGGCTACTATCAAAAACACAGAAATTAACAAGTATTGGTGAGGATGTGCAGAAATGGAAATGCATGTGTATTCCCACCAAAAGGTGGGAATGTCAAATGGTACAACTATTGTGCAAAACGATACAGCAGTTCCTCATGAACTTAAAAATGTAATTATCATATGATCCCTCAATTCCACTTCTGGGTATATACCCAAAAGAATTGAAAGCAAGGTCTCAAAGAGATATTTATACAACCATGTTCATGGCAGCACTCTTCGTAAGAGTTAAAACATGGAAGCAACCCAATGGTCCATTGACAGAGGAATGGATAAGCAAAATGTCATACAATGGAATATTACTCAGCCTTAAGAAGGAAGGAGGTGGCTGGGCGCAGTGGCTTACACCTGTAATCCCAGCACTTTGGGAGGCTGAGGCAGGTGGATCACGAGGTCAGGAGTTCAAGACCAGCCTGGCCAAGATAGTGAAACCCCATCTCTACTAAAAATACAAAAATTAGCTGGGCACTGTGGCAGGTGCCTGTAATCCCAGCTACTCGGGAGGCTGAGGCAGGAGAATCGCTTGAATCCAGGGGGCAGAGCTTGCAAGTGAGCCAAGATAGTGCCACTATACTCCAGCCTGGGCGACAGAGTGAGACTCCGTCTCAAAAAAAAAAAAAAAAAAGAAAGGAAAAAAGGAAGCCAGGTACAGTGGCTCACGCCTGTAATCCCAGCAATTTGGAAGGCCGAGGTGGGCGGATCATGAGGTCAGGAGATCAAGACCATCCTGGCCAACATGGCGAAATCCCGTCTCTACTAAAAAAAAAAAAAAAAAATGCAAAACTTAGCTGGGCATGGTGGCGCGTGCCTGTAGTCCCAGCTACTCCGGAGGCTGAGGTAGGAGAATGGCATGAACCTGGGAGGGGGAGCTTGCAGTGAGCCGAGATTGCACCACTGCACTCCAGCCTGGGCGACAGAGCAAGACTCCATCTCAAAAAAAAAAAAATGGTTACGATGGTAAATTTTATGTTATCGGTATTTTAGCACAATAAAAAAAAAAGCAGATCCAAAAGAAGAAATAAACTGTTTCTGTTTGCAAATTGTATGATTATCAACATAGAAGATCCCAAGGAATCTACAAAAAAATCTCCCAGAACTAATAAGGGAGTTGGTAAGGTTGAATGATCAAGATCAACATACAAAAGTCCATTGTATTTCTATATACTAGCAATGAACACATGGACACTGAAATTTAAAATACAATACCATTTTCTAATGGGAACAACATAGCAAAGGTTGCTGCCTAGGTGTTAGAACACCACACCCAAAACGTGGCCAGAGATAAGAACTTAGAGGCATCTCTCCCACCTAGCAGACTACACATTTCTGCTGCCTCCTTTAAACAGACCATTCAGGCATTCGCCCACAAATTTAAAGGGACCCACACCCTATTCCCTAGCATGGCCAGTTGCCTCCCCCTATACCTCTCTGACTCTTCATTACTGCCTCAGATAACCTGGGGAGGGAGGATGGCGCTCCCCACTCACGGTGCCCTCCCTGCCGATCTGTAGGTAATACATCGTTGAACTTATTTCCTGTTGTGGTGGTGACTGAATGTGTGCCTTCCATCTGAAGAACCAGGGCTACCCTTGGCCAGGTTTTCCCTGGGGAACTAGGATGGGCTCCCAACACTGCAATGCTGGTCAGGCACAAACCAGACACGGGTCGGACAAGAGCCACAAGGATGTCTGCCAGTATAAACAAGCTTCCTGTATCAGGAACCCCCTGGTCACAGGCGGGACAACCAGGCACTGGCTGCCTGCCAAGTAATCCAAGTATCCCATGAAGGGTACACTGTCAACACCAAGGTCCGCTTCCTTTCATCCCCTGTGAGGGCAGGGTTGCTGGACACTCTAGTACTAGAACACCAGTTTCTCCAGGGGTGCTCAAAACACATTAGAATCATTCAAAGAAAATAAGAAAACATAATAGCTACAAATCTAACAAAATGTATATTGTATGCTGAAAACTACAAAATGCTAATGAAAGAAATCAAACATGATCTAAATATATGAAGAGAAATAACATGTTCTGATTGGACATGGAACATCCAACATAGTAATGATGTCAATTCTCCCAAACTGAATAACATGGAAAGAATCAGTCTAACCTGACTTCAAAACATATAGGTAACTACAATAAGCAAGACTACGTGGTATTGGCAGAGAGAAAGACACGTGGACCTGAAATAGACCCACATAAATATGTCCAGCTGATTTCTGGCAAAGGTACAAAGGCAATTCAATGGAGGAAATACAGCCTTTTCAACAAGGGGTGTTGGAGCTACAGGAAGGAAGGGAGGGAGGGAAGGAAGGAGGAGGGGAAAGAGGGAGGGAAGGAGGGAGGGAAGGAGGAAGGAAGGGAGGGAGGAAGGAAAGAAGGAAGGAAGGAAGGCAGGCAGGCAAAAACCTCACACTTTTATTAACCTAAAATAGATTGTAAACTTACATGTAAAATATAAAACAATACAACTTTTAGAAAAAAAAAAAGAAAATCTTCAGGATTCAGGACTAGGCAGAGTTCTTACAGTTGACACCAAAAGCCCAATCCACAAAAGGATAAATTGATAAACTGGACTCGATCAAATTTTAAAAACATTTGTTCCATGAAAGACCAGGTGAAAAGTATGAAAAGATAAGCTACTGACTAGGAGAAAATATTTGCAAACCATATATATGACAAAGAACCAGTTCCTAGAATATATAAAGAACAATTCAAACAGAACATGGGCAAAAGATGTGAAGAGACGTTTCACCAAAGATACACAGATGGCAAATAAGTCCAGAAAGATGCTCAACACCACTCACTGTTAGGACATGCGAATTAAAACCAGTGATGTGTCACTATACCCCTATCAGAATGGCTAAAATAAAAAAGTGTCACCACCAAACACTGGCCAGAATGCACAAAAACTGAACTATTCACACACCACTGGTGGAAATGTAAAAGAGTGTAGCCCTCTGGAAAAGCTTTGGTTTCTTAAAAAACTAAGCATGCAACTACTATACCTAGAAATTTGCACTCTTTGGCATTTATCCCAGAGAAATGAAAACTTATGTTTGCACAAAAATGTGTACAGCAACTCTATTCATAATAACCCCAAATTGGAAGCTTCCACAGGTGAACGGTTAAACAAGCCATGGTACAGCCATAGCACGGAATACTACCTGGCACCACGGAATACCACCTGGCACCAGGGAATACCACCTGGCACCACGGAATACTACCTGGCACCACGGAATACCACCTGGAGCCACGGAATACCACCTGGAGCCATGGAATACTACCTGGCACCACGGAATACCACCTGGTGCCACGGAATACCACCTGGAGCCACGGAATACTACCTGGCACCACGGAATACCACCTGGAGCCACGGAATACTACCTGGCACCATGGAATACCACCTGGCACCATGGAATACCACCTGGCACCACGGAATACCACCTGGCACCATGGAATACCACCTGGCACCACGGAATACCACCTGGCACCACGGAATACCACCTGGCACCACGGAATACTACCTGGCACCACAAATTGACACCTGGCACCACTCAATACTACCTGGCAGTAAAAGGAAACATGCTACCAACACCTGGGTGAACCTCCAGAGAATTTTGTTTGAGTGAAAGCAGCCAGTACCAAAAGGTTACATTTGGTGTGGTTTTGTCCACGTAACATTCTCAAAATGACTAAATTATAGATATGGCAAACAGATTAGTGGTTGCCGGGGATTAAGGAGGGGGCGAGGGCAGGAGAGATGCGGGTGTGACCACAAAAGGGCAGCAGGAGGGACCCCTGCAGGGATGGAGATGCTCTACGTCTTCACTGTGTCAACATCATTGATACTGATGTATCAACATCAATATCCTAACTGTGACCCTGACTATAGTTTTGCAGGTTGTCACCACTGGGAGAAAAGGGTAAAGGATGCATGAGCTATTTCTGTATTTCTCACTACTGCATGTGAATCTACAATTATCTTAAATTAAAAGTTTAATTTTTTAAAAGCCCATTCCCTTAACCCCTGTCTCCCTGCAGTTACTTCCCACTGCTCTGCTCCCTCCAAGAGTCATCTGCGGTTGCCACCCTGATTTCCTCACCTCCTCCTCCCTGTAACCCACGCATTCCAGGGCGTTGTCCCACCACTGAGACCGCCCTTGCCAAGTTTACCAACAACCTTCCTCTTATCAAACGCAACAGTCCGGGCTTCCCATCTTCCTTGACCTCCAGCAACATCTGGCCCAGCTGATCATGTTCTCCGAACGCTTTACTCTGCTCCCAGGATGCTGTGTGGTGTGGTGTTGATCATGTTCTCCGAACGCTTTACTCTGCTCCCAGGATGCTGTGTGATCGCGGTGCTGATCATGTTCTCCGAGCACTTTATTCTGCTCCCAGGATGCTGTGCGGTCGTGGTGCTGATCATGTTCTCCGAACGCTTTACTCTGCTCCCAGGATGCTTTGCGGTCGTGGTGCTGATCATGTTCTCCGAACGCTTTACTCTGCTCCCAGGATGCTGTGCGGTGTGGTGTTGATCATGTTCTCCGAGCACTTTACTCTGCTCCCAGGATGCTGTGTGATCGCGGTGCTGATCATGTTCTCCGAACGCTTTACTCTGCTCCCAGGATGCTGTGCGGTCGTGGTGCTGATCATGTTCTCCGAATGCTTTATTCTGCTCCCAGGATGCTGTGCGGTCGCGGTGCTGATCGTGTTCTCCGAACACTTTACTCTGCTCCCAGGATGCTGTGCGGTCGTGGTGCTGACCATGTTCTCCGAACGCTTTACTCTGCTCCCAGGATGCTGCGCGGCTGCAGTGCTGATCATGTTCTCCAAACACTTTACTCTGCTCCCAGGATGCTGTGCGGTCGTGGTGCTGATCGTGTTCTCCGAACGCTTTACTCTGCTCCCAGGACGCTGTGTGATCGCGGTACTGATCGTGTTCTCCGAACGCTTTACTCTGCTCCCAGGATGCTGTGCGGTCGTGGTGCTGATCGTGTTCTCCGAACGCTTTACTCTGCTCCCAGGATGCTGTGCGGTCGTGGTGCTGATCAGGTTCTCCGAACGCTTTACTCTGCTCCCAGGATGCTGTGCGGTCGTGGTGTTGATCATGTTCTCCGAACGCTTTACTCTGCTCCCAGGATGCTGTGCGGTCACGGTGCTGATGGTGTTCTCCGAACGCTTTACTCTGCTCCCAGGATGCTGCGCGGCTGCAGTGCTGATCATGTTCTCCGAACACTTTACTCTGCTCCCAGGATGCTGTGCGGTCGTGGTGCTGACCATGTTCTCCGAACGCTTTACTCTGCTCCCAGGATGCTGCGCGGCCGTGGTGCTGACCATGTTCTCCGAACGCTTTACTCTGCTCCCAGGATGCTGCGCGGCCGTGGTGCTGACCATGTTCTCCGAACGCTTTACTCTGCTCCCGGGATGCTGTGTGGTCGTGGTGTTTTTCCTGCCCCCTTAAAAGCTCCAGCCCCATCTCTTTCGTGGCTCCTGCTTTCCTACTGGACCTCTGAGTGCTGGAATTCTCCCCAGTATCAGCCTTGGGCCTTCTTTTCTCCATCTGCACTTATTACCCAGGTGATCTCATCCTCTCACATAGTTTTAAACACTGTCCATGAGTCAAGTACTTCAAATGCTCATCAGCCTGCTGTTCCCTCTGAATTCCCTCTCAAACACCCACCTACACACCCAAGATCTCCACTTGTATGAAAATAGTTATCTAAAGTTTTGCAGAGCCAAAACAGAATCCTGGAGTTCCGCCACCACCCTCTGCTATAACAAAACTAAGTAAATTCGTGTCTCCCGATTCTCCCTTTCTTAGTAAATGGCATCACCTTTCTCAGTGCCTCAAGTCACATCATCGTTGAGACTTCTCCTTCTCTCACATCCACTCTATGAGCAAGGCCTGTTTGTGCTAGCATCAAAATGCAGCTATGGATCTGAACACTTTCAAACTTGGATCTTCACGGAACTAGTACAATGAACATAAGCAAAGCATACGTGCATAATCATAAAGCAACATGATTTACCTCCACTGCGCCTCCAAACATGGTCATTGGAGAAATCCTTCCCATGCCCCTAGATGATAATTTGGACAAGCCCATGACCATTCTGACAGCTCCTGGGTAAGGCGAAGTTCTACAGCCACTTTCAAGTGGAAAATACAGTTTCAACTCGGCAGTTGAAAGTGTTCAGGCCAGGTGTGGTGGCTCATGCCTGTCATCCCAGCACTTTGGGAGGCTGAGGCAGGTAGATCACTTGAGGTCAGGAGTTCAAGACCAGCCTGGCCAACATGGCGAAACCCTGTCTCCACTAAAAATACAAAAATTAGCTGGATGGGGTGGCTCGTGCCTGTAATCCCAGCTACTTAGGAGGCTGAGGCATGAGAATCACTTGAACCAAGGAGGCAGAGGTTGCAGTGAGCCAAAATCGTGCCATCGCATTCCAGCATGGGAGACAAAGCAAGACTCTGTCTCAAAAAAAAAAGAAAGTGTCCAGTCTCAGTCTCAGCTGGCCATCAAACTGACATGCTTCACCATGACAATACCCACTCTCGCTGGCTGGCCTGCCACAGCTGGTTGCTTTCAGTGGAAGAGAAAGACACGGCCCCTCTTTGCTCCCCTGTACCCAGCACTATCACAGCAGGGGAGGGAGAAGGGACAGCTGTTATTCCTCGTGCGGTGCTGTCCTGAGATGATCTCACCTCTCTGGACCTAACAGGAATTTACTGCCGACTCGTCTCTCCCCAGGCTCATCCGTGTGTTCTCCCAAAGCTCCATTTGACTCCGCCTGCTTTTCCAGGCACAGACAAAGCCATTTCTCCTCAAGCTGGAGTGCCCCCACGCTGCCCCACCCGCTGCCACCAGCTTTTCAGCAATCCACTCTGAGACCCCATCACTCACCCGGTCCTGGCTGCCCGCTGTTGCTCACACCCCCACTCCTGCTCCCAACACGGACTGAGCTTTCCATCTCTCTGCCTCCACCCCTACTGCAGGCCGTGGGCTTCCGCCCACAAAGAACCCAGATGTCATTGCTTGAAGGAGCGTATATCCGAGGGGCCACAAAAGTCCCTCTCACTGGGTTGGAGGTGAGGGGCGGGCTCTCGCTCTCTCCAAAGGATCCTCTTCAAAACTCCTGTCTAATCTCCAGTGACCGACCCTGTATGCCCTTAGTGTGGAGGAGCGGACTGGTCGGTTCTTGGCTACCTGCTCTGGGGCCTTGTGTGGCGCCAGCCCCAGGCACTGCCATGACTGCATCTTGCTGCCCCGGCCAAGCTTCCAAGGTGTTGTAGCATCTGCATGTCTGGTTTCTAGACCTCACCAGGCCTTGCCCTCCCAGTACCCTGTACCTCGTCACTGCCTGCTCCTCAACCTCTTCTGTTTTCTTCACGGCACTCGCCACTGTCCATGCCCTTACGTGTCGAATGCCTCTGCTCACCACTGTGTAAGCGGAGCCAGCACTCACTGGGTCCTACTGAAACACATGCTGGCTGAAACCTCTGTGGCCCCTCCTGGCCAGTGCTGCCTGCCCCAGGATGGGGCTCCTGCCCATCCCCTCCTGCGGGAGGCAGAGACCCAGGCAGAAGAATCTGAGTCATGTGCGGCCCCTGGCCAAGCCCCAGTGGACACTGAGGGCTGTGGAGACCTGGTCACACAGTCCTTCATTTGGGTGGGGCCAGCAGGAATGCAGCCAGCTCAGAGCTATTTTTAGGGTCTGTCTTTGTGGGAATTGTTCCTTGATTGGCTACAGAGAGAGAACAGCCAAGCTCCTCATCACCGGCTTTGTCCTGTTCCTCATTCCCTCAATCACACAAGCCTGTCATCAGACACGACTCCCACTCGAGGAGGAATCTGGTTCACATGGACCCTGTGCTGGCTTTTCCTTAACTCCTCATCTGCCATCTGCCTGTTCAAGAAGCTTGATAAACGAGCTCAATAAGCATTTAGCAAATGCCTGCTGAATGCCCAGCCCTATCTCCATGAACGCATGAGGCACAGGGCAAAGGGCCCCAGTCTCTCCCCAGGACCTGTCCACCATCATGCCACCAGCCCTCATGAGCACAGCTGCTGGAGGCTGGGGAGAGAGGCACAGGCTCCCAGGCACACGTGGACCAAGCTTCACCCCAGGGCACAAGTAACAAGCTCTAGGTGAAAGCACCTTGCACTCCGGCCCCCTCCCCACCCTGACAGCACCTGAGGGGAACACATCCTCTAGTTACTCAAAACCTAGCACCCCTCCCAGATTCCTGACCCACAGGCGCCTGACCCTTCTCCACCTTCCACAGCCCCTCAAGTACTAACTTAATTATTCTCATGCCCTGGTAGCTCACAGGACTCACAGAGGGGACAGACAGCAGCAGAGGCCTTCCTATAAAGAGGCAGATCTGCTCAAGAGTCGGTGGTGGGGGGATGGGAGACTCCACCAAGAAGGGACCCAGGCAGAGGCAACGTGAGGGAGCTGGGCCATCAGGCACCCCCCCCAAGCCTTATACTCAACTTCAATCATGGCCACCAAATCCAGGCTGCCGTAAACTGCAGAGACAGGCCGGCATCCTGATGAGAGCGAGGAGACCAAAGAGGAAACAGGACCAGACAGACTCGGCATGAAGGAAACAAATGCACAAGCCACAGGCTCCACTCTAAGAATCCCTGCGTGACCGAGGAAGGTCTTGGGGGCCTCGGCCCTGCTCCGCGGTTCACCACCTTCGCCGGGCAGCCTGGGGACGGGAGGCCCAGCAGCCCTACTGTCCCTCAACTCCAACAGAGACCCTAGAGGGGTGGCACAGCAACAGCTGCCCATGGTCCTCGGGCTGGAGAAAGTTAGTCAGCTTCTCCACAAGTCAGCCTCATCATCTGTGCAACAGGTTCCTGAGAGGAGTCAACAGGAATAAAACACTTCCCAGAGGGCCTAACCCAGAGCAGCTAGCAGTGCTACTATCGTCCTTGCCAACAGAAACAGCAGCATCTCCTCTGGAGTTTTCTTCTCTGACCTCCACCAGTCAGCCTTCTGCTTCATTTTCACGAAGGAGTCAACTCCAGGAGGACCCACCTCAGGAGTCTGAGCTGAGGCTGCCTGTGGTGGACCCTTGGGTGGGGCGTCTGCCGGAAAGAGCCTGCATTTCATCCTAGGGGTGCAGGGAGGAGCCTAGGGCTGGGCAGAGGCTCTGAGGTCAGAAGGGCCCCCCTAAATGGACCCCCAGAGGCACCAGCTCAGGAGGTCCAGGGCCTGCCCTCAGGCCCAGGGCCAAGACGCCACTCACATTATAGAGGATGTCAGTCCAGCCCTCCATGGTGATGCACTGGAACACCGTCAAGATGGCAAACAGGATATTGTCAAAGTTGGTGATGCCAAAGTTGGGTCCTGGCCAGTACTCCCGGCACTCAGTGTCGCCCTCGCACAGCCGGGCTGGGGCCTCCTTGCCACAGGGGAAGTCACCCACGGGCTCCGCATCTGCAAGAAGGAGAATGAAGCAGACCCTGAGCTCAGAAATACCAAGCTCTCCAATCCCCACCAGGATTCCTGGGCTCTGGAGAGCTCACAGCAGGTGGGCAGGAACCAGCCACCAACAGAAACTCTCCCTCAACTTCCCACCATCCCTCCTCGAATCTGCATCAGGCATCGCCTCTTGCTGACCCCGAGCTCACGAGTGACCAACTCAGGGAGTAACGGCTGGCCTCTCCCTCCTACTGGAACCTGCCCACCATCACTTGATGGTGGGCTCACAGCCCATTCATCTTAAAACTAAAAACAACAAACTCCTAACCTCCCATTCTTCCCACCACCCTGACCATTCCTCTCCCTCACAGCCAAACCGCCACGCTGATCGTTCCTCTCCCTCACAGCCAAACTGCCTCCCTCACAGCCAAACCACCACGCTGACTGTACCTCTCCCTCACGGCCAAACTGCCACGAGGACCGTTCCTCTCCCTCACAGCCAAACTACCTCCCTCACAGCCAAACTGCCACGCTGACTGTACCTCTCCCTCACAGCCAAACTGCCAGCAATATCCTCCTGACACGCAGATCTAACTTGAGGCCCTTGGCCAGTCCCAAGCTGGACTCAGCCACTGTGCAGTCTGGTGCCTGTCAGGCAGGATGATCTGGAACCAACCGAACATGTACCCGGAGGGTGGCTGGAGACCTCCTGGCCCAGGTCTCGCTGCACTGACCCTACAGGGCGGACATCCTTCTACTGTGCTGAAACCGAGCAGGCAGCCAGGGACCAGAGAAAGAGGGGTTAAAGAAAGACCAGAAAACCACTGCTAATCTCTGGAACAAGATAGCAAGCAGCACGTTTACCCCCTTCACTCTCAAAAATCTCAATGAAAGGCCGAAAAAAAATATTTTTAAAAAATGCAGGCCAGGCACGGTGGCTCACGCCTGTAATCCTAGCACTTTGGGAGGCTGAGGTGGGCAGATTGTCTGAGCTCAGGAGTTCGAGACCAGCCTGGGCAACATGGTGAAACCCTGTCTGTACTAAAATACAAAAAATTAGCTGGGCGTGGCACCATGGGCATGTAATCCCAGCTACTCGGGAGGCTGAGGCAGGAGAATTGCTAGAACCTGGGAGGCGGAGGTTGCAGCGAGCCGAGATTGCACCACTGCCCCCCAGCCTGGGCAACAGAGTGAGACTCCGTCTCAAAAAAAAAAAAAAAAAAAATTGTATAACAACACATGAAAATATCTATCAACATAGGAGAAATTTTGTGGAGTTGCTCAGCTGGAAAGCAAATACTCCCAGGTTTAGAAGGCAAAACTGACTACCTAAGTTTATTCCTCTCTGTCCAAATATCTTGATAAATGCTGGTAAAGAAGACTAAGAATAATGAGTTTCATCTCCTCCTTTCCAGTTCTTTTTTTTTTTTTTTAACTTTTTCTTTTTCTTGTCTCATGACCTGGCCATGACTACAAATGCTACGTGGACTAGAAGTGACTTGCTTTTGTTCTTGACTGTAAAGGGAAAGCTCTCAAGGCTTAGTTGAGGTATGGTATTTGCAGGAAATCTGCAGGGATTTAAGAAAATTCTCTTTTATTTACAGTTGGATTAAAGGTTTTTGTTTTTTTTTTAAAATCACGAACGATCTAAATTCTAGTAAAACCTTTTTCTAAAAGTGCTGGGACTATAGGTGAGCCACCGCCGGCTGGGTTTTCTCCTTTACTAAGTTTGTAGTTCAAGCCACAAACCTTAGCTTCATCCTTAACTCTTCTGTTTCTCTTACCCCCACATATAGACTCTCAGAAAATTCTGTTGGCTTTACCTACAAATACACCCATAATTTGACCCATTTTAACCACCTCTATCACAACACCCTGGCCCCAGCCACCATCACCTCTGCTGGATTGAGATCTTCTACTCAACTCCCAGGAGCAGCCCGAATGATCAGAAGATGCCACACCTCACTCAAAGCGCTCCACTGTCTTCCCGTTTCTCTCAGAATAAGACAGGGCCATGAAGCCCACATGATTCCTCTTGTTCTCGCTGCTCCGCACCATAGGCCTTTGCACCTACTACTACTACTACTGGTAACTGAAGTTCTGCCCAGGTGGCCACACGGCTCCAATCTCCCTGCATTCAGATGCTGCTCGACGGTCACCTTGGCAGAGTTGGCCTCCTGGGCCCCTCTGTAAAGCAGGCCCCAAATTATTCTATTTCAAATACCTTTTTGTTTTCTTCCCAAAAGTTACTACAATCGATAATTATTATATTTCTGTGTTTATTTACTTGTGTTTATCAGGCTATCGTCTATGTCCCCCACTAGAATGTCAGCTCCACCTCATGTATCTGGCACCAAGAAGGCCCCTCTAGCACCTAGAACAGTGCCCATCTCCTGGATGAACGCATCCGTGGCACTTGCCTGTGCTGGAGGGTGCTGCCTGGCCTCACCTGTGCTGTTGGGGAAACAGGCCTTGTGGAACTTGCCCATGTAGAACTCCAGGCCAATGATGGCAAACATGAGGATGGCAAAGAAGAGAAGCAGCCCAATCTGCAGGAGTGGAACCATGGCCTTCATGATGGACTTGAGCACCACCTGCAAACCTGGGGCCAGAACAGGGCAGGTCAGGAAGCAACGTGGGCAGGGTAGGGCAAGGAATTTGGTGGGGGCAGGGACAGAACAGCAGGAACCTAGCAGGGACAGCAAGGTGCTAAGCAGTGAGTGCTTGCAAGGGCAAAGGATAGAGCTGAAGCCCCTTAAGGCGCAGAGGGGCAGAGAGTGCTTGTGTAGGGCAGAGCTGAGAGTCCTAGGGACAAAGCATAAGGTCCTAGAGAGAAGTCGACTGAGAAGTGTCTCAAAGTAGGCAGAGGAGTGGGATGTGGGGGTGTCAGGGTATGAAGTCTGGGGTGGGGAGTGGGGCTCAGGGTGGGGCAACAGAGAATCCTGAGAGGAAAGAGAATGAAATCCTGAGAAGGAAGAGCCAAGTCAGAGGACATCCTGAGAGGAAAGAACAGGGAATTCTAGGAGGGAAGAGCAGAGAATGCTGGGAGCTAAGGGCAGGGGATCCTGGGAGGAAGGAGCAGAGAATGCTGGGAGCTAAGAGGAGGGGACCCTGGGAGGGAAGAGCAGGGGATCCTGGGGGAGAAGTACAGGTATTCCTAACAGACCCAACTCCTTGGGAGAAAGTGAGGCAAAAAAGACCTGCCCCTGGGAATGTTCTGCCACTGGCCATACAGCATGTGAGGAACTGGGCAGAGGAGCCTGTAAACCTTGACCCCTCCCCTTCGAGTCTGGCCCCAGCACTTGGATATGGGCCAGAACCATTGCCTGGCAAGGTCTCAGGGTAGAACAGGGAGCCAATCACGGGTCTTCCCTCAGTGGCCTCAGGAGGACACAGCTCTAGTTCCATGTCCACTCAGGCCCTTAGGTAAACCTAAAACCAGACTTCCACTGGGCTGAAGGAATAGGGGTCCAGGTGGTCACTGGCTCATGAGGTCACCCTGGCCATCCTCCTGCTCATGGCAGGCTCTGTGGGCAGCCCACTTCAGGAGCATGTCTTAAGGCTGGCCTCAGTCCCCAGTGGCCCTGACAAGACTGAGCCAAGAGACAAGTGGCCCTTTGCAGCTTTTGCACATTTTCTCAGGCATCCTTCCCCACCACCTTGGTCAACCTCTCATCCATTCTTTACCCTCAGAAAAAGAAGCAAAATGCTGAAATGTGACAGAGTATGTGAGGAGGAACAAAGCTTCCATCTAGGGAAGCCAGGTCAGGGTAAAATAACAGCATCACCCTGTGGGCTTTCATGGAGGGTGTGACAGGCCAAAAAAGGCCTGCTCCTCCCTTCCTCCTGCCTGGTTCCCTGGGGTCAAAAGTGGCAAGCTCAGAGTCACCAAAGCCAAACCATGGCCATGGCCATGTCCGTGGTGAGGGTAGGAGAGGAGGTTGTTACTCCAAGCCGGCTTGGGCCTGTCTTCGCTGGACTCACTTGGAATCCCAGACACCAGCTTCAGGGGCCTCAGCACACGCACAGCCCTCAGTGTTCGCAGGTCGAAGTCAGTTCCAGCCGTGGCAAGGATCCTGGCAGAAACAAGGAGAAGAAGGGAAGTAAAGGTTTCCACATTGAGCCTGGAAGAGGACACACTCCTCCCACCACCAGGGTCATGTCTCCCAAGAGCAGTGACACCTTCATTCCTGTGTCCCCACTGTCCAACCACAGGGCCAGCACCTGTGTCCCCCCACTGTCCAACCACAGGGCCAGCACAGAGCGGCTTGCCAGGTGAGAGGAGGCAGGAACTGAATCCAGAAGCGCTCACAGGAATGTTCACAATCACCCACATGACCAAACCTCCAGTTCAAAGGCACCATCTCTGAATAGACACTTGGCCCCTGGCATGGCAGGAAATCTGTCTACCAATTGAGTTTAAGGCTGACCCATATCCCCTAACCAACCCCAGCTGCACTTCAAGCTGCCTTCTGAGAGGAGTGGAGACTGAGAGCAGGAGCAGGATGGAGCCTGAGGGACTCCTGAACCGACCCCCATATACCACCATTCTTTCCCTTATCTCAGGAAGACAGGGAAGTGGGGTATTGGAAAGGTGGAATGAGGAAGACACTGTGGTCAGTTCTATTAGCAAAAAAACATATCCCAGTATCTCCCATCTTAAGAACAAAACTAAAGATCCCATATCTGCCTTCTACCACAGAGCATTTCTCTGTTCCCTTCCCATCAGAACTCACGGATGGTGTCAATCCTCGGTCTCACCACTTCCTTATCTTGAGCTCTCTCATTAGCTTTCTCCAGCCAGGTTCTCACCCACCTCTCCACTGAAATGCTACCTCAAGCCTTCCTCTTGCCAATTCTAACGGTCAAGTCTCCTTTAAAGGGTGTGGTCTCTTGCCTTAGGCCAACTCTCTCCTGTTTTCCTCCCACTCCCTGGGGGCTCCTTCTTAGTTTCTTTTGCCAGCTTTGCCTTCTCTGCCAGAGATTCAAAACGAGGGTGCCCCAAGGCTCATTCCATGTAGGAGCTACCCAATAGCTTTGAGTATCACGCATGTCCGTTATTCCCAAGTGTGTATCTTTAATCCAGACCTGGAGCTCTAGGCTCATATATACAACTGCCTTTTTAACAGTTCCATATGGGTATTTTAAAAAGCATATGAAACATTACACAACTAAAGAATTATTTTTTTCACTTTAACACAAGTATAAAAGATGTACCTTTTTTCTAAAGTTCAGAGTTGTTACATCACAGTGACTAAGAAACTTTCTATTCTTACTTCCAGTCCTGCTCCTTCCCCCTTTGTTCCCCTCAGCGGATCGCACCAGTCACCTATTGTTTAAACCAAACCTGAAACTTCATCCCTGACTCCGGTCCTTCTCTCATATGCCACGTCCGGGTCACCAACAATCCTGCTGGCTCTGCCTCTAACGCGCATCCAGGGTTCTTGGCGAAGGCTTTGTGATCACCCGCTCCAAACACATAGCCGTAACAGACAAAATCTGAGACAGAACTGGGGG
The DNA here is from genome assembly GCF_000001405.40 of Homo sapiens. NCBI lineage: Eukaryota > Metazoa > Chordata > Mammalia > Primates > Hominidae > Homo > Homo sapiens. The sequence goes on along the minus strand of NC_000009.12, from coordinate 137,911,738 downwards.
TCAAAAATAGGATAAATATCGGCCGGGCACAGTGGTTCACGCCTGTAATCCCAGTACTTTGGGAGGCCAAGGCAGGTGGATCCCCTGAGGTCAGGAGTTCGAGACCAGCCTGACCAACATGGTGAAACCCCGTCTCTACAAAAAAAAATACAAAAACTAGCTGGGCGCAGTAGCGCATGCCTGTAATTCCAGCTACTCGGGAGGCTGAGGCAGGAGAACTGCTTGAGCCCAGGAGGCAGAGGTTGCAGTGAGCCGAGATTGCGCCATTGCACTCCAGTCTGGGCTACAGAGCGAGACTCCGACTCGAATAAATAAATAAAGAAAAGATAAATATCTCAAAATAAAAAAAGAAAAAAAGGACAATAAAAACCCTTCTATTCAAACCAAAATGCCAGGTTACCTGAGGAAGCCCAATGCTACGGGAAGACATTCAGCAGGATCAACTATTGAAAGAGGAATTTTGTTCAGATAAAAACAGTAAACTATTAAACAAAAACAGGTAGAAAAGGTAGAAAATTTAAAACTAGCTAGATCAACGGAATAGAATAATAACCCAGAAATAAACCCCCACATATATGTCAACTGGTTTTCAACAAAGGTACCAAGACCATTAAGTGGAGAAAGAATGATCTTTTCAACAACCAAGCAGAATAAAGTTGGACCCTTACCTTACACCAAATACAGAAAGTAACTCAAAATGGATCAAAGATCTAAATATAAGAGCTAAGACTAGAAAACTCTTAGAAGAAACATAGGGGAAAATATTCATAACATTGGATTTGGCAATAATTTCTCGGATATGACACCAAGAGCACAGGCAATAAAAGAAAAAATAGATTAGATTGAACTTCATCAAAAGTAAAAAGTTCCGTGCATCAGAGCAAGGGTCCCCAACCCTCAGGCCACAGACCAGTACTGTTCTGTGGCCTGTTAGGAATCAGGCCACTCTGCAGGAGGTGGCGGCAGGCGAACGAGCATTACTGCCTGAGCTCCGCCTCCTGTCAGATCGGCGGTGGTATTAGATTCTCATAGGAGCATGAATCCTACTGTGAACTGCACATGTGAGGGATCTAGGTTGCACGCTCCTTATGAGAATCTTATGCCTGATGATCTGTCACTGACCCATCACCCCCAGATGGGACCGTCTAGTTGCAGGACAACAATCTCAGGGCTCCCACTGACTCTATATTATGGTGAGTTGTATAATTATTTCATTATATATCACAATGTAACAATAATAGAAACAAAGTGCACAATAAATGTAATAACGCACTTGAATCGTCCCAAAACCATCCCCCGACCTCTGGTCTGTGGAAAAATTGTCTTCCATGAGCCCAGTGCCTGGTGTCATAAAGGTTGGGGGCTGCTGCACCAGAGGGCACTATCAAAAAGTGAAAAGAAACCTACAGAAAGGGAGAAAATATCTGCAAATCATATCTCTAATAAGGGATTAATATCCAGAAAATATAAATACTCTTACAACTCAACAACAATAAAAACAACTCAATTTTAAAATGGGCAACGGACTTGAATGAACATTCTTCCAAAGAAGATACACAAATGGCCGATAGGTGCACGAAAAGATGCTCAACATCACTAATCATTAGGGAAGTAAACATCAAAACCACAATGAAATACCACTTCATACTCACTAAGATAGCTATTATTGGCCAGGCGCGGTGGCTCACACCTGTAATCCCAACACTTTGGGAGGCCGAAGCAGGCAGATCACCTGAGGTCAGAAGTTCAAAACCAGCCTGGCCAACATGGTGAAATGCTGTCTCTACTAAAAATACAAAAATTAGCCAGGCATGGTGATGGGGGCCTGTAATCCCAACCACTTGGGAGGCTGAGGCACAAGAATCACTTGAACCCGAGAGGTGGAGGTTGCAGTGAGCTGAGATCATGCCACTGCACTCCAGCCTGGGTGATAGAGTGAGACTCCATCTCAAAAAAAACTAAAAATGAAAAAAAAAAGTTAAACATAGAATTAACATAAGATCCAGCAATTCCCCTTCTAGCTATATATCCAAAAGAATTGAAAGCAGGACTCAATCAGATACTTAGACAGCAACGCTCATAGCAGCGTCACTCACAATAACCGGAAGAGGGGAGGAACACAAATGTCTATCACCTGATGAATGTGTGCGCACAATGTGGGGCATGCACATGAATAACTGTTCTTCCTCCACAAAAGGAACGACGCTCTAATGCTGCATTTGCTCCAGCATGGATGAACTTGGGTAACATTATTCTAAGTGAAATAATCCAGACACAAAAGGGCAAATAACATACGCTCCCACTTACATGAGGTACCTGGAAGAGGCAAATTCATAGAGACAGTAAGTAAATTAGCGCTAAGCCAAGGCTGAAGGAAGGGAAGTGGGGAGTTCTTGCTTAATAGGCACTAAGTTTCTGTTTGGGGCAATAAAAAAATTGGAAATTGCAAAGCCGGGCGCAGTGGCTCACGCCTGTCATCCCAGCACTTTGAGAGGCTGAGGCAGGTGGATCACCTAAGGTCAGGAGTTTGAGACAAGCCTGACCAACATGGAGAAACCCCGTCTCTACTAAAAATACAAAATTAGCCAGGCGTGGTGGTGCATGCGTGTAATCCCAGCTACTCGGGAGGCTGAGGTGGGAGAATCGCTGGAACCCAGGAGGCGGAGGTTGCAGTGAGCCGAGATTGCACCATTGCACTCCAGCCTGGGCAACAAGAGCGAAATTCTGTCTCAAAAAAAAAAAAAAAGGTTAAAACAGAAAACTTCATGTTATACATATTTTACCACAATTTTTAAAAATTAAAAATTTAGCCAGGTGTGGTGGCTCACGCCCATAATCCCAGCACTTTGGGAGGCCGAGGCGGACGGATCACGAGGTCAGGAGATCGAGACCATCCTGGCTAACATGGTGAAACCCCGACTGTACTAAAAATACAAAAAAATTAGCCAGGCATGGTGGCAGGTGCCTGTAGTCCCAGCTACTCGGAAGGCTGAGGCAGGAGAATGGCGTGAACCCAGGAGGCGGAGCTTGCAGTGAGCCAAGATCGCACCACTGCAGTCAAGCCTGGGCGACAGAGCAAGACTCCCTCTCAAAAAAATAATAATAATAATTAAAAATTTAATATGCCAAAACCACTGACTTGTACACTTTAAATGGGAAAATTATATGGTGTGTTAAGTTATATCTTAAAGGTTTTTTTTGTTTGTTTGTTTGTTTTTCTTTTGAGACGGAGTCTCACTCTGTCGCCCAGGCTGGAATGCAATGGCGTGATCTTGGCTCACTGTAACCTCCGCCTCCTGGGTTCAAGCGATTCTCCTGCCTCAGCCTCCCGAGTAGCTGGGATTACAGGCACTCGCCACCATACCTGGCTAATTTTTGTATTTTTATTAGAGACGGGGTTCCACCATGTTGGCCAGGCTGGTCTCGAACTCCTGACCTCAGGTGATCCGCCCGCCTCAGCCTCCCAAAGTACTGGGATTACAGGCGTGAGCCACCGCGCCCAGCCTCAGTAAAGTTGTTTTTAATAAAAGACCTCAGCAGAACCCTGGTAGAACTTAACAAGCTCATCTTTACATCCACATGGACAAGCAATGGGCCATGAACAGTCAAGCGATGCTGAAGAACAAACCAGGAAATTAGCTCTTGCTTCACTCCCCAAGACTTACTGTTAAGCTAAAATAATTAATACTCTGTGGATTGGACAGGGAAGGCATGGGGCAGAACGAGAGCCAGAAACAGGCCTGACGTATGAAACCGGGTGTTTGACAAAGGCGGTGGCGCCGTTCCAAATCATGGAAAAAGGGTGGAGCAGCCGCCAAATGATGTTGGAAAACCAGGTCACCCGTCGGCAGAAAGAGGAAGCATCACTCACACATAAATTCCAGGTGTATCAAAGACCTAAGCATGGAAAGCAAACTCTAAAGCTGCAAAAAAATACAAGAGAACAGCTCAGTGATGGTGAGGTAAGGAAGGATGACTTAAGACTAAAGTAATAGATTAATAAATGTGACTACGATAAAATAACACCACACCATAAAAGACAGCATAAAGAAAATGAAAAAGAATTGGTTTTCTGAATGTAGAAAAAATTTCTACAAATTCATATGAAAAATACAAATAACTAATCAGAAAAATCAACAAATTACAAGAGGGAAGAAGATGCTCAAAACGATTGGCAATCAGGGAAATCCAGATTAAAATAACGAAGAGCTGCCACTTGACATCCTACATTTAGCACACAGTGTTAAAGCCTGGTGATGTGTTGGAAGAGAGAACTGTAGAATCGTTTTGGAGAGTATTTGGCCACTTCTAGGAAAGTTTTAAATGAGCATCCCCAGGATTCAGGAAACCACTTCTAACCACACCCCAGGCACATTCTGGGGTAGCCCTGTTTGTAATAGTAAGAAAGGAAAATAAAAATGCCTTTCACAAGAAGACAGAAAAATTAACTGTGGCAAATGCACACAATGGAATATTATTCCACAGTTAAAAATGAATGAGCATGTAAAACTAAATAAGCCTATGCACGTTAACATGGAAAAATGTTTAAAATAATGTTAAGGGGTAGAGGAGAGCTGTGAAATAATCATATATCTGTGTGTGAATACACAGACACACTCACACGCTACATCATTTATGGATACACACACAGCGAAAGGTGGAATGCCCACACACCCACGTGCCCTGGCAGGATAAACACAAATCAGGACACCTGCTCCCACAGGGAGAAAAAGAGAAAGAGAAGAGAATCTGACTGGGGGACTGTATTCAGAAGACTTCAACCACATCTGTAATATTTTAGTTCTCTAAGAAAAATCTCCCAAGCTAACTCCCAATGTACAGAGAAATGCAGACCAGGGGAGAGTGCAGAGGAACACGTATGTTAAATAAGACTAGACACAGGCATGCAGGGGAACACATATGTTAAATAATACATCACATGGCATGCAGAGGAATACATATGTTAAAAAAGACATCACACAGGGATGCAGAGAAACATGTATGTTAAATAATGCATCACATGGGGATGAAGAGAAACACATATGTTAAATAAGACATCACATGGGCATGCAGGGGAACACGTATGTTAAATAAGACATCACATGGGCATACAGGGGAACATGTATGTTAAGACATCACACAGGGATGCAGAGACACACATATGTTAAATAAGGCATCACACGGGGATGCAGAGAAAGACGTATGTTAAATAAGACAACACATGGACATGCAGGGGAACACGTATGTTCAATAACACAACACACGGGCATGGAGTCAGCAAGACCGAGACTGGAAACACAGATGACCCAGACAGTGAACAGCTCCTGCAAAGCTCCAATTCCATTCCCAAGTAAGACAAATTACATAGGAGGAAAAGTTTCTCCCTCCCTTCACCTTATAGCTTTTCTGTCTCCCAGGCACCAGGACGCTCTCTGACAAATCCTGAAATGTCAGCAAAGCGGCCTTAGGAGTCACCCTGGCAAGCCAAAGACATGAAAGACAGAAACGCATTTTAACAAGGAGGAGTTGCTATAATCCTCTGGGGCCGGAAAACATCTCTTCTTTTTTGACGAAGAATTCAAAGTTGTGTAGACCCAGGCTGGACATTTCTATAATCTTGAGAGCCATAAAAACACAAAATCCGCTCCAGTGGTGTAAGCAGCCTCTGGAATAAATTACAACCTAACTGCAGCCCACTGGGCCTCTGAGGCCTCCAGCATTTGAGTGGAGAGGCCCTTGCCATAGTCCACTAGTATTTTTCAGGAAAAAATCTGGTCTACATTCCAGCCATTCCAGCCAGCAAATGTGATGAGGCAGCCCAGAGGGCACAAGGGCAGGTCCGAGGTGACAGTGTCTTAGGACAAGGGCAGGACACCTCCATTCACTTGTCGGGAGGTGACAGTGTCTTCAGCGAACCAGCATATTTAACCCCAGGAAGGCTGAGAATTAAATGTAGCAATGTTTGTGGAAATCAGATTTTCCGAATTAATATTTTTTGAGTTATGATGAAGAATTTATCAGACCATATGAAGCTGTATTTAGCATTACATTGGCCCTGTGATTTGAATTTAAAATATACAATGGAACTGATTGAGACTTGTAATTTTAAGTTGAAAACCTAATAAATTTATAGAAAGTATTGAACCATTGAAGCAAATTTATGACTCACCATATTTACACTTTAATTTATTCAACATACAATACTTAAGTACTTAGGAAGGTCTAGTTACAGTAAATTTATAAACAAAATTTTAAATGTCTAACTTAAGTTTATAAAATAGGATAAAACATTACTTAAAATCTTCTTGAAAATGAATGTTAAAAATTGCTAAATTTACAAATATAATTTTTCATAAGTTGAATCTAAAAGTTTTTTTTTTTTTTTTGAGACAGAGTCTCACTCTGTCACCCAGGCTGGAGTGCAGTGGCACAATCTCGGCTCACTGCAAGCTCCGCCTCCTGGGTTCAAGCGATTCTCCTGCTTCAGCCTCCCAAGTAGCTGGGACTACAGGCACGTGCCACCACACCTGGCTAATTTTTGTATTTTTAGTAGAGACGGGGTTTCACCATGCTGGTTAGGCTGGTTTCAAACTCCTGACCTCGTGATCCACCCGCCTCGGCCTCCCAAAGTGCTGGGATTACAGGTATAAGCCACCACGCCTGGCCCCTAAAAGCTTTTAAAAACCCAACGTTTTTGGATTTCTAACTTTAAAAATTGAATGTTGACATTTAGAAACTAGTTTCTGAAAAATATTTTCTACGCACAAAATCCATTCTCAAGAGTACTAACAAACCCACATTTATCATGAAGGATTTTCTTCAAGTCAGATAACAAAATAAGAAGTATCACCATAATTCTCATTTAATGTTGTTTTAAGAGTTCTCACCAACATAGTAGGACATGAATAGGAAATAAGGAAAAAAATAGATAAAATGATCACCGATGGCAGACAGTGATAAAACTCCCAGGAACTTGGTTAAGAACCAACCCAGGATCTCCCAGCAGCCTCAGCATCACCTGGCAGACCATTAGCAAATTCTTGAGGGGACAGCAGGAGGAGGGGGGAGGCGGAGGCAGTGCAGTGGCTCACACCTGTAATCGTAGCCCTTTGAGAGGCAGAGGTGGGAGGATCGCCTGAGCCCAGGAGTTAAAGATTAGCCTGGACAACATATGAGACCCATCTCTACAAAAAAAAAATTTTTTTAATTAGCCAGGCATGGTGGCACACACCTGTAGTTCCACCCTCAGGAGGCTAAGGTGGGAGGATGGCTTGAGCCCAGGAGGTTGAGGCTGCAGTGAGCCATGATCACACCACTGCACTCCAGCCTGGGCAACAGAGTGATAGAGCAAGACCCTGCCTCTCAAAAAAAAAAAAAAAAAAAAAAGAGAGAGAGAGAGAGAAATAGTAAAATATATATACATATTTTGAAAGAAAGAAATGCTAATTCTTTCCCAGAAAGAACTCAGAAATCAGAGGGCAGGGCCCAGCACTCTGGGTTTTACATGCCTTACAGGATGATTCTGATGTTCACCCAAGTTGTGAGCCCCAGTGGTCCAGAGCATCAGCTTGAAAAGCTTCCTTCTGGTTTGTGTGCCCCTCCCGACTTCCAAAAAAGACAGAAAGCAGCACAAAACCCAAAAGCACAGGATGATGAGATCAAACCAATGAGAGAAAGGAAAAAACTGGCAGGAAAAGCAACCTCCAGGTACCGTAATCACAACCAAAACTTCGGTCCAAGCCCATCAGCAAACAAAGCGCTGCCCAGCTCTACCCAGAAGGGGTGTGCACTGGCACCCAGAACCAGCAGCCTGATGGATGGACAAACACCAGAAGCCAGCAGTGACACCAGACAGGGACAGCCAGGAAATGCAACAAAATAAATGCCTCAATCGAAATGCCGCCAATCAATACAAACCACTTAGGAATAGCTTTAACAGTGCAGGTGACTTTTATAAAGAAACTACAAAATCTATTTACAAAAAAAAAAGGAGAGCTGAATAAATTTTCATACATACTACATTCCTGGATGGACAGACAGAATATATATTTATTTCTAAACTTGATTCCCCTGAAATCAATTTATAGATTCTGATAAATCAAAATCCCAGCGGGGTTATTGGGACTACAACAAAATGATCTCAAAATCTATCTGGAAAACTAAGTAGGCAAAACGTTAAAAAATGATTCAAAGAAGAAAAGCAAGGAGAACGGGACTGGCTTCATGAGACATTAAACCCCTCCTCTGAGCTACACAACGAGACCACAGGCACGGACAGAGAGAGACCACTGATGCGTATGAGTCGAAGCAGAGCACGACCAAGTGATGAGAAGGTGAAGGGTTTTTGTTTGTTTGAGATGGAGTCTCGCTCTCTCGCCAGGCTGGAGTGCAGTGGCTCAATCTCGGCTCACTGCAACCTCCACCTCCTGGGTTCAAGTGATTCTCCTGCCTCAGGCTCCCGAGTAGCTGGGACTACAGGCGCGCACCACCATGCCTGGCTAATTTTTTTTTGTATTTTTAGTAGAGACGGGGTTTCACCGTGTTGACCATAATGGTCTCGATCTCTTGACCCCGTGATCCGCCCGCCTCAGCCTCCCAAAGTGCTGGAATTACAGGCGTGAGCCACCGGTGAAGAGTTTTTTAATAGTATAATTTACAGGAAAAACAAAGCTCATCCAACTTTTAGGCATTTGTCCCAAGGAAATAATCAGAGATGTCTAAAGATATAGGTATGCGTTTTGGTTTATCTACAAAAGCAAAATAGGAAATAACCCAAATGCTTGACAAGAGGAATCTGACAGAGTTCTGCCCACAAGGCAGAATCGTCTCCTCAGAGGACACTCGGCAGTGGGGGTTGCCGGGACATCAGATGCTGAGACATCTGTGTGCAGTGAGCACTCGTGGGGCCCTCACCCTGCATCTTGTACCAGCCGGCACAGCTGCACCAGGTGGCCTGCCCACGACAGGAGGGGGGTGCCCGCAGTAGCCCTGGAGGGTGATATCAATTGTGTATTTAAAAACCTACACACCGAAAAAGCTTGGAAGGAAGGAAATAGCTCAAAATATTAACAGTGGATATCACAGGATGGTGGCAGTGTGTGTCATAAAGTAAGAAAATCAGTTACTTTTTGTAAACAGAAAAGAAAAATGTTTATCCTCTGCTGACATGTAAACAAATACTAAATAAAACAACTTTGAGGTATTTAAATTAAAGATGTTATATTAACAACAATAGAAAAAAGGAAATTACAACACACACATGCGAACTTAACAAGTATTAAATACCAACACAAGTATTGGGTACTTTCTACGCCCTGAAGCCTTAGGCTCTAGAAAAATCCTACTGAAAAGCAAGGAGGCAACAGCTGCCTTGGAGAGGAGGGGTGTTGGGGAGGGGCTAGGAGCCAGTGGGACCTCTCACTCCACCCCTAGTTTCTCCTTCTCCAGGAGGAAGCAGTGTTTTCCTTCTTAGCTCCAGGCCAGGCACAGTACCTGGTAGGCAGTGTGCACTCAATAAACGTTAATGGAGAAATTTCCAAAATGAAATGGCAAAGAACCCCAGAGACAACTCACAAAAGTAAACACCATTTAGTAATGTGTGAACATGCTCAAACTCATCAGTAATGGAAAAGGACAACAAGGTACAGATTTATATTGAATAAATTAACAAGAGCTGGATATAAAACACTGGATATAACAAGAAAATATATCCAGTGGTGGCAAAGCTGACATTAAAACTAATGATTTAGGCCAGATGCAGTGGCTCACGCCTGTAATCCCAGCACTTTGGGAGGTCGAGGCGGGTGGATCACTTGAGGTCAAGAGTTCCACGCCAGCCTGACCAACATGGTGAAACCCCGTCTCTATTAAAAATACAAAAAATCACCCAGGTGTAGTCGTGGGTGCCTGTAGTCCCAGCTACTCAAGAGGCTGAGGCAGGAGAATCATGTGAACCCTGGAGGTTGAGGTTGCAGTGAGCTGAGATCGCACCACTGCACTCTAGCCTGGGCAACAGATCTAGACTCAGTCTCAAAAAAAAAAAAAAAAAAAAATCACAAAAAAACCCTAATGATGTACACAGAACTGGTGGAATACAAACTTATATATCCCATTTGGAAAACAAATTGGCAAAATGTCTCAGGAGCCATGAAATGTTTAAACACTTGTACCCAGTCCACTCTGACAATCTGTATCACCAAAATAATGCAAAATAATAATAACCCCATCGCTACTAAAAATACAAAAATCAGCTGGGCTTGGTGGTATGCGCCTGTAATCCCAGCTACTTAGGAGGCTGAGGCAGGAAAATCACTTGAACCCGGGAGGGCGGTGGAGGTTGCAGACATGGACACAGGGACACACAGACACGCAGGCATAGACACAGACACACGGACACAGGAACACAGAGACACACGGCACAGACATAGGGATGGGACACATGGCACAGACACGGACACACAGACACAGAGACACAGACACAGGAACACAGAGACACACAGAACAGACACAGACACAGGGACACAGACACAGAGACACACAGTACAGACACTGACACAGGGACACAGAGACACACAGACACAAACACAGTCACAGGGACACAGAGACACACAGCACAGACACAGACACACAGACACAAGGACACACAGACACAGACACAGGGACAGAGAGACACACAGCACAGACACACGGACACACAGCACAGACACGGACACACGGACACAGAGACACACAGCACAGACACGGACACAGGGACACAGACACAGAGACACACAGCACAGACACACAGACACAAGGCACAGACAGAGACACACCATGGCACAGACACAGACACACGGACACACGGTACACACACAGACACACGGACACAAGGACACACAGACACAGACACAGGGACACACAGCACAGACACAAGGACACACAGACACAGGGACACACGGTACACACACAGACACAAGGACACAGGGACACACAGACACAGGGACAGAGAGACACACAGCACAGACACAGAGACACACGGCACAGACACAGGGACACACAGCACAGACACGAACACAGAGACACACATACACAAACACAGGGACACACAGCACAGACACACAGACACAGAGACACACATACACAGACACAGAGACACACGGCACAGACATGGACACACGGACACAGAGACACACATAGACAGACACAGAGACACACAGCACAGACATGGACACACGGACACAGAGACACACAGACACAGACACAGAGACACACAGTACAGACACGGACACAGAGACACACATACACAGACACAGAGACACACGGCGCAGACACACACAGCAGAGACACAACAGCAGTCACACATGTAAAGACCCGCCCTCACTCTGGCACCCAAGGTCGGGGAGTGCTCCCAGCCCCACAGAGGGGAGGAAGGCTGGAACCACACTGCTGCAGGCTTCTTCTGGGCCCCCTAACCCTAACCCAAAACTCACCTCACATCCCCCAGACTCTAGGTCCCAGCCACACGCCCTCCACCTGGACCAGGGGGGCACCTCACACACCCTCCGCGTGGGCCAGGGGGGCACCCTGCCTTTCCACAGCCGTCTGTGAGGAGCTTCTGGGGCACACCCCAGTCAGGCCTGGTCTAGCCACCTCCACACTTCACAGCCCAGCCATACCCCACAGGACCCCCCAGTTCTGAAAATGCCAAGAGCTGGCAGAGGTGACTGGGGACTCAGAGCTGTTATGTTCTATGAGAAACTATGGATGCTCCCTTGTCCCCATGCATCTGGCCCACGCTGGCCAGCCCCTGTACCCCGTCCCTGTGGCACAGAGCCCTACCCACGCCCCATCAACCTGGACCAGCCCCTCAGAGGGTCTGCGCTGAGCCAGGGGAGACCACAAATCCTGCACAGGTGCGGGGGTCCCTGGGCCGGGGCAGGTGGGTCAGGTGCCAGTCAGGCCCAGTCCAGGGAGACTGCTTACTACTCTCAGGCTGGTTCTACATGGGAGCCAAGCTGGCAGGGGAGGCACCATCTCCAGGATCTGCTTTGTCACTGACCTTCCAGGCACTGGTTCTCACCCAGAAGCCTGCTTGCAGTTGCCATGGAGAGAGCCGGCAGTTCTCGGCCAAAGACGCCACAGCATCCCCTCGGCCTCCCCACCCCAGTCCCTGCTCTAACAGGCCAAGAAGTGGGAGCCACCTAGCCTGCTCCAAAGCAAGGACAGGGGAGAAGAAGAGCTAGGCATGGCATGCGGGGAACCCCAACCCCAAGCACACACACGACAGCGGTGAGCCATTACTACAAGCCAGGGACTCTCATGACACCCTCAGGAGTTGGCAGACTACACAGTTCTTTGTAAGAGAAGGAAACTGAGGTTAAGAAAGCATATCCCAATCCCAGCGCTTTGGGAGGCCAAGACAGGTGGATCATCTGAGATCAGGAGTTCGAGACCAGCCTGGCCAACATGGTGAAACCCCACCTCTACTAAAAAAAAAAATACAAAAATTAGCCTGGCATGGTGGAGCGCGCCTGTAATCCCGCTACCCAAGAAGCTAAGGCAGGACAATTGCTTGAACCTAGGAGGCGGAGGTTGCAGTGAGCTGAGATTGCAGCACTGCACTCCACCCTGGGCAACAGAGAGAGACTCCAACTGACAAAAAAAAAAGAAAGAAAGAGAGAAAAAAGAAGGCCAGGCAGGGTGGCTCACACCTACAATCCCAGCACTTTGGAAAGCTGAGGCGGGAGGACTGCTTGAGTCCAGGAGTTTTAAACCAGCCTGGGCAACATAGTTAGACTCCATCTCAACAAAAAAATTTTTAGGGAGGCTGAGGCAGGCGGATCATGAGGTCAGGAGATCGAGACATCCTGGCTAACATGGTGAAACCCCGTCTCTACTAAAAATACAAAAAATTAAGTGGGCATGGGGACGGGTGCCTATAGTCCCAGCTACTTGGGAGACTGAGGCAGGAGAATGGCGTGAACCCAGGAGGTGGAGCTTGTAGTGAGCTGAGATCGTGCCACTGCACTCCAGCCTGGGTGACAGAGGGAGACTCCATCTCAAAAAAAAAAAAAAAAATTTTTTTTAAGTATTCAGGCTTGGTGGCATGTGCCTGTAGTCCCAGCTACTCGGGAGGCTGAGGTGGGAGGATTGCTTTAGCCTGGAAGGTGGAGGCTGCAGCAAGCCATGATCATGCTACTGCACTCCAGCCTGAGCAACAGATTAAGACCCTGTCTCAAAAAATAAAAAGAAAGAAAAAACAAGAAGAAGAAGAACAACAGAGCCTCAAGGAACTATGGAACCATAATATTAGTATCATCAGAGTTCCAGAAAAAAAGGAGAATGAAGGCAGGACTGAAAAAGTACTCAAAGATATAATGGCTGAGAACTTGCCAAATTTGGTAAGAGAAATAAACCTACAGATTCAAGAAGCTGAGGGGACCCCAAACAGGATCAACTCAAAGATAATCAAAACAAGATGCATCACAGTCAAATTTCCAAAAACTAAAAACAAAAATTATTGAAAGCATCAGAGAAACATAATACCTTTTCTATTTGGAAAAACAACTCAGCTGACAGAAGATTTCTCATCATAAACCATGAAGGTCAGAAGGCAGTTGCACAGTATTTTCACATGCTGAAAGAAAAGAATTGTCAACCCAGATGTCTATATCCAGCAAAATATCTTTGGGGAATGGAGGGGAAATCAGGTCATTCTCAGGTGAATAAATATTAAGAGAATTTGTCACCAGCAGACCTATCCTGAAAGAATAATTAAAGAAATTTATCTAAACAGAAAGAATATTATTTTTATTTTAATTGTTGGCCATTAGGAAGATAGAAAAATGGAAAGAGTAAAAATGTGGGTAAATAAAATTTCATTTGAAACCCCATCTCTACTAAAAATACAAAAATTAGCTGGCCATGGTGGTGGGTGCCTATAGTCCCAGCTACTCGGGAGGCTGAGGCAGGAGAATGGTGTGAACCCAGGAGGCAGAGGTTGCAGTGAGCTGAGATCGCTGCAAAAATATAATAATAATAATAATAATGATTAAAATGATAAAAACACAAAATAAAATACACGGAATTGAATTAAATCGAAAATACAACATATTAAAATGTGTAGTATACAGTTAAAGTAGTGCTAAGAAGCAAACTTTTTGTTTTTCCTTTTATTTTTTGAGACGGAGTCTTGCTCTGTTGCCCAGGTTGAAGTGCAGTGGCACGATCTCGGCTCATCGCAACCTCTACCTTCCGGGTTCAAGTGATTCTCCTGCCTCAGCCTCCTGAGTAGCTGGGAGTACAGGCGCCCGTCACCACGCCTGGCTAATTTTTGTATTTTTAGTAGAGATGGGGTTTCACCATGTTAGCCAGGCTGGTCTTGAACTCCTGACCTCAGGTGATCCACCTGCCTTGGCCTCCCAAAGTGCTGGGATTACAACCATGAGCCACCGCACCCAACCTAAGAAGCAAATTTATAGTATTATATGTATATGTTAGAAAAAAACAAAAACTGCAATCACTAGTCTAAGCTCTTGCCACAAGAACAGAGAAAATGAAGAGTAAAATAAACTCAAATCAAACAGAATGAAGGAAGTAATAAAATAAGGGCAGAAATAAATGAAATAGTAAGCAAAAAAGAGAAAATCAACCATACAAACAGAGAGCTGGCTCTCTGGGAAAAAAAACTGACATAATTGACAAATTTCCAGCAAGACTGACCGGAAAGAAAAAGCCCCACACACACAGGAACAAAAAGAGAAGACAAAAATTACTAATATAAGAAATGAAACGAGCTATTACAAACCCTACAGACATCAAAAGGACAATGAGGGAACACTGTGAACAACTCTACACACATAAATTCAACGAGTTGGACTAAATGGACCACTTCCTCAGAAAATGCAAACTCACACGACGGACCCAACATGACACAGATCATTTGAACATCCACATAACTCGTAAGGAAAGTGAATGCGTAACTTGAAAGCTCCCAAAAAGGAAATCTCCAGGGCCAGTTGGATTCACTGTAGATTTTTCTAACAAACATTAAAGAACTAATTCCGTTTTCACACAACGGCTTTTAGAAAATAGAAGAGGGAGAGCATTTCTAAATTCATTTTATGAAGCTTGTATCACACTGACATCAAAACAAGACAAAGACGGTACCAAAAAACACTACAGACCAATAGCCTTCATGAATACATATGTAAAAATCCTTAACAAGATATTGGCAAATAGACTTCAGCAATATCAAAAGAATTATATACCACAACCATGTCTATTCCAGGGATGTATCCCTAGTTCAAGACTCAAAAAATCAACCACTGTAATCCACTGTATTAACATCCTAAAGAAGAAACATCACATGATCATACCAATGCAAAAAAAGCATTTGATAAAATCTAACAGTCATTTACTATAATAGTGCCTGGAAAACTGGAACAGAGGGAAACTGCCTCAACTTAATAAAGAGCAACTACAAAACCCTACAGCTAACTTTTTTTTTTTTTTTTTTTTTTGAGACAGAGTCTCGCTCTGTCCCCCAGGCTGGACTGCAGTGGTGCAATCTCGGCTCACTGCAAGCTCCGCCACCCAGGTTCACGCCATTCTCCTGCCTCAGCCTCCCGAGTAGGTGGGACTACAGGCGCCTGCCACCACACCCGGCTAACTTTTTGTATTTTTAGTAGAGACAGGGTTTCACCGTGTTAGCCAGGATGGTCTCGATCTCCTGACCTCGTGATCTGCCTGTCTTGGCCTCCCAAAGTGCTGGGATTACAGGCGTGAGCCACTACGCCCAGCCACTAACATTATTCTTAATGGTTAAAGTCAGAATGTTTTCCTCCTGAAATTTGGAACAAAGTAACAATGCCTCTCTCGCCACACCACTCTTCAACACAGTACTAGAAGTTCTAGTAAATGCAATAAGGTAAGAAAAGAAAAGGCATTCAGGTTTTAAGAGAAGAAACAAAGCTGTTCCTCTTTGCAGATGACGTGTTTGTCAACATAGGAAATTCCAGAGAATCTCCAAAGAAATTGTCCTAGAACTACTACTAAGTTAGTTTAGCATGATAAACATATAGAAATCTATGGTTTTTCTATATACTAGCAATGGACATACAGATACCAAAATTTAAAATGCAATACCATCTATAATCACACAAAATAAAAGAAATACTTAGATGTAAATGTAACAAAACATGTACAGGACTTGTATCCCTAAAACTGCAAAATGCCGATGAAAGCAATCAAAGATCTACATAAATGGAGAAATATACCATGTTCCTAGATTGGAAGACTTAACATAGTAAAAATGTTCATAAACTAACATACAGGTTTTATATAATTCTGGCTTGAAACTGATTTTTTTTATATATCAAGATTTTTTGTATATATTGACAAGATTATTCTAAAATGTATATGAAAGGCAAAGTACCTAGAATAGCTAAAATAATTTGAAAGAAAAAGAATAAATTGGGAGGAGTAAGTACTACCCAGTTTCAAGCCTTATTACATAACTACCGTGATCAGGACTGTGTGGTACGAGGGACACACACAGATCAATGGAACGGAATAAAGAACCCAGAAATAGGTCCAGACAAGCACGCCCAGTTGGTTTTTGATAAAGCACAAAAGCAATTCAATGGAAGAAATGCAGCCCTTTCAACAAATGGTGCTGGTGCCACTGGACACCCACAGGCAAAAAACAAAACAAACTCCTCAACCTAAACCTCACAGCTGATATGTGTAAAATGTAAAATAACAAAACTTTTAGAAAAAGAGAATCACGGGAAAAATCTTCACGCTCTAGGGCTGGCAAAGAGTTCGCACCACAAGCCTTATCCACAAAAGGAAAAACGGACAAATTGGACTTCATCAAAATTTAAAAGTTTTGCTGCGCAAAGTCTCTGTTACGAAAATGGGAGAAAAAAGCTACAGAGTAGGAAAAAATATCTGAAAAACCACATATCAAGCAATAGACTAATATCAAACAATCCAACTGGAATATGAGCAAAATATATGAAGACACATTTCAACTAAAAGGATATGTAGGGCCAGGCACGGTGGCTCATGCCTGTAATCCCAGCACTTTGGGAGGCCGAGGTGGGCGGATCACGAGGTCAGGAGATCGAGATCATCCTGGCTCACACGGTGAAACCCCGTCTCTACTAAAAATACAAAAAATGAGCCGGGCGTGGTGGCGGGCGCCTGCAGTCCCAGCTACTCGGGAGGCTGAGGCAGGAGAATGGCGTGAACCCAGGGGCTTGCAGTGACCTGAGATAGAGCCACTGCACTCCAGCCTGGATGACAGAGCGAGACTCCATCTGAAAAAAAATAAAAGGATATGCAGATGGCAGAGAACCACATGAAAAGACGTCCAATATCATGGAAATGCAGATCAAAGCCACAACGATCACGACATATCTATCAGAATCAAAAAAAAAAAAAAAAAAAAAATACAGAGACAACCCCCGTGCCGGCGAGGCTGTGGAGAAGGGACGGCTCCTGTGCTGCTGGAAATGTGAAACGGGACATCCACTCTGGCTGAGAGTTTGGCAGTTTCTTAAAAAACTAAAAATGTGACTACAGCATGGCCTAATGATTGTACTCTTTGTACTCTTGGTCATTTATCCCAGAGAAGTGAGAACTTATATTTACACAAAAACCTGTACATGAATGTGTATACAGCTTTGTTCATAGTATTTCATGAAGCAAATGGGTGAAAAAGGCAAATCCAAAGGTATGACTTCATTTATCTAAGATCATCGAAATGACAAAATTATACAAATGCACAGATGAGTGGTTGCCAGCGAGTAAAGGGAAGGTGGGTGAGGTAAGTAGGAGGAAGGTGGGTGCAGCCATAGAAGGGCAGCATGAGGGGCCCTCCCGGGACGGGCTGTTCTGGGCCCTGTGTCAATCTCAGCACCTAGTCATGAGACCGTGGCCCTGCTATTACAGTTTCCTAAGAGGTTTCCTTTGGGGGAACTGGGTAAAGAGTACACTGCTCTCTCTATACCATTTATTACAACTGCCTATTATGAATCTATAATTAGCTCAAAATAAAACCTTTATTTTATTTTATTTTATTTTGTTTCATTTTTTTTTTTTTGAGACAGAGTCTCACTCTGTCGCCCAGGCTGGAGTGCAATGGCGCGATCTCAGCTCACTGCAAGCTTCGCCTCCTGGGTTCAAGCGATCCTCCTGCCTCAGCCCCCTGAGTAAGTGGGATTACAGGCGCGTGCCACCTTGCCCGGCTCATTCTTTTGTATTTTTAGTAGAGATGGGGTTTCACCATGTTGGTCAGGCTGGTCTCGAACTCCTGACCTCGTGATCTGCCCACCTCAGCCTCCCAAAGTGCTGGGATTACAGGCATGAGCCACCGCACCCAGTGTTTTTTTTTTTTTTAAAGGGGGGAGTTGTTAATATCAGCGTCTAGTTCTTGGATTTATAAAATTATTGTTATTAAAACAGCAGCCAGCACATAATAAACCTCACAAAAGAGTCAGCTTTAAAAAAAAAAAAAAAAAAGGGCCAGCTTTTATTTTTTCTTTTACCTTTTCATGTCTCAGGAGCTGTGCTGCTCACTTCTAGCAGCTGTGCACCGGGCCTTCACCCACATGCCCACGGTCCCAGGCTGTGGATCCTGGCAAGTCCGTGGAGTAAAGGCACCTCCTGGGAGGGTGGGGGGCCTTTGCCCTCCTGGAGAGAGCCCCTCACTGGAGATGGCACAGAGCCCAGCACCAGGCGAGACACGGAGTGCCATGGCGGCCCCCCTCCCGTGTGTCCCTGTATCTGTGTGTCTGGGCGTTTCAGGCCTGTCGGGCTCTGGGAGCCCACGCACCTCTGATGCATGCCAATGGAAACACGGCGGCCACCCCACCTGCTGCTCCTGGTCTCTAGTCTCTGCCTGTCTGCCTGCAGTGTCGAATTCCACCCAGTGCTGAGTAGGCCCGTGATGGGAACAGGGACACCATTCCCTCCCCACACGCTGTACTCCCAGAGCAAGGCTTTAAGACAGCAGGTGCTGGGGTGGGACCGGCAGGCAGAGCAGGAGGTGGTGCTCAGGAGCCCCCACCCTTGGACGGGAGGCTGCCCTGTGCTGGGGGACGTCCCTCCTGCCTGCAGTCTCACAGTGCCCCTCCTCCTCACCTGGTCCCACCCTTGGCCCCTTCGGGGTGCCTGTGGCTCCAGTGCAGCTGTGTTGTCAGGCCCAGAGGCTGATGACAGAGAAGCGTGAGAAAGGACCCACAGTCAGAGGAAAGGGGGAGAACTATGGCGGATTCTGCAGACATCAAACCATCTAACCATTTCACGATGCAATGATGCACCAGCAACAGCCACATGGCCACAGTGGACCCCGCAGGCCTGGCCCTGCATCCCGCCTGCCCCAGGGTCTGGGGTCCATCGGATCAGCACCGCCCACCACAAGAAGGCAGTCATCTGCCAGCCAGGAGGAGAGGCCTCGCCAGAAACCAATCCTGCCAACACCCTGATCTTGGACCTCCAGCCTCCAGGACTGAGAAGGAAATGTCTGCTGTTGCAGCGCCCGGCTGTGCTGCTTTGCTCCAGCCTCCCCAGCAGACCAGTGTCCAGTCGTTCAAGGGAATGAGCCTGTCAGTAGAGGCTGGGCTTTGTGGTGAGCCAGCAGGGAAACTTCTCGGGGAGGGAGGAGGGCAAAGAGAGGCCAGCCTGGTGGGGAAGAAGGGGTGGGAGTGGAGAAGACACAGAGGCCGCACACTGAGTGAGGAGGACCAAGGCGCAAGGCCCTTTTCACCAGGCTCCTGTGCTCTCAGGGGAGACAGGGAGGGTGGCATTGGCTAGAAGGGCCTGCCCAGCCCTGGAGAAAGGAGCTCACAGCAGGGTCGTGAAGAGGGCAGGGACTGGGTGGGGGGTGCTACCATGTGACCTGCTAGGAATGAATCTGCGTTAGCGTCCGTCTGGCTGGAGTAGAGATGCTTCAGCACGTGTGGGGCTGCACACAGGCACGCAGGGTGGAGGCCCCTCCACTCTACAGCCCCACAGCCAGCACCTGCCTTCTCACCTCTTCTAGTCCAGGGCCCGAGAAGCCATTAGCAACCATCCTCACCTCAGTGTGAATCTGCAACTCTGCCGCTCCAGTGTGAAGGAGGAGAAGGAGAGCAGGAAGGGGTGTCCACCACCACGTGCCCACAGGAGCAAGGCTCCCACCCTCCCGGGGTATGAACTTGAACCCCTGTGACCTCTGTGGGTGCATCTGCACAGAATGCAGGTCCCCTGTCCCCCAGCCACCGCACCACACCAGCCTAGCCATCCTCGCGAGCCGCCACAGGCCTGGGACCCCCCAGGGCACTGGAACACAGCAGCCCCAGTGAGCACCTGGAGCCCGAGCCTGGACCGGAGGCCACGGACGGCTTCGAACAGGCCAGCCCCCAGGAGGGGCGGCTCTTCTACAGCCAGCCCGGCACTGCCCGCCCAGCCTCCCAGATCCAGAGGCAGCTGCTCCAGAGAGAGTGGGGGCTCCAGGGACTTCTCCCAAGCAAGATGAAAACACAGGTTTTTGCGTGAAAGTTCCTTCTTAAATACTGACAGCAAGTTTAGAGCCCATCTCAGATCCCTGGCTGTGCTCCATCAGCCCAACAGCCACAGACCCAAAATTTAAAGTAGCCATGCGCCCTGAGAGCCCAACCTGCCTGGCCACGCACAGGCCAGCCATGGTCCCAGGAGTGGGCGTGTGCCCCCGACACCACACAGCTGTGTCCCTCCCTTCCATCCCCCACCCACAGGCAGAGCTGGAAAGATCAGCACCACGGAGAGAGACGAGCATGGCCAGTCCCAGGCCCCCAGGCCGCCCTGCCCACCTGCCCCATCCCTCCCGAACTGTCCCCTCAGAGCTGGGTCCTGGGCTGAGACTCCCCAAACTGTGACCTTCAAGGCTTCTCACACAGCTCACCCCAGCCTCACGGCCTCCAGCTCTGCCGCTCACTGTCCCCACCACACTCTCCCTGGACCCCCACCCCTCCAGCTGCTGGGGCAGGAAATCAAGCCTCCGACTGACCCTCCTGGTGGGACCCCTGAAGAGAAAGGCGTGTAAGGGGGACTCTGTGCACACCTGCGTAAGGGGGACTCTGCACACCTGCAGAACCGCCCATCCCTGGAGCCCGGCCTGCAGTCACCGTCGAGAGGAGAGGCCTGGAGCACAGAGTGGATCCTGTGGCATGGGGACTTTGCCGTTGGCAGAACACGCACCCTGGGGGGAAGGGCCCTGGCTCCATCGTGCCCAGCAAGTACCTGGCCCATATCAGGGACATATGAGTAAAGGACAGACCACCTGGTCCAGTCCCCACTTGCCTGAGGACAGCAGCCCAGACCCCCATGAATGATGAAAGTCCTTCTCTGGGTTGAGCTGAAACCTCCCTTCCTTATCTCCCACCCATGTCCCCCGTCCCCCTGGGAAAGTCTGCGGTATCCAAGGGCAGCCCTGGGCTCCTTCAGCTCTCCAGTCCCCATGGTGAAAGATCCGCAGAGAGGCCAACCCTCCCTTGGGTCGGCTATGCCAGGCGGGCATATGAGAGGCCCCAGACGTCTGCAACGCTGGCCCGATGCCCATCCAGTGAGCCAGCCCCGCGCTGCTTCTATCCAGGGAGTCTCTGGATTTGGGCTCCTCAGGCAGCAGAGCACACATGGAGACGCGGAGACCCCAGAGAAGACCCCACAGGACTGGAGCCCAAGGCCAGGGTCAGCCTCCCAAGCACAGCACAGCCAAGCCCCAGGTCTCATGCCCGGGCAGTGTGGACCCTCACCCCGCACAGAATCAGGGGACCCTGGGGGCTCTCAGTGGGCCCAGTTCTGCCCCCCAGTCCAGGAGAGTGTTAAGAACCCTGAAATGCAGGAAGGAGGCAGAGAGGGAGGGGGGAGACACAGAGAAAGAGAGCGGGGGCATGGGCCAGGCCCTCCATAAGGACCCAGCCAGGGGCGTGTGCTGAAGAGGGGGCCAGGATCCCACCCTATCAGAGCAGCACCTTCTCAGGCTGTTACATCCCCAGCATGGCTGCCAGGCCTGTCCCCACGGACATGGAGGCCCGATGGGAGGCCACTGTCAGGAAGGGGCACCAGAGCTTGGTCACAGGGTCCTAGATCAGCAGCCACCCGCCACCGCCCCACCTGGTCCTCACAGCCACACCACATGGACTGCACGTGGGCCAGGGCCCTGCATTGTGGGGTGGAGTTGGTGGGTTCTCACTGACACGAGGGGGGCTGTGGAGCCCCCAGTCAGGCAATGCCTGGAGTGATCCCAGCCCCAGCCCCAGAACACGGGGGCTCTCCCTGCTTTCCAGGGACTTGTCAGAACTCAGCCCCCGCTCCACCGGTTCCAGCCACACTAGGGGTGAGGGAGGGAGGGTCAGGGCCTACAAAGGCCATTTCCAGACTCTGGTAGGGAAAGGGAGAGAATGTCTGGCAAACCCCAGCCCGACCCGGCACTGGAGGTCGGGGTGCTGCACCTCCCGCAGGGCTGCAGTCCAAGGACCCCAGGCTGAAGCAGAGCCTGTGGCAGAAGAGTTCCGTCACAGCACGGACACACCCAGCTCGGTCCATGCTCCAACGTGTCCTGGCCCCTCGGGCACAGTGTCTCTTGTCACCTGTGTTCAGACACAGTGTCAGGTCGCCTTGTGGGAAGGCAGCGTCTCTGGGCTGTCACCTGTGTTCAGACACAGCGTCAGGTCGCCTTGCGGGAAGGCAGCGTCTCTGGGCTGTCACCTGTGTTCAGACACAGCGTCAGGTCGCCTTGCGGGAAGGCAGCGTCTCTGGGCTGTCACCTGTTTTCAGACACAGCGTCAGGTCATCCCTGAGCCGCACACTTGCACATGGGCTGCTGCTCCCCTGGGTGGACCCTCCTTGCCCATGGGGACCCTCTGTGGGGCCCTGAGCTGGGCCTGGCTTCTCCCTGAGAAGTGCCTGCCACCATCTGAATCGGCCTGCGTCCACAAAGCCCAAAAGAACAGGAGGCCACAGTGGTTGCCCAGGAAGCTCAGGGTCAGCAGTGCCTCGGCCCCTGAGCTCCGCTGACCAGACTCCCTCCTGGTGCAGCGGCCACACACCCACACACCCTCTCTTCAACCCACAGGAGGCCGGGTCCAGGGAGAAAGCTGGGCTCTAATTACATGTCCTGGAAAGAAATCCCAGTTTAATTTAGACTAAAACAAGAAGCCGTGGTTGGAAAGCTCCCCCGGAGAGCCACCTGCCTGAGCCAGGATGTGTTTCTCTGATGTCCCCAAGGGCCATGGAGGGTAGCACCAGGCTGGAGCCACAACAGGGGTGGGGACGCGCAGGGCTTTGGGGTTCTGGGGGCCCTGCCCATGTCCCTGACCCCCAGGTGCAACCAGCCCCACAGGGCCAGAGGCTTGACAGGGGCTTCCTGAGGGGCCCGGGAGGGCAGAGGCAGTGACGTGGGGACAGGACTGGGAGCGTGGATGCACGTGAGACTGGCTGGGGCACGGAAGGGGAAAGGCACCTGCGCCGATGGGTGACAGACTCCGGAGGCACCACGGGGCTTCCCGTGGGCTCTACCTTTTCTGGGTGTCAGAGCCCACCTGCCCCGTTCTCCAGCGCCACTCCCTGGTACAAACCCTCACCACTCCCACCTGGATCACTGCTTCCGGCTCCCACTCTCCTTCCCTACCGTCTACACTGTGCCCCCAGCACCCATCACGAGTCAATTGGGCCACACCTGTGCTCAGAGCCCTCCAACGCCCGAGCCAAGGCCCCCCTGCCCCCGCCACCCTCCCAGCCTCTCCCCTGCTGGAGCTGCTCCCCAGGGGCCACCCCACCCCAGTGGAAGGACACACTACACCCCGACTGCCCTGCAACACTCACTGCCTGCCTCGCCCAGGAGGACGCAGCCTCTGAGAGGGCAGGAACGGCCTGTGTTGTGCACTACTGTGTCCCCAGCAACTGGAACAGGGACGAGGAGGTAGTAGCTGCGCTCGACGAGCCCCTTCCTAAGGAATGAGTGAATGGATGACAAGGGGACAAAGAAGGGGTGGATGGAGGGTGGGGCAGGGGGAGTGAGAGGCTGGGGCAGCGGATGGAGGGGCTTCTAGTCCACGCACTCACTCACTCGCTCCCTCTCCCTCTGTCTCACTTCGCACCCCACCTTGGCTGATGGACGTGCTTCCAAATTCAGTGGAAACTTGGACACAGTTAGAGGACTTCCACGCCACCCTTCCTGCATCTGCTGGTCTATGCAGATGCACAGGCCCGCACTCCCGGAGGTCCTGGACTCTGCTTCCCTCACGGCTCCAGGGCTGTCCCCTTTCTGTCCACACTGTCCACTTGTCCTTCCCTCCTGGACTATGCACGTGGCATGGACGGGCTGCAAACCCCCAACTTCATAAAACTCTCCTGGCCTCCATCTCCCTCCTGCCCCTGCCCCTGTCACTCTGCCTCACTTTGCTGCAAAACTCTCTAAAAGACAAGCATTGCCTACAGGTGCCCACCACAACCCCTCTCCTCCCATTCCCAGCAAGCCCTCACCCCCACCACATGGCTGGACCAGCTCCTGCCTCAGACCCACGGGGCGCAGTGCACAGCCTTGGGTCCTCTCGTGGCCTCTGCAGAGGCCTCTGCATGCTCTTCCTTCCTAGAACACCGTCTACGCCAGGCACACCTCCGCTGCTCCGCCAACCTCACCGCCAGCTGCCACTTGTAAGTCCAGGTGCCCTGGTCTCCATCACAGGGCAGCTCTTCCTCCACACTTCCCATTCCCTGGGGATCCTGGGTGGTCTCAAGCTCTGAAGATGACTGGGACACCCATGTCCCTCGAATCACCACCTCCAGCCATACCTCTTCCCAGGCTGCTAGATGGCTCACCCCTCACGCTCTCCAGTCCTTCCTCTGATGACCCTATGCAAAGTGGCACCTCCAGGCCTGCACCCTGCATGCTTTATCTCATTTCATATGTGGGGAAAAAAAGCCCGCCACTCATCACCATCCACTCATCCGTCCACCTGCCGACTGCTCTCTGGGGCACGCCCATGCCGCAACTCATCACCATCCACTCATCCGTCCACCCGCCGACTGCTCTCTGGTCATCCGTCCACCCGCCGACTGCTCTCTGGGGCACGCCTATGCCGCTGTGCACCACACCAGGCTGCAAAGAGACCAGGCCCGGGAGGTGTCTTGTCCCCAGAACATGGGCCACCGGGCAGAGGTTCAGCTGTCTTCCTTCACTCCTGAGTCCTCAGCACCTGGCAGAGGCTCCATGAACACTGAATGAATGAATGATGAACAGGTGGAGGGAGGGCTGGCAGCAGGGCTGCCCACCTGGCTGGACAGACACAGGGCCAGAGAGCTGAGCAGAGGGCAGGATGGTGGATGGGGCATGGACGGGAAGGCAGACGAAGGCAGGGAAGTGGTGGCCTTCCCGCCTCCTCCCACCTCCTCCCCGTGGCCTGAGGTCCTTAAGAGCTGCGCCCTAGCACTCAGTGGGGCTCTTGCTGGAGTGAACTGCTGGAGGCCCCCATGTCAGACACAACCGGACCCCTGTCCTCACCCCAGGCCCACTCTGTGTGGGGAGCCGGCTCAGCCCCGACCCCACCCTGGTAGCACGGTGTTATTGGAAGCCGGGGAAGGGAAGCCTCACTCCTGGGCCCAGAATCTCTCTTGGCAAATGATCCACTCAGACGACCACAGGAGACGGCCAGGCGCCAGGAGCCCTCCTGGAAAGGAGGCAGAGTCCTGTGGCAGGGACCCAGCCACTGTGACCTCACCCCGGCCCAAGCGAGTCAGAGGAGTTCCAGGTGGCCACACATGGGCTGACCCAGTCAAGAGCATGGCTGGGAACTGAGGGCCTGGAGGCCCTGGGCACACACAAGAGCAGGAAGCTGCCAGCAGCCCTCACAGGCCTAGGGTTTCTCAGAAGCACACTCTGATGATCCTCACAGTACCCCAGCCCAGGCCCCACAGCTGCTCCCCAGGGCAGCAGGAGCTCGGCAGCATTACAGCCGACTACAGCCCCCCCACAGCCCAGACGCACTCACGCAGGCTAACAAAGGGTGCCCCAAAGTCCTGGGAGAGAAGCAAAGCGGAGACAAGGGGACAGAGCGCCCGCCTTCCCTCCCAGGTGAGAACACGGAGGCTCAGAGCCTCTCCAGGCAGCAGGAGGCATGGACCCAGGGCCTCCTCCATAGCTCCACACCAGCCTCAGGAGCAGAGCGGCCCCAGCTGGCCTCTGAGGGTGCTCAAGGCTTTGCCAAGCAACAGGCCAGGGTGTCTGCCTCTCCCTCCAACCCTCTGAGCACCAATTAAATCAACTCTAATTAAAAACAACAAACTAATGAGAAATACCGCCCACTACCCACAGGCCCTTGGCTCACAGGGGTGAGGTGAGGGTTCCTCCCTGGGCTCCCCATGGACCAGCACTCGCCGCACAGCAGACCCAGCCCCCTCCACACACAGATACGCACACAGGGGTTCACGTGTCCCCAGGTGCCCCACACGAGAGCAGCAAAGCGGCTCCCTCCCGTGACTTGGAGCCAGCATGTGGCCCCGTGGGACACAGATCACCTCCAACCCGGGGTTCCCTGCACAACCCAGGCTGCCTGGAGGGAAGACGTGTGGAGGCAGAGGAACCTGGGAGCCACCCCAGCAACGCCCAGGCCCTGCTGCAGACACAGGCGAGCAGAGACGTGCCCAAGCCAAGGGAAAGAGGGGCAGAAGAAAAGAGGGAGAGGCAGAGAGACACCAAGACACCAAGAGGGCCAGAGACAGAGAGCGTGGAGAGGAGACAAAGGGCTAGACAGGCAAAGTGGGAGGAGGGGGGGGGGGAAGAGGGGAGAGGAGGGAGAGGGAGAGAGATGAAGAGAAACAGAAGAGGGAGGCGGGAAGAGGAGGGGGAGGGGGAAGAAGGGGAGGGGAAGGAGGAGCAGCCCTGGACCCAGTCTATGTGTGCTGGGAGATCCAGGGGTCCTGCCCATGGCTTGGTGCAACTCCTCCTGCCTCCTCTCCTGGCCCTCAAGGGCCGACACACTCAGCACCATGGACAGCGCCCCATGAGGCCGGGTGCTGCCACCTCTACCCAGCTGCCCGCTGGCCCGCACCCCCCAGCACTGCTTACACCCCAACAATTCATTACTTCAGCAGAGGCACACTGCCCCTCCTGGGTGCCCACTCCAAGTGAGGCTCTAGGGACCTCCTGAAAAAAATAAGGCACCGTTGTCCTCAGGGACTTGGGTCCACAGGGAGAGAGAGGGGTAAACAGCTACCATGACTCCTGGGCTGCTTCTGGGAGTGCCCACTGGATGTGGGAGCGCCCAGTCCTCTGAGAGGCCACACTCTCCACCAGCCACCTCCCACCCCAGCCCCCAACGGGCATTGCTAGCGGAACCACAGACCCCCACAGGGCCTTCCATAAATTCTACCCCAGGGCCGTGGAGCCACAGACCCCCACAGGGCCTTCCATAAATTCTACCCCAGGGCCGTGCTGCAGAAAGGCACAGAATCCACCTCAATGCTGCTGTGCCCAGCACATCACAGACAGCTCTGGGGGCTGAGCCTTCTGTGTGACACTCCCAAGCCCAGACAGCTCTGGGGGCTGAGCCTTCCATGCGACACCCCCAAGCCCAGTTCTGTACATGCTGCTCTCACCCAGCAGGGGCCAGCCCCAGGCTCAGGAGCAGGCAGAGCAGATGGGGGCAGCACCCCGGGATCCAGGCAGGCAATGCGAGGCTCCCTCTGAGGGCCTCACCCAAGAGACCAGAGGCCATGTAGCCGACTGCTTCTTCCTCACACACACAGAACCTTGAAGGCATGAGCCCCAGACTCGAGGACTCCACAGCCATCTCCTTCCTCCTCTGCCACCAGCCCAAACACCCCTCCATATACCCTCCTGTGCACCAGGCATCTTGGGGCAGTCACTGGGTGAGGATGGGGCTCTGGAAGGAGAGCTCTCGCCTGCTGTGGGGCCTGCTCCCTCCTCTTCCATCTGGGCTCTGAGCCTCGGAACCATAAGGCTCAGGAAAGAGCAGACAGTGGTCCCTGGCCCAGCACAGGGCCTCTGACACTGAAGTGCTAACAGGCTCTGTGGGGGCAACTCCCCAAGCACTCACTCCCCAGCCACCACTCTCCACACCAGAGCCACAGCAGCCCAGCCCAGCCTTCCGCCTGCCAGTCAGGGAAGCAGGAAAGGGGACCTCACAGTGCCCACTGCACAGGTTGGGGAGTTAACACCCTGGAGGGTGGGGTGCAGAGCACTGGACCTGAGCTCCCATCCAGGCCCCTTGGGTCCATCTTCTAGATGTGCTGGTTACTTTGGCAATCACAAGCTGTTGTTAGGGTAAGTGGTTGAGGAGAAACTGCCGAAGCACCTTCCTGGCACTAGGAACTGTGAAAGCACTCGACACACACAGCCTCATCCCAGGCAGCACAAGGGCTCTGAGCGAGGTGGACACCACAGGTGAGCGTCTCAGGCAGGCACAGAATTCAAACCGCCAAGTGCCCCTCCCAGACCACAGGCTTGGGTGAGGCCAGAAGTCCAGCCCTCCTCCTCGCTAGGAAGCCCCTCACCTGGGCAGCAAAGCCACCTCCAACAGGCACCATGCTGGCTCAGGCCAGCCATGGAAGCTGGTGGCCCCTGGCCTGTGCGCTCTGCAAGCCAGCGCCTCCTGGGGACAGGTCACTGTGATCCGTCAGCGAGAAATACAGCACTGGCACCCCTGGGAGAAGCACCCCCATAGCACACAGGGTGGCAAACAGACTGTCTCACATTCGTTCATCTCCAGCAGGGCTGTGAGGGGACCCCAGTGAGGGGACTGCAGCTGCCCCAGCTCCACGGCGCAACTGAGCTTCAGAGAGCACACGCCCGGGCCTCACACGCTGGGCCTCCTGGCCTCAGCTTGCCTACCCTGTGAGGACGACCACGAAGTCCATGACGTTCCAGCCGTTCCGCAGGTAAGAGCCCTTGTGGAAGACAAAGCCCAGAGCGATGATTTTGATCCCTGCCTCGAAGCAAAAGATCCCGATGAAATAGGGCTCCGTGTCGTCCTAGGAGAAGCGCAGAACAGTGGTCACCCCTGGCCCCTACCCGGTGTAGTAGCGGGCAGAGACGGTTGGTGAGGACCCCACCCCACCATGTGCAGGCCACAGCTATCGTGAGGGTCTGACCCTCCTCACCTTGCCCCCAACACCCTGCAGATTCTCCAAGGAGCCATTCCCATCACTGAGCCTGCTTGCTGTCTGCACATGTCCCCTAATGGGGACACCACTGTTTACAGCAGCAACATCCCAGTCATGCCTGCAGGCCCCTCGTGCCTCCCACCCTGGCATCTCAGCTTCTGCCCACGTCACAGTGGGGCCCCAATCTCCCTGCTAGCACCATGCAGTGGGCCTTGCTTCGGGGAAGACAGTGATGTAACAGTACTAGTTGTGGGTGCTTATCAGGTAGTTTTTCCTTTATCAACTAGGGTGGCCCTTTAATACCCCATGAGGTCATCCCCATTCTAACATGTGGGAGACAGAGGCACAGAGATGCCCAGGAGCCAGGCAGAGGCCACAGCAGCCTCTGGGTGGGAACCTGCACAAGGTTGCCTGGATACAGCTCAGGCTTTCTTGAACTCAGTCCAGGCCCCGTTTATGCATTCAACATGCACCCGGGTAACCAGAACATGCACATCTCGGCAGAAAACAACAGAAATGAGAAGCACAACCTCAGCCCTGAGTGTGCTGAGCGACGACCGCCACATCTGTGAGGACCCTGGAGGCAGCCAGCCACAGTCTGAGCCTGAAGCTGGGAGCCACCCTGGGCTCAGACCGCAGGGAGCCTCCCAGAGGGCGTGGCGCCTGCAGGCAAGGCTTCCACAGCTCGATTTTGAGAAAGGGATCCAGGTGGAGGGAACAGAGCAGCCAAAGGAATGAAGACAGCTGATCCTAAAAAGATCCCTTTCCTGCACCCCAGGCTGAGCTCCAGCCAACAGTTACTGGACATGAGAGAGCAGAGCCAGGCCCTACCAGTGCCGAGCTGGAAGCAGCAAACAGGGTGGAGATGGGGCTGTGTGGAGCTTAGGGAGACCCCAAAGACTCCTCGTGAGCACACGCGTGGGGCTGGCAGGGAAAGGCCCTGTGCAAGGCAAGCCCGGGAAGCTGGGCTGAGGGAGCTGCATGTGCAGGGTTGGCATGGGGGTGTCGGACACCTGCACTCCAGGGCTGCTGCCTTAGGAAGCAGGTGAAGGGGTGGGGAGAGGAGACCAGCTTCAAGGGCCTCCCCTGAGGGTTCGTCTTCAGGACTGTGGAAGTCACAGGAAGAAGCAGCTGCTGGGCTGCCACAGAGCTGCCAGGTGAGGTGAGTGCCACCAGTTCCACAGCCTGTGCCTTCCTCCCCAGGAAGCCAGGCTCTCGAGGGCTCTCCGCATCTGACTCCCACCTTACTCAGCCTGGGCTCCTCCTGTCCTGTGGTGGAGCTGGCCCAAGGCTTGGCTGGCAGTACCTGGTAGAAGCTACCAGCACCCAAGGGTCCATCATGACCCGTGCTGACTCGCCCATGCTCTTCCTGGCCTCGAGCCTTCTGGTCTGATTTGTTTAGGAGGGACCCCTTTTCCCAAGGGGTGGGGTTGCTGACCATCTGCCCCAGGGGAACAGTGGGGCCGCAGCAGACAGAGATCTTCACAGGAAACTTCCTGGTGAAAAAGAGAACAGGCCCGACGCCTAGGAAGGACCAGCCAGCACCCTCAGCTGGGAAGGAGCCCCCAGCCCGAGCCCTCTCCTCACAGCTCTGCCCTGCCCAGCCCATGGCTGAAGGCTGGCTTAGGTGGGAGGGATGGGTGTGCAGGCAGCTTGGTGTTGCACTGCAAGCTGGGGCCTGGCTCGAGGTAGCTCCAGAGTCGACGGGGAGGTGGGAAACAGCCCCGAGAGGCAGGGAACCAGGGAGGCCTCGCCCAGGGCCAGGCTGGGAGACAACTGAGGGGCTGCCCCTGCACCACCCAGCCTCGGCCTGCTCTGTGGGCAGCAGCACAGCCTCCCCTCCATCCCAGGGGACATCAATGGCTGGGCCTGCACATGGGACTGGGACTGGTCAAGAGCTCCCCAGACCTCTAGGCTGGCTCAGGGCGGGCATGTTCTGCAGTTTTCCCAACAGGTTAGCTCGCCACTCCTAGAAGTGTCCTCCCCAACCTATGACCACAAAGTAAACCCTCCCACACCTGCGAGGCAGGAACTTGCAAGGCTGGACACCCACTGCCTGGCAGGGCAAGACAGCTTGATCCTCCCTGCCCCCGCCCCGGCCTGGCTCCTGGGCCTGCGTCCCTCTGACCCTGGCCCTGCCCTCCTTCCTGTGACTTGGCATTCAAGGCTCTCTGCCTGTTTCCTCTCAAGCTCACCCTCTTCTCCAGCCTCCAGAAAGCAATGGGCCCCACCAGGGTCCTGCCCAAGTCCCCCACAGGGACCATGACTCACGCCTGCCTCATGGTGTGGCTGGGCTGTCCATGCTCCTCCTCCTCACCCGGCCGTAACCCAGACCACTGGGCATTCCAGACTGTGCTCCATTAAGACCTCCTCACCTCGGCCACCCATAACTCACCTCCTGGTGCCTCACCTCCAGGACAGGCTCCCTGTCTCCCCTTCTGCACTCCTGGGCCTGCGGTGGCCCAGGTTCAAAGGGAGTTCAGTTTCAGGGCTAAAGTCTGAATAGCTCTTGTCTCAGGATGCTAGTGGGGGCGGAAGCCAGGCTTAAGGGAAGAGGGAGCAGCTCCTGACACCCCAGAGAGGCCGTCTCCTGGACGCCTCTGGCCCCGCACCCCCTGGGCCCCCACTTGCTCTGCCTTCTGCTCACCTGGAGGCTCCAGTCTTTAGGCACACTCGGAACCCAGACATGGGGCCAGGCATCAGGGAAGAGTGGGGGCTGGGGGACATGCTCTGACCTCAGAAACTGCTCACCTCCAAAATGCTGCCCTTCCTCTGACCCAGCCCCTCCAGAGACCCCACAGGGCTGGCCTTCCACCTTGCCTCCTGTTGAGCCACGGAGACCTTGCCCTGGCACCCTGACTCACACAGACTCTATGCTCCAATGGGGGCTACCACGGGGGCCTCTTGGCTGGAATCTGGGGACAGGTAAAAATGATTCAGAATGTTTGAGAAGGAATGCTTCCCACAGGATGGTGAGGCCCACTGGAGAAGAGGTTCCAAGCAGGCCCGCACAAGACAACTTGGAGGATGAGGCTCAGGGTTCCCACATCCAGGCCAAAGCCCATCTCAGCCCAGCAGGGCACACATGGCATTCAGAGCTGACCTTCCCGAAGACATGAATGCCCCTTCCCCACCCCAAGTTTAGAACATGGTTTTCTGGATCAAAGTCTAGCGCCGAAAGCCAGGACAGCCATTGAGGTGCAGGAGTAGCTCGTGGCACAGGGCAGACTGGCCCAGGGCTAACGTGGCCACGCCCAGGGCTAAGCCGGTGACCCCAGCTGCCCTGGCCCTCGAGGAAGGTGTTATCTGCCAGGCCTACCTTTTCCTTCAGACGCGAGGGGCACTGCCCAGACGACCCTGCCCGAGGAAGCTGTTCTCAGGCACAGACCATAAAGGAAAGTGGAGTCGCGGCCTCCCCACCACCCTGCCCTCAGGCCCAGCCGGGCACTCACCAGCCGCTCGGACATGGGCGTTTTGTCCCCATCAGGGAGGTGCTGCTCCAGGGCCAGCACGATGCAGTTGGCGATGATGGTGGCCAGGATCATATACTCGAATGGAGTGCGTGAGTTAAGGACTGGCCGGCAGACGCCGCACGGAGGGAAACACGAGGCCGACGCCAGCAGAGCCCAGTGCAGCAGCCACCGCTAGGCCGTCTCCGGAGGGGCTGAGACAACTGGGTCCGGAGCCCCTCTCCTGGCGGAAGCGGCCTGGTCTCCCTCACTCCCTGCCCCCATCCCTAGGGGCGGCCGCGAGGCGGGGCCTCCGCAGTCTGGGCCGCCAGCCCCTCGGCACACCCGGGCGGCCGTCAGCACCGCGGACAGCGCCTCCGGCCCGGCTCCGCCCGACTCCAGGGCCCCGAGGGGAGGGGGCCGAGCGCCCCCAGGCGAGGCTGGAGGGAGACCCCGCGCAGGCGCACGCTGCTCCCTCCAGACACGCAGCCACATGTACCTACACAGGCACGTGAACATGCATGTAGCCCGCATCGCGAGCGCACGCACGCGCAGCGCCAGGCTCCAGCTCAGCCCGCACACGCAGGCACCTGCAGCCAGGCGCGCGCACGGCCGCGTCCCCACAGCGCTCGCACCTGCACGGACGCGGCTTCGCCCTCGGTGCCCTCCAGGCTAGCCGCGCACTGTGCACCGACCAGGATCCCCAGGACCCGGCGTGCGGAGGGACGAGTCCGGAGCAGAGGGGCTCCGCCCCGCGCCCGCCGCACTCACGGAAATGCTCCCGCACCCGCCGCTCCGAGGGGCCCTGGGGCGCTCCGTACCCCCCTCGCCCGTCTCCCGACGCCTCCCCAGGTCGCGCCCTCCCGGCCACCGGGAAGATGGCCCCGGCCCCGGCCCCCACCCCGGTCCCCGCCCGGCCCCGCCCGGCCCCGCCCGGCAGGATATGGCCACTCGGTGATGCGCTTCGCGTATTTGCGGACGACGTTGTCCTCGCTGAAGACGAAGAGCGAGCGGTTGACGGTGAAGCAGTTCTGCTTGACCGGGATGGGGTTGTACAGCGCCATGGTCCGCGCGCGCTGCGCGATCGATTGCTTGTAGAGGACCCGCTGGCCGGGCTGCAGCCCCCCGGGACCCGGGCCCCCCGCCCCGCCGGCCCCGCCGCCCCGGGCCCGCTCTCCGCCGCCGGGGCCCCCATAGCGGCCGCCCAGCTCGTCCCCGAAGCGGACCATGGCTCCCGGGCCCCGCGTGCATCCCCGGCCCAGCGGCCCCGGCAGGGAGGGCGCGGGGCGCGCCAGGCGCTCAGAGCGGAGCAGCCACGGAGCCGCCGGGACCGCAGCGGACCTCGCCCGGCCCCACCGCCGCAGCCGCCGCCGCCTCACCCGACTCCGCGGCCCCGCGCCACGCCCTATAAGGGGCCGGTCACGTGGCGGGGCCCGGCCAATCCGCGCCGGCCCCGCCCACCCTGCCGCGCCGGCCCCGCCCCGCGGCCGCCCCCGCCCCGCCCCGGCCCCTCCGGCTGCGCCTCCCTCGCCCCGCGCCTCCCACCCCGGGGCTGGGCCGGGCCCAGGAGCGGACGAGCCTGTGGGTCCTCGACGGCCGCTCAGCGCCAGCCCGGGCCGTCCCCGGAGCCCACTCTGCCGGCCGCACCGCCCCTGGGTGCCCTCGGCTCCTCAAACTCGGCCCAGACGGACCCCTCGCTCCGCCCGGAGGCGCCACCAGCCCTGGGGCTGCAGCCCAGAGCTGGGCGCCAGGCCTGGGCCGGCCCGCCCCGTCCCCGCCGGGTCCCCGGCCTTCCCAACCCTCCGGGTGCGCTCGGCTCGCGGCCTTGGTGCCACGCGGACGCTTCTGTCGGGGGCCCCCAGCCCGGGTGCGGGACCTGCTGTTTCCACGCACGGGGCTGGCTCCGGGATCTCAGCTCAGAGAAGCCTCTGACCGCCTTGCAGGCCACGCCCCGTTAGGGAACCTGTCACGGTCACTGCCATTCCCCAGGCCTCCTTGAGCGCCCACCGCGGGCCGGGCCTGTCCTGGGCTCCCAGCTCTGCCCTCACGGAGCTGACCGTTTTGTACAAAGCACAGCAACCATTTACACAGCGCTCACTTCGTGCAGGCCCGTGGGTCCTCACAACCTCCAAAAAGGCGGCCCCGGGGTCGGGGAGACCTTCGGGAACAAGGGACCCTCTCGGACCTGAAGCTCGCTCGCAAGGCGCTGAGTGCAGAGTGAGGCCGGGTGCGGGCTGCGCCTTCTGAGAGGGAGGCAGTCCGCACAGTTCCGAGCAGAGGCGCGTAGGCCTCTGAAGGGTCCCTCGGGCTGCCGTGTGGAGTGTGGACTGCAGGAGGCTGGGGTGCTGAATCACTTAGGATGCATTCAGAGGCGAACAACCCGCTTCCCAGCTAGCAGCAGCTTGCACGATGCCATTGTGATCTCACTGAATACGAAGCCACCATCTCTCCTCCCTCCAAAATCCCCACATACACTTTCTGCCTTCCTGCCTGTTGCCTCATGCCCCAGGGTGGCTGTCATAGCACAGGGCATCACACCGCTACACCAGCATCTCAAACGGGAAGGAAGTGGCAGGTGTACAAAGGATGACCACTTTGTGAATCAGGTTACGATTTTCTTTTCTAACAAAGGAAAAGCTTCTCAGAGGCTCCCCCTGCAAGTGTCTCTTTAACCCCGTTAGGCCATGGGCCATGTGGCCGGCCCTGACTTTAACAGGGTGGGAAAGTGAACATGTGTCAAAGTGGACCAGGATGGCCAGCCCCCACTAGGCGAGCACATAGTTGCCCCAAACAAAATCAGGGTTCGCTTAGCTGGGAAGCAGGTGCTAAGGCTGTCGGGGAGGCTGCCAACTGGCCTGTCACAGAGAAAAATCAGAGCCCAGGGAGGGGTTTTGACAGCAGCACAGAGAGAGATGATGTGGTTTGAACATGGGGGCCATGAGCAGTGCCTCTTTCTCTTAGAGAGAGTGCGTCCAGTGTAAATGTGAAGGAGAGATAGAAACACAGGCTCTTCATTTTTGGTCTGAGTGACTGAGTCGAGGGGGATGCCCTTTGCCGAGATGGGGAAGACAGAGGGAAGAGCTTGTTAGTCACAGGGTGGAAATTAAGAATTGCCTACTGGGGACAGAAGTGGAGATGCTATGCAGGGGTGGAGTTTCTCGAGGGATGCCAAGACGAGAGGCCACTGCTGCAGCCCTGCGCCTGGAGGCTGGGCTCGCCACATCTGCTCTGCCCTTCCCTCCGTGCTGCGTGACGCTGGAGCTGGCCTTTGAAAGCCACATCAGCCTGTTCCTTGACCTGTGGTTTCTGGTTATGCTAGCCCAACAGGAGCACCAAAGGCCCTTGAGGGAAGGAAAGAGCAAGGCCAAGGTGTCTACTATTCCCCTGACTTCCTCCTGCCAGGTCACCGAGGGTTGGCTGTGCACCTCAATTGAAGCTCCGGCCCTGTCAGGCACCCACCACTCTCCTTTCTCTCTCTCCAGTTCCAGTTCCTGCGTCCTCCCCTTGTTCCTGCCAGCGGGGGATGGCATCACGCAGGCATGGTGAATCCTGGCCCTTGGGACTTCCCTGCGCCTTGCACAGATCGCACAGATTGTGGTAGATGGTCCCTTGCAAGTGTCATCCTGCCTGATGCATCACCACCGAGGAAGCGACCGAAGTCAGAGACAGAGGATGCTGCCACTCCCCAAGAATGAAGCCGGTGAGGAGGAGCAGCCAGGGCTGTGGGGGGTCGGGGGAGTGCCCTGTCCCGGAGCTGAGGGAGGAGTGCGTGTAGTCCATAGAGATGAGGACCGACATTCAGCCATCAGAGTGGAAAGACAGAGGTGCCCATCACCCGGACAGCAGTTTCCACAGAGGAGCAGCCCGAGTGGGGCGGATTGAAGAGAATGAGTTGTGAGGAAGTCCCTACAGCGGGTGTAGACAGCTCGTTCAGTGAGGAAGTCCCTACAGCAGGTATAGACAGCTCATTCAGTGAGGAAGTGCCTACAGCAGGTGTAGACAGCTCGTTCAGTGAGGAAGTCCCTACAGCAGGTATAGACAGCTCGGTCAGTGAGGAAGTGTCTATAGCGGGTGTAGACAGCTCGGTCAGTGAGGCAGTGCCTACTGTGGGTGTAGACAGCTTGTTCAGTTAGGAAGTCCCTATAGCGGGTGTAGACAGCTCGGTCAGTGAGGCAGTGCCTACTGCGGGTGTAGACAGCTTGTTCAGTTAGGAAGTCCCTACAGCAGGTGTAGACAGCTTGGTCGGTGAGGAAGTCCCTACAGCAGGTGTAGACAGCTCGGTCGGTGAGGAAGTCCCTACAGCAGGTGTAGACAGCTCGTTCAGTGAGGAAGTGCCTACAGCAGGTGTAGACAGCTCGTCCAGTGAGGAAGTGCCTACAGCAGGTGTAGACAGCTCGTCCAGTGAGGAAGTGCCTACAGCAGGTGTAGACAGCTCGGTCGGTGAGGAAGTGCCTACAGCAGGTGTAGACAGCTCGGTCGGTGAGGAAGTCCCTACAGCAGGTGTAGACAGCTCGGTCGGTGAGGAAGTCCCTACAGCAGGTGTAGACAGCTCGGTCGGTGAGGAAGTCCCTACAGCAGGTGTAGACAGCTCGGTCGGTGAGGAAGTCCCTACAGCAGGTGTAGACAGCTCGGTCGGTGAGGAAGTCCCTACAGCAGGTGTAGACAGCTCGGTCGGTGAGGAAGTCCCTACAGCAGGTGTAGACAGCTCGGTCGGTGAGGAAGTCCCTACAGCAGGTGTAGACAGCTCGGTCGGTGAGGAAGTCCCTACAGGAGGTGTAGACAGCTCGGTTGGTGAGGAAATCCCTACAGCAGGTGTAGACAGCTCGTTCGGTGAGGAAGTCCCTACAGCAGGTGTAGACAGCTTGTCCAGTGAGACAGGGAACAACACAGATGCAGCATTAAGGAGTTTTTTGTTTGTTTGTTTTTTAAGGTAGGGGATATTATTGGACTTCGTATGTGATGGCAATGACTCAACAGAAAGAAAAATTGCTGATGCAAGAAAAAGAGTGTCTTGCCTCGTCCAGGCAAGAGGGCATCAGACTTGGGACAGCTCACTCGAGGCAGGGAAAGAAAAGCGGGTCGCACGATTGCAGGCACAGGTGGGCTGGAGGATTCATTTGGGGGAGGATGAGGGTTTTATTGTGATTATTCTACTTTCTCAGTGAAACAAGAAACAAAACAAGCAACTGAGAGTGAGAAGGGGGCATTTGCAGGTTGGCGAGGGAGGAGAGGGTTTGAAATGCTCATCCAGGGCTATAGGGAAGAGAATCCACAAGAGAAATGTGTAGAGTTGACAAGTCTGGAGCTGGGGGTGACTAAGTCCAGGACAGGCTGCGTGGTGGGCACTGCTGCAGTGTCTAAGCCAACGACCAGCGAGCTTGTCACCCCTCGAGGGTCCCATCTTCCTCCGGACCCTCCAGCACACTTGCTCACAGCCCCTCCCCCATCCCTCTCCAACCTCAGAGTCCTTCTGCTGCCCCCTGTCCCCCACCCCCATCCCTCACTCCCTCACCCTCTTTCTCACCTGGCAGAATTCCCATCTGGAACCTCCAGAGACACCCACCCAGGCTCCCGCCACTGGGGAAGGTCACAAATTGGACAGACTGGTGTCACTCTGGTTCCCCAGAAACTCCTCCAGGGGTCCCAAAGTTGGTCACAGCCCTTGCGGTGGGAGGTGGTGGTTGTAGCCACACCCCGGCCGCCCTCCACACTAGGCTCCTGCACCCCACCCTCCCAGCACAGCACCTGCAAGCCCAGCACCTCTTCAGTTGTTCCTGCGATGTCCCCTGTAGATCTCAACTCTGTCACTGTGTGCTGGGTCCCCTTATGGGGAAGCGGGGAGGAGAACTAGGAGGGTTTTTTTCTTTTTATATAATTAACATTTAATTCTACAAATAATAACAGGCACTAGGGCTCTGTGGAAGACACAGAGGATCCCAGCATCCAAGCACGGTGCAGCCCCTCCCGGACTTCCGCATCTCAGAGGTCATCACTGTCCAGAATTTTGTGTTCACCGTTCCCTTTCTCTCTGTACATCTACGTGCAATTTATTGTGCAGTTGTACATGCTTTTGAAATTCATTTCTTTTTAAAAAAAATAAAAAGTCTCGATCTGTTGCCCATGCTGGAGTGCAGTGGTGCCATCTCAGCTTGCTACAACCTCTACCTCCTGGGTGTAAGCAATTCTTGTGCCTCAGTCTCTGAGTAGCTGGGACTATAGGAGTGCGCCACCACAACTGGCTAATTTTTTGTATTTTCATAGAAGACAGGGTTTTACCATGTTGTCCAGGCTGGTCTCGAACTCCTGAGCTTAGGCAATCCGCCCACCTGGGCTTCCCAAAGTGCGGGGATTACAGGTGTGAGCCACCTCGCCCAGTCCCATGCTTTTGAAATTCACACAAGAGAGCTAAGCTGTCGTCCTGTGGTGCTGCAGCGCACTGTGTTGTTGGGTGTAGCTGTGAATCACTTGTTTTCACCACATATGTTAGTCTGTCGTGTGACAATTTATTGATCCATTCTACTTTGACGGAGATTTGTGCTGCTGTCCAATTCCTGCCATTTCAATTCTCCAATGAACATTTAATGTCATTCTCCTGGTGCTTGGACAAGAGCCTGCAGGTCTAACCCGAGGAGAGAAATTGCTGGGCCATGGGACGTGCCTCTCGACCTCACTGGATGCTGCTAACTTAGGGCCCGAAGTGCAGCGATGACCGTCCCGCAGCACCACACAGACCCTAGCTCGCTTGGCATTGTCTCCAACACTCTAGTGTTATCAGCCTTCATGTTTTTGTCAGTCTGGTAGGCATTTCAGGTCCCTCACTCTGTTTTAATCTGCTTTTTCCTGCTCACTAATGGAGTAGGGCATTTTCTCACATTCCTTGCCCATTCACGTCTTCCCCTTTGCCAAAACGCCTGTTCAAATCTTCCACCCACTTTTCAACTGGATTCTGTCTCTCCTTCTGATTGACTTGTCGAAGTCCTTACATGTTCTGGGCACAAATCCTCCATCAGATGTGTATAGTTGCAGTATCTTCTCTCACTCTGTGATTTGTCTTTTGCTTATTTCATGATTCTTTTGATATGTAGAAGTTCCTCATTATACTGTAACCGAAATATATCCAGCTTTTCCCTATGTTTTGTGCTTTTTGAATCCTAGGAAATTCTTCCTTTGTTCATTGTTGTGAGAGATTCTTTGGGAGATTTGAGAATAGATTCTCCTATATTCTCTTCTAAAATTTGTGCAGTTTTGCTTTTTCT
Source organism: Homo sapiens (assembly GCF_000001405.40). Taxonomy (NCBI): domain Eukaryota; kingdom Metazoa; phylum Chordata; class Mammalia; order Primates; family Hominidae; genus Homo; species Homo sapiens. The sequence continues at coordinate 137,871,906 of NC_000009.12, read as the reverse complement.
ATTTTAAACCACTTGCAAATGATTTTTCTGTATGATGTGAGGCAGGCGCCATTTTCATCATCTTAATATAATTAAATTGTCATGACACCATTCACAGAAGGGCCCCAACTGTCTGCTCTCTGCTCTGCTCAGACGAACTCTTCACCTGCTCTGGGCCAATACTCCCTGCACTGATTACAAAAGTCTTATTAAAAGGTTAATGCCTCTACCTGGGTTCTTCTTTGAATTTTTTTTTTTTTTTCAGACAGGCTCTCACTCTGTCGCCCAGGCTGGAGTGCAATGGCTGGAGTGCAATAGCACAATCTCAGCTCACTGCAGCCTCCACCTCCCGGGCTCAAGCAATCCTCCTACCTCAGCTTCCCGAGTAGCTGGGACCACAGGTGTGCACCACCATGCCCAGCTAATTTTTGTATTTTTTATAGAGCCAAGGCTTGGCTATGTTGCCCAGGCTGGTCTGGAACTCCTGAGCTCAGGTGATCCGCCCACCTCAGCCTCCGAAAGTGCTGGGATTATAGGTGTGAGCGACTGCGCCTGGACAAATTTTTGCTATTCTTGACCCTTTATTTGCCCTTATAATTTTTAGGATCGACTTGTCAGGTTATATACATGCACACAGTGGACTTTTGACAGGAATTATATAGAATCAATAGATAAATTTGGGGGAAATATACATTTTTGGTATTGAGGCTTTCAATCCTTATGCAATACATATGTATTAATTATTAGGGTCATCGTTAGTTTATCCTATAAACTTTTATAATATTCTCCAACAAGGTCCTGAACATTTATACTCTATTTATTTCTAAGTGTTTCATGTTTTTCACACTACTGTGAAGGATTCCATTTTTAAAGTTGCATTTTCTGTCACTCGTTTAGAAACCCAGTTATTTTGGGCCGGGCGCGGTGGCTCACGCCTGTAATCCCAGCACTTTGGGAGGCCAAGGCGGGAGGATCACCTGAGGTCAGGAGTTCGAGACTAGCCTGGCCAACATGGAGAAGCCCCATCTCTACAAAAAATACAAAATTAGCCAGGCATGGTGGCATGTGCCTGTAGTCCCAGCTACTCGAGAGTCTGAGGCAGGAGAATCGCTTGAACCTGGGAGGCAGAGGTTGCAGTGAGCTGAGATCGTGCCACTGCACTGCAGCCTGGGCAACAAGAGCGAAACTCCATCTCAAAAAAGAAAAAGAAGGAAGGAAGGGAGGGAGGGGAGGGGAGGGGAGGGGAGGAAGAAAGAGAAACCCAGTTATTTTGTAAATTGATTTTATGTAGAGCAACATTTCTGAATTTCCTGATTGAGTCTAATAACTTATTGTTAGATTTCTGTTTTCTATATAGATATACAAAAACAATACTTTTTTTCTTTTTCAATTCTTATAGCTTTTATTTCTTTTTCTTATCTTTCTGTGCTAGCTGAGACTCACAATGCAAGTAAGTACAAAGATGTACTGAAATGTGATAGTGGGAACCTGTCCTGTTCCTCATCTTAAATAAAATACATTCAACCTTTCATACTTACATATGATGTTTATTATATTCTTTTGTTTATTTTTATTTTCATGTTTTGAGACAGAGTCTCACTCTGTTGCCCGGGCTGTAGTGCAGTGGCATGATCTTGGCTCACTGCAACCTCAACCTCCAGAGTTCAAGCAATTCTCCTGCCTCAGCCTCTCAAGTAGCTGGGATTATAGGTGTGTGCCACCATGCCTGGCTTATCTTTTTTTTTTTTTTTTGTATTTTTAGTAGAGATGGGGTTTCACCATGTTGGCCAGGCTGATCTCGAACTCCTGACCTCAAGTAATCCACCTGCCTCGACCTCCCAAAGAGCTGGGATTACAGGCATGAGCCACCACACTCGGCCTGTTATGTTCTTTTTTTTTTTTTTTTTTTTTAGACGAAATCTCGATCTGTTGCCCAGGCTGAAGTGCAGTGGCACTATCTCAGCTCACTGCAACCTCCACCACCTCCCAGGTTCAAGCAATTCTCCTGTCTCAGCCTCCTGAGTAGCTGGGATTATAGGCGCGTGCCACCACACCTGGCTAATTTTTGTATTTTTAGTAGAGATGGGGTTTTGCCATGTTGGTCTTGAACTACTGACCTCAGGGTGATCTGCCCACCTTGGCCTCCCACAGTGCTGGGATTACAGGCATGAGCCACTGCGCCAGGCCTGTTCTTTTTTTTTTTGTTCAAAAGATACCGTTCATCAGGTCACAAAGTTCCCCTCTAGTCTTAATTTCTAGGAGTTTTTCTCACGAATAGGTGATAAATTCTGTCAAATGCTTTTTCTGCATTGAAATGACCTAATTTTTCTCCTTCTATGTGTTAAGGGAATGGCTTACATAAACTGATTTCCTAAAGTTAAACCAACCTGTCATTCCTGGGGTAAATCAAACATAATCATCTTTGCGTACAATTCAGATCTGGTTTACCAATAACTTGTCTAGACTTTTTGCAGCTGTGCACTGCACTATTCTCATCAGGTTTGGATATCCAGGTTATGCTAGCCTTGTAAATGAGTTAGAGAGCATTTCTATAGGGAATTTATATTTTGAAAGTTCAGTGGAACTCACTGACTGGGCCTGATGTTTTGTTTGTGATTTTAATTACTGATTCTATCTCTTTAAGAGTTATAAGACTATTCGGGTTCTCTATTTCCTCTTGAGTCAGTGTTAGTGCAGTTATATTTTTCTAGAAATGTATTGGCCTAAAATTGTTCATATTATCTTTTAAATCTATGTTATATCTATGGCTGTGTCCACTTTATTTATTTATTTATTTATTTATTTATTTATTGAGACATGGTCTTGCTCTGTCACCCAGACTGGACTGCAGTGGTAGAATCTCAGCTCACTGCAGCCTCAACCTCCCAGGCTCAAGCCAGCCTCCCACCTCAGCCTCCCGAGTAGCTGGGATCACAGGTGCATGCCACCATGTCCAGCTAGTTTTTAAATTTTTTCCAGAGACAGGGTCTTGCTATGTTGCCCAGGCTGGTCTCCAACTCCTGGGCTCAAGTGATCCTCCCACCTCAGCCTCCCAAAGTGCTGGGATTACAGGTGTCAGCCACTGCACCTGGCCTACCTTTAAATTGTTTATTTATGCTCCCCCTTCCCCACCTGCCCAGAGGGTTGCCATTCTGATTAGTGTTGCCAAAGAACCAGTTTTGGTTTGATTGTCTCCAGTGCATGTTAGTTTCTATCTAATTAGTGCTTCTCTTTATACCTCTTGTTTTAGGTTGATTTTGCTTCTTCGGGTGGATGATGAGCTAATTAACTTTCAGCCTTTCTTTTAAAAAAAACACACATAGGACATTACTGTTATTTTAAACAGTTGCAGTTTCCTTGAAAGTGTGCTTCATAGGCCTCCAACTATGGGAATGTCATGACCAATGGCCTCAGCTCTTGTGCTCAGAATCTGTCTCTGCATTTGTGCTGAGGCCACACTTCTTTGGCTCAAGAACTCCCTGGCAGCTTTCCTGAACCTTCCTTAGGTTGTTTAGTGATCTAGGTCACTCCCAGTCAACCTTCGTTCCCTCTCTTCCTCTCTGGAAGTTAGAGCTACTCACATTCTGAAGCTCTTCCAAGTTTCTTAGCTACCTCCATGCTTCATCTCTAATAATAACAACAATATCTAATCTTCATCATCTAATAAAATCTTCTCTCTTTTTTTGAAAGGGCTTCATTCCCATCACCTAGGCTGCAGTACAGGGGCATGATCTCGGCTCACTGCAACCTCCACCTCCTGGACTCAAGCAACCCTCCCATTCCAGCCTCCCAGGTAGCAAGGACTACAGGCACACACCACCATGCCAGGCTAATTTTTGTTTGTTTGTTTTTGTTGAGACGGTGTTTCACCATGTTGCCCAGGCTGGCCTCGAACTCCTGAGTTCAAGTGATCTGCCCACCTTGGCCTCTCAAAGTGCTGGGATTACAGGCACGAGCCACCACACTCAGCCTTCATCATCTAATAAAATCTAACCAAATCCTTATACCTTTATCCCATCTGCATCTTGGAAGACCTGGACTAACATAAGTGGCATCAGGAGAGGATCTGGGACTGTCCTGCCCACCACCCAAAGGGTGCAGAGGCTGCTGTCCTGGTTGGCTGGGAGGTCCGGTGGTCCCTGGCACACGGTGGGAGCTTCATGAGTGATGACCTGGGAAAATATCTCGGTGGAGCACAGCGCTGTGGCTGGTGGGATGATGCAGGCCCCTGAAAAACTGGGAGTGGGGAGCAACCAAACCAACAAAGACAGGACAGCGGGCTGGTTCCCCATACCGACATCCTGAGAACTGTTACCAAGCTCGGTGTGAGACTGGAGTGCCTCTACCACAGAGGTAAACAGGCACTTAACCAGAGTGAAGGGCCACCGGTGGGTCAGCTCTGCAAAGGTAGAAAGTAAGGGTCCCCTGGGGAAAATCTGGGTCCCAAAGATGTAACGATGAGGACCCTCCAGTCCTCTGGAACCTCTGGAAGTGCACAGGTCCTCCTGCCCCATAAAGGTGAGCACATCTACTGTGCTGGAGATGTTACGGAATCACCTGTCTCACCAGGAAGCAAGTGCTCGCCTCAGGAGCTGTCCCACCTGCCTGCCAGGCCAATTGCGAGGGCTAAATCCCAGCACAGACCAACGGGAAGGGGCAGGGTGCTAAGCCTAAAAAGGGAGAAAGGGGCTGCACAGCTAAGTAATTGCAAGAACTGGTTGATGGCCTCAGCTGGGGCAGAAGAGAAGTCCCGGGATGGGAGAGTGAGGAGCTTGACCAAGGGTCTGGAAGCATTTGCTGCAGTGGGGCACTTTCTCAGGACCCAGGAGGTGGGGAAAACTTGGAATGGCTCTTAAAAGCCTTGAAAAAAGTGGTAGCCAGCTCACAGTGAAGCAGAAACCCTCAAGTTCTCTGACAGCTGGTAGAGGAAGGAATGGGGTGGAGGGAGGTGGGTGTGCAGGAAGCCCTAGGGAGAACACCAGCATCACCAGGAAGTCGAGGCATTCCCCGTCTGCAGCCTGTGCTGAGGGTGGGAGAGTCAAGAGGTTCCCCGTCTGCAGCCTGTGCTGAGGGTGGGAGAGTCGAGGGGTTCCCCGTCTGCAGCCTGTGCTGAGGGTGGGAGAGTCGAGGGGTTCCCCCTCTGCAGCCTGTGCTGAGGGTGGGAGAGTCGAGGGGTTCCCCGTCTGCAGCCTGTGCTGAGGGTGGGAGAGTTGAGGGGTTCCCCATCTGCAGCCTGTGCTGAGGGTGGGAGAGTCGAGGGGTTCCCCCTCTGCAGCCTGTGCTGATGATGGGAGACGCAGCTACAGAGCCGGGCTCCCTAATCCCCGTGGGGAAGATGAGGCAGGCGGCCACCGAGGGGCTTGGGGGCAGTAACAGGGGGTGGTAACAGAGCACGGTGCCCTGAGGGGTGAAACCAGTGGCCAACAAGGGGGAAGCTTCACATGTAAGAGTCAACAGAGGGCAGGGGCTGAGGGGCTGCCCCAGCAGGAAGTCACACTCCCGTGCTGTTTCTGGACATGAGCCGATTTTCAGAATTGGAATCCACTGACGGAAGAGTGGCTGGGAGCCTGGAATGAGCTGCGATGTCTGGCAAGTTAATACCTGGCCCTTCCCAGGGGCTCGGGCTGCTTCCCTGGGGGACTAGAGGGAGCATGCAGGCACCTTCGCTGTAAGTGCCTTGCAATTTAAAGAGACAACTGCCTATTACAATAATTATAAGTCCTGCTGGTGGCCCAGTGTGTCAAGATGTAATTTGTGATAATAACAACATAAAGGGGGTGCTGCTACGGGGGAGCAAAGGTTTTGTAGACGACTGAAACTAAGTTGCAATTTCAAAACATTGAGAGGATTCATTGAAACCATGTTCAAATAAAACCTTGAACGTGAATGTGCGTCTGTCCCCCCAGGCCTGGCCTGGACAGCTCTGGCCCTCATCAGAGAAGCCTCCCTGGCTGAGCGTTCCTGTCACAGGCTCTGCCTCCCTTCATGGTGTCCATGCTGCGGAGTCCTAATGAGGGAAAGGAGTCAGACTGGTGGGACCAGGGGAAAGCAACAGAGAGAGCGGAGAAGCTGTGAGTCTGCCTTTCTTCATGGTCCAGGACACACGGCCCTCCCGTGCAGACAAATCACAATCTTCCTACGCCCAGTTATCACCAGATCCTCGGCTGATAGAAAAACGCGTTAGCTCCCTGCAACCTGGGCGTTATCAGCACTGCACATGGCCCTCTCCGGCACAAGCCCCATCCTATAAAATCCCCAGCACGCCTTCAGCTCTTGCTGCCAGCGCCTCTCTTGGTGATTGCCCATTGCTTTCTTGCAACGTATTTTCCTACTTTCTCTCATAAATCTGCCTTTCTTTACCTACAACAGTCTTGGTAAATTCTTTTTACTGCCCACGCCACCAGCCCCGGTTAGTTGCTACCTGCAACACACAGCACTTTTAGTTACATAATTATTCATGGGACATTCTGTGAGGGTGAGAGCCCAGCCTGCCCTGGCATGATGCTGGTGGCAGGGCATGAGAACTGTTTGCTACATGCCAAAGGTCACTAGCTTCTCTCACCCATCAAGTCCAGCCCGTTGCCCTGTCCTGCCTCTTCCAGCTCCCGAATCACCCCTTCCCTCACTGCTGCCCACAATGGCCTAGCCTGCCATTCCAGCAGGCAGCCACAGCACCATGCAGCCCTCGCCTCTCCCCAGCCCCCTCTCTGTGTCCAGAGTGGTCTTTCTAAGGCACAGTTCTGACCACGTCGCTCTCCTTTTCACTCCAAGTCCCAGCTCCTTGACAGGCTTGTGGGGTCTACGGCAGGTCCACCTCCTCTCCCACCCCTCTGCCAGGCCTCGTGGCTGGATGGGTGGATGCTGCTGAACGCTGCACTCCCTCAGAGGTTCCCGCTTCCCTCACAGGCCACAGACTCCAGGGCCGCCTCGCCAGCTCCACGAGTCCATCAGTGGCCTCTCAGCCCCAGCACCATTAACATGTACGGTCCAGGAACTCTGTTGGGGAGGGCTGTCCTGTGCACTGTACAGTGTTTAACAACATCCCTGCCTGATCCCACTAAGTGCCATAGCACTCCTTCGGTTGTGACAACCCAAACTGTCTCCAGACCTTGCAGACGTCCCCCAGGTGCAAAATCGTCTCCAGCTTGGAACCACTGCTCTGTTCAGGAGTTTCCAGATCCATAGCTCAGTCCAGAGTCTTCTCCTGAGTTCCAGACCTGAGGATTCATTTGTTTCTGGACGTTTTCCCCTGGAGAAATGGGAGTGTAAAAAGATGGGTGCAAGGAAATAGAAATATTCATAACAAAGCTAATCTGAAAGAACAGATAAATGAAATGCTGAGTACAGCATAGAAAAAAATCAAGAGGGACTTTTCCGACCATATAAAAATGTATGATAAAGTGACAATAATTAAACCATATGGTATATAGCCTGGGCACAGTGGCTCACACCTGTAATCCCAGCACTTTGGGAGGCCGAGGTGGGCTGGTCACCTGAGGTCGGGAGTTCAAGACCAGCCTGACCAACATGGAGAAATCCTGTCTCTACTAAAAATACAAAATTAGCTGGGCGTGGTGGCACATGCCTATAATCCCAGCTACTTGGGAGGCTGAGGCAGGAGAATCGCTTGAACCCAGGAGGCAGAGGTTGCAGTGAGCCAAGATCGTGCCATTGCACTCCAGCCTGGGCAACAAGAGCAAAACTTCATCTCAAAAAAACACGAGGTCAGGAAATCGAAACCATCCTGGCCAACATAGTGAAACCCCGTATCTACTAAAAATGCAAAAATTAGCTGGGCGTGGTGGTGCATGCCTATAATCCCAGCTACTTGGGAGGCTGAGGCAGGAGAATCACTTGAACCAGGGAATTGGAGGTTGTGGTGAGCCGAGATGGTGCCAGCGCACTCCAGCCTGGCGACAGAGCAAGACTCTGTCTAAAAACAGACAAATAAACAATCAAAAAAGACCACAAATTCTAGATAGGTTGATGCAAATACAAAGTAAAATTACCAAGGAGAACAAAAAGAGCTAAGAATTTTGTAATCCTAAAGTAGAGGAAGCCTCAGGGCAGTGGCACAGGAGAATCACTTGGGAGCTTTGTAAACATAAAAGCCTGTGTATAGTGCATAGCCAGGGCTAAGAACCACCACATTAAAGGAAAACACTGGTAAGTTGGATTCTAGAAAAATTTGAAATTCTTGTAAGACAGAAGCAAAAAAAGCACTCAAAGGCTAATTAAAAAAAAAATCATAAGCAAAGTAAATAAACACCTTTGAAATATTAGCAATCCATGCGACTAAGAGTGGATTTTCTTGACATCCACAGAGCTGCTTAAGATGAACAATAAAAAGATGATTCAACCAAAAACAGGCAAAGAAGGTGACAAATTGCCTCACTGGGAAAGACATACGCAGTCATGAAAGAACTTGCAATGACACAGCAATGGGACGTTTTAGGCAGCCAAAGGCTTAGAAGCTTTATGGTGCCCAGTGAGACCATCTGTGGGAATGAAGAAGCAACAGGAGGTTTGGGCTCTGGAGCCAGGTTGCCACGTCGTCACATCATGGCTTTGCCATTGACTAGCTGTATGACCCGGGGCATGATCCTCGATGTCTGTTTCCACATCTGTTAAGGAGAGGGTAATCCCCACCATATAGGGTTATTATGAGAAGTAAAGGAGTCCATATTTGTAAAGCACTTAGAACAGTGCCTAGAAACTATGTTAAACAGTAAAAGCTTGGCCAGGCGCGGGGCCTCACGCCAGTAATCCCAGCACTTTGGGAGGCCAAGGCAGGCAGATGCCGAGGTCAGGAGTTAGAGACCAGCCTGGCCAACATAGTGAAACCCCGTCTCTACTAAAAATACAAAAAATTAGCTGGGCGTGGTGGCGCACACCTGTAATCCCAGCTACTCAGGAGACTGAGGCAGGAGAATCACTTGAACCCGGGAGGCAGAGGTTGCAGTGAGCCGAGATCACACCACTGCACTCCAGCCTGGGCGACAGAGCGAGACTCCATCTCAAAAAAAAAAAAAAAAAAAAAAAGCTAGGCACACATCTGTAATCCAGCAACTCGGGAGACTGAGGCAGAAGGATCACTTGAACCTAGGAGGCGGAGGTTGCAGTCAGCCGAGATTGCACCATTGCACTCCAGCCCGGGTGACAGTGCGAGACTGTCTCAAAAAAAACCTAAAACCAAAAAACAGTAAAAGCTTAATAAGTGTTAGGTATTGTTCTTTTTGTCGATATATTTTTATATAAAATGTTTGGGAGCATATTCATGAAACTGTTACAGTGATTAACCTAAGGAAGACATTGGAAATAATGGAATTTTAACTCTTTCTTTCTGTATCATATTTACAATAAACTTTTTCTATTTAATATTTAAAACATAAAATCATAAAGAACTAGGATACATGTATGAAGAGAAAAAACTAATAGAATAGTGCCATAGAAGAAAACGGGTGTGTGTGTACACAAATTTAGTAGATGAGACTTAAAATTTGTGAGGAAAGGAAAGATTATTCAACAAATGTTGTTGGAATTGGTATTCAACAAGTTAGTATTGGCATTCAATTTAAAAGAAAATGGACCAGATATGGTGCCTCACATCTGTAATCCCAACCCTTTGAGAGGCTGAGGTGGGTGGATCACTTGGGCCCAGAAGTTCGAGACCAGCCTGAGCAACACGGCAAGACCCCATCTATACTAAAAATACAAAAATTAGCTGGTCATGGTGGTGCGCATCTATAGTCCAAGCTACTCAGGAGGCTAAAATGGGAAGAATTGCTTGAGACCAGGAGGTTGAGGCTGCAGTGAGCTGTGATTGCTTCACTGCACTCCATCCTAGGTAACAGAGAGAGACCCTGTCTCAAAAAAGAAAGAAAGAAAGAGAGAAAGAGAAAGAGAGAAAGGAAGAAAGAAGAAAGAAAAAGGAAAGAAGAAAGAAAGAGAGAGAAAGAAAGAAAGAAGAAAGAAAGAAAGGAAGAAAGAAAGAAAGAAAGAAAGAAAGAAAGAAAGAAAGAAAGAAAGAAAGAAAGAAAGAAAAGAAAAGAAAAGAAAAAAGGAGGCCAGGCACAGTGGCTCATGCCTATAATCCCAGCACTTTGGGAGGTCGAGGCAGGCAGATCATGAGGTCAAGAGATTGAGACCATCCTGGCTAACATGGTGAAACCTGTCTCTACTAAAAATACAAAAAATTAGCTGGGTGTGGTGGTGGGTGCCTGTAGTCCCAGCTACTTGGGAGGCAGAGGCAGGAGAATGGTTTGAACCTGGGAGGTGGAGCTTGCAGTGAGCTGAGATTGTGCCACTGCACTCCAGCCTGGGTGACAGAGCAAGACTCTGTCTCAAAAAAAAAAAAAAAAAAGAAAAAGAAAAGAGAGAGAGAGAGAATGAGAGAAAGGAAGAAAGGTAAAGAAACAAAGAAAGAAAGAAAAAGAAAATAAAGAAAGAAAGAGAAAGAAAGAAGAAAGAAGAAGAAAGAAAAGAAAGAAAAGAAAGAAAGAAAGACAGAAAGAAAGAAAGAAAGAAAGAAAGAAAGAAAGAAAGAAAGAAAGAAAGAAAGAAAGAAAGAAAAAAGAAAGAAAGAGAAAGAAGAGGGAGGGAATTTTTATATGTATTTGCTTCTGGCCATGATGTAGTAACTACTATTAGATAATCTTCCTGCCATAAACCATAAAACTGGATAAAAATATATAAAACTGTTTGCAGATATTGGAAACAGAAAGTACATGACACTGATCCCTGAAGAAAGAAAAACAAGTCTTTTTGTTTTGTTTTTTCCTTTTTTTTCTCTTAAAATGTCATTTTTTTGTTCACAATTGCCTTGCCTGGCTCTCTAGGAACAATTTTCTAACCACAGCCTGAGGAGGAGGATACCAAAGGAAGTCCAATCCTCCTATTGAGATTACAGGACAGAGGGTGGAAGGTGGGGCAACAAAGGAGGCAGAATTTGAAGGGCAGACTGCCAAAAAAGAAGGAGCCACACAGCAAAAGAGCTTCAGAAATCTGCATAGGTGTCCCCTTGAGTCTTTGGCTGAATATGAAGCTGGGCATGTGTAGAGTGAGACTCCACAAAGTGGGGCAAAGAAAATCTGCAGAGGAGCTCTGACCTGAACAGTCACCTCAGCTCACGCAGGACGAGTCAGGGTGGAGAAAAATTGCTGAAAACTCTGGCCATTCAGCGGAAAACTCAGAAAGGCCATGCCTCAAGTGTAGACCTAAGTTATCCATAGAATAAAGCCTACTTGAGACCTTCTCTAACAAAACTTTTAGAGAAGACTTGAGGGTCAAGTTGATCTACAAGTAAATTAACTACTTAACAAACAAAACTCAATAAAAGGAAGATGACAAATCCAAACACTTAGTAACATAGCATTCATACTGTCCAACACTCAATCAAAAATTACTAGACATGCAAAGAGGTGGAGAAACATGACATAAATGAAGATAAATTAGTAAACATATATGAAACCAGGTATGACAGAGATGACAGAATTACAATATAGAGAATAAAAGGAGGGGTTGGGCATAGTGGCTTGTGCTTATAATCCCAGAACTTTGGGAGGCTGAGGCAGGAGGATCATTAGAGGCAGGAGTTTGAGACCAGCCTGGGCAACAAAGTGAGGCCATGTCTCTATAAAAAACGTTAAAATGAGCAAGGTGTAGTGATGCATGCCTGTAGTCCCAGCTACTCAGGAGGCTGAGGTGGGAGGATTACTTGAGCCCAGGAGTTCAAGGTTATAGTGAGCTATGATTGCACTGCTGTACTCCAGCCGAGGTGACAGAGTGAGGCTCTATCTCAAAGAAAAAAAAAAAGGAGAGAGAATAAAAAGAGCTATTACAAATATGTTTAAAGATTCTAAAAGAGATCAGGCAGAGTGACTCATGCCTGTAATCCCAGCAATTTGGGAGGCTGAGGCAGGTATATCACTTGAGGCCAAGAGTTCAAGCCCAGCCTGGCCAACATGGGGAAACCCCATCTCTATTAAAAATATGAAAAACTAGCTGGGCATGGTGGCATGCACTTGTAATCCCAGCTATTTGGGAGGCTGAGGCACGAGAATCACTTGAACCCAAGAGGCAGAGGTTGCAGTGAGCCAAGATTCCACCATTGCATTCCAGCCTGGGGGATAGAGTGAGACTCTGTCAAAAAAAAAAAAAAAAAAAAAAAAAGGGCCAGGTGCGGTGGCTCACGCCTGTAATCCCAGCACTTTGGGAGGCCGAGGCAGGCAGACCACGAGGTCAGGAGATCGAGACCATCCTGGCGAACACGGTGAAACCCCTTCGCTACTAAAAATACAAAAAATTAGCCAGGTGCGGTGGCGGGTGCCTGTAGTCCCAGCTACTCGGGAGGCTGAGGCAGGAGAATGGCGTGAACCCAGGAGGCGGAGCTTGCAGTAAGCCGAGATAGTGCCACTGCACCATGGCCTGGGCGAAAGAGCAAGACTCCGTCTCAAAAAAAAAAAAAAAAAGGGGCTGGGCACAGTGGCTCACGCCTGTAATCCCAGCACTTTGGGAGGCCGAGGCAGGCAGATCACGAGGTCAGGAGATCCAGACCATACTGGCTAACACGGTGAAACCCTGTCTCTACTAAAAATACAAAAAAAATTTGCCAGGCATGGTAGTGGGCGCCTGTAGTCCCAGCTACTCGGGAGGCTGAGGCAGGAGAATGGTGTGAACCCAGGAGGTGGAGGTTGCAGTGAGCCAAGATAGTGCCACTGCACTCCAGCCTGGGTGACAGAGCGAAACTCCGTCTCAAAAAAAAAAAAAAGATTTTAAAGGAAAACATAAACATGAAGAGGTTACAGAGACTGAATCTCAAAAGAGAAGTTGAAGCTATAAAATATAAGCAAATGGAATGTCTAGAGCTGAAAGTTATTATTTCTAAAATAAAAACTTCACTGGATAGGTTTAACAGAAAATGTGATTTGGGGAGGCCGACGTGGGTAGATCACCTGAGGTCAGGAATTCAAGACCAGCCTGGCCAACATGGCGAAACCCGTGTCTACTAAAAATACAAAAATTAGCCAGGCGTGGTGGTGCGCACCTGTAATTCCAGCTACTTGAGAGGCTGAGGCAAGAGAATCACTTGAACCCAGGAGGTGGAGGTTGCAGTGAGCCAAGATCACACCACTGCACTCCAGCCTGGGCGACAGAGCAAGACTCTATCTCAAAAAAAAAAAAAAAAAGTCGGGCGCGGTGGCTCACGCCTGTAATCCCAGCACTTTGGGAGGCCAAGGTGGGCGGATCACGAGGTCAGGAGATTGAGACCATCCTGGCTAACACAATGAAACCCCGTCTCTACTAAAAATACAAAAAATTAGCCGGGTGTGGTGGCAGGTGCCTGTAGTCCCAGCTACTCGGGAGGCTGAGGCAGGAGAATGGCGTGAACCTGGGAGGCAGAGCTTGAAGTGAGCTGAGATTGCGCCACTGGACTCCAGCCTGGGTGACAGAGCAAGACTCAGTCTCAAAAAAAAAAAAAAAAAAGAAAAAGAAAATGTGACACTGCAGAACATTCATTGATTTCTCATCCAAAAGGCAGTGGAACTACATCTTTCAAGTGCTGAAAAGGGGAAATAATCAGCCAACTTAGAATTCTAGACCCACAGAGGTAACCTTAAAAACAAAGGCAAAACAAAGATACTTTTGAACAAACAAAAGGTAAGATAATTTACTGCCAGAAAATCTATGCTAAAAGAGATATTTTCAAAAGTTCTTTGAGCTAAAGAAAAATGACACAAGTTGAAAATATGGATCCACAAAAAGGAATAAAGGAGCACCAGAAATTGTAAATTTGTGTATAAATAGAAAATACCTGTTTTCTTATTCTCAAATTTATTGATATTGAGAAGTCATCTTTCTCTCTCTCTTTTTTTTTTTTTTTGAGACGGAGTCTCGCTCTGTCGCCCAGGCTGGAGTGCAGTGGCGCAATGTCGGCTCACTGCAAGCTCCGCCTCCCAAGTTCATGCCATTCTCCTGCCTCAGCCTCCCAAGTAGCTGGGACTACAGGCGCCTGCCACCAGGCCTGGCTAATTTTTTGTATTTTTAGTAGAGACGGGGTTTCACCATGTTAGCCAGGATGGTCTCTATCTCCTGACCTCATGATCCGCCCGCCTCAGCTTCCCAAAGTGCTAGGATTACAGGCGTAAGCCACCACGCCCAGCTGTCATCTCTCTCTTTAGTACGATAATTTAAAAAGCTGAACAAACTTAAAATAAATTACTTTTCTTGAACTTATCAGAGAATTAAGGTCACAGGACAAACTGCCACCATGAAATCTGGAAGTACAGGCAAGTACAAAGAATCACTGTTGAGATCAGCTTACCTGGATCAGAAGCTGCTGGAGCCATAAACTGGTACGAACACTTAATAGTAACTTTGAAAAATTGCTACATGTTGAAAAATTGCAGCATGTAGACTAGCACAAGAGTGAGAAACTTCTAGGGGTTTCAGTCTTAGGACACCCCCTCTATACTTCTGTGGCTTTTACCTCCTGGAGTCTCACCAGATTCCGACAGTAAAGAGCCAAGAGAAACTCCTCATGTTTCTAACAAGGGTGGGGGAGGGGGGAGGGTAGAAGTAACCATTTTGAGATACTCCTAGAGTGATCTGGAAGATAGCTGACTAGAGGTACTCAATGCTCATCTCCTCCACAAAGAAGAGCCAAAACATCAAATAAATAACTACACTTTGAGTGGGATATCTAAGGGAGGACACTGAAATACAGCAAGGAAAAAACAAAACCCCCCTGTAAATTCCAGATGGCAACATAGGGAAGCAAAGCATCTGTCCAGGATTAGCTTAGACCCACAACAGACTCCCCATTATGGGGAAAAGGTAAGTGGTAGATCCCCAGCAGTCCCCATTACCAAGGTGGATGTCTACAATGCTAGCTACAGGAGAGCCCCATAGTCCTCACAGGCCCTGAGCCCAGTAGAGGGAGCTGCCAGGAGTCCACATAGTTGCATTGCTCTGGAGAACCAACACACAATGCCCCTTGCACTCCCAGGGACCCAAGCTGCTATGGCACATTGCCATTTTGAGAAGACAGCCACTGCTGGAGTGCCTTCTGCCCTAAGGGCCAATAGCCCCTGCATCTCCACATCCATGAGGCCCCACTTCCATCCCATCATACCCTCATACAAGGCTGCAATGCCAGGACCCCAGCTAGACTCAGTGGTATAACCATCACGCAGCTCCTGAGCCCACACAGCACCCTGCACCCCCAAGGAACCAGCAGTCCAGCACAGCAGGAAGGCTGCCCCAAAGACTGGGAGAACTGATGCACACACCCCAGAGGGTTTGAGGACTGGCCAATCAGTGCCCACTGCCACTGGAAACCCCACCCCTTTGAATGGCAGAGCTGCCATGTGTTGCATGCACCCCCATAGTCTGAGGATCAGCCTGCCTGCACCTGCCACCACCACCAGGAACCCCACTTCCATGACCAATGGGCCTGCTGTGCCCTGCATGTGCTCCTCTAGGGCCTAAAATCCAGCCTGCCCAGTGACTTCCATCCCTAGAAAAGCCATGTCCTCTCTCCACAAAAGCCATGCCCTCTCTCCACATAGAGCTGCAGTCTATGCCACTGAGGCATTTGCAGACACTATGGGTGTTGATTACAGTTAAAGAAATCACATGGAGACTACACTACTGCCCAGAGCCAAAGCCAAAGCATCCCACCTAACTGACACTATAGGACACATCTACAGAAAACAGTTTCCCTATGAATGCTACTCCATAAGACTGGAAGAGGCAATTCTTCCACTAGACATAGAGATGTCAATATAGGGACACAAGAAACATGAAAAAGCAAGGAAACATGACACCTCTAAAGGAACGCAATAGTTCTCTACAAATAGACCTGAAAGAAAAGGAAATCTATGAAGTGCCTGAAAAGGAATCCAAAATAATGATCTTAAGAAAACTCAGTGAGATACAGGAGAATACAGATAGACAATTCAACAAAATCAAATCTGAATGAGAAATGTAACAAAAAAATAGATATCATAAAAAAGAACCAAACAGAAATCTTGAAGCTAAAGAATTCAGTGTATAAAATAAAAAATATAATCAAGAGCTTTGACAACAGATTAGACAAGCAGAAGAAATAATTTCTGAACTTGAAGCTAGGCCTTGTGAAATAACCCAGTGAGCCAGGCACAGTGTTGTGTTCCTGTAAACCCAGCTGCTTAGGAGGCTGAGCACAGAAGTTCAAGACCAGCCTAGGCAACATGGAGAAATTCCATCTCAAAAAAGTTTTCTTGGGGCTGGGTGTGGTGGCTCATGCCTGTAATCCCAGTACTTTGGGAGGCCAAGGCAGGTGAATCACTTGGGCCCAGGAATTTGAGACCAGCTTGGGCAACATGGCAAAACCCCATCTCTGCAAAAAATACAAAAATTAGCCAGGCATGATGGTGCACACCTGTGGTCTCAGCTACTCGGGAGGCTGAGGTGGGAGGGTCATCTAAGCCTGCGGAGGTTGAGGCTGCAGTGAGCTGTGATCATGCCACTGTTCCCCAGCCTGGGCAACAGAATGAGACCCTGTCTCAAAAAAATTTTGTTTTAATTAATTAATTTATTTTTTTCAGATGGAGTCTTGCTCTTATTGCCCAGGCTGGAATGCATTGGCACGATCTTGGCTCACTGCAACCTCTGCCTCCTGGGTTTAAGTGATTCT
This sequence comes from Homo sapiens, assembly GCF_000001405.40. NCBI lineage: Eukaryota > Metazoa > Chordata > Mammalia > Primates > Hominidae > Homo > Homo sapiens. The sequence continues at coordinate 137,855,249 of NC_000009.12, read as the reverse complement.
CCTGCCTCAGCCTCCCAAGTAGCTGGGATTATAGGCGCCTGCCACCACGCTGGGCTAATTTTTGTATTTTTAGTACAGATGGGGTTTCTCTATGTTGGCCAGGCTGGTCTCGAACTCCTGACCTTGTGATCCTCCTGCCTCGGCCTCCCAAAGTGCTGGGATTAGAGGCATGAGCCACCACGCCTGACCTGTTTCGATTTTTTAAAATCTTCAATCTTATAAAATTACCCAGTGAGACAAAAAGGAAAGAAAAGAAAAAGAAAGAAAGAAAGAAAGAGAGAGAGACAGAAAGAAAGAAAAGAAAGAAAGAAAGAAAGAAAGAAAGAAAGAAAGAAAGAAAGAAAGAAAGAAAGAGGGAGGGGGGAGGGAGAGAGGGAGAAAGAGAGAGAAAGAAAAAGTGAAACCGAGAAAGCAAGCAGGCCGGGCGCGGTGGCTCACGCCAGTAATCCCGGCATTTAGGGAGGCTGAGGTGGGTGGATCACCTGAGGTCAGGAGTTCGAGACCAGCCTAATCAACATGGAGAAACCCCGTTATCTACTAAAAATACAAAATTAGCCAGGCGTGTTGGTGCATGCCTGTAATCCCAGCTACTCGGGAGGCTGAGGCAGGAGAATCACTTGAACCCAGGAGGCAGATGTTGCAGTGAACTGAGATCATGCCATTGCACTCCAGCCTGGACAACAAGGGCAAAACTCCATTAAAAAAGAAAAAGAAGAAAAAGAAGAAGAAGAAAATGGAAAAAGCATAAAGAAAGTCTGTGGGACCAATGCAATACCATCAAGCAAAGAAATATTCACATTATAGAAATTTCAGAAGGAGAAGAGATTGGAAGAGGCATAGAAAACCTATTTAATGAAATAATAGCTGAAAAGAAGGATATGGACATCCAGAACCGGAAAGTTCAAGAGTTCTCAAATGTAGTCAACCCAAGAAGGTACTCCCAGTGGCACATTATACTCTAACTGTCAAAAGTGGAAGAGAAGGCCAGGAACAGTGACTCACACCTACAATCCCAGTGCTTTGGGAAGCCAAGGTGGGAGGATTGCTTAAGGCCAGGAGTTCAAGACCAGTATGGGCAACATAGTGAGATCTCATCTCTAAAAAATAATAATAATAATTAGCAGGTGCATACCCATAGTCCCAGGGAGGCTGAGGTGGGAGGGTTGCTTGAGCCCAGGATTTCAGGGCTGCACTGAGCTATGATCACACCACTGCACTCCAGCCTGGGTGACAGAGAAAGAACCTGTTTAAAAAAAGAAAAAGTGGAAGAGAAAGAATTATAAAAAACAGCAAAGGAAAAGTATAAAGTCACACATAAGAGAATCCCTATTCAACTAACAGCGGATTTCTCAGCAGAAATTTATAGGCCAAGAGAGAATGGGATGACATAATCAAAGGGCTAAAAGAAAAAAAAAAAACCTGCCAGCCAAGAATTCTATACTCAGCAAAGTTATCCTTCAGAAATGAAGGAGAAATAGTCTTTCCTAGATAAGCAAAAACTGAGGGAATTTGTTACCACTACACCAGCCTTGCAAGAATTGCTTATGGGAGTCCTAGGACAATAATGACCATCATGAAAACATGTAAAAGTATAAAATTTACTGGTACAGCAGATACACAATGAGAAAGAGAAAGGAATCAAAACAGTACTACAGTACAGCAGATACACAATGAGAAAGAGAAAGGAATCAAAACAGTACTACAGAAAACCACCAAACCACAAAGAAAAACAATAAGAAAAGAACAAAGGATATACAAAACAACCAGAAAACAATTAACAAAATGACAGAAGTAAGTGCTCACCTGTCAATAATAACCTTGAATGCTAACAGATTAAGTTCCCCCAATTAAATGGTATAGACTGGTTGAATGGATTAAATTTTTTTTTTTTTTGAGACGGAGTCTCACTCTGTCACCCAGGCTGGAGTGCAGTGGCGCGATCTTGACTCACTGCAAGCTCCACCTCCTGGGTTCACGCCATTCTCATGCCTCAGCCTCCTGAGTAGCTGGGACTAGAGGCGCCCGCCACCACGCCCAGCTAATTTTTTTGTATTTTTAGTAGAGACGGGGTTTCACCCTGTTAGCCAGGATGGTCTTGATCTCCTGACCTCATGATCCACCCACCTCAGCCTCCCAAAGTGCTGGGATTACAGGCGTGAGCCACCGTGCCTGGCCAAAAAAAAATTTTTTTAACTATATGCTGCCTTTAAGAAACTCAAGTAACCTGTAAAGACATACATACACTAGAAGTGAAGGATTGGAAAAAGATCTTCCATGCAAATAGAATCCAAAAGTGAGTGGGAGTGCTATACTTACATCAGATAAAATAGACTTTAAGTCAAAAACTGAAGAAAGAGGCAAAGAAGGTCATTAGCTGATGATAAGGGATCAGTTCAGCGAGAGGATATAACAATTGTAAATATATACACACCCAACACCAGAGCACCCAGGTATATAAAGCAAACATTATTATTATTAATAGTATAAAGGGAGAGATAAACTCCAACAATAACAGTTAGGACTTCAACATCCCACTCTCAGCTCTGGACAGATCAATTAGACAGAAAATCAACAAAGAAACATTGTATTTAAACAGCACTACAGGCTAGGTGCGTGGTGGCTCATGCCTGTAATCCCAGCACTTTGGGAGGACGAGGTGGGTGAATCAGTTGAGGGCAGGAGTTCGAAACCAGCCTGACCCATATGGTCAAACCCCATCTCTACTAAAAATACAAAAACTAGCCGGGTGTGGTGGCGCACGCCTGTAATCCCAGCTATTCAGGAGGCTGAGGCAGGAGAAACATTTGAACCCAGGAGGTAGAATTTGCAGTGAGCCGAGATCACATCACTGCACTCCAGCCTGGGTGACAGAGTGAGACTCTGTCTCAAAAAAAAAAATAAATAAATAAGTAAACAGCACTACAGACCAAATGGACCTAATAGACAATTCTAGAAGAACTCATCCAACAGGGAGAGAATACACATTCTTCTCATCAGCACATGGAATATGTCCAGAATGTTTTTCATACCAAAGCCCTATTCAGCAGGGAAAAAGATTTTATCAGAGCCTTATCTATCTGGGAGAAAGGAATTACACAACTCTATTCCCCGTTAGTCTTCCTGTCTCACCTAAGGGGGAGAAAAAGCTGACAAACACTTTGAAGTTCACAGCCCTGGAACACAGAGACACAGAAAGACAGAGATTTAATCACAGGATTACATAATGCTTCCCCTTTCCCTATACGTTATCACTATATCAGCAGGGCTCCAGTGTGATATCTGTGGATTACAGCTGAAACAGCTACAAAGTGAAGATTCTATTTAAGAAGATTTTAAGGAAACCAAGAGACAACAGGGGATAAAAACAAAAATACTAAAGGAAATTGAAGTCCCTGACACATATAGCTACAGTCAACCTTAAACACAGCCCAGTTACTACCCAGATTAACATAAAATCTCATGCTAAAGGCCAGTTGACCTCAATTCCTATTACCCAATACCTCATGTGGGGCTTTCAACAAAAAGATACAAGGCATGATAAAAGATAAGAGAAAAACATAGCCAGAGGAGACAAAGCAAGCCAGGGCGGGAGCATCACTTGATCCCAGACGTTTGAGAACAGCCTGAGCAACACAGCAAGAGCCTGTGTCTAAAACAACGGCAACAACACCCAGAAAGGCAGAAAAAGGGGGACAATACAAAGGACAACTACAATAAATAGAAAGAGTTACAAACATAGAAACATAGTAGGTATCAATCCAATCATATCGATAATCACTTCAAATGGGAAAAGTCTAAACAGACCAATCAAAAGACAGAGATTGTCAAAATGGATTTTTAAAAAGACCATACCCAGCACTTTGGGAGGCTGAGGCGGGCGGATCACAAGGTCAGGAGACCAAGACCATCCTGGCTAACAGGGTGAAAACCTGTCTCTACTAAAAATACAAAAAATTAGGTGGGTGTGGTGGCACGTGCCTGTAGTCCCAGCTACTGGGGAGGTTGAGGCAGGAGGATTGCTTGAGCCTGGGAGGCAGAGGTTGCAGTGAGCCAAGATCATGCCACTGCACTCCATCCTGAGCAACAGAGTGAGACACTGTCTTAAAAAATATAATAATAAATAAATAAAGACCATACTGGCCGGGCATGGTAGCTCACGCCTGTAATCCCAGCACTTTGGGAGGCCAAGGCGGGTGGATCACAAAGTCAGGAGTTCGAGACCAGCCTGGCCAACAGGGTGAAACCCCGTCTCTACTAAAAATACAAAAATTAGCCAAGTGTGGTGGCTCGTGCCTGTCATCCCAGCAACTCAGGAGGCTGAGGCAGGAGAATTGCTTGAAGCCAGGAGGCTGAGGTTGCAGTGAGCCAAGATCACACCACTGTACTCCAGCCTGGGAGACAGAGCGAGACTACGAAAAAAAAAAAAAGCATACCACATGTTGTCTATAAGAAATCCATTTTAAATATATAAAGACACAGGTAATTTAAAAACTAAACCTATAGAGAAAGACGTACCATGCTAACACTAATCGAAAGAAAGTTGGAGGAGATATGTTGATTTCAGAGAAGACAGACCTCAGAAGGAAAAAGTGATCAGGAATAGAGAAGGACATTACATAATGATCACAGGGTAAATTCTCAAAGAAGACATAACAATCCTGCACATGTGTGTGCCTAACACCAACATGTCGAAATATGTGAAGAAGAAGCTGATAGAGCTGTAAGGAGAAACAGACACACCAACTATTATCCCAGGAGACTTCAGTACTCCTCCATCGGGAACTTGTCTCACGTGTCTGTGTGCAGAGACCACCAAACAGGCTTTGTGTGAGCAACAAGGCTGTTTATGTCACCTGGGTGCAGGTGGGCTGAGTCCGAAAAGAGTGTCAGCAAAGAGTGGTGGATTATCATTAGTTCTCATAGGTTTTGGGATAGGCGGTGGAGTTAGGAGCAATGTTTTGCAGGCAGTGGGTGGATCTCACAAAGTACATTCTCAAGGGTGGGGAGAATTACAAAGAACCTTCTTAAGGGTGCGGGAGATTACAAAGTACATTGATCAGTTAGGGTGGGGCAGAAACAAATCACAATGGTGGAATGTCATCAGTTAAGGCTATTTTCACTTCTTCAATTGGATCTTCAGTTGCTTCAGGCCATCTGGATGTATACGTGCAGGTCACAGGGGATACGATGGCTTAGCTTGGGCTCAGAGGCCTGACATTCCTGCCTTCTTATATTAATAAGACAAATAACATAAAATAGTATTGAAGTGTTGGGGCAGTGAAATTTTTTGGGAGTGGTATTGAGAGATAACGGGCGATGTTTCTCAGGGCTGCTTCGAGCGGGATTAGGGGCAGCGTGGGAACCTAGAGTGGGAGAGATGAAGCTGAAGAAAGATTTTATGGTAAGGGGTGATATTGTGGGGTTGTTAGAAGGAGCATTTGCTGTATAGAATTATTGGTGATGGCCTGGATGTGGTTTTGTATGAATTGAGAAACTAAACAAAAGACACAAGGTCTGAATAAAAGGAGAAAAATAGGTGTTAAAGGACTAAGAATTGGGAGAACCCAGGACGTCTAATTAGAGAGTGTCCAAGGGGGTTCAGCTTGGTTGGTGAGTTTTTGGGCTCTATCCTTGACAGAGTCCTCTTTTTTAAGTTGGAGGCTGAGCTTGGTGAGGTGTGTTTTTAAAAGACCATTAATCCATTCTACCTTTCCTGAAGATTGAGGACGGTAAGGGGTATGAAAGTTCCACTGAAGACCAAGAGCCTGAGAAACAGCTTGGGTGATTCGACTAATAAAGGCTGGTCTGTTATTGGACTGTATAGAGGTGGGAAGGCCAAACTGAGGAATTATATCTGACAGAAGGGAAGAAATGACCGCGGTGGCCTTCTCAGACCCTGCGGGAAAGGCCTCTACCTATCCAGTGAAAGTGTCTACCCAGACCAAGAGGTATTTTATTTTCCTGAGTTGAGGCATGTGAGTAAAGTCAATTTGCCAGTCCTGGGCAGGGCCAAATCCCTGAGCTTGATGTGTAGGGAAGGGAGGGGCCCTGAATAATCCCTGAGGAGTAGTAGAATAGCAGATGCAACACTGAGAAGTGATTTCCTTGAGGATAGATTTCCATGATGGAAAGGAAATGAGAGGTTCTAAGAGACGGGCTAGTGGCTTGTAACCTACATGGAAGAGGTTATAAAATGACGATAGAATAGAATGGGCCTGTGAGGCTGGAAGGAGATATTTTCCTTGGTCTAAGAACCATTGGCCTTGTGTGGGAAGAGACTGATAGGTGGAAGTTTCAGTGGGAGAGTAGGTGGGAGTGACCGATGTGAAGGAGAAAAACTGGATGTGAGGGACAGAAGTTGGAACGCTAGCTGCTTCTTTAGCTACCTTATCAGTGTAAGCGTTGCCCTGAGCGATGGGATCTGATGCCTTTTGGTGGCCCTTGCAGTGAAGGACTCCAGCTTCCTTTGGAAGTAAAGCGGCCTTGAGCAGAGTTTTTATTTAAGAGGCATTAATGATGGAGGACCCTTACATAGTGAGGAAACCTCTTTCAGCCCATGTAACAGCATGGTGGTGCAGGATATGGAAGGCATATTTAGAGTCAGTATAAATATTGACGCATAATTCCTTTGCAAAAGTGAGGGCTTGAGTTAAGGCAACGAGTTTGGCTTGCTGAGAGGTAGTTGGGGGGTAGAGCGATAGCCTCAATGATAGATGTGGAAGATACTATAGCATAGCCTGCCTTTGCTGGTGAGTGGCAATTAGGCCTGGTGGAACTGCCATCAGTAAACCAAGTGTGATCAGGGTGAGGAACAGGAAAGAAGGAAATATGGGGAAATGGAGTGAATGTCAGGTGTATCAGAGAGAAACAGTCATGGGGGTCAAGTGTGGTATCAGGAATAACATGGCAGGCCGGATTGAAGTGCGGGCCAGGAACAATGGTAACTGTGGGAGACTCGACAAAGAGTGAAGGAGCCGGGGAGCAGAAAGTATATGTGACGGGTGTGAGGGAGAAAATAGATTTTGGAAGTTATGAGAGCCGTAGAGAGTGAGTTGAGCATAGTTTGTGATTTTGAGGGCCTCTAAAAGTATTAGGGCGGCAGCAGCCGCTGCATGGAGACATGATGGCCAGCCTAAAACAGTGAGGTCAAATTGTTTGGACAAAAAGGCTACAGGGCATCATCCCGGTCCTTGTGTGAGAATTCCGACTGCACAGCCCTGCACTTCAGCCATGTGTAATGAAAAGGGTTGGGATGAGTCAGGGAGGGCTAGTGTGAGGGCAGTCTCTAAAGCTGTCTTCAAGGAATGGAAAGAGGAGTGGGGAAAGGATTTAGGATCTATGGGGTCAGCTAGGTTTCCTTTTGTGACTTTATATAATGGTTTTGTTAGGGTGGCAAAACCAGGTTTCCAAAGGTGAAAGCATCCAACCATGCCCAGGAAGGAAGGGAGTTGTTGTTTTGTAGAAGGGGTTGGGGTTTGAGAGATCAGTCGGACACTATCGGCAGGGAGAGCACGTGTGTTTTTATGAAGAATTATGCCAAGGTAGGTAATGGATGGAGAAGAAATTTGAGCTTTGGAGGGGGATACCCGATATCCCTTGGAGAATAAATGTTGAAGGAGCAGGAGGGTGTCTCATTGAGAAGATTCAAAGGAGGGGCTACAAAGAAGAAGGTCATCAATATATTGAATAAGGTGAGAAGCAGAGGGGTGGAAAGAAAGTAAATCATGAGAAAGAGCTTGGCTGAAGTAATGAGGGCTGTCCCCGAAACCTTGCGGCAGCACAGCCCAGGTAAGCTGCTGGGACCGATGGGTGTCAGGGTCAGTCCAGGTAAAAGCAAAGAGAGGCTGGGACGAGGGGTGCAGCGGAATAGTGAAAAAAGCATCTTTAAGATCGAGAACGGAATAGTGAGTTGTGGAGGAAGGTATTGAGGACAATAGAGTGTACGGTGGGGCACCACGTGGTGACTAGGCAAAACAATTTGGTTGATAAGGCGCAGATCCTGAACTAACCTGTAAGACTTACCCGGTTTTTGAACAGGTAAAATGGGAGAATTGTAAGGAGAGTTTATAGGTTTTAGAAGCCTATGCTGTAGCAGGTGAGTGATAATCCCCTTAAATCCCCTTAAAGCCTGTTGTGGGATGGGAACTGGCGTTGAGCAGGGTACGGGTGATTAGGTTTTAATAGGATAGTAATGGGCATGTGATCGATTGCCAGGGAGGGAGTAGAGATGTCCCATACTTGTGGGTTAAGTTGGGGGGATACGAGAGGAAGACATGAAGGAGGCTTTGAGTTGAGAAGACGGGTGGCAATGAGATGTGGCTGTAGTCCAGGAATAGTCAGGGAAGCGGATAATTTAGTTAAAATGTCTCAGCCTAATAAGTGAACTGGGCAGGTGGGGATAACTAAAACAGAGTGCATAAAAGAATGTTGTCCAAGTTGGCATCAGAGTGGGGGAGTTTTAAGGGGTTTAGAAGCCTGGCCGTCAATACCCACAACAGTTATGGGGCAAAGAAACAGGCCCTTGAGAAGAAGGTAATGTGGAGTGGGTAGGCCCCGTATCAATTAAACAGGGGATGGACTTACCCTCCACCATAAGAGTTACCCGAAGCTCGGCGTCCGTGATGATCCAGGGGGCTTCCTAGGGGATGCGATCAGGCAGCGTCAGTCTTCAGCTGCTAAGCCGAGGAGATCTGGGAGGGAGTCGGCCAAAGAACGTTGGGTTTGGGCTCCAGGGGCTTTAGGAGCCGCGACGATGTGAGTCGGACAATGCAACCTCCAGTGGGGGCGCGCACAGACAGGGCACGGCTTAGGAGGATTCCTGGGGGACAATGCAACCTCCAGTGGGTGCGCGCACAGACAGGGCACGGCTTAGGAGGAATCCTGGGGGACAATGCAACCTCCAGTGGGGGCGCGCACAGACAGGGCACGGCTTAGGAGGAATCCTGGGGGACAATGCAACCTCCAGTGGGGGCGCGCACAGACAGGGCACGGCTTAGGAGGAATCCTGGGGGACAATGCAACCTCCAGTGGGGGCGCGCACAGACAGGGCACGGCTTAGGAGGAATCCTGGGGGACAATGCAACCTCCAGTGGGGGCGCGCACAGACAGGGCACGGCTTAGGAGGAATCCTGGGGGACAATGCAACCTCCAGTGGGGGCGCGCACAGACAGGGCACGGCTTAGGAGGCTTAGGAGGAATCCTGGGGGACAATGCAACCTCCAGTGGGGGCGCGCACAGACAGGGCACGGCTTAGGAGGAATCCTGGGGGACAATGCAACCTCCAGTGGGGGCGCGCACAGACAGGGCACGGCTTAGGAGGAATCCTGGGGGACAATGCAACCTCCAGTGGGGGCGCGCACAGACAGGGCACGGCTTAGGAGGAATCCTGGGGGACAATGCAACCTCCAGTGGGGGCGCGCACAGACAGGGCACGGCTTAGGAGGAATCCTGGGGGACAATGCAACCTCCAGTGGGGGCGCGCACAGACAGGGCACGGCTTAGGAGGAATCCTGGGGGACAATGCAACCTCCAGTGGGGGCGCGCACAGACAGGGCACGGCTTAGGAGGAATCCTGGGGGACAATGCAACCTCCAGTGGGGGCGCGCACAGACAGGGCACGGCTTAGGAGGAATCCTGGGGGACAATGCAACCTCCAGTGGGGGCGCGCACAGACAGGGCACGGCTTAGGAGGAATCCTGGGGGACAATGCAACCTCCAGTGGGGGCGCGCACAGACAGGGCACGGCTTAGGAGGAATCCTGGGGGACAATGCAACCTCCAGTGGGGGCGCGCACAGACAGGGCACGGCTTAGGAGGAATCCTGGGGGACAATGCAACCTCCAGTGGGGGCCCGCACAGACAGGGCACGGCTTAGGAGGAATCCTGGGGGACAATGCAACCTCCAGTGGGGGCCCGCACAGACAGGGCACGGCTTAGGAGGAATCCTGGGGGACAATGCAACCTCCAGTGGGGGCCCGCACAGACAGGGCACGGCTTAGGAGGAATCCTGGGGGACAATGCAACCTCCAGTGGGGGCCCGCACAGACAGGGCACGGCTTAGGAGGAATCCTGGGGGACAATGCAACCTCCAGTGGGGGCCCGCACAGACAGGGCACGGCTTAGGAGGAATCCTGGGGGACAATGCAACCTCCAGTGGGGGCCCGCACAGACAGGGCACGGCTTAGGAGGAATCCCGGGCTGCAGGCATTCTGAGGCCCAGTGGCCAGGCTTTCGGCCTTTGAAGCAAGATCCACGAGGATGTTTTGAAGGAGCCCCTGGGAGCTGTGGCTTGGATGTCCTGAAGTTCTTGGATGCTGGAGACGTGGTTGTGGGTTGTCTTACATCGGAGGCGAGTAGCTGTAACTCAGAAATGCGTTGCTGTCTGGCTGCCTCCTCTCTATTATTGTACACCTTGAAGGTGAGGTTGATTAATTCCTGTTGTGGGGTTTGAGGGCCGGATTCCAATTTTTGAAGCTTTTTTCTAATGTCAGGAGCTGACTGGGTGATACAATGCATATTAAGAATAAGGCGTCCCTCTGGCCCCTCTGGGTCTAGGGTGGTAAAGCGTCTAAGGGTTACTGCCAAGCGGGCCATGAACTGGGCTGGGTTTTCGTCTTTACCTTGGGTAGTTTCTTTAAGTTTGTCATAATTAACAGTTTTGTAAGCTGCCTTTTTAAGCCCTTCAACTAGGCAGGAAACCATGTAATCTCGCCTAGCTATACCTGGGGAATCTGCCTGGTAGTTCCACTGGGGAACTTCTCAGGGAACTGCTCTGATGCCTTCCGGGAGGTCTGGCTCTTGGAGCCAGTGGTTGTCAGCATGAGATTGGACTAGAGAAAATACTCTTTCCCGTTCATCTGGGGAGAGGGTAGAAGTTAGGATGACATTTAAGGCACTCCAGGTTAAACTGTAGGACAGAGTTAGATGTCGGAATTCCTGTATATATTTAGTGGGGTCTGATGAGAAAGAGCCTAAACGTTGGCTGATTTGGGAAAGGTCTGATAGAGAAAAAGGCGCATGTACCCTGACTATGCCTTCAGCTCCAGCCACCTCTCTAAGAGGAAATTGTTGGGCAGGTGGGGGAGAGCTGGTCGCAGAACGAAACTGTTAACCAGACTGGGTGTGGGAGGGAGGTAATAGAAGGGTTATAGGGTGGAGGAGCAGAGGCTGAAGAAGAGCTGGAGCCTGATTCAGCCTGGCGGGGAGCGACCTGAGGAGGAGCAGTCTGGGAGGAGGTGAGAGGTCAGATGGGTCAGTAGAAAAGGAAGATTCACAAGGCTCAGCGACGCTCGGGGTTGGGACCGAAGGGAAGCCTACGTCGGGCATGAGGTGCGGGTTCATGTCCTGATGTTGACAGCTCGCTGTGGTTACACAGGACCGCCTGTGTGTAGGAAATATTCATGGAAGTATTTGGGGATGATGGGGTACGAAGTCAGGAATTTATTCTCCAGCAGATCAGAGAAAAAAGATTTCTGTATTGTACTTGCAGCTGTTCTGTAAGGTTGAGATTGTTTTGATGTTTTAAAATGTCAACAAATGTTAATAAAGACACGTGCACGTCTATGTTCATTGCAGCACTATTCACAATAGCACGATTCCAAGATGTGGAATCAATCTAAATGCCCACCAGTGGCAGACTGGATGAAAATGTGGTACATACGCACCACGGAATACTATGCAGCCATAAAAAAGAATGAGATCATGTCTTTTGTGGGAACGTGGATGGAGCTGGAGGCTATTATCTTTAGCAAACTAATGCGGGAACAGAAAAACAAATACCGCATGTTCTCAGTTATAAATGGGAACTAAATGATGAGGGCTCATGAACACAAAGAACAAGAGACACTGGGACCTACTTAGGAGTGGAGGGTGGGAGGAGCGAGAGGATCAGGAAAAACAACTAATGGGTACTTGGCTTAGTACCTGGGTGATGAAATAATCTGTGCAACAAACCCCCATGACACGAGTTTCCCTGTTTAACAAACCTGCACGTGTGCCCCTGCACCAAAAAGATTTTTTTTTTTTTTTCGAGACAGAGTCTCACTCTGTCGCTCAGGCTGGAGTGCAGTGGTGCGATCTCGGCTCACTGCAAGCTCCGCCTCCCCAGTTCAAGCCATTCTCCTGCCTCAGCCTCCCGAGTAGCTGGGAATACAGGCGCCCACCACCACGCCTGGCTAATTTTTTTGTATTTTTAGTAGAGACGGGGTTTCACCGTGTTAGCCAGGATGGTCTCGATCTCCTGACCTCGTGATCTGCCCGTCTCAGCCTCCCAAAGTGCTGGGATTACAGGCATGAGCCACTGCGCCTGGCCAAGATTTTTAAAAATAAATAAAATACATGTTGGGTCAAAGAAGCCAGAGGCAATGAAGTGCGCACTCCATGGACCCAATTATAGGAAATTCCAGAACAGAAATGTTAATCTATACTGACAGGAACAGATTGGTGTCTGGGGTTCAGGAGTGGTGGCATGGATGACACAGACGGGGATGGTGGTGTGGAGGATACCGGGGGGATGGTGGCGTGGAGGATATGGAGGGGGACGGTGGCGTGGAGGATATGGGGGGATGGTGGCGTGGAGGATACAGGGGGACGGTGGCGTGGATGATACAGAGGGGGGACGGTGGTGTGGAGGATACGGGGGACGGTGGCGTGGAGGATATGGGGGGATGGTGGCGTGGAGGATACAGGGGGACGGTGGCGTGGATGATACAGAGGGGGGATGGTGGTGTGGAGGATACGGGGGACGGTGGCGTGGAGGATATGGGGGGATGGTGGCGTGGAGGATACAGGGGGGGATGGTGGCATGGAGGATACAGGAGGGACGGTGGCGTGGAGGATACGGAGGGGGGACGGTGGTGTGGAGGATACAGAGGGGCATGGTGGCGTGAAGCATATGGGGGGGATGGTGGCATGGAGGATACTGGGGGGGATGGTGGCATGGAGGATACAGGAGGGACGGTGGCGTGGAGGATACGGAGGGGGACGGTGGCGTGGAGGATACGGGGGGACGGTGGCATGGAGGATACGGGGGGACGGTGGCGTGGAGGATACAGGGGGACGGTGGCGTGGAGGATACAGGAGGGACGGTGGCGTGGAGGATACGGAGGGGGACGGTGGCGTGGAGGATACGGGGGGACGGTGGCATGGAGGATACAGGGGGACGGTGGCATGGAGGATACGGAGGGGGACAGTGGCGTGGAGGATACAGGGGGACGGTGGCATGGAGGATACAGGAGGGACGGTGGCGTGGAGGATACGGAGGGGGACGGTGGCGTGGAGGATACAGGGGGACGGTGGCGTGGAGGATACGGAGGGGGACGGTGGCGTGGAGGATACAGGGGGACGGTGGCGTGGAGGATACAGGGGGACGGTGGCATGGAGGATACGGAGGGGGACGGTGGCATGGAGGATACGGAGGGGGACGGTGGCGTGGAGGATACAGGGGGACGGTGGCGTGGAGGATACGGAGGGACGGTGGCATGGAGGATACGGGGGGACGGTGGCGTGGAGGATACGGGGGGACGGTGGCATGGAGGATACGGGGGGACGGTGGCATGGAGGATACGGAGGGGGACGGTGGCGTGGAGGATACAGGGGGACGGTGGCGTGGAGGATACAGGGGGACGGTGGCGTGGAGGATACGGAGGGACGGTGGCATGGAGGATACGGGGGGACGGTGGCATGGAGGATACGGGGGGACGGTGGCATGGAGGATACGGGGGGACGGTGGCATGGAGGATACGGGGGGACGGTGGCATGGAGGATACGGAGGGGGACGGTGGCGTGGAGGATACAGGGGGACGGTGGCGTGGAGGATACGGAGGGACGGTGGCATGGAGGATACGGGGGGACGGTGGCATGGAGGATACGGAGGGGGACGGTGGCGTGGAGGATACAGGGGGACGGTGGCGTGGAGGATACAGGGGGACGGTGGCATGGAGGATACGGAGGGGGACGGTGGCGTGGAGGATACAGGGGGACGGTGGCATGGAGGATACGGAGGGGGACGGTGGCGTGGAGGATACAGGGGGACGGTGGCGTGGAGGATACGGAGGGACGGTGGCGTGGAGGATACGGGGGGACGGTGGCGTGGACGATACGGGGGGAAGGTGGCGTGGACGATACGGGCGGAAGGTGGCGTGGACGATACGGGGGAAGGTGGCGTGGACGATACGAGGGGGATGATGTCTTCATTGTGGTAGTCGTTATAGGGTTTACACATTTGCCAAACGCATCAAACACTTATGAAAGGTGCCTTCAATAATCCCTAAATGATACCTCGATAAAGTTGACTGAAAGGTTAAAAAAAATCCTATCTGGCTGTTTTGTAGAAATTAACATGCCGATTCTAAAATTTATATAAAGATAGGAAGGACCTAGTGTAGCCAAATAGCCAAAGAGTCATCTTTAGGAATAAGGACACGGCTGGAGGACCAGTGCCACCACAAATCATTATTTTACACTTGGAGATATTGGCCTCAAGGTCAACAACCCACCAGTAGGGAGAAGGCCTGAGATGCAGCCCACAGGTTCACACCGCTGACATTCTGTGACGGAGCCAGTGCCGTTCACGGGGGAAAAGGAAAAGCCTCTTAAGAAATCAACAAATCGGCCGAAGACGGTGGCTCACGCACTTTGGGAGGCCGAGACGGGCGGATCACGAGGTCAGGAGATCGAGACCATCCTGGCTAACACAGTGAAACCCCGTCTCTACTAAAAATACAAAATTTAGCCGGGTGTGGTGGCGGGTGCCTGTAGTCCCAGCTGCTTGGGAGGCTGAGGCAGGAGAATGGCGTGAACCCGGCAGGCGGAGCTTGCAGTGAGCCGAGATTGCACCACTGCACTCCAGCCTGGGAGACAGAGCAAGATTCCGTCTCAAAAAAAAGAAAGAAATCAAGAAATGAGGCTGGAGCAAGTGGGTTTCCTAGGGAAAAAAATCTCTCTTGACCTCTACCTCACTCCACTCACAAAAATGAATTTAAGATGAATCATGCACCTAAACGTAAAATCCAAAACTGTAAAAGCCTTAGAGAGAAACAGGAGAATATATTCCTAAATTCGAGAAGATATTTTCCTGTTTTTCCCTCTAAAGCATTATAGCAAAAATACCTTAGGACAGAGAAAGTACTAATCGAAAAAGCAGGGCCAGGCACGGTGGCTGAAGCCTGTAATCCCAGCACTTTGGGAGGCTGAGGTGGACAAATCGCCTGAGGCCGGGAATTCGAGACCAGCCTGACCAACATGGAGAAACCCTGTGTCTACTAAAAATACAAAATTAGCCGGGCATGGTGGCGCATGCCTGTAATCCCAGCTACTCGGGAGGCTGAGGGAGGAGAATCGCTTGAACCGGGGAGGCAGAGGTTGCAGTGAGCTGAGATTGCACCATTGCACTCCAGCCTGGGCGACAAGAGCAAACTCCGTCTCAAAAAAAAAAAAAAAAAGTAAAAGTAAAAAAGGATAAATTGGACTTCGTCAAATTTGACTAGAAACACTTAGGATTCATGAAGACATGAAGCAACGAGAACTCCCATGTGTGAGTGGCATGGACAGACGATGCTGCCAGCCGCAGAGACACAGGGGGCTCCCCACAGGAATCAGCAAGTCCCTTTCTTAGGAATTCGCCCTCGACTGACAAAAACATGCACACAAGAAGACCTGTACAAGAATGCTGATAGCTGCTTTATTGACAGTAGCCCCCAACTGGAGATAACCCAAGCATGGACGCACAGGAGAACAGATAAATGCAAAAGCCGCTGAGCAGAAGCTAGGCCAAAAAAAGTAACCCACTGCATGGTTCCTGTTATAGAAACTCCTAGAACAGGCGAAACTAATTTACAGTGAAAGAAATCAGATGGGTGATGTGTCTTGTGGGCAGGGCCAGAGAGGGGAGGAAGAGAGAATGTTGGCTGGGGGATGGAAACAGCCTCTCTCCTGATAAGGGGTGGGTCCCATGGCAAAGGCATTTGTCAGAATGCACTGAGCTGCACTCGATCCATGCATTCTGACAAATGCCAATTATGCCTCAACAAAAAGCCTAAAAAATTTATATTGTCATTTCACACCATACACCAAATAAATTCCACCTGGATTCAAGAGCGAAACCTAAAAACAAAGAACTAGGACAAGCACTGGAGCATATTTTTTTTATAATTTGGGGATGCAGAAGGTCTTTCTAAATGTATTACACAATCAGAAGTCACAAGACAGATTTCTGCCACATAACAAATTTAAATTCAGTATAGATATAAAACTACAATATATAAAGAGCTCACAAAAATCAATAAGAAAAATATAGGCAGCACAACAGAATTTTTGCACAAAGGCAATTCACACAGGAGGACAGGCTAGTCTGTAATAAATATAAGAAGAAGAGATGCTCAATTTTATCAACAATGAAACTGCAAAATAACACTGCAGTGAGAGTCACCCTCTGGACAATTAGAAAAGCAGGAAGTGCAACGGGGGGGGGCCTCAGTGAGAGCTGGGGGAGACGTACATCAGTGAAGGCAAAACTGGCTGGCGTCTTCTGTGTGATGTTTTGGTAAGCGATCTCAAAAGGCACCATTCGTGCCCTCTGACCCCTTCCCTAAGAAGGCAATTGCACAAATGGATAAAGATGAGGTACGGGATTCTCCTTCGCAGCGTCATTGCACTTCGCGAAAGAAATATCATACATACGTCACAAAGGTTTCACCTGGTCCAGACGCGCGTTGCGTCCGACGCTCCTGCCAAAGCCAGGGGGGCTCTGCTCTCCCTTGCCTGACAGGAGACGCACTCGGCCCGAGTGAACACAGCGGGCCGCAGCTGTCGCCCGTGTCAGGCGGGGGTGAGAAGGGGGATTTCTGGAGTGTTTCACGTTCCTCTTCCAGGTCTCGTGCGTTGAGTTTTTGGTAATAAGTAGGTGTGACTTTCACAAAAACAAGTGCAACCTCGAGTTACCTGGGTGGCCTCTGCTCACAACCCATCCGTTTCGGTGGCTGCCCTTCTGTGGGGAGGGCCTCAGTCCACCCAGCCTCAAAAGACCCTGAGGGGGTGTGCACAGCTGGGGACCCCAGGGCCCTATTCAGCCCCCTCGGAACGCACTGACCCAGGAAGGCCCCAGCTCACACTCCCAGGACTGACGGAGCCTGGCCGGAGGCTGAGCCCTGTTCCCTGCCCTGGGGGAACTACGTTCCCGAGTCACCATGGGTCAGGGGAGGAGCTAAAAAAGGGGCCCTGGGTCCCTCAAGCCTGCATGTGGGGGGCGGGGGTGCCAGGAGCCAGCAAGCACAAGGACCCACTGTGTGTGGGCACTGCTGCCATCTCCTTGGCCTTCCCGGCTGGGGCCCCCTGGGCTCCACAGTGTCACACCCAAGTCCACTCACTGAGTGCCTCAGCAGGCCGACCCCCACCCAGTGAGCTCAGAGGGGCCTCCCCTCCAGCCCCACAAGCCTGTTTTCTCTCACAGACTACAGCCTGGGCCAGGACAAGGGTGCAGGCTGCTCTCTGCCCAAGTGGGCTAAGAACCTGCTAGGAGCTTTGCCCACGTGAGGGGTTCTGGCTGCTGCAGGACCAGAGGGCCAACCTGCATGGGTTTTCCATTTTTATTTATCCAAAGAGGAGAAAGAGGGAGGGGAGGGGGAGGGGGAGGGGGAGGCCTCCTGCCCTGCCCCGGCCCACCTGGTCCCTGTGAGACTCACCTGCCTGTTCCCCGCACCTGCCGCAGGTCCCCTCAGCCCCCTTCCCAGGCCTGCACTCCCCGGAGCACGTGCAGCTGCTGCCCCACAGCGCAAAGGCCCTGTAAGGTCTCTTCCTCCCAAGCCGAGTCTGGTTTAGGGACAAGGCGGTCACGGCAGAGCTGTCCAGGACCATGTGAGGTGGGCTCTGTGTTGGGTGCTCATTTTAAACGGCTGGAACTTTCTGTGACAGGGCCCAGTTGTGGGGCCACCCTGGTGGGCCTTCGTGACACCCAAAAAGTTTGCTGTTGGCTTAATTCAACCAATACCTGTTTGTACACCCAGCAGCTGACCCAGGGCACGGAGCAGAACAGGTGGACACTCAAGCCACAAAAATTAATTAGAGTCATCTGCCAGCTACGGGCTGTCCCAGGGGAAGGGGTTGTACCAGCTGCTCCTCTGGCAGGGCTGCTCCCCCTGCAGGGCTGGTGGAGCCGGCAGAGCCTGAGGTTCAAGCTCCAGTGGGCCCTCAGTCACCTCCTGCCACTGCCTCTGGGATGAGGTGACCTGCGACCCCTACACCCTCCTGAGCCCGGGCTTGGCGGGAACCCAGCCCACCCCACACAGCCCCTCCTCACGGACGCAGACGTGAAAGGCCGTAGGCTGTCTGGGCTCCTGGAGGAATGCGGCCTCCCCTGTGGCCCTGTGCAGAGGGGTCACAGGTGGGCCATATCCATCCTGGGTCCGCCTGCCCAGTCCTTCATGCAGTTGCGCAATGTCTGGTGACAGGCACTCGTACCTCAGGCTGGACGACCGCGCACCCTGCTGGGGCCGTCTATTCACAAAGTGCAGGGCAGTTATGACTGTGCTGGAAAAGCATCAAAAACACCTGCGTGAATTCTGTGTATTAAACCGTGGAGTGTCTGAGCGTGTTACTGAGGTTACACGAAAAGCCCTCCTGTGGTGAGTGAGGCCAGTCAGCATGGAGAACATAGCAGGCTGGAGGCTTTGGGTCTAGGGGTCCCCGTAGAGGAGTGGGGGTCATGGCTGGCAGGAAGTAGGACGGGCTCTGGCTCTCCCTTGTCCGGCCTCGCTGTTCAAGTGCAGCTCTGCCTCTGGTTGTGGGACTCACCTGATGTGCCCTGTCGGCTTCCAGAATGACGCCCAGAGCTGGGCACCTGGCGCTAGACACAGACATGCAAACACACACACACACACACACACACCAGTGTGCCCGCATTCGCACCACGTGCACGATGCATTCGTGGACACACACAGACTCATTCGACACGTGCGCAAATGCACAGGCTCCCCTAACCTCTGCCTGGAACGTCCCCTCTTCGGGGACAGATCTGGGGTGAAAAGGAAGCTGTACTTCCTTGGACAGGGGACAGAGAGCTGGGCCGGGTCCAGGGGGACCTGCAAGTTCTGCAGAGACCCTGAAATATGGTGTCATAATAAAAACCCCATTTAAAGTACTTCTTTTTTTTTATTGATTTCATTGGAAACAGAACAAGAAATGGTCAGAGCCAAAAGACTGCTCTTAAAACTGTCAAAAACATTTTAACAGAAAAAAATAAACATGACTGCATTATGAATGTTTTTAGAAGAGTTGCACAAAAAAAACCCCACTGTTACTGCACTAATTACAGTCTTTAAAAAGGTATATGCCAAAAAAAAGTATATGACCTGCCAGGCCACCACACAAAAGGTGATGGCAAATTTATTCACGCTACAAGACTAACATCTTTAAAAAAGTTTTTCCTGCATTTTATTCTAAAATCACTTTGTTCTCTTTATACAGTTGATAGTTTATTTCACGTGGTGAGTAGAAACCACACCAGAATCAGCACCGTTGTCTGTGTTTTGTTTTTTATTTTGTGTTTGTCCTAATGTTCAGTAATGGTAGAAAATAAATCAGTTTATTCATCATAGCATGTGGCTTAAAAAATCAACAGAAGGTGCCAGCGTCAACGGAACCGGCGGG
This sequence comes from Homo sapiens, assembly GCF_000001405.40. Classification (NCBI taxonomy): domain Eukaryota; kingdom Metazoa; phylum Chordata; class Mammalia; order Primates; family Hominidae; genus Homo; species Homo sapiens. The sequence goes on along the minus strand of NC_000009.12, from coordinate 137,835,609 downwards.
GGCTGCACCCACCAAGCCACTTCCTCGAAAAGAAACGTCAGTTAGAGGTTTGATATATAGGACTAGATATAGGATTCCTTTAAAAAGCAAACCCACATTTTCTCCAAAGTTAGTGGTGGGGTCGGTCTCCTGACCTCTCCGAGCCTGACAGGAGACTGTGCCCTCCGTGCGGCCCCTGGGACTCGGCCCCAGCCACGCAGGCCGTGGGCAGGGCGAACGGAGCAGCTCGCGCTAACGGTGGCTTCGGCGGCGCCACACAGAAGAGTCTGGGCCGGACAGGAGAACAGAGCAACCCCGTGGTGCAGCGGGGACCTCGGAGGTCAGAGGAAGAAACGAGAAACTTCGCAACGACAAATCAGCATCAGAAACTCAGAAGGTGATGCCAGTGCGGACTCCCAGCGTCTCTGGCGCGCGGACCAAAGTGTGCGCTCCAGCCTGGGCACTGGGCCCGCGGTGAGGCCGCAGGTCTGGGAAGGTGGCTGGGAGGCATCCACACCCGCCCGCAGGGGCTGCAGCCTCACCTCCGACCCCTCCAGGAAGCCGGCGGCGCAGCCCCGAAGGACCCTTTCGGTTGCGTGCGGAATCTCTCCTCCTCGTCCTCTAATCGGCGACGCGGCGGTCCCTGGCTCCCGAGCGCCCCGCTGGCCGGCGGCGTCTCATAGGGGGTCGGCGGCAGCCGCGGAGCTGGTGTCGGGCAAGCCGTCCTCCTGGGCCTCCTGGGCCGCGCTGGCCTGACGCTGGGCCAGGGCCGCGCTCGAGTGCCGGCACTTGGGGGAGCCGCAGCGGCAGCTGAAGAGCTTGCCTTTGATGTCCCAGAAGCGCTCTCCATAGTCAAACCTGGGGAGGGAACAGAACCAAGGCTCCAAGTCGAATCCCACCGGCACCTCCCACAAGCCAGATAAATTAAGGCAAGGCCAAAGCTTCCTCACCCCGATCTGCCGTGCCGCATCCCAGGTCGCAGTTTTTAGAACTACAGGAAAACCACTAGCATAAACCCGAGACAAGCCCAGGAAAGCAATGCGAGCCCCGTTCCTAAAACCGTCCCGCCGGCAGCGGAGATGGCCAGGGGCCGGGGCGGTGCGTACCCGAGCTGCTCGCCGGCCTCGATCAGGCGGGTGCTGAAGAAGGCGATCCGGGGGAACCGCAGGTCCTGGTGGGCCATGAACACGCGCACGGGCACCAGGTTGGGCTCGCAGTGGTGGTTGATGAACCGGCTGACGTTCCCGTAGAACCGCGCGTCGATGCAGTAAACCTCCCCGTCCTGCAGGGCGAGAAGCCGGCACGGGCTGCAGTTAGCAAGGCCCCGACACGCCGGCCTCGCCGGGTACGGCCATGCATGGCAGTCCCGGAGCCTGCAGTTGGGCGCAGGCCCGCCATGCAGGAGGGGCCTTCTCCAGTGACCTGTGGCGGCGGTGCGGAGCCTCCGCCAGCCTTCTCCTCGCTGTGTGGCCACCCACCCCGCACCCTGCCGTCCTCGCTGGGCCTCCGTCTGTGGTGGGGTGGGGGTGGTGCGGGCCGTTCCCTTGACGGCGTCCCCATGGGGCTTCCAGCGCGGTGGAATGTGGACAGCGCCATCCCACCCGAGGACCCATGGGGCTGTCTGGCACCAATAGGAGAAAGGAGGCCGGGGCTGCAAGAGCCCCGTGAGGCAGTGGCAGGGGCTGAGGGGGTCGGGAGGGATGGAGCTGGCATCCGGGACACACTGTCTTGGTGACGAGGAGGCGGAGCAGTCCCCAGAGGGTCTGGGAAGACTCAGTGGCGAATGGCACCAGGGAGGACCGTCAGGCGGAGGCTGCCCACAGAAAACGACTTCTGCTGCAGCCCTTCCGGGTGCTGATGTGACTGTGGAACACGAGGCCGAAGAGACTGAGGCGTCCTCCTCACCCTGGTGCCTTGGAGAGGAGCCCAGGATTCCGGGTGGCCACATGGCCCTGGGCCCTGGCCCCTGGCACTGGCCTGTGATGATGGATTCTGAATTGACCATAGAGAGGGGGACGAGGTGGGTGGGCCTGACCTAACCACGCAACCCCTTTAAAAGCAATTCTCTCTGGAGACCCAGGGCTTGGAGCTGCTGGGGCCTGGATGGAGGAGCTGCGTGGGAGTAAGGTAGGTGGTCCCGGCCGGCAGCTAGCAAGGAACCTAGACGCTGCCCACGCAACCACAGGGACCTGGGCTCAGCAGCACCCTGCCTGTGCAGCCCGAGGCCCGGCACGCCCAACCCCTGCTGCGCACACTGGGCCGAGTGGGTGGCCGCCATGGCGAGCTGCGGGTGGGTGGCGTGGTTTGTTACCCAGCGACGGGAAGAGGCAACACCACAGACGACAGCCAGGCAGACGGGGAAGGAGGCACCTGGGGCTTTCCAGGACCGAGTTCCGAGAGGGCGGGGCCTGCCGGCAGAGACACCTGGTCCACAACCTGCCCCAGCATGAACATTAACCAGAGAGCCAGGGACGCTCAGAGGTCAAGAGGTTAAAACCCAAACCAACAAGCGGGTAAAGGCGTGGACGAGAGCAGCTCTCCGTCAACCTTCACGGCGCGGGCAGTGACAAGACAGTAAACCAGGCGAGCACGGCCGCAGGACAGGACCAGCCACAGCCCCCAAAGCCAAAGGCGCGGGAAGCTGCCTCCTGGTTTACCCCAAAGAAACAGAGTTCAGAGTGGCTCACCTGGCGTGGACTTTGGCCTCTGCTTCGGGGTCTGATGGACTAAGAATCTATAGGCGACCCCTCCTCGTGCAGAATGCAATTCCGGAACTAGCAACGGCGCACACACGAAGGTCTTGATAAGCAGCAAAATGGAGAGTGAGGGGCTTCCGACTGGAGGGGCCAGGCCCAGCTTTCACCAGGGGCAGCTCGTCTGGCAGAGCACACAGCGCTGCTCCGAGCTTCTAAGATGGGTGGGGTGTCAAAGTCTGTGACACAAATCTCTGCCCGACCAGAACCAGATAAAGACAACAGTCCAGAGAAGGACGGCTGGAGTAAGGCAGATAGGCAACGTGGGAGGCGGGGCCTGCGGAGAGAGCCCAGCCAATCCTAGGACTGGAGAGAAGGCACAGGGGCCACATGGGTGGGTGGGGGGAGGGCCTGCGGAGGGAGCCCAGCCAATCCTAGGACTGGAGCGAGGTGCAGAGGCCGCGTGGGAGGCGGGGCCTGAGGGAGACCAGCCAATCCTAGGATGGGAGCAAAGTGCAGTGGCCACGTGGGAGGCGGGGCCTGTGGAGGGAGCCCAGCCAATTCTAGGACGGGAGCGAGGTGCAGAGGCCACGTGGAAGGCGGGGCCTGTGGAGGGAGCCCAGCCAATTCTAGGACGGGAGCGAGGTGCAGAGGCCACGTGGGAAGCGGGGCCTGAGGAGGGAGCCCAGCCAATCCTAGGACTGGAATGAAGGCACACAGGCCATGTAGGAGGTGGGGCCTGTGGAGGGAGCCTGGCCAATCCTAGGACTGGAGGGAAGGCACAGGGGCCACGTGGGGTTGGGGGGTTCTGCGGAGGGAGCCCAGCCAATCCTAGGACTGGGGCGAAGTGCAGCGGCCACGTAGGAGGCGGAGCCTGTGGAGGGAGCCCAGCCAATCCTAGGACTGGGGCGAAGTGCAGCGGCCACGTAGGAGGCGGAGCCTGTGGAGGGAGCCCAGCCAATCCTAGGACTGGGGCGAAGTGCAGCAGCCACGTAGGAGGCGGAGCCTGTGGAGGGAGCCCAGCCAATCCTAGGACTGAGGCGAAAGCACAGGGACCACTAGAGAGGCCGGGCCTGCAGAAGGGGCCCAGCCAATCGCACTAGGGAAACAAGGCCCACGCAGAAGAGAAACCAGAGTCCTCCCCACATGTTAACAGGAACAACTCAAGGGACCTGACGCTTGAAACACTGAGGAAACGAACACGTCCGAAAGAACACTCAACTGAGTCCAGCCTTGAGATGAACCAGACACTGGGCCAACAGACACGTATTTTCAAGGCAGCTCCTAAGGCTGTCCTCAATGAAGAACAAAGAAAGATTTCAAGGCATGAAAATATCAGAGAAATGAGAAGTCTCAGCGGAGAAACAGAAAAAGAATCCAACGGAAATTCTACATCGAAATTCACTGGCTGCTGAAGCCATCACTGGGTGGATGAACAGAATCTCAGAGATTTGCCTAATGACAGGTAAAGTCAAACAAATTGACTTGTACGCAACATTATTTGAGATAAATAGCAAGGGCTGAAATCAACCTGAATGCCCCAAAAAGAAGGAGAAAGATTTCCATGTACGGACAATATGATGACTCTCCCCAAATCCTGTCGGGAGAAAGGTAAGGGCTCGTGCACTATCTACACTCTACCACTTTTTGTGTAAGAAAAGAGAAGGAATAAGAAATCTACTTGAGTATTTTTTCTCGATTTCTGCTGATGGTTACTGCAGGTGCTACAGTTGGAATGTGTGTGCCCCCCGACCAGACTCACAGGCTGAGACCCCAAGGTTAGGGTGAGGCTTTGGGAAAGCGATTAGGTCATGGGAGTGGAGGGAATTGTGCCCTCATAAAAGGGACCCCAGAGAACTGCTGCACCCCCTCCACCACGTGGGGACACAGTGAGAAGGCACTGGCTACGAACCAGGAAACCCTCCCCAGACACCAGATCTACTAACACCTTCATCTTGGGACTTCCAGCCCCCAGAGCAGTGAGAAATACATTCCTGTTATTTGTAAGCCTCACGGTTTACAGTGTTTTGCTATCACAGCTCGAATGGACTAAGACAGCAGGAAACAGAATACAGAGAACATGGAGAGAAGCAAGGCTTTTCTGGGTGTGAACTTCCCAAGCATGCAAAAATTTTACACAATCAAAAAACAAAAAATTAAATTGTAACATTTAAAATGAACTAAAATTAATGTAACTGCCTATCAAGCCAGTGACACAATCACACAAGCAACATTTCTGGTGCCGCGAAGCACAAGACTGGGCCCAGCTTCCATGGGACATGTTCTAAGGAGTGAGACGCTGCAAAGAAGCGCAGATGCCATCCGGGAGCTGGACTGGTGCTTACTGTTATCGGTAATATCTGGAGTGCTATTTTGAAACTAAAGATTTTAGAAACCAAAATTTTTATTGTAAGAGATGCAAATATAAAATCAAAGAAGTTGGATAAAAACTCTACACTGTTAAATTTGAATTGGAAATATTAACATGAACACATTTTTAAAAATCTATTTACTTCATAACTCTGTCCTCTGAAAAGTGAGTCAAGAGCCCATGGCACCCTGACAGCAGTGGGCACCCCAGAGTCTCATTTCAGTGTCTAAAAATCTTTCTCTTCCAAAAGCACAAGGACATCCTGGAGAAATGGCTGATTCCAAGTGTGGGGCAAGGAACATAAGGGAGGCCTGGGTGTCACATGGTACCGAAGAGCAGTGTCACCAAAGGAGACGGGCTCGCCTGCATGGGCTCCCCATGGCCAAAGATGGGGCAGTTTGACCATTAAATAAGAATGGCTATAACTGATCAAACACACATGTAAAAATGTAAACAAAAAAAAAAAGTAAAAATCCATGAGCCCACATTAACACTCAAAACAGAGGAAAGAAAAAAAAGACCAAAATTTCTTTGCTGCTACTTCCTCCCTCTGAAACTTGATAACTAAATGGTAAGAATAAAGCATTGATCTTGCCTTTCTCTGAGGAGTAACCACAAAGCCCAGGTTTAAGGTTTATTTATTTAAACAGAAGAATGTCTGTTAATAAACAGGGAAGGCATGGATGCTCGGGGTGGCCAGTCGAGGTGGCCATAAAGCTCCCTATGGGACACAGCAGCCCCGGTGTGAGTGTCGCCAAACCTCAGCCCTTCCTCCCAGCTGGCCGCAAACACGGGATAAGAGAACAAGTGAGGTGACACCACGGGGGGCACACAGAAATGTGGACCATGGGATTTCTCAGGCCGTTGGCCAGTCTCCCCCATAGGCCACTGTGTGGGCTGCTGGTAGGAAGAAACTTCTGGGATGTGCCAAGTATCATACAAGGGACAGCCCCAGCTGACTCCAGAGGGGCGAACCAGGAAAAGACATCGGGGAAACTAGGAGTCTGTAGATGAACCTCACGTGACGGCAATCTCAATCTCGTCAGGCAGCACTATTCACAGGCACACTCTGACGTCACTGGGGGTAAAATGTCACATTTGTAACTAACTTTACACTGTATCAGCAAAAAAGGATGAAACAAATAAAGCAAGATACTAACAACCATCAAGTCCAAGTGGGGGAATAGGAGTCTCCACTCTCCTGATTCTCTCTGCTTTCTGGTATGTCTGAAAATTTTCACAATGTGTGGTCAAAAAGGAATTGCAAAGGCAAGAAAAAGGAATCTCTGAAGGAAGTGGCAGAGAAGTAAAACATTTTTCTTCTATTTTTTAACTAAGTAAGAGACCTGAATGCCTTTAAAATTAGGGAAGAGGCATCAGAGAAGAACCTGTGTGGAGAAAGTGCTGCCGCAGGTGAGGAGGTGCAGGTGGCAGACAGGTGGTGGCAGTGGGCGCACGGCACGAGCTCCAGTGGCAACGTCTGTGAGACCAGGGCGGGGGCCTCCCCGTGGTGCCTGGATGCCCCACCCGGGCTCTGTACAGACACCCGGGCCTGGTGCTTGGAGTGGACCTCACTACAGGTGCTCACTTCACTTCGCCAGAGGCAAAAGAGGCCATCTGGGAGGGCCAGGCCCATCTGGGCTCTTCCCAGGATTCCTAGCAGGCTCCACAAGCCCCCACGCAGCAAGCAGGAGGGGAGGCACAGAGGCGGCAGCTCTCCAAGGTGCTGAACTGGCACTGCTCAGAGCCACCAAGGGCTCATTGCAGACATGAGGCCCCAGGGCTGGGGACTTGCTATTCCTGGTCTTCTCATTTTTGTGGTTTTTCTGTCCAGAACCACCGGCCTTAGAGATGCTCTAGTGCAGTGCGTTAAAAATAACCCTCCTCCCACCCTGAGAACCTTCCAGCTCTGCACCAAGCGTCACTTGGGCCGTGAGTGTGGGATCTGTGGCTGCCCGGGAGACGTGGTACCTCCCCCACCCCGCACCCCCGCAGGAGCACACTTTGTGGCTTCTCAGGACGAGCCCCTTTCTCAGTCTGACCCCAGGAGCCTCCGCGTGACCCTAGAGGTCATGGGGTCTCGAGACCCTGTGCTCTGCTTGGCCTCACTGCCCAGACCAGAGGGGCCTAGAGTCAGGATGTGGCCTTGGCAATGGTCATGCCTGATGACCCAGCCCAGACTCCCTGAGGCCACACACACATGTGGCAGCCTGGCATGTGCTGCCCCCCACCCCCCACCCCAGGGCATGTCCAGGGCATCTTTGGGGACAGGGTGTGGGTTCCATGCACCCTGAAGAATGCAGAGGGGCTCCTCCTGGGCACACCCCTCTGACCCCTGCTGATGCCCCTTGTCACCGGGACTTCCCTGATGCCCGCCAGCACCCCCCTGGGGCCTGTGGATGGTCACAGCACAGGCTGTAGCCCCAAGAGACAAAGGGGCCGCCCCCATGGGCCATCAACCTTGCCCATGGCCTCCCACTGCGTGCCGTTCGTCCACGTCCCTCCCACGATGGCAGCCGGGCCGACCACCCCGTCGCACCCTGTCGGCTGGCACAAGGAGCCCCTTCACACAGGGGCACGGCCTCCCCTAGCTGCTCCTACGGTTCAGAGGCTTCAGATCCCAGAACCCTCAAAGGAACGGACACCGCTGAGGGCTTTAAATGTACCCTCCTGTGCTGCTCTTCCAAGGTTTCTCTGATGAAGAACCTTCCACCTAGGTTTCGGGCAAGCACACCATGGAGAGGGCTCCCTGGGGCGCCAAGTTGATGGGAGATTTGAACAAAGGCCTAAAGAAGGTAAGGACCGGGAGGGCGGGTGGGCAGGATCCCAGAGGGCATGTTCAACAGCTCCAGAACAGCATGAGGGAGTGCGAGCAATTGTGACAGCAGTGGAGGGGGGCAGTCAGTGGGGAATGGGCTGTGCAAGGTTTGAGCCAAAAGCAGAGGGCTTGGGGTCCCTGTAGCCCCAGGCTGAGAACAGATGGCAACACCAGGGCTGGGGCAGACCCAGGGGTGGGTGCCCACTGCAATGGTCCAGGAAATACTTTGAAGGCAGAATCAGAAAGCTTCCTGGCACCCAGAGATTTTGGCGCTCAGGTGGACAGGGGTCTGGGGTCTGGGGTCCGGGCGTGGGTCAGAGCTGTAGCAGACACCTAGGAGGCTTTGGTGTGTTCGTGGCTCTCCACATCCCCAAAATGAACAAGAACCGTACCTGGGCCTGTGTGTCCATGGCTGAGAAGTGAGAGGGTGCAGGGAGGAGCAGGGCTAGATGCTGCTGCCTCGGGTGGGTGGGGACCAGAGCCTGCCCTGGACTTAGGGACACTCATGGGAGGCGAGGCCTGGCTGCATCTGGTTGCAGACAGACTGGAAGGCAAGGAATCAGGCGAGTGTGGCAGCTCTGGGGCATCAAGGAGTGTGGAGAGTGCTGACAGGATGTCCCTGAGGAGGTGAGGGCAGGCGTGGCTCCAGACAGGAGAAGGAAGCACAGAAAGTCCATGCCATGGAACAGGTGTGAAGGCACAGCACAGACGTGTGGGGGAGGAGGCGGGGACCCCCCGGCCAACATGACAAGCGAGTCAAGGAACTGAGAGCCTCCAGCAGCGATCTGATGGAGCAGTATTGTGCCTGTTGAATGTGACAACTTAAAAGCAGCCTGGTAAGTTGCAGTCCTTATTTTACAAAAGGATTGGCCCACAGTGAACTGGGAATATGGAAATGGCCCTTCCACACAGACAGTTTGGGAGGTGCGGCCCTAGGTGAGCAGGAGGAACCTGGCCAGTGAAGGCCACAGCCGCATCAGCAGGGAGACAGGCCTGTGTGCACAATGCTGCCATTAGGAGGTGGTTTCGAAGCCCCAGCAAAGCTCTCCCCTCTCCTCTGGGCTGCGGCTCCACCCGCCTGTCTTGGTCTCACTGGTTATCACGCAGTGAGAAGGCAGGGTCCCTCCATGAGCCAGGCGGTGGGGTCCTCCTGAGAACCAAACCAGTAGGTGCCTTGACCTTGGACTTCTGGCCTCCAGCACTGTGAGAAACCAGTCTGTTGTGCAGTCTATGGTGTTCTGTTACAGCAGCCTCAACGGACTGAGACAGGCCCCAGGAACCAGGGCCACCTGGAGGCTAAAGTCAGCTGGGGTGACAGAGGCCACGGCCTGCAGCTTAGCTCTGAGGCCTCCTGGTGCCTGGAAGTGGACCGGGGTGACCCAGTGCATCTTCTTCAAGCAGGTTTGAAAATACAATGTCTGGCACTCAAACAAAACTAACCAGAAACATGAGGAGACAGGGAAAGAAGAAGATAAGCAGCAAAACAGATGCTAGAAACAGACCTACAGAGATGCCAGATGCTGGAAGGAGAGACCAGGGCAGGAGATATGGCAGCAAGGAGACGGCACAGAAACAGGAACACACCGCCCCACCCACCCACCCCCTATGGACCCAGACTGACCACACAACACAGCACTGACGCCACATGGTTAAAATACACATAAATTATTTCCAGTAACAATAGCATATAAATCAGATATTCACATTAACAGAACAAGGAGAAAAATCATAGGCTTATTTCAATAGATTTTTTTAAATGTTCAACAAAATTCAACAACAATTCATGAAACTCTTTGGGACAGAAAAGAGAACTTTGTTATTCTGATAAAAGCATCCCGACGCCTGCACAACAGCATCACGGGAAACAGTCCTGAAAGGCCACGCCTCCTCCCTGACACTGGGCAGCCCCGCCGGTGTAGACGACAAGAATGAGAAGTGAAACCAAGGGGACCGGGGCAGCCTGCGTGGTGATGACACGGGCACACACACACAAAACAATGGACCCACACATATCATTACACTTAATAGGTGACTTTAGGCCACAGGTTAAAGAGTTAATTTTAAAAACCTACTCTATTTCTATCCATCAAGCAACAAGAGGAAAAATATGCCTCCTTCAAATACAAGAGCATCAGGGTTTCTGAGATGCTAAGGGCTCCTGCTTCTGACTGTGATGGGTCAGCTGGTGCTGCACTTGCCCTCCCACCCAAGACTGATGGCCCAGCCAAATCCACAGGACACAAACAGAGGTGCCCAGGGTGGCACCTCTGGGCAGTTTCTCATACAGTTGAAGGTCACTCACACATGACCCAGCCAGGAAATGGTAAAGGCCAGATGGCATGTGATTCCACTTACATGATATTGTGGAAAAGGCAGGATTGCAGGAAGCAAGTCAGCGTGGCCGTGGCTCGGAGTGGGGAAGGCAGGTGCCCGTGAGGAGAGGGAGTCGGCCCACACACATGTAGAATTCTAAGGCAGCCCCAAGAGTCTCCCTTGTATCAACCCATCCCCTTGAGCGTGACTTGCTTCTGGCCCACAGAATGTGAGGAAGGCAGCGTGGCAAAGCCCCGACATTCTCCTGCTGGCCTTCAAGAAGAGAGCTGCCTCTAGGAGCTCAGAGCACCCCCGGTTGCCAGCCAGCAAGGAAGCAGAGGCCTCATCCTGCAGCCAAGGAAGTGAATTCTGACAACCCAGGGAGCATTTACAAAAGGCCTGAAGCTAACATTAGACAGGGTAAGGACACCTCTTCCCCCAGTGCCGGGAAGAGAACAAGCATTATGCCCGACCTTCCAGAAAACAAAGCTGCACGGCTCAGAACGCGAGAAGAAAAACTGTCTTTACTCACACATGACGTGACCACATGTGCAGACAAGCCTAATAGTCCAAAAAGTGAGTAGAATTCATACATTTAACAAGGTCAATGCACAAAAAAATCAAGTATTTCCGCATTATTTCCAACAAACAACTGGAAGATGAAATTTAAAAACAATACTGTTTATAATACATGAAAAGTATGATGTGCTTAGGAATACATTTAACAAAACACAGTGTAAGATCTACATACTAAAAGCTACAAGGCTCTGCTGAGAGAAACTCAATATCAAACTCAAAGACAGCTGGGCCACCTACAGACACAGGGTCAGAAGGCTCAATGCGATAATGGCCAGCAGATTTAGTGCAGTCTCAGCAAAAATTCCAGCAGCCTTGGCCTGTACTGACGCCCGGGCTCTCAATTGTCTATGGAAATGCAAAGGACATGGAGGAGCAAAACAGTTTTGAAAAAAAAACCGAGTATGAGGAGTATGAGGACCTAACACTACCTGGCTCCAAGCTTTACTATCAGTCAAGAGAATGTGTCATTGTTTGAGGATCAGCAAATAGATCAAAGGAACAAAACATGGTCCAGACGTAGATCTCCATCAGCTGGTATAAGCAGAACTAGTGGTGCTGGATTAACTGTCCACATGGACACAAGTGAACCTCAATCCTTACTTCAAACCCACATCTTTGAGAGACAGGCCAGGCTGGAGTGCAGTGGCTCGATCACGGCTCACTGCAGCTTCAAACTCCGTCTCGGCCTCCAGAAGTGCTGGGATTACAGGAGCGTGCCAGTGTGTCTGGCCTTAACTTGCATTTTTACATAAGACTTCTAAAAAAAAAGGAGAAAATCTTCACAATCCTGGGATAGACATGGAATTCTTAGGACATGGAAAGTAATAGAATTTCAAAATTCTGCTTCCTGAAAGACACTGTTAAGAAAGTGAGGAGGCAAGGCACAGACTAAGAAAATATTCACATCACACACATATTTATATGTACATCAGAGTCAGAAGATGGAAAGAGCTCCTACAACTCAAGAAGACAAGCAGCCAATTAAAAAACAGGCAAATTGGCCAGGCACAGTGGCTCACGCCTGTAATCCCAGCACTCTGGGAGGCTGAGGCGGGTGGGTCACCTGCAGTCAGGAGTTCGAGACCAGCCTGGCCAACATGGCGAAACCTCGTCTCTACTAAAAATATAAAAATTAGCCAGGCGTTGGGCCGGGCGTGGTGGCTCACGCCTGTAATCCCAGCACTTTGAGAGGCCGAGGCGGGCGGATCACGAGGTCAGGAGATCGAGACTATCCTGGCTAACACGGCGAAACCCCGTCTCTACTAAAAATACAAAAAATTAGCTGGGCGTGGTGGCGGGCACCTGTAGTCCCAGCTACTTGGGAGGCTGAGGCAGGAGAATGGCGTGAATCCGGGAGGCGGAGCTTGCAGTGAGCCGAGATTGTGTCACTGCACTCCAGCCTGGGTGACAGAGCCAGACTCCGTTTCAAAAAAAAAAAAAATTACCCAGGCGTTGGCCGGGTGCGGTGCGGTGGCTCACGCCTGTAATCCCAGCACTTTGGGAGGCCGAGATGGGCAGATCACAAGGTCAGGAGATCGAGACCATCCTGGCTAACACGGTGAAACCCTGTCTCTACTAAAAATACAAAAAATTAGCTGGGCGTGGTGGTGGGCGCCTGTAGTCCCAGCTACTCAGGAGGCTGAGGCTGGAGAATGGGGTGAACCCAGGAGACGGAGCTTGCAGTGAGCCGAGACTGCGTCACTGCACTCCAGCCTGGGCGACAGAGTGAGACTCCGTCTCAAAAAAAAAAAAAAAACAATTAGCCAGGCATGGTGGCCGGCGCCTGTAGTCCCAGCTACTCAGGAGGCTGAAGCAGGAGACTCGCTTGAACCCAGGAGGCAGACGTTGCAGTGAGCCGAGATTGTGCCACTGCATTCCAGCCTGGGCGACAAGAGCGAAACTCCATCTCAATAAACAAACAAACAACAACAACAACAAAAAACAGGCTTTTTTTTTTTTTTCGAGATGAAGTTTTGCTCTTGTTGCCCAGGCCTACAGTGCAATGGCATGATCTTGGCTCACTGCAACCTCCACCTCCCAAGTTCAAGCAAGTCTCCTGCCTCAGCCTCCCGAGTAACTGGGATTACAGGCATGCGCCACCACACCCGGCTAATTTTTGTATTTTTAGTAGAGACGGGGTTTCACCATGTTGGTCAGGCTGGTCTCGAACTACTGACCTCGTGATCCGCCCGCCTCGGCCTTCCAAAGTGCTGGGATTACAGGCGTGAGCCACTGCGCCCGGCCCAAACTGGCAAATTTTAAAAATTACTTCACAAAAGAAGTAAAAGGATGGCAACACACATATGAAAAGAGGCTCTTCATCAAGCATCAGGACAGCAAATCTAAGTCACAGTGTTTGGAGCTCTCACTCACTGAGGTGGGAACGGAAGTGCTATAACCACTTTGGAAAACTAGCGGTTTCTTTTAAAGTTAAAGGTACCCCATCATATGAGCCAGTAACTCCACCCCCATTTACTCGAGAAATAAAAATTCATGTCCATTAAAAACAAGTCTATGGGAGTCACAGCAGGTTTCCTCGTGATGGCAGAACTGGAAAGGACGGAGGCCCACCCACAGGCAAGCAGGCATAAACCAGCAGGGAGGCCAGGTGGGTCACCGTCCAACAACAGAAAGGAACAAACCACTGACACGTGTAGCCACGTGGGCAAATCACAAAACATGCAAAGCCGGACACAGGATTCCGTTTATAGAAAATGTGAATGCAGGTGGAACTCATCCACCAGGATGGGCAGGGGAGAAGGAGGGACTAAGGGCTCACAGGGGATTTGGGGGTGACAGAAATGCTCCATATCTTGACTGTGGCATTGATTACACTGGGATGTACATTTGTAAAAACTAAAACCATATACTTGAAAGTAGTTTGTTTTACTGTATTTAAATTAATTGCAATAAAGTTGATCCAAGAGAAAAAAATTTCAAAAACCTATTTGATTTAAAAAAATCCAACAAAACATATACAAGACCACACCACAGAAAACCATAAAATATTACTGGGGGTAATTAAGAAAGATCTAACAAATGAAGAGATATACCATGTTCATGAACTAGTAAACAAGGTAGTAAATGCCTCATTTTTCCCTAACCTGACTGACAGGTCTAATACAATCCCAATCAAATCCCTACAGGAGCTTCTGTAGAACTTGTTAAGCTGACTTCAGAACTTACATGAAGACCAAAAAGAACAAGACACAAACTCTATGGTGAAGCTGGGCACAGTGGCTCACTCCTGCAATCCCAGTGCTTTGGGAAGCCAAGGTGGGAGGATTGCCTGAGGCTAGGAATTTGAGACGAGCCTGGGCAACACAGTGAGATTCCATCTCTATAAAAATAAAATAAAAAAATTAGCCGGGCATTGTAGTGCACACTTGTAGTCCTACCTACTTGGGAGGTCAAGGCAGGAAGATCACTTAAGCCCAGGAGTTCAAGGCTGCAGTGAGCTATGATTATGCCACTGCACTCCAGCCTGGGCAACACAGCAAGACCTGGTCTCTTAAAAAAAAAAAAAAAAAAAAAAAAAGGCCGGGCGCAGTGGCTCATGCCTGTAATCCCAGCACTTTGGGAGGCCGAGGCAGGTGGATCATGAGGTCAGGAGATCGAGACCATCCTGGCCAAGATGGTGAAACCCCACCTCTACTAAAACTACAAAACTTAGCTGGGCGCAGCCAGGCACAGTGGCTCACGCCTGTAATCCCAGCACTTTGGGAGGCCAAGGCAGGCAGATTACGATGTCAGGAGATCAAGACCATCCCGCTAACATGGTGAAACCCTGTCTCTACTAAAAATACAAAAAGTTAGCCGGGCGTGGTGCTGGGCACCTGCAGTCCCAGCTACTCGGGAGGCTGAGACAGGAGAATGGCGTGAACCTGGGAGGCGGAGCTTGCAGTGACCTGAGATCGCGCCACGGCACTCCAGCCTGGGTGACAGAGCGAGACTCCGTCTCAAAACAAAACAAAACAAAACAAAACAAACCTCTAAGGTGAGAAGATGTAAACTACAGTAATTAAAATAATTAAGGTAACACAGCCCAGGCCAAGAACAGTCAGCAGACTGATTGATAGGACGAGGACACTGAGCTATGACAAGAGCCACACTGCTGACTGGGGAAAAGACATCTTCTCCACAAGCAGTGCTGAGTCAGCCAGGTAACAAGATGGGAAAAAAATAAACCTTGAGTCTGATCTTACATCACACACAGAACGGCTGTCAACCTACACATGGAAGCCACGTGAAAGCAAACATGACCGTTTCTGGGAAATATTCAAGTTTTCAAAAAAATATCACTAAGACATTACGAAAACCCAGTATTTAGAAAAAGACTGATAAACTGAACTAGAATAAAAAAAAGAACTTCTGTTCACTCCTAGACATCATTAGGAAATGAAAAAGTCATAGAGAGAAGGCGACATCTGTGGCACACACGAGTGACAACACAGCCTTTGTGAGGATATGTGTCACCAGCCCACAGAAGGCGAGTCGTTCCACAGCAAGGCTGGAATGGGCAGTTCGCAGCAGAGGAGCCTCACAACTCTGCACACGGCATGCACACATGGAGGTTGCCATCCCTTGAGAGCTCAGCCCCACTGCACAGGGAGATGCCTGTACACTGTGACCTTCCAGAGCCCAGCTTCTCTTCTATGAAACACAAGTCATTTCACCAACAGTCACTTCTTAGAAGGTGGCTGCAGGGACGGAGCCTGGGGTTGAGGTTGGCAGTCCACAGAGGCCACTGCTATGAAGACGGCTGCCTGGTGCCCTATTCTCCAGGTATAAGATTTATTCCGTGGTCTGGTGGCTGCTGCTTGAGATGAGAAAAACCTTTATTTCCCCACTGGCTTGGAGTTACTGCAAGTTTCAAGAGGTTTTAAAATAGACAATGGATGAATTCCAGAGCAATGATGGGAACGAGGCTACAGTAAAGGGAACATGAGGGCTGGGATGGGTCAATCACCACTGCCCTAGCCTCAGAAAGCTCCCAAAACCAGGCTCCCGGAGTGGCCCCTGCTCTCTCCCACACAAGATTCTAGCGCCTGGGCAGTGGGGATTGGGTGGGCTGGGGACACAAGGGACGTGTCTGTTGGCCTCTGTGCACAATCCAGGAGGCTCACTGCTGCTTCACTCAGTCACCGAGAACACACAGCCGCTCCTCAGCCTCTTTACAGTCTCGGCACACGGCGCCCCCCCCCTCAGCCTCTCTACAGTCTCGGTACACGGCGCCCCTCAATCGGCCTCTCTACAGTCTCGGTACACGGCGCCCCTCAGTCGGCCTCTCTACGGTCTCGGTACACGGCGCCCCTCAGTCGGCCTCTCTACGGTCTCGGTACACGGCGCCCCTAAGTCGGCCTCTCTACGGTCTCGGTACACGGCGCCCCTCAGTCGGCCTCTCTACGGTCTCGGTACATGGCGCCCCTCAGTCGGCCTCTCTACGGTCTCGGTACACGGCGCCCCTCAGTCGGCCTCTCTACGGTCTCGGTACACGGCGCCCCTCAGTCGGCCTCTCTACGGTCTCGGTACACGGCGCCCCTCAGTCGGCCTCTCTACGGTCTCGGTACACGGCGCCCCTCAGTCGGCCTCTCTACGGTCTCGGTACACGGCGCCCCTCAGTCGGCCTCTCTACGGTCTCGGTACACGGCGCCCCTCAATCGGCCTCTCTACGGTCTCGGTACACGGCGCCCCTCAATCGGCCTCTCTACGGTCTCGGTACACGGCGCCCCTCAATCGGCCTCTCTACGGTCTCGGTACACGGCGCCCCTCAATCGGCCTCTCTACGGTCTCGGTACACGGCGCCCCTCAGTCGGCCTCTCTACGGTCTCGGTACACGGCGCCCCTCAATCGGCCTCTCTACGGTCTCGGTACACGGCGCCCCTAAGTCGGCCTCTCTACGGTCTCGGTACACGGCGCCCCTCAGTCGGCCTCTCTACGGTCTCGGTACACGGCGCCCCTCAGTCGGCCTCTCTACGGTCTCGGTACACGGCGCCCCTCAGTCGGCCTCTCTACGGTCTCGGTACATGGCGCCCCTCAGTCGGCCTCTCTACGGTCTCGGTACACGGCGCCCCTAAGTCGGCCTCTCTACAGTCTCGGTACACGGCGCCCCTCAATCGGCCTCTCTACGGTCTCGGTACACGGCGCCCCTCAGTCGGCCTCTCTACGGTCTCGGTACACGGCGCCCCTCAGTCGGCCTCTCTACGGTCTCGGTACACGGCGCCCCTCAGTCGGCCTCTCTACGGTCTCGGTACATGGCGCCCCTCAATCGGCCTCTCTACGGTCTCGGTACACGGCGCCCCTCAGTCGGCCTCTCTACAGTCTCGGTACATGGCGCCCCCCCTCAGCCTCTCTACAGTCTTGGTACACGGCGCCCGTCCTTCACCTCTGTGCAGTCTCAGGGGTTGCCAAGCCCCAACCCAAGATTCTCAGTTGTGGTTTGGAGGACTGGAGTGGTGGGTCTCAGGCCCACTCTCACAAGAAAGGGGCAGTTGGCTGCACAGGCTCAGGGACCTCCCAAGTCAGAGGTCCCTCCCTCCATCCATGCAGGGCACAGAACCAAGGCCAGCTCCAAATGCGGCACTCAGCAGGTCTATAGCAAGCCCACTCTTGTCAACAGTAAGAGCTCTCTTCTGAATCCCAGCCCTACTGGGACAAACACATTCAGGTTTTACAGTTCACAAGTTCTGCGTGGCCCCAACCCCACAAAACACATTACCTTATTGTCGAGATCAAAGAGGTAAGAATCTTCCTCTCGAACGTCGGCTTCTGAGTCTGAAATCAGCTCCCCAACATACCTGCAGAGGGTGCGGTGCAGGTGAGGCCCTGGAAGGCAGCGAGCACTGCCCACAGACAAGCACAGCCCAGACTCCGCAGCCACAGGGAAAGAGCAGGGCACACCAGAAGAACATGCAGGGAACATGTTTAGAGAGGTGTGCCCAGGGTTGAACTGGGGTTTCAGCTGAGGGTCCGGAGGATGATGATAACGATACCGAAAGCTCTGCGTCTGCGGTCTGGTACCTGAGAACCCAGAATGGTCCTCCCCTAGAGATGACTGCCCATGCTGGACCACGCCTTCCTAACTGGACCACGCCTTCCTAACTGGACCACGCCTTCTTAAATGCACTCCTGGGCTGGTTACGGGCAGCAGCAAGAGGACTGAGGACAGCACGAGCTTGGTTCTCGGGGCCAGGGTCTCTGTGGCCCCCACCCCACGCTGCTGTACGCCAGGGATGTGCCTGCTCCCAGAGGGGCTTCCTGAAGTACAGACACAGATGGGCCTCCGTCCCAGAAATGACACCAGGCTTGGGGTGACCCAGGGACTCACTCACTCGCAGACAAAGGTGCCTGGTGGGATGTCCTGCAGGGACCGCACGCCCCAGCCCATGTCCCGCGTCCGGTAGAGCTGCAGCCTTGCCCTGAAAAATAGAGAGTAGTGGTGAACCCAGGCCACAGCCTCAGCCTGTTGCCACAATGGTCAGCAAAAGCCAGCTGGTGCCACGTCACTGAAATGAGGAAGAAAACTGGTTCTGTATCCGAAGCGTTCGATGCTGCAGGCACCTCACAGACACGGCATCTCGCACTCTCAGGGAGCCAAGAACCCGGGGATCAGCCAGGAGCACCCCAGCCCACAACCTCGGCAAGTCACTGGTCCTGGCCGTGGCTCGGTGTCCCCATCTGTAACATGGGGACAGAGCTGGGCCTGGGCCACTAGGCACTGTGAGGGGCAGAGGTGCTAATACTAGAGAAGCCTATAGCTGGACCAGGCTGTGGTGACACCTGCAGCCCAGCCTGCTCCCGACAAGGAGCCCACAGGCCCCTCAGGGCTGGGGGAGGGTGGCAGGGGAGGTGGCGGTCGAGGGTTTCTCAGGGCTGGGGGAAGGTGGTTGGGCAGGCCTGGGGGAGGGTGGCCGGGTAGATCTGGAGGAGGGCGGCTGGGCGGTCCTGGCATGTGGGCCTCTGAGGAGCCCTCAGAACCACGTGCCTCGCGTCTGCCCATCTGGCATGTGTCCCGTGTCTGCCTCGCGTCTGTCTGGCGTGGGTCCTCACCACCAGGCCTTTCTACCATACCAAGGACAGAGACTGCCTTTCACCATGAACCAAGTTTATCGAGGTCACAAAAAAGTCAATACTATAAAAATGAGTGTTCAGCTAAATTTAAGTGTGCATAACTTTCCCTTATGACTCAGAGGAGCTTTGACTTCTCCAATCTCGGGCACATTTGCGGAGGAAATGCTCAAGACCAGAATCCAGGGAAAGGAGACGCAGCTGCTGGGCGGTCAGGGGACCAAGCCCAGCTGGGGAAGGGCGCTGGGCAAGCCTTACTCCATGAGCGTCCTGAGCAACCCAGGAACAAGGAGTCCACGCAGCCTGAGAAGCGTTGGGACATCACCTCACTGTTAGGGAAGCCCAGAGAACAGAGAATATTTAGAAAATGACTGGAGTATTAAAATAGAACTACGACAGCCCTAACCTGTTGAAGAATGTTCGCATGAACTCGGTAACAAAGGTAATTCTTAGGCCAAGTCCGTTCCTCTGCTTTTAGCTGGACTGACCCAACAACCTGCTCCTTCTCTCATGCCGAAGTCTGTGCTGGGGGAAGCATGACTCGTGATTTATGGCACAAGTGACATTTCTAGAGGATAAAGGGCTCAGGTAACTTGTCGGCTCTATCTGCAAACACACATGTGCGTGCATCCAAACACGTTAAGTTCTTGTCTGTCGGGGTGACCTCCGTGCTAATACGTGCTAATACGAGCAGAATGTGGGGCTCCGGCAGGAAGCTGCCTCTCACCTGAGACCATTCTGTACGACGCGATTTCGGCAGTTCCTCCAGCAGGAGCACGCGTGGTTGCATTCGAAGATCAAGGGAGGCTCCGCCATGTTGAACTCTGGCAGGAGCCGGCCATCCTGTGGACAGATGAGCAGCAAGGGCCCAGCAGAGGTTACTCACTCTTTAATTGAACTGACATCAACCCATTTCTACTAAGTGCCCAGTGTGGCTTAAACGGACATAAAAACGATGGTTTCTGGCCAAACTTGAACACCCACCTAGGGAAAAACTCCATGTGTACGGTTTGGATGAGAAGCCTCCACCCAGATGCCCACACAGGTTGTGGAGACCCCCTGGAGCGCTCCCCTAGGCCCAGCCTGGGGCCAGCTTCTGTCCACCCAGGGCCTTCCCAGCCCCCAGCCTGGGCTTCTCCAGCCTCACCGAGGCTGCCAGCTCCTGGGTTGCTCTGCTTTCTTCAGCTGGTTGGGGCCTCCTGCACCCTCCTGCACTCCTGGCCTCCTTGCCTTGCAAATCCTCAACTGTGGAGGGACCCAGCCCTCTGCTCCCCTTTCTACCCCCCTGAAGCCAGGCCAGGTACAGCAGCACTGGGTGCAGATGCTCCCCCAGGGCTGTGTGAGCTGAGGCGCGGGGCCCAGGGCTGCCCAGGCACACTCTGGCTTGACGGCTTCAGGGGCTGCTCTGAACAATTAGGGCGCTCCTCAGAACATTCCTTCCTGCGCCCCCTCAGCAACACTGTCCACCTGAAAAGACACCACTCGGACATGAGCTTGGTGGCTTTCTGAGCGTACCATCTCCATAGCCCTCACTGGCACGAATCCTTTTCCCATTGGAGCCTCTAATTCAGATGGGTAAACACTTGACCCTCCATGTCCACTCTCCTCCAAAGTCTGCTTCCAGAGGGGACGCCTGTTGCCTCTCCCTGCTCGCGTCTCTTTACCCAGGCCATGCTGGCTTCCGCCCCCACCGTGACCTCTGAACTCGGGAGACCAGGAACTCTCCGCCTCTGCTTAGACATCCCTCCCCTGAATTGCACCCCTGCTAGCCAGGGCTACTCCCCACTCCCGTCTCCTCCTCAGCAGCCTCCAACCTGGGCTCCTCCGAGGACCAGCACCCAACAGAAACTTCCAATCCTGTGTCTCCTCAAGCCCAGCGCCCACACTGATGCTCCCTGTACCCAGCCCGGCAGCACCCTCCCTCTTCACACCCCTCACACTCAGCAAGCACAAGGCACAGCTTACCAGATACACACAACATAAGCAGCACCTCCTCCTGGGGCCAAGCCAGGCTGACGCTGCCCACCCCCGCCACCATCCAGGCAGCCACAAAGGATGCAGACCCCAGCCCCAGGGAATCCGCAGCCATGTCCTCGGCTCACGACCCTGACTCGGGTGCTGGTGCCCGCTGTGCCTCCCCTGCCTGTCACACCCAGCTCACCTCCAACTCCTTCCCGACGCTGCCACGACAGCGCTGGGGTCACAGACGCCTGCACTGTTTTTGCAGACCCGGACCAGCGGCACTTACCACCTGAGCCCACGCACACGAGGCCGCCCTCACCTTGTCGTACCAGCAGCGCATGCTGAGCTGGCCGCACATGCAGTTGCTGGAGGAGCAGTCGTCGATGCACACGCAGTACTGAGAAGAGAGGCGCCGGGGGGTCAGACGTGCAGGCACAGGCCTTCCATTTCCCCTCCCAGTCACAACTACGTCTTCCAGTTCTGTTAACCCTGATTCTGGTAAGTGCTTCTCAAAGGCACCACGTGAGTGTGTGGCCTCTTAGGGAGAAGGCTGTGCAGGCAGAAACATGTCGAGTGCCTGTGGGAGGGAGCTCTGGCTGAGGACCCTGACAGAGGGACAGGGGGCAGGCAGGGCAGCGACGCGGCAGTGGGTGACGTGGGGTGGGTGAAGGGCTGGGCGGCGGCTGCATTTGTGGCCAGATGCTCGATGGGAAAGGCAAGAACACAGAGCCTGACACACCTTGTGGGGCGGGGGGCGGGGGGGGGGGGGGGCCTGGGCAGTGCCCGGCCTGGGAAGAGGAGGGAGCTGCCCACAAGCAGAGCCACAAGGAAAGTGCTCGAGAAGGCGCAAGCAGTGAGGGCACCAGGCTGCATGCACTCGGAGGCTGGGAAAGCTGGCATGTGCTGGACCCATCTCTCCGGGGGCTGGGAGGTGCAGGGATCCAGGTCGTCCTGCAGGCCTCGCAAGGGCTCCTCTCGCCTGTGCCCCCAGCACGAAGCCACACCGGGGCCCCTGAGTGTGAGGTTACAAAAAAGGCACAAAGATGCCTGCCACTGCTTTGGGTCGGTAAGAAGCCTTGGAAGAGCAATGAGAGGGCCCAGGGCTGGGCCTGACAGAACCTTTATCTGCCTTCCAGCTCTTTCACGGGAGGCAACTACAAAGAGAATGAGGTCTTCCTGGGAAGCCCCCCATAAGCCCTCCTGCTCTGAGTGGTGAGAACCCAGGACCCCAGGCTCAAGAAGCTTCTGCCTGTCCCATGTCCTGGCCTGAGTCAGCCCTTCATCTGCCGTCACTCACCTGCAGATGAGTGATATTTCTGTCGATGTTCATGGGGGACGTCACGCAGTTCTGAGAGACGTACTTGTAGTTGCTGGGGCATGGCTCGCTGTCCACGGCGTTGACACAGGGGATGGGGATGCGCTCGTAGCCTCGAGCGATGTCCCTGCCATGGAAAGGACAGGTGTCACCTGGTGGCTGACGTGCTCTGCCCAGGGGGTGGCACAGCGTGCAGTGGGGCGGCTGGCAAACACCTGGCCCTGACAATTTGGACTGCAGCCTGGGGATGTTTCGGCTTCAGGAGCAGCTTTCACCGCAAGTTCCCAAAGCCCTGCTGACCGCTGATTTGCCACAAAGCCGTCCTGGGGCTGGGCTCACCTGCTCACTATCCTCTCCACGGGGCTGGGCCTGTCGGGGGCCGAGTCCTGCAGAGCCTTGCTCATCTGCAGAGCGCTCCACACCTGAGAGTTGAGGCTCGCACACTGCAGGGGCGTCTCTCCTTCCTTGTTCTTTAAGGTGACATCTGAATCCCGAGAAAGAAAGAGGCTAAAAGGGAAAATGTAAGGCCACAAAACATTTAAAGCTGACTTGAAAATGTGATACAGATGAGATTTATAAAATGTCCGTCATCACTAACAATAAAGGGAACACTATTCACTGTGAGATAACTTGAACAAGTCTGCTCAGCAATGACTCTGCAAAGACGGGCTTTAGCTCACCCAGGAACATGATTCCCTTCCTCCTCTCCCACATTCACTGTCAAAGTCAGCAGGCTGTTTTCTTAGCAGGAAGAGTGTAAAATCCAGGGCGGCATTTGATTTTTCTTGGATTTTTCATTCAAATTTACCCTCAAGGATAAGAAGGGAAGCAAGGAGGGAGAGAGGCCAAGCTTGGGCCACGCACAGCGTGAGCAGTCCTCAGTTCCACTCCTGCTCACTGCATCCAGACTGCAGTCATCGTACGTGGAGCTGGGCTTCACACAACCAGATGACCAACCTGGCTGAGCCACCGTGAGATCCACATGTGGGAGGGCACAGCCCCATGTGTAGGGGCCAGGGAGTCACTGGAGGCTGGTGCCTGGAGCACCCACAGTTCCCTGTCCTTCCCCAGCAGCCAAACACACACTCCATCCCAGGCCACCAACAACAACCTGAGTGTGGATGACTTTATGGGATCAAGGTCTCAAGCTTTTTTTGTTTTTTGGGTTTTTTTTGAGACAGAATCTCACTCTGTCGCCCAGGTTGGAGTGTAGCGTCGCAATCTCCACTCACTGCAATCTCTTGCCTCCTGGGTTCAAGCGATTCGCCTGCCTCAGCCTCTGGAGTAGCTGGGGTTACAGGCACATGCCACCATGGCCGGCTAATTTTTGTATTTTAGTAGAGATGGGGTTTCACCATGTTGGCCAGGCTAGTCTCAAACTCCTGACCTCAGGTGATCTGCCTGCCTCAGCCTCCCAAAGTGCTGGGATTACAGGCGTGAGCCACCACCACCCAGCTGAAGGTCTCAAGTTTTAAAAGGGCCCTGAGTGGCGAGTGCCACAGCCCCCAGCAACTCCAGCCCTGGCTGTGGGTGGCACTGCTCCCAGAAGGCACCCTGAGCCTCTCGGGGACTCTGAGCTGGCAGGTCCCTGCTGGGAGCAGGGCTGTTCCCATGCTGCCCCTCAGCCATGTGAGGAGTATCAGGTCTGAGACTCCAACTTGGGAATTTTTTCATGACAATCCTCCCTAACCCAGAAATAAACCACAGCTGATCTCAAACGTGGACTGGGAAAGACACTTCTCTGCGTGTGGAACACCAAGGATGGACTTCCACACGAAGGAACAGAGGGCCTGTGTCCACTCACGCCCCAAGTGTGAACACAAGACTGTCAAGCGGTCTCTCTGGGCGCCCAGGTCAGGTCAGCGCCAGCCCGCGCTGGGGGAAGCACTGCACTCACACGACACAGTCGTAGCGGTTCTCCCGGGCGGCAATGTGCAGTGGCGAGTCTCCGTGGATGTTCACGGCGTGGAGGTCGCACTTGGCAGCCAGCAGGATCTCGGCTATGTCCACGCAGCCGGAGAACGCCGCCCAGTGCAGGCAAATGTTCTCCTCCTGAACAGACACAAGCCAGAGCTCAGTGCAGGCTTCCTGCTGGCTCACAGTGCTGGGGCTGGGCCACAGCAGCTGCAGCCCATGTGCCCGGGGAGAGGCTCTGGAGCATGCGTGGCCGTCCGCAGCAGGGCCAGGTGGAAAGGGTGCCACAGGTCACCGGATGGGAACCTAGCGCCCATCTCAACTCTGGAAGGCACTTCGTTTCATGTTTTGTTTGTTTCATTGTAAAAATAACATAATTATAAAAGTAGCATAATCACAGTAAAGAATAAAAATAGGGAAAAGGTCATCCAGAATTATATCAACCTACACTCAACATATTAACACTTGGAGGCACTTTTCTTTCATGTATTTTTAAAAATTATATTCATTTCCAAGCAGGGGTATAGTCATAGGATAGGATAATGCTTTTGAAAGATTTGAAAAAAGGACGTGCAAATTTGATTAAATTAAAATTTTGGGCCGGGCATGGTGGCTCACGCCTGTAATCCCAGCATTTTGGGAGGCAAAGGCAGGTAGATCACCTGAGGTCAGGAGTTCGAGACCAGCCTGGCCAACATGGTGAAACCCCGTTTCTACTAAAAATACAAAAAATGAGCCGGGCGTGGTGGTGGGCACCTGTAATCCCAGCTACTTGCGAGGCTGAGGCAGGAGAATTGCTTGAACCCGGGAGGCAGAGGGTTACAGTGAGCCGAGAACGTGCCACTGCACTCCAGCCTAGGCAACAAGAGCGAAACTCTGTCTCAAAAAAAAAAACAAAAAATTTTACTTTAAAAAAGGCCTCTTTTAAATAAAACAAATAAAATTTGGAGAAATACTTGTGCCACATGTAAAATATAGATGATTTATAATCACACAGTAAATTAGAACACTGTAATTCTGAAAAAATATGTGCAAAGGAGAAGAAAATAAAAAACGTAGGTAAGAAAAAGATGAACGGTAAACATAAGAAAATGTTCAACTCTGCCAGGCAGCCAAGAATATAAATCAGAACAATGAAGTATCCCTAACTCTATCGCCCCAGGGATAAAACAGCGATAAACGGAATGAGGAACACGCCCACGCTGTTTCCTAAGCCTGATGCCCACCTGTCCCTGACCCTTCGTCATCACCAGAGGCTCCCAGGTACTGAGGCCTCCTCCAGTTGGCGCCGTGCGAGGAGCGCCTTTCACGCAGGGCGGCATCGGAACCGCCTCCGGACCCATCACCGACGGTCCACGCGGGGCGGCATCGGAACCGCCTCCGGACCCATCACCGACGGTCCACACGGGGCGGCATCGGAACCGCCTCCGGACCCATCACCCACAGTCCACGAGGGGCAGCATCGGAACCGCCTCCGGACCCATCACCGACGGTCCACACAGGGCGGCATCCGAACCGCCTCCGGACCCATCACCGACGGTCCACACGGGGCGGCATCGGAACCGCCTCCGGACCCATCACCCACAGTCCACGAGGGGCAGCATCGGAACCGCCTCCGGACCCATCACCGACGGTCCACACAGGGCGGCATCGGAACCACCTCCGGACCCATCACCGACGGTCCACACAGGGCGGCATCGGAACCGCCTCCGGACCCATCACCGACGGTCCACACAGGGCGGCATCGGAACCGCCTCCGGACCCTTCCCCCACAGTCACTCAGCTTCCGGACCTTTCCTTTACTGAACACTTGGTTTATGTCTGTTGGTATATTTCTGGAATACAATGCCAGCAAATATTTTAGTGCTTTTCATTTTCTACATTATTTCTCAAGGATGCATCCTCAGAGGCAGGATTGCTGGATTAAAAGCACGTGAGCGTTTCACGTTCCTGAAGTGTGTTCTGCTCTGCTGGTGTCTGGGAGCGCCGGCTGCAGCCTCCTTCCCCTCGGGAATGGTCAGCGATCTTCCCAGATGCCATAAACCAAGCCCCGCCTGACTGACCGCTTTGCTGCGGCGGCTGAGGAGGCTCGGGGCCCAAGGCAGACCCCTGCAGGGGTGCGGTCTCCACCCCGCAGGCTCTGCTTCCATTTGAGCT
Source organism: Homo sapiens (assembly GCF_000001405.40). Lineage (NCBI taxonomy): Eukaryota > Metazoa > Chordata > Mammalia > Primates > Hominidae > Homo > Homo sapiens. The sequence continues at coordinate 137,809,441 of NC_000009.12, read as the reverse complement.
CTGCCCCGCCTCCCTCCGAGGGCGCAGGGCCGCCGCCACATCCCAGGGACTGGCTCTGCAGGTAGGCAGGGTCACCCCCAAGAGAGAAGGACGCGGGCTCTTCTGAGACACCCTTGTGCTCTCACGCAGTCCCCCTCCCAACTCCACACCGTGCAGCACCGTCAACCCTTCCAGCTCAGTGAAGGCGAAGAAAAAAGCAGAACAGAAACCGAGTGGCCTGGTCTCCAGCATCTTCATCCACAAACGGCCAGCCCCCGGCATGGGCTTCACTGTTCCCTTGACTTCTAAAAGAGAAAACTAAAAGCGAACTCCGTGTGTAGGCCTCAGTGGATTTCCTGAAGAGCCTCTGCTGCTCTTGGGCTCCTCCACCCCTCTGCTCTTTGTTTCTGGCTTCCCTCCTCCATACATTTCAGAGCTCCTTGAACAAAAGGCTGCTTGCTTAGGGGCCTCTTTTCTTTTTCCTTTATCAGAATGATTTATGATTTTATAACCAGAATTACATTTTTTATTTTTTTTTAGAGGCGGAGTCTCACTCCGTCACCCAGGCTGGAATGCAGTTGGCACGATCTTGGTTCACTGCAACCTCTGCCTCTGGGGTTCAAGCGATTCTCGTGCCTTAGCCTCCCCAGTAGCTGGGATAACAGGCTCATGCTACCAGGCCCAGCTCATCATTTTGTATTTTTAGTAGAGTCGGGGTTTCACCATGTTGCCCAGGCTGGTCTCAAACTCCTGACCTCAAGTGATCTGCCACCACGCGCCCCCCCCACCCCCCGCCCAGAATTACATTTTTGAGAGCTTCCAGTTCACATAAGATCCTTCCACTCTGGGACTGTTCAAACGCCCAGCCTTTCTGAAGTTGGCTGAGTTACGACAAGCCTGGCCTACAACTGGTGAGCAACCGCACTCCTGAAACAATGGGGTGATACAGACCAGAACAGGTTTACCTTCCCACCTAAAAGAACCAGAAGAGTAAAACAAAACAGTCAAAACCTATGACCATGGTTGTCAAGACACCAGACACCAGGCAGGGAAGGACCGTGCCCCTGAGAGGCGAGTCTGTGAGGGAGCCCGTGGCTGCCCAGCTCACTGCCACCAGAGCTCCAACCATGGCGCAGGGGGTAGGCAGGCAGGGCCCCCGGATGCTCAGACAGAAAACAGAGCTCCAAGAGAGGTTCCAGAGATCTGTGCACTTCCGGCAGGAAGTGGGTCATCCGGCAGGACACTAGCGGCCACAAGCCTGTTGAGAATGTGCACTCAAAGCCGGGGCCTTTCCCCACAACCAGGCAGGCCACACTCTCCATCTACAGGCTGTGGGCTGGAGGACAATGGACGGACCTGCCTCGGTGGCTCCAGACCCACCTAACAAACCTGAAAAGCAAAATCCAACATGATCTGACTGCTTTCAAGTGACTGAGTTCCAGAACAAAGTTCAAGAACATTCACACGAAGAAGAGTCCTTAGCACCATACAAGTTTTGCAAAACCCACCCACATCCTGGCATCGGCTACAGGTTACCAGATGTGCAAAGGAACAGGAAACATGACCCACAATGGGGAGAAAAACCCAGTCAATCAAAAAGCCCGGCTTTGACACAGATGCTGGATTAGCAAACAAGGTCATTAAAGCCATTGGTGGGCTGGGTGAGGTGGCTCACACTTGTAATCCCAGCACTTTGGGAGACCTTGGCGGGGGAATCACTTGAGGTCAGGAGTTCGAGACCAGCCTGGGCAACGTGGTGAAACCCCGCCTCTACTAAAAATACAAAACTTAGCCAGGCGTGGTCGTGCGCGCCTGTAATTCCAGTTACTCGGGAGGCTGAGGCAGGAGAATGGCTTGAACCTGGGAGGCGGAGGTTACAATGGGCCAAGATTGCACCACTGCACTCCAGCCTGGGCAAAAGAGTGAAACTCTGCCTTAAAATAAACAAATAAATAAATAAATAAATAAATAAATAAATAAATAAGTAAATAAAGCCATTGGTATAACTGTATTCTATAGGTTCGAAAGTTAAGTAGAAACATGTTAGGAAATGTTTGAAAGACTCCAACAGAACTTTTAGAGCTGAAAACGACAATGCCTAGAATGTAAGCACACAGACCGGATGAGCTCAACAGCATCACGTGCAGAAGAAAAGATGAGTGGACTAGAAGACAAACCAACAAAAACCTGCTCAACTGAAACACAGAGGGAAAAAATAATAATTTAAAAATTGAAAAGAGCACCAGTGAGCTGTGGAACCACTCTGAGAACTCCTACATACACAGCTGGAATACTGGAAAGCGTGGTGGGCAGAAAACATTATTTGAAGAAATAATGACTGAAAAATTTCCAAATTTGTCAAAAACCCTAAATCCACAGATCCAAGAAGCTCAATGAACCCTACGTGCACACACACAAAATAACACCAAAGCACTTCAGTAATCAAATTGCTTTACAGACAAACTAAGGCTTAGAGGAAAATCCAATTGCTAAAACCAAGAGATACAGAAAAAACATTTTAAAAGCAGCCATATAAAAAAGACACATTATACACAGAGAAATAACTGTGTGGTGGCACTGGATTTCTCACTGCAAACACTGCAGGTGAGGACCCAGGGAAACCGCCATTTAAAGCATTGGAAGAAATAACTACGCATCCAGAATTCTAAGAATATCTTTCAAAGATGAAAGCAAAATAAGGACTTTCCAGGCATTAAAGAGCTGTAAGAGGGCTGGGCACAGGGGCTTACGCCTGTAATCCCAGCACTTTGGGAGTCCGAGGCGGGCGGATCATGAGGTCAGGAGTTTGAGACCAGCCTGGCCAACATGGTGAAACCCATCTCTACTAAAAACACAAAAATTTCCCGGGCGTGGTGGCCAGCGCCTATAATCCCAGGTACTCAGGAGGCTGAGGCAGGAGAATCGCCTGAAACCTGGAAGAAGGCGGTTGCAGTGAGCCAAGATAGCACCACTGCACTCCAGCCTGGGTGAAAGAGCAAAACTCCATTTCAAAAAAAAAAAGCTGCAAGAGCTCATCACAAGCAGACCAACACCACAGAAAAGGTAAAGGGAGTGAGGCCAGCGGAAGGGAAGCAACATCAGGAGCATGAGCCCACCAAGGTGGAGAAGCGTGGCAGGGACAGGGATGGGGATGGCAGGAGCAACTGCAGAGCTCTTCTGCAGTCTTTCAAACAGACCACTCGGCTGGGCGTGGTGGCTCATTTCTGCAATCCCAGCACTGTGGGAGGCCAAAGCGGGCAGATCACCTGAGGTTGGGAGTTTGAAACCAGCCTAGCCAACATGGTGAAACCCCCATCCCTAATAAAAATACAAAAATTAGCCAGGCGTGGTGCCATGTGCCTGTAATCCCAGCTACTTGGGAGGCTGAGGCAGGAGAATCGCTTGAACCAGGGAGGTGGAGGTTGCAGTGAGCTATCGCACCACTGCACTCCAGCCTGGGTGACAGGGTGAGACTGTCTCCAAAAAAAAAAAGAAAAAACCAGGCCGGGCACAGTCGCTCACACCTGTAATCCCAGCACTATGGGAGGCCAAGGTGAGTGGATCACGAGGTCAGGAGTTTGAGACCAGCCTGACCAAGATGGTGAAACCCCGTCTCTACTAAAAATACAAAAATTAGCCAGGCGTGGTGGCTCGTGCCTGTAATCCCAGCTACTCAGGAGGCTGAGGCATGAGAATAGCTCGAACCCGGGAGGCGGAGGTTACAGTGAGCCAAGATCATGCCACTGCATTCCAGCCTGGGCGACGGAGCAAGACTCCATCTTAAAAAAAAAAAAAAAGACCACTGACTGTTTAAACAGAATAACTACATGGCTATTATGGTGTTCAGAACATATATATGTGTAAAATATAGGAGAATAGCAGTATCAAGTTTGGGAGGAGAAAAATGATTTTGCAAGACCTACTGTAAAGCTACATCAGTCAAGAAAGGACAGTACTTGCCTAAAGGCAGATATGCAGATCAATGCATCAAAAGAGAGGGCCCTGGAGCTGACACACACATCTGGACGACTGACTTTACACACATGTGGACAACTGACTCTGACATGTGGACGACTGGCTCACACATGCGGATGACTGATACATACGCAGACAACTGACATGGATGACCAACTCATACATGTGGACGACAGACTCACAGACATGCAGATGACTGACTCATACATGCAGATGACTGACCCTTACATGTAGACAACTGACACACATGTGGACTGACACATGGACGACTGACAGACATGCAGATGACTCACACGTGGACGACTCACACGTGGACGAATGACACATGCAGATGATGGACTCACACATGCGGATGAGAGACACACACATGCAGATGACTGACTCACACATGCAGACTCTCACATGTGGACGACTGACAGACATGTGGACTGACACATGTGGACGACTGACAGACATGCAGATGACTGACTCACACATGGACAACTGACACATGTGGACACACATGCAGATGACTGACACACATGGACGGACTCATACATGGATGACTGACAGACATGCAAATGACTGACACATGTGGAATAACACATGGGTAACTGACTCACAAATGCAGACAACTGGCTTTTGGCAATGGTACAGAGTCAATTCTATGTAGAAAGAATGGTTTTCTCAACAAATGGCACTGAACTAGGCATCCATAAGCCAAAAAAAAAAAGTTCAATCCATACCTCACACCACATACAAAAGTCAACTATAATAAAACACAGACCTAAATGTAAACCCCCAAACCATAAAACTCGTATAAGAAAATGTGGGAGAATATCTTTGGGTTCTCAGATTAGGCAGTGATTTCTTAAACAGAACGCCAAAAACAGGATCCAGTTAAAAATAAAGAAAAACGTTGATAAACCAAACTTTATAAAAACTTTTAAAATTCTGCACTTCCAAAGACAGATCTGTAAACCATATATCTGATAAAGGACTTATATCCAGAACATGAACTCTTAAAACTCCAGAATACCCAATAATAAGCAAGAAAAATATTTGAACAGACACTTCATTAAAAAAGATATATGGATCGTAAATGAGCCCATAAAAAGATGCTTAACATCAACTGTCATTAGAGAAATGAAATGAACTGAAAACTAAAACCACAAGATATCACTACACACCTATTAAAATGGATAAAAGTTAAAGACTGACCATGCTAAGTGTTGGGAAGGATGCGGAGGAACCAGGACTGTCTGATATGGGTTGGCTCTGTGTCCCCACCCAAATCTTGTCTTGAATTGTAATCCCCATGTGTCAAGGGAGGGACCTGATTGGATTATGGGGGTGGGTCTCCCATGCTGTTCTCATGTGAGTGAGTTCTCACAAGAGCTGGTTTTAAAGTGTGGTACAATGCTCCTCAATCTCTCCTGCCACCATGTAAGACGTGCTTTGCTTCTCCTTCACCTTCTGCCATGATTGTTAAGTTTCCCGAGGACCCCCCAGCCACGCTGAAGGGTGAGTCAATTAAACCTCTTTTGTTTATAAATTACAGTCTTAGGTAGAACCCTGATAGCAGTGTGAGAACGGATGAATGCACTCTCATACACTAGAGATGGTACAATCACTTGGAAAGCAGTTTGGCAGGTTTTTTTTTTTTTTTTTAATTTTTGAGACAGGCTGGGGTGCAGTGGTGCGATCTCAGCTTACTGCAGCCTTGACCTCCTGGGCTCAAGCGATCTTCCCACCTTAGCCTCCCGAGTACCTGGGACCACAGGTGTGTGTCACCATGCCTGGCTACTGGCAGTCTCTGAAAATGTTAAGCCTAGACACCTGTCATATGTTCTAACCATTCTACTCCCAGGGGTTTAATCAAGAAAAATGAAGGCATGAGTATTCACAGCATCTCTCTTAGTAACCACCAAAAATCAGAAACAACCTAATGTCCACTGATAGGTGAAGGGTAAACAGACACATTCACACAATGGGCACTTCAGGCAACGAAAATGGGGATCTCGGCTTAAGGACGCGAGGGAAAGCTGCCCATGGTGAGAGCCCTTTTCTATAAAACCGAGACACGCAGACAACAGAAAGCCCAGCAATGGGTGGCAGGGGTGGGCTGGGCATGGCTGTGAAGCGCGGAGGATCACCTGAAGATCATCAGGGCATGAGGGAGGACTGGGCTCACTCTTCCGACAGCAACAATGGCTTCTGGGTGAAAATTCACCCAAGTGTGTACTTTGAATATATGCAGCCTACCTATTATACAGCAATAAAGTGGTTAAATTAATGAAGTGTTTCATTGTATAAATAACAAACTTGAAATTTAATCAATGCTTCCATTCTGGGGGAACAGCCACCAGCATCAGAGAGCTAACAGCTCTGACACCTGGACAGGCTGCAAACTGCCCAGGCATGCAGGCCGACCAGCCACACTAGGGCCGCCTTCCCCGCCACGCAGTCTCCGGGGGCGGTGGGTGAGGTGGCCCCACCTGGGGGTGGCCTCTGCCTTGTTCTCTGCCTTTGCTTCCCTCCTCTCTTCCTCCAAGGTACCCGCCACAGCCTTCCACCAGCTCAGGGCTCCTCTGCTTCCCTCTTCTCTTCCTTCTGCCGGCTCAGGGCTCCTCTCTTCATGGTGCCGTCATCCTAACCCGCAGTGGGAAAGAACTCCGGTGGAATGAGGTAGAAACCCCCTGGATACAGTCATGGAAGCCCTGCAGCCCACGGAGGAGGCACTGCAGCTCAGGACCAGTCACTCCAGAGAGGCCTGCGTGCCTGCAGGGAGGCAGCGGGTGCCCACAGCCAGTGGTCCCTGTTTCTAGGTGGGAGGTGGGGTCTGCTTACATGCAGCGAGGGGTTCCAAATGCAGACCTCCCCGTGCCAACAATGAATGGCAAGGGCCCGTGCCCACGCCGTTCTCAAGCTCTGAGAGGAAGTGTCAGCCCTCCCTCCTCAGACACCAGACTTCAGCACATTGGAGATTTAATAGTGTGCTTTTAGAAATCTTCTTTTTCTGTGTCAAATCTTCTTTCTTATTATCAATTTAGTGGGTTTATTTGTGGCTGGACTTCCCATTTCTGGCCTCTGGAACCCTCTGTGAAGGCAGACACAGCTCTGTGGGCTACAGCACCTCCCATTTCTGGCCTCTGGAACCCTCTGTGAAGGTGGACACACCTCTGAGGGCTGCAGCACCTCCCATTTCTGGCTTCTGAACCCTCTGTGACGGTGGACACAGCTCTGTGGGCTGCAGTGTGTCTATGCCCGTCTTGGGAGGTGACCAGAGTACCCCCTCGCCCCTTGCTGTCGTGCCCAGTGCCACACCCAGCCCCCTGGCAGGCCCACTGGTTTTGTGGGTCCCTGAAGATCTTCTAGTGAACACCCTTTTGAGTTAATCAGTCACCTGCTGCCACTCTCAGGCTGGGGAGTCCTCCTATCTCAGCTCCAAACTCTATTTTCTGAGCAAACAAATGGGCCTTACAAAACTAATTGTCACTGAAGCATCTTAAATCACATCCTAGAAAACCGTGGTATGATAATGTTCACTTTTCTTTCCTTTGTTTCAAAGAGAGAGCCAGGGGCCAGGCGTGGTGGCTCATGCCTGTAATCCTTTGGGAGGATGAGGTGGGCAGATCACCTGAGGTCAGGAGTTCAAGACCAGCCTGGCCAACATGGCTAAACCCTGTCTCTACTAAAACTACAAAAATTGGCCGGGCGCAGTGGCTCACACCTGTAATCCCAGCTCTATGGAAGGCTGAGGCGGGCAGATCACCTGAGGTCGGGGTTCAAGACCAGTCTGGCCAACACGGTAAAACCCCGTCTCTACTAAAAATACAAAAATTAGCCAGGTGTGGTCGTGGGCGCCTATAATCCCAACTACTCCAGAGGCTGAGGCAGGAGAATCACTTAAACCCGGGAGGTGGAGGTTGCAGTGAGCTGAGATCACACCACTGCACTCCAGCCTGGGTGACAGAGCGAGACTCTGTCTCAGAAACAAACAAATAAAAAATACAAAAATTAGCCAGACACGGTGGCACACACCTGTAATCCCAGCTACTGGGGAGGCGGAGGCATGAGAATCACTTGAACCCAGGAGGCAGAGGTTGCAGTGAGCCAAGATTACGCCACTGCACTCTAGCCTGGGCGACAGAGCGAGACTCCATCCATAAAAGAAACAAAAACAAAAACAAAGGGAGAGCCAGAGGTGCTGTGGCACCCGCACCAGGGTCAGTAGCCTCAGGCCCAGGCACAGCCCCGTGAGGCAGCAGGAGGGAGACCAGGGCAGTGCAGCGCCCTCTGAACCCGCAGATCCCTAGAGGGTGGCCTCTGCTGGGACCTCACATCCCCCATCTGCATCCAGCACAGGACAGCCACAGCACAGTGCCGGGCCGATGCTGCCACAGGAAGAGGTCAAAGCCGCCACCAGGTGCCAGGGTTCTGCTTTTGAGAAAAGAACCTTCTGGGGGAGGAGGTCCCCACCCCTCCAGGACACGGCTCCCGGGGAGGGTGTGACGAACTTACGTTGTCTCGGATGTTGATGTCAGAGCCCTTGGACAGCAGCAGCTTCACGAGGTCCACGTGCTTGTACTCTGTGGCCCAGATCATGGGTGTCCAGCCTCCGTCATCCTGCCAGGGAAGAGGACAAAGCTGTCATCGCTCCAGAGACCGGCAACCACCAGAGCAATGAGGACTCCCACGCCGAGGTCTCTGCACCTCCCAGGTACCATGCCCCTCGTGCAGGCGTCTCACTCAGGACCTGAATGCAACCTTCAGAGGCCACAGTTCTTCCTCAGAGCACAGCCCAGGTAGCTCCACAAGCGCAGGATGAAGGCAGAACCAGGACTGGCCCAGGCCCAACAACCCTGCCCGACATGCCCTGTGCTGTCGGCCTTGCCCGCTCCCAGTTGGGCACCACTCACTGGGGACGCACCAACACAGCTGCGTGCAACGAGTCTAATGGCACACACACGGGAGCTGAAACTTCGTAAGCCCAGGCCAGACCCGGAGCGCACCAGCAGCCTTGGCTGGCAGGAAGTCTGGGCTGTAGCAGGTTCTGCTCCTCCTTCAGCCTCCAATGGTGGCTCCGTGCAGGAGAGCCAGGGACCCCATCAGAGCAGCAGCTGGGAACTGTGGGTGGGAGACGGACAGGTGGACAGAGGCGGACGCCCCTGCTTCCTCCTGGGCAGGGAGCAGAATGCCCACCCAGGCTGATCAGCTCTGCGGCTCCTGCCACTCCTGAGTCCAGTCAGTGGGCCCGGGCAATTTTCTTTAAGCCAGAAAAAGGCAACTTTTCTGAAAATGAGGGTCATATGGCCAATTCCTACTCTGAAGGCAGAAGACTCAGCCTCTTCCCCAGCACCCGTCAAAGGACCTGCACATCCCAATGTCACAGACACAGCAGCCTCCACGATTAAAGCTACATCTCCCCTGCGGTGGACAGTCAGCCTGCACATCCTACTGTCACAGACACAGCAGCCTTCATGATTAAAGCTACATCTCCCCTGCGGTCGACAGTCAGCACCACCACAGGCACTGGGAACACAGCAGGGACAGCAGAGCGCAGCCTCCTGGAGCCCAGCCCCCCTGCTCAATGGAGGAGGGTACAACGTCAGAGAGAAGAGGTCAGAGGATGCTTCAGATGCAGGGACCAGGCGGGGCTCCGACCTCTGGGCGCTCAGGGCAAAGGCGAGAGTATGGGCCTTTGAGCATATCACAGACGCTGCTGCTTCCAGCCCATGGGGACGCTGCCACAGCCAAGAGGGCACAGAAGCTGGGCGTCAACAACTGGGTGGGCAACCACTGGGCTAAAAAGACTCGGACCAAGCCTCCTGAAGGAAGGAGTGAGAGCGAGCGTGAGGATGGCACTTATCCCAGAGCTGTGGGTCCATGCAGGAGGGACCCCCAGTGCATGGTGAGCAGCCTCAATCCATGCAGGAGGGACTCCCAGTGCATGCTGAGCTGAGCAGCCTCAAAGCCTGCCCTTCTTTGATCTCCCCAGTCATTCACTCGTGAGGCAGGTGGCCCCTGTGTGTGAGGCGCCGCGGTTCAGCACACATGCATGGCAAACCCTGCCCCGTGGCGCTGGCTGTGGGGCAGAGACGGACAATGAGCAGGAAGGAAGACGGGTGCCAAGGAGGGAGGCTAGTGACACCTCCCTCAAATGGTAATACCTAGACACAGCTGATGGAGAGCAAGGGAGGAGCCTCCAGCCAGACACAGTGCAGAGCCTGCCCTGCTGTGAGCATTCACAGCAGGCCAGGGAAGAAGGGGACAGGGAGGGGACAAGGCACTCCAGGGCCCAAGGGCTTGAGCTAACCCTGTGTGTGGAAGGCGATGCCGTGGAGGGTCCGAGCTGGCCCTGAGTGTGGAAGAGGACGCTGGAGGGCCCGAGCTGGCTCTGTGTGTGGGATGGGACGCTGTGGAGGGTCCGAGCTGGCCCTAAGTGTGGAAGAGGACGCTGGAGGGCCCGAGCTGGCTCTGTGCGTGGGAGGGGACGCCATGGAGAATGGGGGTGGGACCAGGAGCTGCAGAACAGTGAGTTTCCGTAGCCAGTCCACACAGTGTACTGCTAAGGGGAGGGGGTGGCTGTACCTGACAGTTGACGTCCATCTGTCCATTTGAAAGCAGGTACTGGACCACTTCGTAGTGGCCTTTCTTGGCAGCCAGGTGCAAACACGTAGAGCCCTCTGCGTCCTGCAACAGAAATGCCACTTAGTCAAAGAATCCATACCTGTGATCCTGGTGTGCCAGCCCTGAGTGCGGGATCCAGGAGAACCCGGTGTCTACCATGCGGGTGGGGTACTGTCCTGCTCAAATGACAAGGAAACCCAGGCTGAGGCCGAGGGAACAGCCGAGGTCCAAGCGCTGTGTGCAGCCCCCTGTGGCCCCATGAGTGGTCAGTCGCCTGGCACAGTGAAGACACCGTCAATGATTCAGCAATAGTTGTCCGTGTACCACAGAACTTAAAATAATAGATGGCAAAAAGTGGGAACACAAAGAGCGCCAGGCCCACCCCACGGCTCCGGAAACGCCAGGGACTCTGCCCTCCTCTTGCTTCCTTTGCTGCTGGGCACATCTTGTTTTTTTTTTCTTTCTCTCCTTTTTGAGATGGGGTCTTGCTGTATCGCCCAGGCTGGAGTGCAGTGGTGCGATCACAGCTCACCACAGCCTCTGATTCCCATGCTCAAGTGATCCTCCTGCCTCAGCCTCCCACGTAGCTGGGACTACAGGTGTGCACCACCATGACTGGCTAATGTACTTTTTTCTTTCCTAGAGACAGGGTCTTGCTACACTGCCTAGGCTGTTTTTGAACTCCTGACCCCAAGCAATCCTCCCACTTTGGTCTGGGAGTCGTAGGCATCGTAACTGGGATTACAGTGCTGGGATTACAGGCATGAGCCACCATGCCCAGATTGGGAACACCCTCTCATTTCCTTTCAGCTCTGTTTCCCTGAGGAGACCAAATAGATCACACCTATCAAACCATCTCAAAGGAAAACAAAGACATGCAAGGTTGGAGGTCAGACCCAGGAAGCTCCAGAAGAGGCAGGGGAGCCGGTGCCGCCCACACCGCTGTGCCATCCACACGCCTTACACAGGGTTCTTCCTGCCTGTGCTCCTCACACAGGCCCGCAGACGCACTCCACCACCGTCTCCCTTCAGGTGTTTGCTTTGCTTTGCTCCCCTGTTCCTGTCTCCACTTAACCATGTTCCTTCATTACCTTTCTCCCCTTATCTCGGTGGAGTCCGTGTAGCAGTCATAGAGTTTCGCAGGCATCACTGCACATACTGCTCCCCTACCTGGGGCTAAATCAGCATGCTCACCTTCCTCAAGGAAAGCCAGCACACCCGGTTCCCACACGGCTAGTGTTCAGAATTGTAATTTTATTATGAATACAAAATGATGCATGGTTGTTAAAGGTCTGCCTTAATTTTCAAGTGTCTTTAATCGCTGGAATAGTGCAGCTGACAATCTCCTAACTGCTGGCAGACTGTCACAGAATTCAGGACAGAAGCAGGTGCACCTGGCAGAGACCTTGGGCAAGCACTTCTGAATCAAGCAGGTGAGAGACAGACGCCAGCAAAGGAAGCTTAGTGAAGGAAGCCAGCTGTCACAAGAGCAAGACACCAGGCAGGAGGAGGGCAGGGCTGGGAGCGGCAGAGTGGTGGGGTGAGGGGATTGAGAGTCAGCCAAAGGAACCCCGTGGGAATAGACGTGAAGGTGGCAAAGAGCGGGGCTGCAGGTAAGGAAAGGCTTCTGTCGGGTTCAGTGACAGCAGCTAGCTGTGAGGTCTGCAGGCACACAAACAGAAGCTCAAGACACTGGAGCCCACCCCCACCCAAGGGACACCCCACACAGCGCCTGTCTGGTTTCTTTTCCTGCCTCCTTCCGAGAAGTTATCACTATCCTGAATTCGTTACTCATCATTCCCACGGATCTCAATACCTTTACTACATATATCCATAAATGATGTTTTTACACCCTTTTAAATTCTCAAGATCACAGTGTATATCACCTGCAGACACATCACAGACCCTACTGGTGTGAGGCCCTGCTTGCCAGGCAGCCTGCAGTCCCCGCGCCCCACCAGTAAGGACCCTGCCTGCTGCTCTATGTCCCGCCCCGTCAGTCTTTTCCACCTGTTACGTTGTATGGAATTCAGTGACTGTAAGATGGTCCCTCAGTCCTGTGTTTTCATCTGCTTGTTGGTCATATGCATGTATTTCTTTTTCTGGGAACTGCACGTTTATGTTCTTTGCCTATTTTTCTGTGTGGTTTCATTTCTTTTTTTTTTTTTTTTTGAGATGGAGTCTGGCTCTGTCGCCCAGGCTGGAGTGCAGCGGTGCGATCTCAGCTCACTGCCAATGCCGCCTCCCAGGTTCACGTCATTCTCCTACCTCAGCCTCCCGAGTAGCTGGGACTACAGGCGCCCACCACCACGCCCAGCTAATTTTTTGTATTTTTAGTAGAGACGGGGTTTCACTGTGTTAGCCAGGATGGCCTCGATCTCCTGACCTCATGATCCACCCGCCTCAGCCTCCCAAAGTGCTGGGATTACAGGCGTGAGCCACTGCACTTGGCCTCATTTGTAGTTCTTTATATTTTTGGATATTAATCTTTGGCCGATGCATTGCAAAATCTTCCCCCAGTTTTTAGACTGCCTGTTCGTGTCCTTTGTGACACCTTTTTGAAGAGAAATTCTTAAATTTTAATGCACTTAACTTTGTCAATCATTTTTGTGCTTTTTTGTGTCTTAAAAGACGCTTCCCCGTGCTGGAATCACAAAGGCGGCCTCTGTGGTCTTCCAGGCTTCGTAATTTGCCTCTCCTCGGATTCACCTGCTTGCCACGTGCAAGCGCGCTTCTCCAGCCTGGCTGGCGTCTTCGTGTTGGAAGCAGGAGTGCTGCAGGAAGACATGGCTGGTTTCTCGCTTTCGATGCCATCAGACAAACCTCTGCCTTTTAGGATGAGAGCGAGTCTGCAGCATAACTACTGACAGGGTGAGGTTGGCATCTGTCGCTCTGCTGTTTGTTTTCTATTTGTCCCATCTGCTTTTATTCCTGCATTCTAGTTGCACAGTTTTTCAGTATTACATTTTACTTCCTCTACTAGTTTTTTTTTCCTGAAAAGCTCTATTTGTTTTATTTTCTTGGTGCTTTCTCCAGGGATTACAATATTCGTCTTTACTGGTCTTCTTAGATTAATACTGTACCACCTCCCACAATAAAATACCTTTACAACAGTGTGATTCCACTTTCACACTGCCCTCCTTTGGGTAGTTATTATCCTGTATTTCACAGCAGGTCGTCAATAGGATCGTTTCATTCAGCGTTGTTTTGTTATAACATTGATGAGGTTAAAAACAAACAAACAAACAAACAAAAACCACTCCCAGCCGGGGCCACTGTCTGTGGAGTCTGCACGTCCTCCCGTGTCTGTGTGCGTTTTCTCCAGGTACCTCAATTTCACTCACATCCCAAAGACTCGCATGTTAGGTGAATGGGTGTGTCTACGTTGTCCTGGTCTGAGTGAATGTGTTTATGTGTGTGTGTCTGTGTGTGTATGTGAGTGTGAGAGTGTGTGTGTGTGTGTGTGTGTGTGTGCACCCTGCGATAGGATGGTGTCCTGGCCCAGGACTGCTTCCTGCCAGGTGACCTGAGTTGCCAGGATAGGCTCTGTTCGCTCACAACCCTGACCTGGAATAACTGGGTAAATATTTATCTTGTTTGTATTAATCTTTCTTAAATGTCTGTACAGCTCACATGTATTTCAGTGTTTAATATCAGAAATACTTTGGCCTTGATTTGGAAGCTTACCGATGTTTTTGTGACCAGGAATATGGCAGAAGAACTTCACTCTTGTTTAGATCAATCAGTCTGTGGTAAACTGGCTTCAATGCTTGAAGAAGTCGCATGCTCTAAGGACCTGTCAACAGTGTTAAGTGAAGACTTACTGTGCTTCCAAACGTGTCTAAACTCCACCTTATGACATTATTTGAGTTTAAATGACCTCTCACATTTTAGGAAATTTAAATAGAAAAATGTCTTCATATCCGCCATCTGGTGCCCCTCATTCATTCCCAACGCGCTAAGTTTTCCTCCTGGAAGCTTCAGGATTCCAAGCAAGCTTATCTGCCTTTTGCTTTTTTACCCGAACATGTTTGATTTCACCATCATTCGCTGAAGGGTACGTTTACTGGATGTAGGATTCTGGGTTCACATTTTTTTGGCTTTGCTTCTTTCAGCACAATAAAAACTGCCTCCCTGGTTTCAAATGAGAAGTCAGTAATATTTCATAACGTTGTCTGTCTAGATGTAATGTGCTGTTTTTCTCTAGCTTTTTTTTTTTTTTTTTCTTAGAGATGGGGTCTCACTCTGTCGCCCGGGCTAAAGTGCAGTGGTGCTAATCCAGCTCACTGTAGCCTCAAACTCCTGTGCTCAGGTGATGCTCCTGCCTCAGCCTCCCAAGGGGCTATGACTACAGGCACGTGCCACCACGCCCAGCTAATTTTTCATTTCTTATAGAGATGGGGTCTCACTATGCTGTCCAGGCTGATCTCAAACTCCTCACCTCAGGCCATCCTTCTGCCTCAGCCTCCCAAAGCACTAGCATTACAGAAGCAAGCCACTGAACCTGGCCAAATGTTTGCCTACTTTGATCTAGCAATTCTACAGCCAGAAATCTGTCCTAAAGAAGCCTAATGTGCAAATATTTAACTATAAAAATGTTTACTGAAACATTGTTTATAATAAAAATTGAAAATAAGATAAATATTAAATATTCAAATTTGACTAAAAATGGTAAAATTATATCATAAATTGATACAGCCATTTAGGTGTTTCAAAGAATAATATTTAATGAGAAAACAGTGAAAGTTTAATGTGACATGAGGCAGGAGTTGAATTACTATGAGGAGTGTGATCACTTTGTTGTTGGAAAAATGTGTATTAATATGAAAGACTAAGAATTTAAATGTTGTTATGGTAATATATAACCAAACTTGCCATTTAAAACATTTTATACAGTTTTGTGGCATTAAACACATTCACAATCACCACTATTTCCAAAACTTTTTCATTACCCAAAACAAAGCTCTACAATCATGAGGCAAAATACCATCCCCCAGCCCCAGGGAATCTCCAGTCTACTTTCTGTCTCTATGAATCTCCCTACTCTCGATGGCTTCTATCGGTCACATCGTACAGGATTTGTCCTTGTGCCTGGCTTCTTTCCCTCAGCAGAATGTCCTCGAGGTCCATCCATGCTGTTCATAGGTCAAAATTTCATTACTTTTTATGGCTGAGTAACATCCCATCGTATGGATGGACTGAATGTGCTGACGCAGGCATCTGCTGAGACATCTGGGTTGTTTCTGTCCTTCAGCTACTGTGAACAATGCTGCAGTAAACACTGTTGTATGAAGATCTCTTTGTGTTCCTGGTTTGCATGCCTGTGGCATACACTTAGGAGTGGAGTTGCTACAGATCACAGCGTAATCCTATGCTTAGCGATCTGAGGAACCACCAGACTGGTTTCCACAATGGCTGCAGCGTTTACATCCCCACTAGCAACGCGTGAGAGTTCCGATATTGCCACATCCTCTGAGGTGCGTCTCACCTGTGGCTCTGATTTGGCTTCCCTGGTGGCTGGTGATGCTGGACACCTTTTCATGTGGGAAATGGCCCTTGTGGGCCTTCCTTAGAGAGATGGCTACTCAAGCCCCTTCTTTGCCCATTTCTGAATTGGGTGGTTTAATTTTCTGTTGTTGTTGAGATGTACAACCTCTTTATATATTCTGCATAAAAACCTCTTATCAGATAATTTGTAAATACATTTCCTCATTCTGTAGGTGGTCTTTTCACGCTATTGGTCATGATCTTTGATGTACAAAAGTTTACTTATTTTTCCCCATTTTAAAACCTTTTATTATCTCTACAAACCCTTGGATCGGGGGCTGACTTTCAACAGATCGTACTGAGGGAGCTGCTTTGCCGCGCATGAAACCCCAACCCAGAAGCGGGTCATCTACGGACGGTTTAGTGCCAGGTTCCCTACGAACGTGAGTGCGTGACAGGCAAGGGGGTGGCTGTCTTTCCGGCTGCACATCATTTCCCAGGGCCAAACGTTTTTAATTTTAATCAAGTTTGTCTATTTCTTTGATCATGCTTTTGTATCATATCCAAGAAATCATTGTCAAATCCAGTGTCATAAAGCTTTCCCCCCATGTCTTCTTCAAAGAGTGTTCTGGTTTTAGCTCTTAAGTACGGGCCTTTCATCCACATACGTTTTCCTTTTTTTTGAAACAGAGTTTCGCTCTTGTCACCCAGGTTGGAGCGCAGTGGCGTGATCTCGGCTCACTGCAACTTCCGCCTCCCGGGTTCAATCGATTCTCCTGCCTCAGCCTCCCAGGTAGCTGGGATTACAGGCACCCATCACCACGCCCGGCTAATTTTTATATTTTTAGTAGAGACCGGGTTTCACCATGTTGGACAGACTGGTCTTGAATTCCTGACCTCAGGTGATCCACCTGCCTCAGCCTCCCAACGTGCTGGGATTACAGGCGTGAGCCACCACGCCCAGCTGTATTTTCCATTAATTTTTGAATACAGTGTTAGATGAGGGTCCAACCTCACGCTTCTGGATGTGGATATCCAGCTGTCTCAGCACCATCTGTTGAAAAGACAGTCTTTTCCCCATTGAATGGTCTTTGTAACCTTTGCCAAAAATCAGTGACCATATATGCAATCGTTTATTTCTGGGCTTTTTATTTTATTCCATTGGTCTCTATTTCTGTCTTTATGCCAGTCCCACACTGTTTTCATTACTGTGGCCGTATATAGTAAGTTTTGAAATCAGCAAGTGTGAGTTCTCCAACTCTGTTCTTTCACAAAATTGTTTGGCTTCTCTGGGTCTCTTGAGACTCCGTATAAACTTTAGAAGTTTTCTGTATCTGTAAAAAAAAAAGCTGTTAGCGCTGGGCATGGTGGCTCATGCTCATAATCCCAGCACCATGGGAGGCTGAGGCGGGCGGATCACCTGAGGTCAGGAGTTCGAGACCAGCTTGGCCAACATGGTGAAACCCCATCTCTACTAAAAATACCAAAAATTAGCCAGGCATGGTGGTGCGTGCCTGTAATCTCAGCTACTAGGGAGGCTGAGGCAGGAGAATTGCTTGAACCTGGGAGGTGGAGGTTGCAGTAGGCCGAGATTGTGCCACTGCACTCCAATCTGGGTGACAGAGCAAGACTGTCTCAAAAAAACAAAAAAGCTGTTAGGATTTTAGTAAGGACTCCATGGACTCTACAGGCTGTTGGGTGGCACCTGCCATTTTAACCACATTCAGTCTTCTCATCTGTGAACATGGGATGTCTTTCTATTTATTCAGGTCTTCTTTAATTTCCTTCAGCAATGTTTGTTAGTTTTCAACTAACAAATACAAGTCTTTTGTCTTCTTGGTTAAACTCACTCCTAAGTATTTTATTCTTTTTGATGCTACTGTAAATGAAACCGTTTTCTTAATTTCTTTTTTGAATACTTCATTCAAAGTATATAGAAATGCAACTGATTTTTTTGTGTTAATTTTTTATCCTGTTTTGCTGAATTGGTTTTGTTAGCTTACAATATTTTTGCATATTCTTTAGGATTTTCTACATATAAAAACATGTCATCTGTGAACAGAGGCAGTTTTACTTCTTCCTTTCCAATGTGAACGCCTTTGATTTCTTTTTCTTGCCTAATTGCTCTGGGCTGAAGACAGGGTGAGACGATGTACTGTAAGGCGAACACCTTCTGCACAGCAAACCCGTCATTCGCTCACCTGTCTGTTGTCAGGCTCTGTAGAGAGTGAGCACTCACTAGTAGTTTTTAATAATAAACCAGGTAACCAAAGTGAGATGAAGGAACTATTTCTGGACAACTGGGTCAGTGTGTGAAGGCCCCAAGTCCTGGAGATGTCAGTAAGGATGTCCCTTGCTCAGCTTTCTGAGAAACGTCTACACACACACTAGGACGTTGATTCTGACAGGGGAACATACCTTGGGATCCACCAGGGCCCCAGCCTTGATGAGGTACTTCACTGCTTCCAGATGGTTGTTTTCGGCTGCTTCCATCAACGGGGTCCTCTGGTCTTCTGAGCAGGTGTCAATATTAGCGCCCGCCTAGTGAAACAACAGTTCAGGTGTATGGGAGGGCTGTGACGGTAGCCACCGCCTGGGGAGAAGTGACTTACAAGCTTCCACACTCAAAAAAAGAGAGCTGCACTGTTTCAGTGACCAACAATGTCTGAGTTTTCTAAACACGTATTCAAAGACATAATTATTCTATTATTATCAAACCTTTAGTCTAAGCAGAATATTTCTGCTAGATTTCATTCCACTTCTAAGGTAATTTGATAGTAAATGTTTATAGCTCAGGAGTGTGACAACACCTTTAGAAATGAGGAGGACAGTGACAACCTTCTAAAGCAGACAAAGAAGGGGGAGGGAGGGGCCCCTCAGCAGAGAGGAGGCAGGAGGGAGGTGCCGGTTCACCCTGCCAGGCCACACAGCATCCTCTCACTGATTTAGTACTCGCCAAAATAAGTGGAAAATCCTGATTTCCAGTAGCATGCATTCCGGAACAGTTTCCATTTTTCCAAACAAACGGAGAAACTTGAAAGACCAATTAACTGGCAGGTAAATTTTTCTTGGTCTGAAACTTAAGAAGCCCTCGACTTTAAAATTGGTTGTGTGCTAAAAGCCAATCAGCTGTTTGGCTGTTGAAACCTTTTCTCCATGAGGAAAAACTTCTTAGATGACAAAGACCTAGTATTTAATTTATAACATAAACATTATGAAAAAACGTTGAAAATAGTATTGTTTTTACTATTAGTAATTAAAAACCAAAAGTAACACAATTAAATAAGGAATGTTTAAACAGCCCTAGAATGGTCTATATGGAAAATGAGGCTAACTCATAACGGCTAAGGGGGTGGAGAGGCCGGGCACGGCAGCTCACGCCTGTCATCCCAGCACTTTGGGAGGCCAAGGCAGGTGGATCACCTGAGGTCAGGCGTTCGAGACCAGCCTGGCCAACATGGTGAAACCCCATCTCTACTAAAAATACAAAAATTAACCAGGCGTGGTGCCTGGCGCCTGTAATCCCAGCTACGCAGGAGGCTGAGGCAGGAGAGTTGCTTGAACCTGGGAGGCAGAGGTTGCAGTGAGCCCAGATTGCACCACTGCACTCCAGCCTGGGCAACAAAAGTGAACTCTGTTACAAAAACAAAACAAAACAAAACAAAAAACCACAAAACAGAGGGGCAAGTGAGAGGCTCAGGAGACTTTGACCGGAAGGAGCTGGGCTTCCCCAAAGAGAACGCAGGGTCCACAGACCAAGGGTCAGAGGTCAGAAGGCTGAGGCCTGGAGGCGCACAGTGACCCATGGCTGACTTCAAACACCAAAGCTCAAAGCCAAGGTCCGGCTGCCAAACCTGAAGGTAAAGTAGCGTCAGAAGTCTACGACAGCTAATTTTTAACGAATAGTAAGCTTAAAAAAACACAAAACGAGGTAGAGAGCGAGGCCCGTGCTGTGCAGAGGAGCTGTGGCTCTGCCCGCACGCTCAGCACACAGAGGCTGCTCCCCCAGACCCCAAAAATCCTGGTGAAAGAAGAGAGGGTGCGCCCACAATGGAGAGGGTGGCACCGAACGCCCCTGCGCCAGCACCAGGCCGGCAGCGCAGGCGGAAGCGCAGACAGACCCGAGTGTGCAAGGGCAGGAGGGGCTGACGGCTTCGGGCGGAGCATAGGGGACGATGGGTGTCCTTCCCCGGGGAGGAGGGCTCGGGCAGCTCTCGGCGGCCCACAGGAAACGGGAGGCTGCGGCTCCCCAGGGCGTTGCCCTCAGACCCACACCGCGCCCAGGACCCGGGTAAGCAGAAGGAAATGACCCCGCCCATGAGAACACAGGGCACTGAGACAAAGTCCAAGAAAGCTCTAAGAGTGGAGGGAAGCAGCGGAGCAAAAGGAAGAGTCAGAGCGACACCCGCGCGGCGGCATTTCCAAACAGACCTGCCAGCGCCAAGAAACAGGTCGCGCCCCCCATCCAGCTGCATCCTGGACCCCACGCAGACGCGGAGCAGGACCCACCTCCCACGCGCTCCCCAAACCCTCACCGCAAGCGGAGCGGCTGACACTGACCAAGTCCCACACAGCCTGGGACTCCAAGGTCGAAGCCGCCGGCCGCTCACCCTCCGCGAGGCTCTGACGGACGGCGCCCTTCCCAGGCTCGCGAGCACTCCCCGCCAACGGCTACCCATCGCGGTCCGCCTCCCAGGCATTGGGCCCGCAGCGACTCCCGCCTGCAGGCCCAGAGGCACAGTCGCTCTCCCAGTCCCCGAGGGGACAAGAGACACCTGCAGCACGGCAATCCCCTACACCTGTGAGGCCCTCTAAGCCCGCAAGGCCCCCTACACCTGCAACCTCCCTTCACCTACAAGATCCCTGCACCTGCAAGGACCCCTACACCTGCAACTTCCCTACACCTGCAATCTCCCTACACCTGCAACCTCCGTACGCCTGCAACCTCCTTTCACCTACAAGATCCCTAAACCTGCAACCTCCTTACACCTGCGTGAGCGTCACCCCGGCTGAGGCGCTGGCAGAAGGCGGTGCGGGTGGAGCCTTCGCCAACGTCCTGGGCCCCCTGAGTGCTGCATGCCAGTCCTACCAGCCGCTCGGTCATCTGCCACCGCCCAGCAATGGCTTCAGCATGCAGTCCCTGCTAGGGGACTCCAGGGAGGAGCATCCTGGCCAGGGCTGGTGCCACAGAGCAGCCCAGCTTCTGCAGGCAGGTACGGGGTGCAGTGGGGAGAAGGCAGTGACCACCCCACCCCTGCCCTCCTCTGAGAGGCCTCTGTGGCCCCTCTGCCCCCTTCCTGGCCCCACGAGAGTGGAGGGGGAGACTTTGCCAGCGGGAGCCATCAGGCCCTCAACCCTCTTCCCGGAGCCTAGGGCCTGGCCTCTCCACTTACTGCAGGGCACCTCAGTTCCTGGGGGGCTGTCCAGTGGGGGACACAGGGCCTCCCTCTGGGGGCAGCTGCCCACCTCCTACTTGCCAATCTACACTCCCAATGTGGTAATGCCCTTGGCACCCCCACCCACCTCCTATCCCCAATGTCCACCGTCAACCAGCTCTGCCTACTGGGGGGTGGCCCCTGAAACCTGAGGGCCCCCAGGGCTGGGATCTAGACGCCCTCTTCCAGGGTGTGTCACCCAACAAAAGCATCTACGATGTTTCGGTGGCACCCTGGGGACCTGGCGGCCCCTGGCCCAGGCGGGCTGCTCTCCCGGTGCAGCCTGTGAGGCTCTTAAGACAGGCCCCTCCTCCCTCCCGCTTCCACCCCCAGCTTGTTGCCAGGGAGCCAAGGCGAGGCGGTTGTCTGCGACCACAGCAGCCTCGAAACACCAGGCAGCAGCCTTGCTGGGAGTCCATGGTGTTTACTAACTACCCCACGTGTGGCCGTGGCCGAGCTGGGCACGGCCCTGGCCCTGGTCAGTCATGCCTCTGTTTCCCCTACACCCAGAGGCAAGGCTGTGGGAGGCAGGGCTGAGCCTGGAATAGCCCTTCCTAGTCCCCTCTTCTCAGCCCACTACCCATCCATCCGTCACCAGCCGTCACCGAATGGCAGATGCAGCCTGGGAAGGAGGTAGTACCTTTTCAGGAAAAGGGGTTAGGGAATCAAGACTGGACCCTACGTGGTCTTGGTAGGGGCGTGGGGGAGATAACAGTAAAGGAATTTACAACATTTTTTTTTAATGAGAGATGACAGAAGAGCAGACCGATGAAAACATGAGTGTCTGTGGTGAGTTCGGATGGCAGCGTGTGGCACCTCGCTCAGTGCTCTCCAGAAACTGCAGACACGGCATGAAATCTTGCAACACGAGGGACCAGGACACCGAAGGGCAGCAGGTGAGAGAGGGCAGCAGCACCCCAGAGCTGCAGCAGATGGAGGCACAGCTCCCGACTCCTCCGCAGGGACAAAAACACAGATCAAGTCAGAAAAGACCCCGGGGCGCTTGAGGCAGCTCGGACACCCAGGAGGCTCCGTGACCGATCCTCGGAGCCACTCCCCAGCCTGGGAGCCAGAACGCTGATGTCCCCAGCACCGGCGAAAGGCTGGGGTGGACTCCAGGTCGGCTGCCAGGGAAGCACTTTTTGCACAATGGATTTCTCTGTCTGTGCACAGGGGAGATGACTCCACATGACCAAGACGGGAGCCCGGGAGAGATGAGGCCACACGGCCAAGATGGGAGCCCAGGGGAGATGACACCACATGAGACCAAGACCGGAGCCGGAGGGAGAGATGACGCCACACGACCAAGACTGGAGCTGGAGGGAGATGACTCCACACAACCAAGACCAGAGCCCGGGAGAGATGACTCCACACGACCAAGACCGGAGCCCGGGAGAGATGACTCCACACGACCAAGACCAGAGCCCGGGGGAGATGACACCACAGGCCCTCACTGGTGTGGCCAGAGCCTGCCCAAAGAGTGTGTGTGAGATGTGAGACACCCCTGCAGATGCTGAAACCCTGAGAAACAGCACCCTTGGATTCAGGGCAAACTAGAGATAAAGCCAATCTCTCTCTCTTCCTGGAGAATCTCAGGAAAACCGCTTAGATTCTAAGGGGAAGAAAAAATAGAAATCCCTCTAAGACCAGCAACAGTAAGTTCTGCAGGACGGGTTATCAAATTAAACATCAGGCTAGGAATTTAACCCGAAGTTCCAGACTGGTCAGACCCCGGGCACTGCATGGACAGCAGCACCAAGGGACATAATGATTTCCTCCCAATACATCATGTTATTTCACGGCACTAAACTCACAAGAGGCTGTAAAACAGAACGAAGAGCTCTGTACTCCCCTCACTCGGCCTCCCCAAAGACGACGTTTCAGACAAGCACAGAGCACAGGCAGTCAGCAGGGAGCCCTGGCAGGGCCAGGCCACTCAGCCCCACAGCCATGTCCCTTTTCTACACTCCCTTGTTTTCCTGACTGACGGAAGCAGACACAAAGGAACTCACGCTGGACAACTCAGTTAGCATAAAGGTTAAAAGCAAACAAACGGAACCCTGCTATGCGAGGCACTTGCAGGGCGGTGAGACCAAAACGGCTGCTGTTCCCGGGGAGGGCACCCAGGCGTCCACCAGGTGTCCAGGGAGCCAGCAACGCTGTGTCTCACGGGGGTGCGAATGTCAGGGCCAGAGTAGGATGATTTGTTAACCAGATGTTTACATTTTAAGGACCTTTCTGTATGCATGATGCAACCATATGTTTTTGGGTTTTAATTTTAATATTTAAAAAAGAAAGCCAAAGAGAACCCAGTGTCTTTCAAAGGAGTGACAAGCTAAATTCTCAAAAGGAAGAATGGAAGTCAGAAGACAGTGGCATCATTCCTTACATGACCTGAGGAAAACCACCAGCAACCTGGAATTCCAGGCACAGGAGGAATGTCTTCAAGAAGCCTCCACAGCCAGCAGTGGACATGGAGAATGGGCTCAGCACGGCCCACCCTCACGGGCTCAGCACACCCCACCCTCAGGGGCTCAGCACGGCCCACCCTCACGGGCTCAGCGCACCCCACCCTCACGGGCTCAGCGCACCCACATTCATGGCCTTGCCCAGCTCCTGGGGCCATCGGGGTAGCACTCATACAGCCCTTGTTCCTGTCTGGTCCATTCCCCCACGTGGCTCTGCACACTCATCCCCATTCAGGTCCATCCGCAACAGAACAGAATCATGCCACACCCTTCACTAGGCCTCCCAGGAGAGGAGAGGGCCTCCCAGCCGAATGCCTGGCCCTCCACCAGCATCTGCTCTCGAGCCCCACAACACCAGCTCCTGCCTCTTCCAGACCACGCTCTTCCTCTTCCTCAGAGCCCCACCTATGAACGTCCTGGCATCACTCCTGCCCTGAACAGCCCAGCCCTCACTCCAGCTCTGCCTGTGTCTGGACGACCACCCCCCACTCCCTGACCTCACCCCCTCCCACAAGCCTGTTCCCACCAGATCAGCCACTTCCCTCATGGTCTCACCATGAACCACAGCCCACATGACTCGTCTTGAGGCCACCCCACTGTCTCTGAATCCTTTTCTGCTTCTCCCTGACATACCCAGCAGCCTCCGTGGCTCCTCCTGCATGGAGCTGGCCCCCAGTGCCCCCAGTGCCTACCTCGGCTCAGCGCTTCTCACGGCACACTTTCCTCTCAGCCTCCAGGAGCCCCCCACAAACCCCTGGCTTACTGGACCCCAGTTCACTCAGCTGCTCCCTCCCTCACCCCCCTGCCAGGGCTTGGCTCCCCCATCATCATCTCATTCAGTCTTGACCTTGGTAAGTCAAGTCTGCATGTGAGACTGACAGGAACCACTGGGGCAAAAACTGGAAAGTTTGTAACTAACAGAGAGAAGAGAAATGGCAAAATCAAAATAAAACCAATTCAAAAGACGCAAGAACGACCAAAAAGTGGAAAGTCTGTAACTTCCAGAGAGAAGAGAAACGGCAAAATCGAAATAAAACCAATTCAAAAGATGCACGAACGACCAAAAAAGTATTGGCTTCAAAAGGCTGGCACTATGGTCTGAATGCAATTTATTTACCGGGGCTGGGGGCCCCAATGAGGTTTTGAGGCTGGGCCTTTAAGAGGCTACGAGGCTGTGAAGATGGAGCCACGCCTCTCTGAAAGGCGGAGTCAGCCCCCAGGAATGGACCTGCTCCCTGTGGGCGGCCTGGTCCACAGCAAGGCTGTGCTGGAGCATCTTCCTCTTGGCGTGGTTCCTGGCTGTGTTCGGGAACAGCACGAGGTCCTCACCATAAGTCACCAAAGGCAGCCCCTCGACCTTGGGCTTCCCAGCCTGCAGAACTGTGAGAAATAAATTTCTTTTCTTTATAAATGACCCGGTCTCAAGTATTCTCTTATAGCTAGAGAAAATGGACTAAGACAGCTAGAAATTAAAACTACAATATAAGACATTAGGTATAAATAAAGGACTAAAAGTTCCTATTAAAATACCAAGACTGTTAGACTAAATTTATAAAAATCAAGTTCTACGTTTAAAATACATATATCCAAAAACGAGGGAAAAGGTCAGAATAAAAGGAGGGAAAAATCATTCCAGGCAAATAGTAACAAAACACCATCAGTTATGACTCCGGAAACGGGGGACAGACTGAGGCAGCTGGACAGCGGGTGAGTGTGGGCACAGCAGACGGTGCGCCCCGTCGCTCTCTCCTTCTTGGCCCTAAGAAAGGCAGAGACAGGTGCAGTCCGAGAAGACAGGTCCTTCCCAGACAGTGGGGCCTGGGGGCCCCAACAAAACAGCCAGGCCTGCAGATCACCCTACAGCTGACAAGCCCCCGGCAAGCAAGAGCTACCACCAGCTTTTCAGTAGTTTACTTTAAATATAAACGAGAATCACTGGGCATTTGAGGAAAACCTTTAGATAAGAAAAACTAAAACACAGCAGCATAAAACTTCAAAATAACCATAATACCATCAGAGAAATAAGGGAAGAAAAAGAGGCTACTGAAAGAGGAACTATCTAAGAGCAGAAAGGAATTACTGGGATTTGAAAATGTGACCACACATGTTAAGAATCCCCCAGGAGCTGGAAGCTGAAGGTGAGAATGCTGCCTAGAAGGCAGAACCAAAAGACAAGAAAACAGACCACGGCAGGAAATCGGTCTGGAAGGTTCCACACCTGAGTTATGAGAGTCCCAGGACAGAGCTGAGACAGGTAGAAGACCTGGGCACAGAAGTCACACAGGAAATCCTCCTAGAACTGACAGGTGTGGATTTCTGCACTGAAAGGGCACAGCACATGCACCAAATGCCCCAGTGGATCTAAAAAGACCCACATTACAATGAGGTACAACTTCAGACCAGTGGGGTTCAAGGAAAGTTCCTAAAGTCTCCAGAAATAATAGGTCACACACAAAGGATCAGAAGTCAGACTGCACCAGACTCAAACCTGGCACTTGAGAAACAGGGGATCCAACACCGGGATCAGGGAAGGGGCGTCACAGGGGGACAAACAGCGTCGTGTGTCTGAACCCAGAGACAAGCGGGCAGCGTTCAGATGGTTCAGAATAAATTAGCAGGTGGCAGAGTCAACTCAACCAACAGAAACACAAGCCAGTGATTAACGACAGACACAACATACCCTGTAGACGACGTGGTTCAGCTTGAAAATGCTCACACGATCTGATCTAAACAAAATGGGAGCCAGTCAACGGGGCTGGGGGAGGGGCGTCCGTGCCTCTGCGAGTGCTTGGCTCCCCCAGAGGGACGTCATGAGTGTGAAGAACCAAAACCAAAACCAAAGAAAGCAAATCAAGAAACAGCCAAATGGCGGCATGCTCTTCTCAAAGGCCGTGGTAAATGCCGGAAGAAACAGCGGGAAGCACTGATCCACCTGCAGGACTCGGGGGCAGAAAAGCTGACTCTGTGCCCGATTCACAGCACTACGGAACTCTTACACTGGAAGAACCGCGAACGTGGTATGATTTTACTTTGGTAAAAATAAAAGAGAGCAGGTGAAGAGCCCTAGGAGGGCGCCGTGCCGCCGCACCTGAACCAGCATGTGGCAGATGTCCACGTGTCCAGCCTCTGCCGCGGCGTGCAGTGGAGAGCGCTTATTCTGGTGCTCCATTTTGAAGTTGGGGTCAATTCCGTCCACTGTGAACAAACACAGTTTTATTAATGATTTCAGATGTAGCCACAGACTCCAGCTCAGGACTGTCACGATGGCTGGCAAGCACTCACAAATGACCATCCTCCACATAAACAGCCACCTCGAGCCACGCCGGAACCCGCCCACAGCACCATCCTCTGGACTTGAGACTTGAGTGTGCTAGTCTCCTGCGGAATTGAACAGGCAGGTCCCTCTGTCAGAACTAACTCGGCAAGGCACGCTCTTCCCTTTACCACCCTGCTCTAACTCTGAGGTTCCTTCTGTGTTTCTGTGTGGCCTGGCCATGGCCGCCCCAGGCCCAGTGAGGCGGCTGACCAGGGCAGACACACCCTAGGGGAGCAAGCAAGGCCGGGGACAGAGGCCTGAGCATCGGTCAATTCCCAGGAGGTCTGAGAGGACGGTGAGCAACGGAGCAGTGAGGTGACCTTCACAGGTGTCCTGTGAAGTCCATGACAAAATGATTAAAACTGCTGGTCAACATAAATAAACCTTTCTTTAAAAGCAAATAGTTTCACTTCTTTTTACTTGACGTACTGTCCAGTAAAGGGCTTCTTAATCATCCTTTTCAACCCAGAGACGATGAACGTCAGAGAAATCAAGCCTAAAGCTATGAGCTCAGAGACCAAATTATCACTGGGAAGGCTCTCTAACAAGTATGCTTTTGCGTATTAGAAATCTAATGCAATCGGTTTGCCTGTTATAAAATACCTATAGCTGAAGCCTACTTTGTCCACACCACAGCTGCTGCGATCAGCACAGGTGAAACATCGACTGCCGTCATCACCACACATTCCAGCGTCATGACCACACATCTCAGCATCATCACCGCATATCCCAGCGTCATCACCACACATCTCAGCATCATCACCACACATCCCAGCGTCATCACCACACATCCCAGCGTCATCACCACACGTCTCAGCGTCATCACCACACGTCTCAGCGTCATCACCACACATCTCAGTGATGCCGTCATCACCACACATCTCAGCGTCATCACCACACGTCCCAGCGTCGTCACCACACGTCCCAGCGTCGTCACCACACGTCCCAGCGTCGTCACCACACGTCTCAGCGTCGTCACCACACGTCCCAGCGTCATCACCACACGTCTCAGCGTCATCACCACACGTCTCAGTGATGCCGTCATCACCACACATCTCAGCGTCATCACCACACATCCCAGCGTCATCACCACACATCCCGGCGTCATCACCACACGTCTCGGCGTCATCACCACACGTCTCGGCGTCATCACCACACATCCCGGCGTCATCACCACACATCCCAGCGTCATCACCACACGTCTCAGCGTCATCACCACACATCTCAGTGATGCCGTCATCACCACACATCTCAGCGTCATCACCACACATCCCAGCGTCATCACCACACATCCCGGCGTCATCACCACACGTCTCGGCGTCATCACCACACGTCTCGGCGTCATCACCACACATCTCAGTGAGATGCCGTCATCACCACACATCTCAGCGTCATCACCACACATCCCAGCGTCATCACCACACATCCCAGTGTCATCACCACACATACCGGCGTCATCACCACACGTCTCGGCGTCATCACCACACGTCTCGGCGTCATCACCACACATCTCAGTGAGATGCCGTCATCACCACACATCTCAGCGTCATCACCACACATCCCAGCGTCATCACCACACATCCCAGCGTCATCACCACACATCTCAGTGATGCCATCACCACACATCTCAGCGTCATCACCACACATCCCAGCGTCATCACCACACGTCTCAGCGTCATCACCACACGTCTCAGCGTCATCACCACACATCTCAGTGATGCCGTCATCACCACACATCTCAGCGTCATCACCACACATCCCAGCGTCATCACCACACATCCCAGCGTCATCACACGTCTCAGCGTCATCACCACACGTCTCAGCGTCATCACCACACATCTCAGTGATGCCGTCATCACCACACATCTCAGCGTCATCACCACACATCCCAGCATCATCACCACACATCCCAGCGTCATCACCACACATCCCAGCGTCATCACATCTCAGCGTCATCACCACACATCTCAGCGTCATCACCACACATCTCAGTGATGCCGTCATCACCACACATCTCAGCGTCATCACCACACATCTCAGCGTCATCACCACACATCCCAGCGTCATCACATCTCAGCATCATCACCATACATCTCAGCGTCATCACCACACATCTCAGCGTCATCACCACACATCTCAGGGCCACAACTCACTAGTTTTGCTTTTCCTTAATCTCTATTTCTGCTTGATTTAATAATCACATACCAATTCCTTTTTAAAAATTAGAACTTCGTAGAGAATAGTTCTAATATCTTGCGTAACTGGATATGAACACCATAAAAAGCCTCAACACCAGTGGGCAACCTATTCTCACTCATCAGAGAACTCGGAGACACAGAAACAGAAAACCAAAACGAGACCAGCCTCCTGAGGAAGGAGTAACAACTGCTCTCGGCTTCTTTCAGTGCCACAGGGCCGGCTGCATGTGCCCGGGCCGCAGGAAGGCACTTACCCAGCATGAGGAGCACCTTCTGAAGCTCCCCTTGCCTGGCGGAGAAGTACAGCTGCTTTGGGTGGAAGCGAAGCTTCTTGGGTCTGTGGGAAGCACAAGACAACAGTCAGCATGGGGCTCTGCATCCCACACATGAAGCTGAAGGCTGGAAGGCCCGGCGGACATCTCCCCACCAGCCCCTCAAGCTCATGGGGCTCCGCGTCCCACACATGAAGCTGAAGGCTGGAAGGCCCGGCAGACGTCTGCCCACCAGCCCCACAAGCTCAAGTGCAAACCCACCAGTCGAGATATCTCATGGTAAAAACTGCGGACAAGAAACTGCGTTCCCAGTCACCGCAGGAGAACACTACGCACTGTGAGGCTTTTACACAACACGACGACAGAACCAGCGCAGGATGCAGGGGAACCTCATCTACGCTCAGCACAGCCGGGACCAGCCCCAGCCAGGATGAGCCCACACAGCGTGGTCACGAGTGAGGGCACAGCTCGCACTACAGAAGATGTCCTGGGCGGTGAGAGCTGGGAACACTGGCACTTTTGCTCTGAAACCTTAACTCGATGACTAAGCTGATAACTGATATGGTGTGGACCTCTGTCCCTCCCAAAACTCACGTTGAAATGTGACCTCCAGTGTTGGAGGTGAGACCTGGTAGAAGGTGACTGGATCCTGGAGGCAGATCCCTCATGAATGGCTTAGTGTCATCCCTCCCCCTGGTGATGAGTGAGTTCCCGCTCAGTCAGTTCCCACAAGATCTGGTCGCTTAAGAGTCTGGGAGCCTCCCCCTTCTCTGTCTCTTGCTACTGCTCCTGCTTTGCCTTCCACCATGACTGTAGCTTCCTGAGGCCTCCCAAGGAGCAGATGCCAGCACCATGCTTCCTGTACAGTCTGGAGAACCGTGAGCCAATTAAGCCTCTTTTCTATATAAATCATCCAGCCCTGGGCATTTCTTTATATTGACACAAAAGCAGACTAACACAATCACCAAGGGATGGGGGAGAGAGTGGGGTCAGGAACAGTCTGGGGTCTGGTCAGCGAGCAGAGCCTGTGGGTCAGGAACAGTCTGGGGTCTGGTCAGCGAGCAGGGCCTGTTGGCGTCAGCAGATGGTACCGTCGCTTCAAGAGCAGGCTCAGAGGCGAGGCTGGAGGCAGACAGAGGGGAGATCCAGGGAGGAGGCACCGCAAGCCTCACTGCCACAGTCTGGTCTGCCTCCCTGGTGGGGCAATGCTGAGAGGAGGACGAGGAGGGGTGGGTTTTTGTGAGCTGTCGGGAAAGCCTGGAGGGCCCCTTGGCCCAACCCTCGCATTGCACAGATGGGGTGTGGCCTGGGAGGGAAACGGAGTCAAGGCAGCAGAAGCAGTGTCTGCTCTCATGACCTAAGGGCAGCTCAGGGCCAACAGCAACCAGGAAATGTTTGTCAAAGCTCACCAAGACCTGCCTCCTCACTTAGGACTTCAAAGGTGTCAGAGGTTGCTCTTACTATAATGCAGAGGACAGTAATTTACAATAATTTCCCAAAATAGTGTGAAAATATACGAATTATTCTAACGAACAGCATTAATCAAAAAGCTGAGAAGTGCTAAAGTGACACCATGGGGAAAAACGCGGGGTGCAGATTAAAACAGGCTCTGAGACATCTCTGAAATCACATGTCAGGTCTTACTTTTCCGAGTCGAGGGCGATGAGAGCGCTCTCCAAGGTTTCCTTCCCTGGTCCCTGGGAAAGGCCGGGAGTTGGCCTCCCAAGCCCAGCAGGTCCCGTTGGATCAAAGCCCTCGGGCACGTGGGAGGCTGCACCCTGCAGCTTGTCGTCCTCCGAGAGTGGTGGCCCGGCAGCACTTCAGGGGAGGAAATCGGGGAAAGGTTTATGAAAACACGAAACATGGCCTGTTCCGACTCTGACTGCCCGAGAGCGCTGTTTTCTAAGTGAGAGCTGCGGATTTGCTTACTGTCCGCTTAGTCCCTGGATTTAACGGTTCAGGATTCAGAACCAAATTTCCTGAGAAAACTAGGGCAACTTTTCCTAGACTTCTGGGCAGCGTGTTCAAATACACTCTCATGAATGAGCTTCAAGCTGAATCTATCAAGTCCACTGCCCACCCCAACAAAAGGAAATCCCACTGGAATTTTGATTCAAAGTGCATTAAATTTACAGGTTAATAGGAAGGAATCACCTTAACATGTCCACAATTTGAGTCTCTTTTAAATAATCTTCAAGGAAGTTTATTTTCTTTATATTAGTGTCACATTTAAGTTCTTTGTTCTGCTGGGTAGTAACAAGTTTTGTTGCTGTTTTGAAAGGGTCTCTTTTGTTATTTTATTCTCAGGCAGGGAACTGCTGCTAAGGAAGAAGGCAAGTGGCTTCTATCTCTTCTTATCAGATCCTCTTACTGACTCTTTTGAGCTCTAAAAATTTTTCAGCTGTTTCTACTGGACTCTTTCAGGAAGACAATTGTATCTGTCTAATATGAACACTTCTAATTATTTTAGACTTTTTTGTCTTCAGCTAAGGCCTTCAAACCTTAATACCACAGAACTCGGTCACAGACTGCAGCAGCCACCACTCGTCTATCGCTTGTGTACCAACAGGACTGTGCCATCAACAGAAACACCACAGAGCTACATCAATGGGGGTGCTGTGAAAACCGGTTCAAAACAGGCAAATGGATCTACATAACCAAACCGAAAGAGAGCAACGTATGCACAAATGGCAATAAATGAATTTCAGAGTCTTAAATGTCAGAAATCACCATAAGCATCAGCATCAGCTCAGAGACTTCTGGAAAAAACAGCAGGAAGCAATAACGTTGAGTTAACAACTGAAACTTTTTCAGGTGGACGACTGGAGAGCCCAGCCAGAGCCTGTGCCAGGTACCTGCCCGTTGTGGTGTCGGCCCTGCCCTCCAGGGCCGAGCCCTTCTCCTGCCCGGGGACTGGTGTCACGGTCGAGGTGGTGTCTGCTTTAGCTATCGTCACCTCTTTGGCCTTGGAGCTCTCCTCCCCACAGTGGGGACAATAGCTGGCGTTATTGACTCGAGAGGCACAGTCTTTGTGGAAACGGTGAGAGATGCTGCTCTCGGGCTGACACTCCATAAAATTACCCTAAAAATGGGAGGACAAAAAAAAATTTTTGTTTTAATTGGGGTTAATATTTAGAAAAATAAAGTACTACTAAACTGGCACCGCATCCCACATCGGGCGGTCTGCAGAGTGAGCCATGGGTCGGGGTGGGGTCCAGTCTTGGCCCCAGGCATCGTTAAGAAGGAGGAACGATGCTTCCCGTGGTGCTCTCGCCCCACAGAGAAGAAGCTGAAGCCAGACAGAGGTCACTTGGCTGCCTCCAACCCACCTAGGCCCAGGAAAGCTGAGGCTGCCCGCAAAGAGAAGGCCTAAAGAAGGACCCAGAAGGCCCCTACTCTGAAGGGCGGATAGGGACAGGGACAGACGACAGCACCTCAGGGCACAGCATCAGGCAGGTGGAGCTGCCTCAGTGCCCAGCAGTGCGCAGCAGATGTGGTTTGGCGACCCAGGTGAGCCTCGAGGAGGGGCACACAGCCGTAAGAACAGCATTTTC
Organism: Homo sapiens; assembly: GCF_000001405.40. Classification (NCBI taxonomy): domain Eukaryota; kingdom Metazoa; phylum Chordata; class Mammalia; order Primates; family Hominidae; genus Homo; species Homo sapiens. The sequence continues at coordinate 137,776,145 of NC_000009.12, read as the reverse complement.
TTGCAGAAAGCCAGAGATAAACAGATGTAGCAGAACCAAAAAAAGGATGTTTGAAGATGGGGAGGACATGCAAGGTGTGAAGTCCAAAGAAAGTCTCCCAAAAGTGGAAGCTCTTGGCCCATGTTCGTAAAGGGGCAGCAGGGCATCTCTGGGTGCCTGAAGCTCACACTCAAACACTCACACACACAGGCGCACACAGACAGACGCTTACAGGCAGAGGCTCACACAGATGTGTGCGCGCACAGACACACACACACACACACCCTACATGCACGAGGATGCCCACACAGGGGAGCTCCAAAGGGAAGCAGCCCATTCTCGGGGGGCCCTGGGCACGGCTGAGCACAGATGTTTGACATTGAAGTAACTGATGACCCAAGATCCCAGCAGAAACAGCCCAGGGCACAGCAAGGTGCTGCCACCTCTCCCAGGAGCTGTGTGCTCTGGACACCCTTATCATGGGGGGTGAATGTCCTCAGTACACCCTTGTCATGGGGGATGAACGTCCTCAGTACAGCCTCCACCTGGAGTCTCCAGTGCGTCACAAGCCCCTCACCACTGCTCTCGAGCCCCAGTGCCTTAGACACCTTCACCCCCAACCCTCACTTCCCTCCTCTGGCCTGGAAGCCCAGGTCACACCGTCCTAGTCATCTCCAAAAGCGGTTTCCAGGCGGTAGGAGGGAAATGGGGGTTGGGGGTGAAGGTGTCTAAGGCACTGGGGCTCGACAGGGGTGGTGAGGGGCTTGTGAACACTGGAGACCTCCAGACGGACACCAGACCTGGGCCAGCTGCTGGACCACCCGACAGCAGGTGGACACAGGACAGGAACCAGCACCAGTGAGCAGACAGCAAAGCCTGCGGAGGACTCAGAGGCTGCCGGACTGGGCTCTTACCGCTGTGCAGAAGTAGCCACAGCCAGGACAGCACTGGTGCTTCACCATGCGGCCCCGGTGGTCTTCACACAGCACGAGGAGCGGGGCCTTGTTGGAGGGGCGCATCAGCTCATACTTGACCACGCTGTTTGTGCACCGGCCCAACTGCAATCAGACAAGACTGGTGGTCAATGTCAGAGTCACGAGAGGCCGGCATTCCCTCCCACCAGGCGCTGGGCAGTGCAGGCACACAAGAGCTGCTCAGCAGGTGTGGGCTGACTGAGCCGAGCCCTGCAAGGCCAGCTTGGCTTTGCAAGCACTTATCGAGCACCTGCTACACGCCTCAGCACGGGGGACAAACAGGGAGCCCAGAGAAGGAAACGCCCATCATCTGCACAAACTGCAGGAGGCAGCGGCACATGAGCAGGTCCAGTGGGCCAGGCGCGACCACACCCACCAGATCCAGGGGGCCAGGCGTGCCCACACCCACCAGATCCAGGGGGCCAGACGCGACCACATCCACCAGATCCAGGGGGCCAGGCGCGACCATACCCACCAGATCCAGGGGGCAGGCGTGCCCACACCCACCAGATCCAGGGGGCCAGGCGCGACCACATCCACCAGATCCAGGGGGCCAGACGCGACCACATCCACCAGATCCAGGGGGCCAGGCGCGACCATACCCACCAGATCCAGGGGGCAGGCGTGCCCACACCCACCAGATCCAGGGGGCCAGACGCGACCACATCCACCAGATCCAGGGGGCCAGGCGCGACCATACCCACCAGATCCAGGGGGCAGGCGTGCCCACACCCACCAGATCCAGGGGGCCAGGCGTGCCCACACCCACCAGATCCAGGGGGTCAGACGCGACCACACTCACCAGATCCAGGGAGCCAGGCGTGCCCACACCCACCAGATCCAGGGGGCCAGACGCGACCACATCCACCAGATCCAGTGGGCCACATGTGCCCACATCCACTCACATGCGCCTACCAGAGGGCCGGCTGCTCAACTCTGGCAGAAGTCAAGGAAGGTTCTGGGGTGAGAGGGGTTCTGGGCTGGGTATCCAGGAAACATGAACGTATACCTGGCAGGACAGTCCAGGCCATCACAGGCCAGCAGTGGGCAGCGGTACAATGAATCTGTGGGAGCCCCAAGGATTCTGGGGCAGCCAGAGGAACCTGCACACAAGGCAAGGAGCAGGACACAGAGTCTGGGGCCTGACTGGGGAACATGGTCACTGGAGGATTCTGAGAGGACCAGGACTTGAAGGCGCCTGTGGAGGTGGAAGCAATGAGGGCACCCAGGATGCCAGGCACTCTGCAGCACACCAGACAAAGCCTTACAGGTTTGCTACGGAAAGTTCTCTGATAGCCAATAAGAAAACAAGAAGTAGCCCCCCCAAAAATAAGCAAATAATTGAGTGGCATTTCACTAAAGAAGAACTACAAATGCCCCCCAAAGGAAATTACACAAAGAAATTCAACATAAGCCTCTGACATTCTTCGTATTCGGTCTGGCACACTGCAAAGCTGGTATCTGTGGGGTCTGCAGAGATGACACACCATCACTGTGAGTTCTGTCCAAACTTCACAGCAAGCAACTTGGAGACATGAATCAATTACAAATACATATTCTTAAGACTCCACTTGAAGATATAATTAAGTGCACAAACATGTATCTAGAAGGACCCAGCTTTTGCAATAACAGAAAAGTAGGAACAACCAACCTGTCTACCTGCAGAAGAGTGGCTGCAGGGCACGCCCAGGTGGCATAAATGATCTACCCTGAAGCCAGCAAGAGACTTCTCGATGCCCAAATGAGGCTGCATTAGAATCACCCAGGCAACTTTTTTAAAAGACAGTCTGGGCCCCACCCCAAACCTATGGAACAAGACCTGAAAGGCGTAGAACCAGGGCATGTACATCCTGAAAAAATGCCCCCTCCACACCACCACCACCAAATGCTTCTGCAGTGACTCCCTGGTTCAGGACCAGCGGCTGCAGGGCACTTGTACCTACTGACTTTGAAAAATGTTTACATTAAAGGAAAAACAAGTTATTTTCAAAAATTCAATGTGGTTATACACATAGAAGTCTAGGAGAACATACAAAAGTACTAAGAATGATTCCCTCAGTTTTGGAATAAGAAGTGATTTTACTTTCTTATTCATGCATGTATGTAGTATCTGGATTATTTTACAATCGGCATGCATTATTTTTACAATCATAAAAACGATAATGCTGTATGATTCTGGCTCTGTGCTGTGTAAGAAGGAAACACAGAAGGGAGCTGCGGGGTAGGGGGTCCAGGCAGAACGGCAGGAGAATGTAAGGAAGGAGATGTTCTGGGAAGGATATATCAAATAAATGACAATGGGATCCAGTTAGGGTTGGGAAAAAAGAGATAAAACAAGGAATCCTTTAACAAGGTGGGAAAAACACAGATGCACTGGGGTGGCCCCACTGAGGTCACCATGGGTGGGAGGGGCACCCTGGGTTCACCACAGCAGAGTACAGATTCACCGACTGCTGACCGGATCCTGAAGGAGGGACCAGAACAAGAAAGGAGCCCACCACAGGGAGGTGCTGTGCTTTCAGGACAGAAAGCAGCTGAAACAGGTACTGACTTCACAAAGTAGAGATAACCCAAACCTGCTTGCCTGAAGGTGGGTCCGCACCGGCAGAACCCTGGAAGGCTAAAGAATCAGGGCCAGCTTCGGTGGCAGGGGCTGAGCTGGTGTAAATACAGAGCTGGCGAGGCGGAGCCTCAGACGAGGTCCATGCAGCTAGGCACCCCACCTGGCGCAGGTGAGGGGTCACCCTCTGCAGAGGTGGCCACAGAGCTCACTATCTACTCTCCACACAAGCCCACCGCTACAAAACGGTTTCCTATTTTTTTAGTGTCTGTTTTATTAAATATTCTATTAAGAAAACTTTCAAAAATAGAGACAAACGTAAAATGTATCCCCATGTGCCCATGCCTAATTTCAAAAATTACCAGTATTTTCTCTTCTCGTTCAAGCCATCCCCTATAACCTTTTGTGCTTGGAGAGGTGTGCTGGTATATTTAGCAAAGTACCTAGGGGTAAAATGATGCCATTTTAGCCATAAATAACTCCATATGCATTGCTAACAAATCATACTTCATATAACCTTAGAACCATTATCAAGCGGAACACAGGTAGCACTTTCTCAGCGCAATTTAATACCCAGTGCCCACAGGCTCTGCAGGGCCCACAGGCTCTGCATGGTGGCTTATTAGGACACAGTGGGGTGTGCAGCTGTCCTGGGCTAGCCTTTCCTCAGCTGTGGGAATGCCCTCCCTTCCTTCCTCTTCCTTGGATCTGGTTTAAACCAGATCTGGGCTCCACTGTGGGCCCCGCTCCTGAGCGAGATACAAAAGCCTCCAAGTTGGGGTCCCCTGTGACTCATCCCAGCTGTTCTGCTGCTCAGGTCTGCCGATGGGGCCCCTCCCTTCCTTCCCAGTGGCACCCTCTCTGCCCGACGCTGCCCGAGCAAGCATGAACAGACAAAGTCCAAAGGTGGGAACAGCACTGCTGTAGCCAAAACGCCCCGCCACCCCGGTCTCCTCGGTAAGACCCCAGCACCCCCATCTCCTCGGTAAGACCATGTCGTCCAGCAAGGTGCTCGCCTGTGGTGAGCTAAGACGAAAGAAGCTGAAGCCAACCAGCCAAGACCAGGACTCCGAGGAGCACAGAGACGTGCAGACAGAGAAGTGTTTGTGGGAGACACTAGCACGATTATGCTCAAAGACATGGGAGATAGCAGGGCGCAATGGCTCACGGCTGTAAACCCGAGGTGGGAGGATCACCTGAGGTCAGGACTTTGAGACCAGCCTGGCCAACATAGGGAAACTCCGTCTCTATTAAAATGCAAAAACATTAGCCAGGCATGGTGGCGAGCACCTGTAATCCCAGTGACTTGGGAGGCTGAGGCACAAGAACTACTTGAACTCAGGAGGAGGAGGCTGCAGTGAGCAGAGATTACGCCACTGCACTCCAGCCTGTGTGACAGAGCAAGACTCCATCTCAAAAAAAAAAAAAAAAAAAAGACATGGAAGATGGAGGCAGCTCTGAGGGGAGAACTGGAGGGCCACAGTGTCCGTGACATGAGAGAGAACACTTCAGAATTCAAAGGCTCAAAATAGTTATCTTCTGAGCAATGTGTCTTAAGAACTAAAGGTTATGCACCACCAAGACAAGAGTAAAGTGAAGATATGTGATCCAGCAACTTGATGTGTCTGAGAATACAAACATGCAATTCTATCAGTTTGGGAATGGGTTTATAACAAGTACACAGAAAACAAAAAAATGAATAGGGAGGCAATGATTAGCTCTAAGGAAAACAAACAAAACAAACTCACTCAAGAAAGGAAAGGCAATCCAGGCAGCTGTGAGTGCCTCCCCCAGCAGGACACAGCCTGGAAGCTGCAGCCCCAGGGAACCAGACCCATTGCTCACTCTTCTCTTTGGTTCGCTCCTGGGTGCTCAGAGGAGGCAGGGAAGGTGGAGACCAGAAGCCTCCTTGGTGTGAGGCCTACATGGATCCTTCTGTCTTGCTGAACAAGGTAGCTGGCTGGGAGGGAAGCGAACCCTATGGCCTAGGGCACAGGTGAAAGATTATGGCTGTCACAGCTATAGGGGAGGTATCTGGTGTCCAACGGGATACTGCTCAGCACCAAACAACGAGCAGGGCAGCCCCTTCTTCCCCCCAGAGAATTACTTGGCCCAACACATCAAAAATATTGAGGTTGAAAAGTCTTGCACTAGAGAAATCTGAACCCACTGTCAAGAGAGAGAAACATCAACAGAAGCACACTCAGAGATGACTGAAATGTTGTACTACAGACGAGGAATTTCAAGAACGTCAGCGTAAAACGCTAGAAACAAACAGTACCAGAGATAAATGCCTTTGACTGGCTCAGAAGTATACTCAACAAGGAAGAACTGGTGAATAATTTTAAAGGCCAACATAAATTATCTAAAACTAAAATGGAAGGAGAAAAAAAGAGGAGGGCATTGAAGAGCTGTGGGACAATGTCAAACAATCTAACGTGTGTACAAGGAATCCCAGAAAGAAAGAAAAAAACACAAGACTGAAGAAATAAAGTGGGCCGGGCACAGTGACTCACACCTGTAATCCCAGCACTTTGGGAGGCCGAGGCGGGCGGATCACCTGAGCTCAGGAGTTCCACACCAGCCTGGGCAAGATGACAAAACCCTGTCTCTACTAAAAATACAAAAATTAGCCAGGTGTGGTGGCGCAAGTGTATAGTCCCAGCTATTTGTGGGGCCAAGGCAGGAGAATTGCTTGAGCCCAGGAGGTTGAGGCTGCACTGTGTCGTGTTCATGCCACTGAACTCCAGCCTGGGTGACAAAGTAAGACCCTGTCTCAAAAAATGGAAAAGGAAAAGGAAAAGGAAAGAAAAAAAGTGATAGCTGGCTAAGAATTTCTTAAACATAAATAGAGATCAAGTCAAAGATCCAAGAAGCTCAGCGAAACCTAAACAAAATAAATACCAAAAAAGCAAAACAAAACAACAAAACCCACCACACTCAGGCACATCATTTTCAAACTGCTGAAAACCAAAGCAAATATTGGTGGCAGACAGAGAAAAATGACATATAGTATGCAAAGGAACAGAGGCAAGTTCAGCCAATGTCTCATTAGAAACCATGCAAGCCACACTCGAGTAACCTCTTTAAGGGCTGGGGGGTGGGGAACTGCCAACCCAGAATTCTATGTCCCTGGAAGTAAGTATCTTTGAAAAATTAAGACAAAACAACTTTTTCAAACAAACAAAAGCTGAGAGAATTCATTATCAGCAGCCTTGTGCTACCAAAAAAAGAGTTATTGGAAAGTCTTTAGATACAATATAATAATACCACAAAGACAGAAATTTGGATACAAAGGAATAAAGATCTCTGGATATGTTTAAGATGAAGGTTAAACTATTCTTATGTTTAATCAAACTAAAAAAAAATACTTAAAGCAAAAATAATAGCCAATATACTGTAGAGTTTTAGCATATATAAAATTAAAACGCAGAAACAAGATACAAGACAGGACCTACTGTAAGATTCTTACACTGTATGTTATGTGGTATAATGATTTGTTGGAGGTAGACTGTGATAAATTAAAGATGTGTATTGTACACTCCAGGGAAACCATTCAAAACATTAGAAAAAAGTTCAAATAATAAAGCCAATATTGAAATAAATTGGAATCATAAAAAATTCAAATTCAAAAGAATGCAGAAAAGGCTGGGTGTGGTAGCTCACGACTGTAATCTCAGCACTTTGAGAGGCTGAGGCGGGCAGATCACCTGAGCTCAGGAGTTCGAGACCAGCCTGGCCAACATGGGGAAACCCCGTCTCTACTAAAAATACAAAAAATTAGGCTGGGCGCGGTGGCTCACGCCTGTAATCCCAGCACTTTGGGAGGCCGAGGCGGGCGGATCACGAGGTCAGGAGATCGAGACCATCCCGGCTAAAAACGGTGAAACCCCGTCTCTACTAAAAATACAAAAAATTAGCCGGGCGTAGTGGCGGGCGCCTGTAGTCCCAGCTACTTGGGAGGCTGAGGCGGGAGAATGGCGTGAACCCGGGAGGCGGAGCTTGCAGTGAGCCGAGATCCCGCCACTGCACTCCAGCCTGGGCGACAGAGCAAGACTCCGTCTCAAAAAAAAAAAAAAAAAAAAAAAAAAAAAAAAAAAAAATACAAAAAATTAGCCGGGCGTGGTGGCGCACATCTGTAATCCCAACTACTTGGGAGGCTGAGGCAAAAGAATCGCTTGAACCTGGGAGGCAGCGATTGCAGTGAGCCGAGATCCTGCCACTGCACTCCAACCCGGGCAACAAGAGTGAAACTCTGTCTCAGAAAAAAAAAAAAAAAAAAAAACACACAGAAAATGAAGAAAACAGGAAAACAGATGGTATAAGTGGAAAAACTATTACGATGTTAGCCTGCAATCCAGCTATATTAATACTTACATTAAATGGAGATAATCTAAATATATCAACTTAACAAAGGGACCGTGATGCAGTCATGTCTCACGTAACAACACGGTGTGTTCTGGGAAATGTGTCACTGGGTGATTTTGCTGGTCTGAACATCACAGGCTGTACTTGCATGAGCCTAAATGGTGTCGCCCACTCCACACTCAGGTTATGGTACCCAATGTTGCTCCTCGGCTACAAAGTTGTACAAACATGACTGTACTGAATACTGTAGGCAGCTGTAATACAACAGGAAGTATATGTACATCTAAACATATCTGATCACAAAAAATTTGCACTAAAAATACAAAACAGGTTGAACACCCCAAATCCAAAAATCTGAAATGCAAAATGTTCCAAAATCCAAAATTTTCTGAGGGCCAATATGACGTTCAACAGAAATGTTCACTGAGGCATTTTTAATTTTTTTTTAATTTGAGATGGAGTCTTGCTCTGTCGCCCAGGCTGGAGTGCAGTAGTGAGATCTTGGCACGCTGCAATCTCCACCTCCCGGGTTCAAGAGATTCTCCTGTCTCAGCCTCCCAAGTAGCTCGGATTACAAGCTCCCGCCACCACGCCCATCTAATTTTTGTATTTTTGGTAGAGACTGGATTTCCCCATGTTGGCCGGGCTGGTTTTGAACTCCTGACCTCAAGCAATCCACCCACCTCAGCCTCCCAAAGTGCTGGGATTATAGGCGTGAGCCACCTCACCCTGCTCTCAGATTTTTGAATTTGGGATGCACAACTGGTAAGTATAATGCAAATATTCCAAAATCCAAAATGAAATCCAAAACACTTCTGGTCCCAAGCATTTTGAGTAAGTGATACTCAACCTGTATTGTAACCTTATCAGACCACCTTCATAGATACGGTACATCAACCTGTATTACAACCTTCACAGCTACAGTCCATCGTTGGCTGAACGCTGTTACGCAGCACGTGACTATGTTAGATAAAAGGGCAAAACCACCAGGCATGGTGGCAGCTCCAATCCCAGCTACTCAAGAGGCTGAGGCAGGAGGGTTGCTTGAGTGCAGGAGTTTGAATCTGCACCGAGCTCTGCCTGCACCGCTGCACTCCAGCCTGGGCAGCAGAGTGGCACATTATCTCTAAAAAATAAAAGTAGGCTGGGCACGGTGGCTCACACTTACAATCCCAGCATTGTGGGAGGCCAAGGCAGGTGGATAGCTTGAGCCCAGAAGTTCGAGACCAGCCTGGGGAACATAGTGAGATACCATCTCTACAAAATAAAAATATTAAAACTTAGCTGGGCGTGGTGTTGCATGCCTGTAGTCCCAGCCACTCGGGAGGCTCAGCTGGGAGAATCACCTGAGCCCCAAAGGTGGAGGCTGCAATGAGAGCCACTGCATTCCAGCCTGGGGGTCCAAGTGAGAACCTGTCTCGAAAAATAAAATAAAGCAAAATTTTTCTTTATTAAAAGAGCAAATCCAACTACATGCTGTCTACAAGAAAGCCACTTTAAATTTAAAGACAGAGACAGACTAAAAGCAAAAGTGTAGAAAATGACGTACGGTGCAAACATTAATCAAAAGAAAGCTGAGTAGCTATGTTAATATCAGACAACACAGCCTTTAAAACAAAACAGGTAGTTTTTGTTTTTGTTTTTGTTTTTGTGACGGAGTCTCACTCTGTCGCCCAGGCTGAAGAACAGCAGCACGACTGATGCTCACTGCAACCGTCGCCTCCCAGGCTCAAGCAATTCTCCTGCCTCAGCCTCCCAAGTAGCTGGGACTACAGGCAGGCGCCACCACAAGTGGCTACTTTTTGTATTTTCAGTAGAGATGGTGTTTCCCCATGTTGGCCACGATGGTCTCAAACTCCTGAGCTCAAGTGACCTGCCTGCTTCGGCCTCCCCAAGTGCTGGGATTACAGGCATAAGCCACTGTGCCTGGCCTGAGATATGTCTCTCTATAAAACCATTCCAGTGAACAATGAATAATAAATGATAAAATCAGCACCATTTTGAAACCTCCAATGAATAAACAACAAATGTAGGTGTTAAGCATCAGCAGCTGCCAATATCAGAGAAAGTGAGACAGCCAGACAACATGGCCCTTCATTTTGGGCTAAACCCTCCCCACACTCAAGAGTACTACAAAGGGGCCAAACTTGTAAGGCTGTTTAAGTTTTTTTAAGAGATGGGGTTTCATCATGTTGCCCAGGCTGGTCTTGAACTCCTGGGCTCAAGCAATCCTTCTGCCTCGACCTCCCATTTTACAGACATGAGCTACTGCACCCGGCCTTGGCAGGTTTTGCAAGAAACACAGAGGAACCTGCTGAGTTGCCACCTAAGTGTGGGATTCACAGAATCCAGACTATGGGAGCCTCGAAGCTTCCAACAGCCTGGGTTGTTCAACAGACACATTGAAAGAAAAAGAAGGGACCGAGAACAATATAGAAATTGAAGGACAGATGGGCAGCAGTGCCACAGGGGAAGCTACAAACCTAAACAGTGAAACTGACCCTGGAAGTGGGCGTTGTGGGAGTCGGGACAGAGGCTGCTGGGCGGGGCTGCCGGGAAGAACACAAGCGGGGACAGGCTGGGGCGGCGGGGGCGGGGGGAGTGGGGCAGTGAGGGGAGTGGGGCTGGGGGGTCAGGCTCCGCTTCTCCACCTTGGCGGTGTTTACCAGAGCTCAGCTGAAGTTGGTTTGTTCAGCCCAATGTTTGTTTTGTATGGTCTTCGGGATCTACGTTTCATTTAATTTAATTTATTATTATTTTGAGTTTTCTATCCAAAAAATAAGTGAGAGCCCAAGGGATCTGTGTTTAATTTTAAACAAAAAAAGCTTACCACACATTGAATACAGAGAAGACCATGAGTTCTTAAGAATGCTAAGGGAGAAAGGGAGGTGGAGAGGGGACAGAGAGAAGCAAAATCAAGCCCTCCGGATACCACTAGAGGTTGTTAGAGCACCCATTCATTACTCTGCAAAGACAAGTAGCTATTTATTCTGCCAATCCCGGCTGAAGCTTGTTTCAGAGGTACGAAACAGCCCTAGCAGATGTGGGGAAGTTCTTCTGTACCAAAGAATTCCAGCCTGTACTTGCAGGAGGAATGACAGAATGGCAAAATCACCATTTTGAAACTTTGAATGAAACAATGGATGCAGGCAGTGGTCACCAAGGACAATACCGCCTTCGGGCGGACAGGCGGCCGCCGCAGAAACCCAGAGCCTTCTCAGCACCGCTCCCAGCGCACGAACCTCCACAGCATTCTCGCCAGAATTAAATCATAAAATAAAAATCTTAGGTACTTGAATGTAAACCAAGTCTTTGAATCTAACTTTCAGGCTATAGGAACTAAGGCAAATGACTTAAACAACACAAGAAAGTTATGAGCTAAGTCCAGAATCTGGAATCCAGATTCTTTTAGCCAACAGCGTGGCAAATGGGAAGAAGCAGGGGACAGAGAGAATGTTCTGGGTGAAAGAAACACAAAAGACTTAAGAGACATTGCAGCAGATTGATTTAATGAGTGGAACCAGTTTGGATCCAATTAGAAAGAGAGAAAAAAAGTAAAAGGCATTTTGTCAACAGACCTTTGACCATGGACTAGGCACTAAATAATAACAGGAAATTGTTATTTTTGTTACATGTGAAAAGCATTGCTGTTATGTGAGACAATGGTCCATTTTTGATCTTAATAGAAACACACTGTGCTATTCAGTAGTAAAATGGGGTTTGTTTTAAAACAGTAAGTAGTTCAAAACCAAGAAAGAAGGGTGGGAGAGAACGCTGGTGACAGAGGAGCCGAGTCGAGGGTTCCAAAGGCTAACTGCGCCCTCACTTGTCACTATGGAAAGTTCTTTTGAAACAAGTGAGAGGCTCTGCAGAGGGGCCGAGTGTGGCAGAACATGCAGCGAGTGACATGAACACTCAGAGGTGGGAAAAGCCGTCACATAGGGAGCCCGCTGGGCACACGTGCCACAGATGAGAGGCGCTGACGCAGACGTCGCCTAGCTGGGATGAGACAAAAGCAACGCCAGTGTCGGAGTCTGAGTAAAGGCATGTGCACCGGAAACGTGGAGATACAGAGAGAAAAGTCACAGGGAAGCACGTGTCACACGGGGATCTGACTCCACTGGATCCTGTTTAACACCTACGGAGAAGGAGAAGAGGAGGCGAACCAGTGGTTCTCAAAGTGTGGTCCCTGGACCAGAAGCATCAGGAGAAACGGGGAACACTTTAGAAAAGCAAAATCCCAGCCAGGCCAGACCTGCTGAATCAGAAACCCCGGCCACGCCAACAGGCACCAGGGTGAGGGCCATGGGCGAAACTGACTGGCCTGTTCCAGGGCTCTGCCCGCTCCTCCCGGGTGTTGCCCATGCTCCCCGACACAGCGGTCGGGCCTGACCTTTGGAACAAGGCTCCCATTCCTGCCTTCCTCACAGCAGGCCAGTGAGTCTGGAGGCGCCACCTGGCCCCTCTCACGGGCCTCACCTGTATCACCTGGGCGACGGCCGATGCTGCACAGGCTGCCGTGGACCTGGAGGAGCGCCCTACGCAAAAGGCTTGGAATAATGCCCAGCATTGCTACACGGATGGTTGTCCTGTTCACAGCTCACTTACTTCCACAATGTGCAGCTAAGACGCAATAATCGAGCTGAAGATGGATCCGCTGGCCAATAAGACCAGGAAACTCGTGGAAGCAACAGCCTGACACACCCCTCAGGAAGCAGACGACACTAATGGCCACGTGCTGACTTCGGCCACAGCAAATGCAAGCCCGGGGCAGCCAGACACCTGAGCAGTGTGACTGCATGTGGTGCCTCTCGGCCTGGTGCCAACAAGCCTCCTGCTCAGACCCTCACCATGGCCAGCCATGGTCACGAGGCTCTGAGGGCTGAAAGAAATCGTGTTAAAAAGAACTGGAGAAATTCTCAGAAAACATTAATTCCGTCTGTGCTCTGCCTGATCCCCCCTCCTGTCCCAGAGGCAGCAGAGACGGGACGTGCTGAACCCTCTGAGTCTGTGATCCCCGGTGAAAGGAGGGAGGTGGCCGAGGCCCGGCCCTTGCGGGGCCTGCCCTGCAGGAAACCACAGTTCTGGGCAGTTCTGGACTCACCTTGGTGTGACTATCCTGCCTCAATCTACTCACTTTGTTTATAGCAAGGTAGGAAAAACCTTGACAAAACCATGATCATAAAAAAGAAATACAACAGGCCATTTTCATTCAAAGACTTTGTCTACACAGTCCTCCTTTTTAACAAGCTCTAGACCTGTGTTTCATCATCTGCCGTGATTTCACTGTTGGGATCTGCTCGATTGGTTCTGCGCAGAATCCACTCAGGCTCCCGCCCTGGTCACGCAGCACAACTCACTCGAGGGGCTGTCGGGGCCCCTGCTGGGCTGGGCTTTCTCACTCACTCCTCGTGGCTGCTTTAAATGAAAACAAACGTGCTTACTTCATGGTCCACGCTCTCTGTAGCCATGCACTGGTTGTTGGCCAGTGTGGTGATCTCTCGACTCTTCGGTGTTTCCATCCGGCAGCTGCAGAGAGGCACTTCCTGGAGGCCGTCTGTCTCCAGCACATCTGGACCGTTGGCCAACCCTAACGTCACACAGACACATGTCAGCTCATGCAATCCTGACCTCAAAAGAACATCTAGAAAGTGATCGATTATAGTCTCAACAGTGATCTCACACGCCAGGAAATGAAAGCAATGCGGTTGATTACCCAGCACAAACAGCCCTGCGTGGGGCGGGGATGGCCACCACCTGGGCAACATGAAGGGGTGGCCTGTGCCTCCCCAGCTAACAAACCCCCTGACAGGGTCTCAAGAGGCACCTATTAACCTGTGTTCTCAGGTTCTCAGGACCCAGGACACAAGTTCCAAAGCCAGAGGCTGGTACCTCTGGCAGTAGCTCCTAAATCTTTTGCTTTCAAACAAAAGAGCATTCACTGCCCTTTAAGACCTTGTTTTCCTACTTGGTTTTAGAATGGCAGCCACAAAAAAAAAAAAATCAGTTTGGAAGGTTTTAATAACGGTTCATCTATTATCTAGAATCTCACTCACCTACTACAATAGTCCAAAGAGCCCATTTATTAGGCTGAAAGAGGAAAGCACCAGAAAAACAAGGAAAGATAAACTAGAGGAGAATTAGAGCTCAATATGCAGCTGACAATGACAGCATAGTCCATAGGGAAGGCTGCAGCAGGGCCATGGTCAGGCAGGCGGCCTTGGGCCCGTCCCAGCACAGCCAGGGCTGGTGCCCCCATGCCCTGCCCCAGCCCCGGATGGGAGAGACGGGCAAGGCCAAGGCTGTTGAGCAGCAGGGGCGGGGGTGGAGGGCACCGCCAGGAAGACCCTTAAGCTTGGCAAGTGGCTACAGTGGGTGCCGCTCCCAAAGGAAGCCAGATCGCATTTCACGTTTTCTTTTTTGTTAAACAGTCAAAGCAGAAATAGAAGATGAATCATTGTCTCAAATACTCACTATTACCTCTCTTAATTAAAAATAATTAACTCTTGGCTGGGCGCGGTGGCTCACGCCTGTAATCCCAGCACTTTGGGAGGCCAAGGCGGGCAGATCACGAGGTCAGGAGATCGAGACCCTCCTGGACAACATGGTGAAACCCCGTCTCTACTAAAAAAAAAAATACAAAAATTAGCTGGGCATGGGGCACATGCCTGTAATCCCAGCTACTCAGGAGGCTGAGGCAGGAGAATCACTTGAACCAGGGAGTCGGAGGTTGTAGTGAGCTGAGATTGTGCCACTGCACTCCAGTCTGGCAACAGAGTGAGACTCCGTCTCAAAAAAAAACATTAACTCTTGTTTTCACATCTAAAAATATAGTGTTAAAGTAAATTAAAATGGAGACCAAGACTAAAGAATCCTTGAACAGACAAAGCCAGTTGAGCCAAGGAGGCCATCTTGACCTTGCTTGATTTGAAAACAAAGGATATCTTGGGCTACTTTTGGCAAATGCCTATAGTAAAGAAAAATAAAACTTAAGCTCTACCATTCAGAAGCAGCCAACCAATCTCTAGAACTAGGGACTTTCCAGCAGGGACAGAACAAACGAGGAAACTGCGTCATGAACCAGTGGGGTGTTTTCCTGGCTTTACTCCCACGTTCACCCTAAAAATCCTTCCCCTCGTGTTTCCTCAGTGCAGCTCCCAACGTGCTTCTGGTTTGGAGCTGCCTCGTTCATGAATCGCTGCTCAAGGAAACCCTTTAAAAGCTGCACTGTGCCTTAGTGCATCTTTTTATTTTTTCTGAGCCAGAGTCTCGCTCTGTCGCCCAGGCTGGAGTGCAGTGGTGCGATCTCAGCTCACTGCAAGCTCTGCCCCCAGGTTCAAGCCATTCTCCCGCCTCAGCCTCCCAAGTAGCTGGGACTACAGGCGCCCGCCACCACGCCTGGCTAATTTTTTGTATTTCAGTAGAGACGGGGTTTCACTGTGTTAGCCAGGATGGTCTCGATCTCCTGACCTTGTGATCTGCCCACCTCGGCCTCCCAAAGTGCTGGGATTACAGGCCTGAGCCGCCCTGCCAGCCTCTTAGTGCATCTTTTACCAACACCCATGCTGAGTCACCACAGCCGCTTCTGTCTGTCTCTAGCCCATTTGGAATCTGATATTGGTCACGGCCAGGAGAGAATCCAAATCTGTGCAAAGAGCCAAAAAGCACGTGAACGGTCCACGCTGCCGTCAAGGACTCTGTGCAGGAGGCACTTCCTAATCATGTGCTGCCCGAGGTCCCAGCCTCGCCTCTGGATCACCCAAACCCCTAAAGACCAGGAAAACGATGAAGTGAAACTTGAATTCAAATCACTACAAGTTTAAAGCTGGGGGGGTCTCTGAGATGATCCTGCTCAGCAACCTGATTTTTAAAAGGAGAAAACACACACAAACCCCACAACGCTGTGAGATAACTGTCCTACCACAGCACTGGCCAACAGCAGCCAAGAGGCTGCAGTGAGATAGGTAAGAACCCAGGGCCTACACGCTTGGATAACAATGCAGTGGCTCAGACACCTCCGTGGAGGTGGAGTGTTTCTGTTCCCACAGTGGAACTACCAGGGACATCAAACGAACTGACTGAAGCAAGCCTCAAGCAATCAACCTCCGCCAAGCTCTGCCTCTCCCGCCCTAGCCCACGTTGCCATGGTTACCGACTCCTGGCCCCTCCCAGGCTCAGACCCTCTGCCTCCTGTTGCTGCTGGGTGACATCGCCATTCAGCCTCAATAAGGCAGGCCCAAGAGCAAGGCAACGGGGAAAGAGACGAATGCATACGGAGAGGACTTCTCATCTTCATATTCTCCTTGGCCCAAGGCTCAAGCCTGGACCCCCTGACCCACAACCAGCGGCATCACCTGCCCCCACTGACCCGCTCAGCACACTCCACAGGCCGATGGCGCCTGTCCCATCTGAAACACACACCACCCAGGTCTCCCAGAGCCCCAGACGCCATCCAGCGCCACTTGACCACTGCCTCCCTCTGGGGTCCCGGGCCACACGGCCAGCACCAGCACAGTGGGCGCACCGCCTGTCTCTTCTACACACTGATGATCTACATCAAGAGCATGACTGAACAGGCCAATCGCTGACTGACCAATCGGCGCTGATCAAACACAGGGAAATCAATTCTGGGAGGCAGTTTACAAAATGTCACACAAGCTGAGGAGCCTCTACTCCCTGCCATTTCTCCTCCGGCTTTGTGTTGGCTCTCGCCCTTTGGCCCTGATGCTCGGCACCATCCTTCCTTTAGAGCTACCTTCCCCCGACCTCACCAGAGACAGCAGGCGCACACTGACAGGTGGAACGGCCTTCATGTGCCAGCTCCCGGTCTCCTGCCACTCAGCATGCCCAAGGCCACCACAGCAGGAGTCGATTTGACAAAATGAAATACTATTTACTCCTTAAAACCAAGTAACTTCCTGAGACCTCCAAATCTAAAAGCAAGTTTAGAGAACTGAAACACCCAGTGTTATACTCGGAAAGCATGGGGTGACCATGCGAAGGACTTCGTGATGCTTGAGGGGGTTCTGCTCCATTTGGTGCAAGAAGAGGAAAAAATATCATCGTTTCCATGACGGACTAGGCTAAGATTTCTTTTGTTGTTGTTGCTGCTGTTGTTGTTTTTTGTTTTTTTTTTAATTGAGACGGAGTCTCGCTGTCGCCCAGGCTGGAGTGCAGTGGTGCCATCTCGGCTCATTGCAAGCTCTGCTTCCTGGGTTCACACCATTCTCCTGCCTCAGCCTCCCGAGTAGCTGGGACTATAGGCGCCCGCCACTACGCCCGGCTAATTTTTTGTATTTTTAGTAGAGACGGGGTTTCATCATGTCAGCCAGGATGGTCTCGATCTCCTGACCTCGTGATCTGCCCACCTCGGCCTCCCAAAGTGCTGGGATTACAGGTGTGAGCCACCGCGCCCAGCCGGACTAGCCTAAGATTTCTATCTTAAGCTAAAGATGTGATTTCCTAGGTGAATTACATAGGTGACTCAAACCTCCCTCAGTGTTCAAAACCCTAAAAAGCTAGCTATTTGTCATTTTTAAATGGCCCATTAAGCCCCCTGCAGTGGTCTGCAATGCCACACCAGTAAGATCTGTGGGGAATGTAAATAAGATTTGCATTTCCTCCACATCATGCTTCGAATAAATCTTCCCAAATAATCAAATAGGTATTAGCTACTTTTCACTCATATAAGGTTTCTAAGTTGCTTAAAAAGAGAAAAAACTGATAGAAAGTGTGAGAACGGACAACTTCTGGCACAACAACTCCCAACAGAAGCTGCTGATTCACCTGTGATTTAGAGGTACAAAAATACACTAAATACGAATATTCCATTACAGAACGTATGTCAGAACTCTCAGCTCAACACTGACCAGGGACATATTTCAGCCAATCAGAGACACCTTATTCAACAGTACGTCCCCGTGTGTCCTGAGATGCCACCAGGGAGGGCGTCTGGCCGTGGGCAATCCTCCACGGAGCACGCCTGACCCACGGAGGGAGATGACCGCCACGCTGGGCCATGCTTGGGCTTCGCCAGTTGACTCTTAGAGGGTTTCCGTAATGTCTCTTTCTTCACTTGAACACCGGGACACAGCAAACGCACCCCATCCTGTCTACACCTCAGCTGGAAGTGATGCAGTTAACCCGATCTTCTACTAGTGTCCACCAAGGGGCATCATGCTAATACAGAGGAAGGAGCCCAGAAGACAAAGGACCAAGATGGTGCCCGGTCTAAGTTACACCACCACATTCACCTTCTGCTTGTGAAGACAGAATTCCTTTGACTCGGAGATCCAGGGAGTCCAGAGAAACTTCCATGTACCCTGTGCTGTCTCCTGGTGCCGTCTGCTCAGCGCTTCCTGCAGATGACTTATACGACTCAGAACCTAGGTATGAAAGGCACACACATCAGACACCACGCACCCAGGCGGCCGCACCCACCCAGACGCACAGGGCAGCAAGGCTGGGGCCCCAGGAAATGGACTACTTCTAATTAATCCATTCAAAACCACAAGTTGAAACCCACTATGGTTTAGACCATTCCAGTTTCACTATCATTTTCTCTCCCGCATATTATTTTGCTAATTCCCCCTTTTAGACATAATATTCATGGGGGAGGAGAGAAGCTGTATAGACAAAAACAAAGGCACCAACATGTCAGCACATCTTTCTCTGTAACTACACCAACTACATAAAAGCTATCAAATGATCAAAGAAACAGATAAAAACATGGTAGTCATATGTTGTAGATTATTTTTAAATAAAACAGAAAAATCTAACTTGCAGATTTGAAAGATCAGATGTAAAGTAGCTAAAGAGATGGCCCAAGGTGCCATGTTGCAGGCAAATCTGTGTCAGAGAGAAAGCAATGACCTCCCGGGCGTCCTGGCTGAAATCCAGGGAGGCTCCCGGAAAGGATCAGTGTCGACTCCAGTAAACACGGGAGGCTCACGACACCCACAGAAGGTGCCAGGGAGCAGGGTGCTGTGAGAAGGACCGGTGTCCCCTGGCTGGCAGCGAGGGCAGTGGGGGGTGCAAACACTTCTGTGGGCTTCCCTGCCCTCAAGGACACACGAGTGGTGGCCAGGCCAGCCTGTCCACACTTCCCAGGAGGGCCGGAGAAAGATATATAAAATTGGGTGTTTGTAATCACAAGGGCATTCACTGAGGAGGCCTATGAAAGTGTGTACCTGTACCAGGTAATATCTAACTCCGGCCAAGGGCAGATGGTCACATTTCACAGCCAAGCTTCTAGGGACTAGTCACCAATCTTATTTCAATGACTGGAAATAAATGAACACTAGCACAGAGAGGTATGGTAACCAGTCTTTTCATTCAAGCCACATGCTCCACCTAGATCTTAGACAGACAGGAAAAGTCAACCACCTTTGAGAAATCACCATCATCAACTTGAAGAACAGGAGTACACTTTGTATAGTTTTAAACGAAAAGAAGATTTAAATAAAAAATTCATAAAGAAATAAAATTCAAACTCCTCTGTGAATATTTAAAAGCACACATTTTGCACATTACAGCCAAGATGACAAAGATGAAATCTCTACCCCAAAAACAACTTTTAGTCTTGGCTCTAAAATGCTTTTGTTGGCCAACAGTAAAAGCCACATCTGGTGTTATGATCTGAATCAATAAACTGAGGTGAAGAGAAACGTAACTGAAGCACCACATGCAGCTCCCGGGGGGCTCACACGTCCTCCACCCTCAAACGCCAGGAGCCTCCATGGTGACTGCCTCACGCCCCAGGTCTCCCGCAACCCTCTCTTTTCAGGGGATGACGCCTCCCCAACATCCAGTTAACAGAGGTACTCTACATTGGGGAATCTAGATTAGCCAAAATCACTGTGAATAAGAACAAAGTGCTGCCACTCGGTGACACTGGTATAAGGATAAACAAATAAATAAATGAAACAGACCAGAATGTCCAGGAACAGCCCACACACTGAATGTCAACAGGTGGAGAAAAATCAACTCAAGCAGCAGTGCCTATGGCAGCTGCACACCCACTGCCAAGAAGGGGCCTGCGCCACAGCTCACTCAAACATCAGTGCAAAATGAACCGACAGGCAAGCGCGGAGCCTGCAGATGCCAAGAAGAAAACAAGGGACAAAACCTCTGTGACCTGGGTCTGTCAAAGATTTCTTAGAGCACAAAAGCATGAACCCCCCAAGTAAAATAACTCGTAACTTGGACTTCAAGAAAACCTTAAAAACGTTTGCTCTTCTAAATACAGCATTAGGAAAATGAAAAGGCAGGTCAGAGACTAGGTACAAATACATGCAAAACATCCACCTGATAAAAGACTTGTCTCCAGAATATGTTAAAAACTCTTTTAACCCAATGAGAAGAAAAACAACCAGATTTTAAAAGTGAGCAAAAGATGTGAACAGACACGTTTCAAAAAAACTAAATGAAGGCTAAAATGTACAATCTCATTACTCATTAGGTAACAGCATTGAAACTACAGTAAAACACCACTGCACACCCACAGATCCACTGGAATTAAAAAGACTAACCCTAACAAGTGCTGGCGTGGACAGAGGGGAACTGGAATGCTTGTGTGTTGTCTGGACCTAAAACAGGACGAGTGCTTGGAAAACAGCTTGGCAGCTTCCTGAAGAGCTGAACACACGCCACTCTACTCAGCCATTCCACTCCCAGATACCTAACCAAGATCTAGGGAAGCACCTGTTCAAAAAAGATTTGCACACAAATGTTCACGGCCACTTAATTTCTAGCAGCCAAGGCTGGAAAGAGCCCAAAGCCCATGGACGGATGAATGGACAGATAAGACTGTGGGGCAGCCACACAATGGGACACTTCTCAGCAATGGACAGAAACAAACTCCTGGCCATTCGACAGCCTGGCAACTCAAAACAATTATACTCAGAGAAGCCAGATGAAAAACAACCACACAGTTCCATCTATATAAAATTCTACAGAACACTAACCAATACATGGAAACAGAGCAGACCAGGGGCTGCCTGGGAGCAGGGAAGGGAGGCAGGGAAGGGGCCAGGTTATCAAAGGGCAGGAGGGACCCGGGGTGACAGAGGAGCTCATGGCACTGATCATCTGACTGTGGTGATGGATTCAAGGTCATAAGCATGTTAAAACTTGTCAAATTGTGTAATTTATTTCTGTGCATTTTATTGGATGCCAGGTGCACCTCGGTTAAGCTGGAAACAAAAACGGCCCTTGGCACCCTAAACCTGCTGCATCCCTTCTGGGTTTGAGGAGATTTCCTTCCTACATTCACGTTGTGATTCACAAAGTTCCTCTGGAACAGGGGACTCTGACCGAGGCACAGGTGCCTCACTGAGGGGCCGCTTCCTGCACACAACGTGGGAGCTGCCCATGCAGGCCACAGGTTCCAGTCACCCATGCGGGCAGCAAATGATTCACCTCGGTTCAACATTCAACAATGAAGTTGGGGCCGGGCGCAGTGGCTCACACCTGTAATCCCAGCACTTTGGGAGGCCAAAACGGGCAGATCGCTTGAGCTCAGGAGTTCGAGACCAGCCTGGCCAACATAGCAAAACCCCATCTCTACCAAAAAAACACAAAAAAATAAGCTGGGCATGATGGCACACGCCTATAGTCCCAGCTTCTTGGGGAGATGAGGTAGGATGATCGCCTGAGCCCAGAAGGTGGAAGCTGCAGTGAGCTGAGATCGTGCCACTGCGCTCCAGCCTGGGTAACAGAACCAGATCCTGTCTCAAAAAAAAAAAATTAAATTAAAAACAACAACAGTGAAGTCAACGTCCACTACATTGGCCAGAAGGAAACTACTTTAGAATCACTTGAGTTTCTCTAACAAAGTCATTTCAAACATTTTTTTTAAACAGTGATGCCCTCTTTTCTAATGAAATCCTACGCACCCCAACCCCAGGTGGGCCTCCTGGCACCATCCCCTCCCAGGCAGTCCCCGTGATGGCCCACACCCCCACGGCATTTACCGAGGGCACCGCTGGGCTTCTTTCTACTTCTCCGCCTCCTTTTCCTGGCTGGCTTGATCCAGGGACTGTCGGTCTTTCCTTTCCTCTTGAGAAATTTCTTCTTAATGCTGGATTCCGAACTCTGGAGAACCAAACGGGCAGGCATATAAACCACTAAGCACAGGAAGCTACGGAAGGCAAGAGCACTACAAGTGTTTTCTTGCAAAACAGAACACTGGCTATGTCTTGATCTTCAATTAAACGGTGAACTTAACTTGTAGACATTTTGCTGGGTCACACGCTTAAAGGCACCCTGCGCTTTTCCCTAACTCTCTCAGCTCAGTCCCTTTAGAGATAAAACAAAACAAAAGCAGAAAGTGAAATGTATCCATCTTATTTGAGTTTGGCATAAAAGAATAAATAAATTGGAAAGTTCTACTCAGGAACTAAATAAGTAAGCTCAGGAAAAGGGTCCGTTCATCTCGCTCACAAGAAAAGGGACAATCAACGCTCGGCTTGCTTCAGAACCTACCCACATGAATGATCTACA
The DNA here is from genome assembly GCF_000001405.40 of Homo sapiens. NCBI lineage: Eukaryota > Metazoa > Chordata > Mammalia > Primates > Hominidae > Homo > Homo sapiens. The sequence continues at coordinate 137,753,762 of NC_000009.12, read as the reverse complement.
CAGAGAACAAGGACAGAGGCTGTAATTAACTTATAATATTTCAAGATATGTTTTAAGCATCTGCTTCTAAAATCCGGATGCAGCAAGGGCATCCATGCCACATGTCACACACGGATGCACAGCAGGCGCCCCCACCCCTCCACAGGAGGCCACGTGCAGGCCACAGTGGGCGGGGGACATTTAAGGTAGGCACAGCAGCAGCACGTGGGCCTCGCTGACCAACTGAACATGTCCCTGCACAAGGCCTTTGCTGGGCAGCCTTCTTCCTGAGTTGGGTCCCACGTGAGGACGGTACCGGGAGCCCTGTCTGCAGCACACACAGCCCCGGCTCCCCTGTGCTCCCCGCACGGCAAAACTTTTGGGAAGAATTTCAGCAAGCGCCACACCCAAAGCTGCTGCTGCTGGAAATCTAGCTGCCCCTCTGCCACCCAAAGACAGACCCCTTCATCGCCGAACACCACGGCCCCCGTGTCCTCCTCCCACTCGCTGCTCGGCCCCTGTGTCCTCCTCCCACTCGCTGGTGTAATGAGCCCACACCGTGAGCCACTTCTCCTGTTTCAGAGCATTTCCCAATTCATGTGACCCAAACTTGCCGAGCTTTCCCCCCACGGCACAGACAGCTCCTCCTCAGAAGCAGGAGCCAACTTCTCCTCCCCTGTGGAACCCTCACAGGCTGGGGGCTTCCTGAGGCTCCATCCTGGGGACTCGCTGCTCTTACCCATTTCCAACACCCAATTCCCGCAGACCAGGGTGCACAATTCCGATCTGGACCCTCCTCAAGGAATAACAGGCTTCAGTAGGGACGGAGCAGAACCCCTCTTCCCTCCAGTCCTCACCACCAGAAAGTTCTGTCCATTCTACCTGGAAACCCTCAAATCCAGCCCTTCCTTCTCGCACGTCAGCCGATGCAGCGGAATCCCAAACAGCTGTCCTTGCTGCCGGCTCCCGCCACACCCTCTCCCTCTGCCGTTCTACCTGGAAACCTTCAAATCCAGCCCTTCCTTCTCGCACATCAGCCGATGCAGCGGAATCCCAAACAGGTGTCCTTGCTGCCGGCTCCCACCACACCCTCTCCCTCTGAGAACCTCCACAGGCCACTCAACTCCACCCCACCCAGCACGCAGCTGGGGCAGCCCCGTGCCAGGCCCAGCCCTGCGCTGCAACTCTGCACGGTGTCTTTCTCATGAGGCTTTGCCAGGGACAGGACCCATCTGTGGCCATCACCATGACCAGCTCCAAGCACATGGGTGAGCGCTCAGGCAACAAGGGTTGTTGGGTAAAGAACTGAAGGACGCTGGTGTCTTTGCATCTCCTCTACATCAGCACAGACGCAGGAGGAGGCGCTGGGCATTACCAGGTCAGACTCGTCACCGCCTTCCTCCTCCTCCCCGGTGTCCACGGACTCCTGCTCCTCCTCGGACTCCCCGTCCATCTGATCAGCCACACAGTCGAAGCGGGAACCCAAACAGAAAACAGAAACCAATTACATCCTTTAGTGGCAGATGACGGATCCAAAGCAAACCTCGAAACGGGCACTGGCCGCACACGCCGGAGACGCTCGCGGGGCGGGGGCGCCGCCGGCCTGCTCCAGCCCTGGCTGGTGTGTGGGGTGACCGAGTGCTGGTCCAGGCAGGGCCAGAGACACACTCTGAGCTTCCACTCTGCTCCCCGGTCCTGTCTCCACATCGGGACCAGAGAGTGGCTGCCCTGGTGCGGACTGAGGCAAGAGCTCACCCGCTGGGTGCTGTATCAGTGAGGGTTCAGGTACTCACTGTATCTTATGAATGGGATAATTCAATAAACACATCACAAAACACACAGAACAATCATAAAAAGATTTTCAGAGGCCACAAAACAATACACAGTGTGAGACCTACCCCCACACACCCATGATCCCAGTCCAATCCTCGGAGCCACCACAGCTAAGTTGCCCACGCCTCCTTCCAGTGAACATCCAGGCAGACGTGGGCCCACAGACGACAGTGCATTTCTAGTCTGCACAGATGGCAGGACACTCAACAGTTCTGTGAATATTATTTTCTTCTAATTAAAAATATGTTCTGGAATTCTTTCCACACCAGAACAGACACATCTTATTTTTTCTGCTGTATTTATCTTTTCTATAAGCACAGGCAATACGCAAATAGACGTTCAGTGCAAAAGACACTGAAACATACGTGAGTCTCCGTCCACCCTGTGCCCGGCACTCCCTAAGGCGGCATGGGGCTGCCTTTGCTGCGCTATTCCACTATTCTCTGCATTTCCCGGTGGACAGGCACCCATGCGACTTCACATCAAGGGTGTACTCTGCGGGCTCGATGGCTCACGCTTGTAATCCCAATGCTCTGGGAGGCCTAGGCGAGTGGACTGCTTGAGGCCAGAAGTTCAAGACCAGCCTGGGCAACACAGCGAGACCCCTGTTTTTCCTGTCAAGTTTTTAAAGCTCCATTTCTGATATCTCTTATCACATAAAACTTTTGAATTTTATCTGAACAAGTCAAAGGTGTCCATCTTTTCCTTCATGGCTTCCAGGTTTGTGTCTTACACTAGAAGAACGTCCTCATTTGAGATTGGAAAAAACAGTTCCCAATATTTTTACCCATAGTTCAATATTTTATATTGACACTTTAAATCTTCTGGAATTCGTTTTTTAAAATAATAGCCACAGTAAGATATGTTTCACCTACTCTAAAACCGACCCTGCAAAGTGTACGGTTCAGTGGTTTTTCATATATTCTGAGTTGTGCAGCAAGCACCACTGTCAGACTCTAGAATGGAGCTCACATTTGTTACGTGCCCTGACACAAGTGCAGGCTGCCTTTTCCCAAAATATTAGTCAACTGGCCCAACCATAGTTATTAAAAAGTTCATGACCCCTTGACCACTGATTTAATACCCCAGTCTTACAATCGACCTTTATACATGTCACAGGCTCCCTGTCCCACTCATTAACCGCCTCAGCGCTCCTGAGTAAGCGTCCCCTCCGGCAGCCGCGCCCCCTCCGGCAGCCACGTCCTGAGCTCCGGTGTCCCCCACTGTGCACAGTCCCCACCACTACTCCAGAGGGTCTCCACCTCCACCCTCACTTCAGAACCAGCAGTTACACAAAAGTCCTGCTAGGATCTTGATGGGAGCTGTTCTGAATTTAGAGGCAAACATGGAGAAAATAAAACAATGGATCTTGTCACTCAGGCAAATAATAACTCTCTCTAGGAACTTAATTTTTAAACTCTTTCACCAGTTTTATAGTTTTCCTCCACATTAACAAGGAACACTCTTTTTTTTGTTGTTAAGTTTATTTCTAGGTACTCTGGTGATATTAAGAAATTACAACTAACTTTTTAGGTCTGATATTGTGGTTTGTCTTTCAAAGAGTCCTTATCTTTTAAAGATCCCTACTGAAATATCTGCTCCAAGACAACCCACGTGTGGAGAACGAGGCCAAATGCTGGAGAATGCTCACTGTCCTCTGTGTGTTTGTGCAGCTTGAAATTTTCTAGAGAAAATCTTTAAAAATATCCCTAGACATTTATTGATTTTACTGATAATGCTGACACTACATTTTCTAATTGGTTATTGCAGCTATACAGGAAAATAACTGGTCTTTATGTCTTGATCACATGTAAGGTCAGCTTAGGAGCTGTAATAGGTTTTGAGCTGATTTTGCTAGATGTTTCAGATGGATGAGTATATTCTCAGCAAACTCTTCTCTCTTGTCTTTTAAAATATTAATGTTTATTTCCGGTTCTTCTCTTACAGAATCAGCAGGAACAGTCAATGCTGCCGCATTCGTGTCAGAGGTGAAAGCAGCAGCCTCTCCTCCCTTGCTTCACGACTGACCATCGAAATGTTCTAACCCTTCTATAAGCATTCCGACACTTCAGTCGGCTTTGACAGGAGTTTTCATGTCACTGGACAGGTTTCTTATTTTAAAAACAAGACAAGGCAATGAAACCACCAATTAACAGCAGACTAACACCACAGCTAACTCCACTTCCTTCCAAAACTCTGGCAAAGCGACTTTTAAGGAAGGAACAAGAGCTTCTTTATAAGAGGCTGCTTGATCACTGTGCATAAGACAGCTGTAAGGAATCAAGTGGAAGCTGAAAACCCAAGGAGATTAGAAAGAGAAGGGGTAACCACTGACATCAGAATTAAGAAGAGGCTGGGCGCCATGGCTCATACCTAGAATCCCAGCACTTTGGGAAGCCAAGGCAGGTTGATCACATGAGCCCAGAAGTTCAAGATTAGCCTGGGCAACATAGTGAGAGGCTGTCGACTGAGAGAACCTCATCTCTACAAAAAAATTAATTAAAAAAAAAAATTAGCTGGACATGGTGGCGCATGCCTGTGGTCCTAGCTACTTTGGAGGCTGAGGTGGGAGGATCACTTGAGCCCAGGAGGTGAAGACTACAATAAACTATGATTTGCCACTGCACTCACTCCAGCCTGCACAACAGAGCAAGACACACACACACACAAATAATAAAGTAAATAGGGAACTTAGAGTCTGATGCAGGTGAACTGAGAAGGCTGACACCCAAGTGAAACAGGAAAAGAGAAGCCAGGAGCAGGCCAGGAGCTTCCCACATCTGTCCTGGGGGTGGGTAGCAGGTCAGGAGCAGGCCAGGAGCTTCCCACATCTGTCCTGGGGGTGGGTAGCAGGCCACAGACCAAAAGTTGCCTGTCCCCCACCCAGCAGGACACAACTCTGGACACCAGGCTCACTAACAGATTCAGGCTAAGAGGGGAGAGGGTCCAGCTCTCCCTTCACCAGCACCCAGAGTGGCTGCCGCACCAGCTGTCAAGCAACAGGTTCTGGCAAGTGGCTTCTGAGCAGAATGGCTAAACCGGGTACTGTTTCAGTGAAAAGGCAGGCCACATGCAGAAGAAGGAATCATGTCGACTACACAACAAGGGCTTGTTTCCAGGCCAAAGAACCCCTACAAAACATGTTTCAAAAAGGACAAACAGCCCAGTAGATAAATGTTTGGGATGTGAATAGGCACTTCACAAAAGGCATCCAAATGGCAAAGTAAGTATGTGAAAAAGTATTCAACCTTCTCATAAATCATGAAAATGCAAATTAAACTGAAAACGTAATGCCACTATCTGCTCGTTGGAGTGGCAGCACCGAGTGTGGCCGGCACAGCAGAGGGGATGCTCCGAGGCGGTGGGGAAGAAGGCAACCTGAGCAGCCACCGTGGGGAGCCGCATGGCAGAGTCCATGGAGGCCAGCACAAGGCATGGCGGTTCCGTTCCCAGTGGGTACCTGGGGCAACACCTGTATGAGGGTGCTGGCAGCAACCTCCTCCAGGACGGCCCCACTGGAACCACCCACAGGCCATCCACAGTGGGACGGACACAGACACGAGAGCAGCCATACAGAGGAACCTGTATGGTCGCCTCCCTGGCCTAAGGCCCCGCACACTCTGAAATAGCACCAAGAACCATAAAGAACGTTTGTTAATACAAGTATCTATTAACATGTACTGTAGTAGAAATTTAAGCTGAGACATGTTCAAACTACAAGGACACAGTGTCAGCCACCACAGCAAAGCCGCCATCACATGTAATTCCATGAATGATAGTGAAAAAGGCACCCAACATCTGAGCATTAGTATGATAACAGTTTTGATCTGCAGACTCTCCCAACAGGTCTCAGAATGCCCCCACCCAGACCACTTTGAAAACTACTATTCCATAACAATGAAAATTAACTAATAATATAAATAAATCCCAGAAACACAACGTTGAGTAAAATAAGCCACACTCAAAGAAAAAAAAGAAAGAATGCATTCTGTGTAATTCCATTTATAGAAAGAACGAAATCAAACATGACCATCCTACAGGGTTAGCACTTCAAACACGACCATCCTACAGAGTTAGCACTTCAAACACGACCATCCTACACGGTTAGCACTCAGGAGAGGGGTTACTTTTGGGGATGGGAGGTCAGTGGGCTTCTGCAGTGCCACCAGAATTCAAGGCTTTGATCTGGGTGGTGGCCACACAGGTACGTCATTCTTCCATCATTACTCAACTGTACCGTTGTCATACATGCAATCACAATGTAATCCCCCCAAATTCAGAAAACAGAAAGCGGACTGAACTTTATAAAATGCCTTTTTTAAAAACACATATACGTTGTGTAGTTTTTCTCATTTATTCTGTTAACCTAGTAAATCCTGGTCTTTAAATAATCTATTTCTAGTAATGAATCACTCTCATCCTGGGGTAAGCCCTACTTCCTTACAATCATTATTTTAATATGTCATTGCATTTGATTCATATTTTATTTAGGAGGCCGGGCGCAGTGGCTCACGCCTGTAATCCCAACACTTTGGGAGGCCGAGGCAGGTCGATCACTTGAGGTCAGGAGTTCAAGACCAGCCTGGCCAACATGGTGAAACGTTGTCTCTACTAAAAATACAAAAATTAGCTGGGTGTGGTGGTGGGTGCCTATAATCCCAGCTACTCGGGAGGCTGAGGCAGGAGAATTGCTTGAACCTGGGAGGCAGAGGTTGCAGTGAGCCGAGATCGCACCATTGCACTCCACCCTGGGTGACAGCGCCAGACTCAGTCCCAAAAAAAAAAAATGTATTTAGGACTTTTGTATTTAGGATTTAGGTGACTTCAGCCTATATTTTAGTCTCAGAATGGGCTAGCGTACTTTTCCTATCCTTCTCTATTCTCTGGAGCCACTTACGTAACGAAACTATCACTGTTGATTGTCAGTGCCCATCTAGTTAAGGCTGTTCCTGCCATCTTGTTCTGTTTTACACTGACCACATTTTCTTCTTGGCTTTGCTTTTGTTTCTTGATTCTTTTCGTGCCTTGACAGTCATTTAATGTTTTACTTTATGACAAATACCTAGAGTTATTCAGTGTCCAGTTCCTCTAGAAGATGAGAACCTCAATCGAAAGAGAGAATCGAGAAATAGACTGAAATTAATATCCCATATGGTACATGATAAACGTGGTGTTGTAAATGAGAAGGGAAGAAATGTCAGTCAGTAAGTGGAGCTGAAACCTAAGCATTTTAAGGGAAGCCCTGGGACCCTTACCTCACATTTTCTTTTAAAAGCTTTATTGAGATATAATTAATATGTCATAAACTTCCCCCATTCTGAGCAGCCCTACCTGATATTTTAATTCTATATGAATCAAATATTTATATACAAGAATGAAATAAAAGAAGTATTAGAAGATAGCATACATCAATTCATTCAAAATCAACAGTGAGAAAGGTTTTTATCATAATTAGAACACAGAACTCAGAAATCATAAAGAAATTGATTAGTACCTGGGAGTTCTGACACTACAGACAAGGTCAAAAGACAAAATCGGCTGGGCGTGGTGGCTCACGCCTGTAATCCCAGCACTTTTGGAAGCTGAGGTGGAAGGTTCACTTAAGCCCAGGAGTTCAACCAGCCTGGGCAACACAGTGGGATCCTGTCTCTACAAAAAATAAAAAAACATCAGCTGGACATGGTGGCACGTGCCTGTAGCCCCAGCTACTCAGGAAGCTGAGGCAGGAGGATCGCTTCAGCCCAGGAGTTCAAGGTTGCACTGAGCGTGATCACGCCACTGCACTCCAGCCTGGGCAACAGAGTGAGACCCTGTCCCCAAAAAATAAAAAACAAAACAAAAAACCCAAAATCCACCTGGGGAAAAAACCTCCATTCATACTGGAGCCAACAGATCAACTCTTCGTTGACAAAAAAGATCGTCAGACTACATTCAAAAGATGCAAAATCCAGAAGAAAAATGAGCAGGGGCTATTTAGCAAGCGGCTTACAGAGGAACAAACACTGGTGGCTGGCTGCTCAGCCCCAGGCATGACTCAGCAATGAAGAGCTGCTGGACTCCAAGAAGGCAGCCCTGCTGGGGAAGGTGAGGAAACCACACCCCTCAGGTCTCTGCAGGTGGAAGGATACAGTCAGAGGTGGCCTGGTGACATCAAAGTGCTACACTGTAAATGCAGACAGCACTTATGAGCCTCCGGCATACTCAGCAAAACTGTGACACTGAATACCCCTTGTAACTTGACAGAAAGAGCGTAACACAGCTGAACAGACAGTGCACTGGAGCGACAGACACGTGTGTGCAGAGACCGCGGCAGCTGCTGGGGTAGCTGCTTCCCCACGGTGCAGTCAGGGCTGCCTGTCCTTCGGGGAGGGCTGGGCTGTGCTGGGCACGTCTAAGGAAGTTCCTGTAGTGACTGTTTCAGAGTGCCAGAGCCACCAGGACAATGGGGTGATGATGCTGTGTTTTCTTCCTCATGCTTCTTCATATAAGAGGAGAAAAAACTAATAATTATCTTAAAATAAAAAATTTTTAAATCCTCTTTAAATATCTAATGGTAATATTTCCAACGAATTTTTAAATAATCAAGCTACAACCTGGGAGCAACATTCAAAAATTTGCCCTAAAACATGCTAAAAATGTACAACAGACTTTGAAATTGAAGCAAAAGGAAGAAAACACATCCCCAAAACTCTGACAAATGATAGAAAATGCTTTGTATACATTCAGGGATACGCCATAGCACACAAAGCTGACTGAAAGGGGAAAAACCTTAACCACTAAAATTATGCATTTTCCAGTAAGTCACTATTTGGATGAACTCACCTGGACTGCTATTCCTACTGTTAGTTTTGGAATAACTTCTTAGATACAAGATTGCGTCTAAATAAACATGGTTGGACACACTCGAACAATAAACCACAGATTTGCATGTCAACTTGATTCTTAACTTTCCACTGTTCGTCCTTATGAAATGCGTCACTCCTAACTGACCCCTCAGAACTGAAAAAGCATGAATGTAACTCCGAAACTGTATGTCTAAGAACTTCCTCAGTTTCCCTGAGACACTGGCCCAGGTGCCCATACCTGGCCAGGGGCAACAGCACCGCTGTGACAAGGCTGGGGCCTTGGCCCGTGCTGGTGCTTGTCCTTGGGTGGACACAGGATGAGGCTGTCTGTGAAGAGAGCACGCCTGGCCCATGTGTGGTGTCCACAGTGCAAGGTGGCAGGCCACGCAAAGCCAACCACAAACGAGCACACAGCAAGCCGCCAATCAGCACTTCAAGCTGTCAGCAATATCATTCCTGTCAATCTAGAGCCCAGAACAAGTTCAAGAGGGCGGGCGCCGTGGCTCATGGCTGTATTCCCAACACTGGGAGACTGAGGCGGGAGGATCACTTGAGCAAAGGAGCTCAAGACCAGCCTGGGCAGCAAAGCGAGTCCCCGTCTCCACAAAAAAATTTAAAAATTAGCCAGGCATGGTGGCGTGAGCCTGTGGTCCCAGCTGCTCGGGGGGCTGGGATGGGAGGATCATTGAGCCCAGGAGGTTGAGTGCAGTGAGCTATGATCGTGCCACTGCACTGCAGCGTGGGTGAAAACAAGACCCTGTCTCAAAAAAAAGAAAGAAAGAAAACACAGAAAAAAAAAAGAGGTTTACTTCAATGAATGATGTACAGAAACATAAATACTTCTTGAATGAAAATAATCTAATAAATCAAGAAAAATAAAATACAAAAATCTAAGCCAATTGTAAACAGGGGATTTTATCAGGGTCTAGAAGTGACCAGACTGTTAATTTTCAGAACCACGGCCAACTTTGTGATGCTCTTTCCTTGTGCTGTCACCCAAGACAGCAACACATACCTTCTGGGCGCGATCAGCCTCCGACATGCTCTCCTTGGAAGTCCTGCTGTCCTCTGTGGGGAACGCGGCCGCCTGCTCTGCACCATGGCCGTCGTCCTCCTCGAGCTCCTCTGAGTCGTCCTCATCCGAGTCCATCTCCAGGCTCTCCCCATTCACGTGCAGGCTGCTGGCGCCCAGGTCCTTCTCCCCCTAGAACACGGGCAGGTGTATACCCCAAGGCAGGATCAGTGCGCATCATGAACAAACTTGCTTTCACTGAGGAGTCTTGGGTGACTGGGAGGTGCAAGGGCCTGTGGGGAGGCGGGGACACACGAAGAGGTGCCCCTGCCACCTGGAGAAGAGCCCGGCAGACAGGTGGGCTGTGGTGAGGAGGGCAGGGAGGACGGGGTGGAGTCCCCCACAATGATCTTGGACACGAACACTCTGCCCCTATGGCAGAGGAGCTTCATGGCACTGGCACCTTCCCGGGGACTGAGGTCACCCAAATTACTGATAACGAGGCCCTGAACACAGAAACGCATTTCCACGCACACGTGGCAACTCACTCAAATGCGTCTCTTACCTTGGAACCCACAGTGGAATGAGTTATGCTCTTAAACATCTCAATCACCGTCCTCTGTTTTAATACTTTGGTCTTTTTCTTAGGAACCAGGCTATAGGTTCCCATTCTTCGTTTTTTCTTCCGAGATACTGCAGCTGCTAAAACAAAAGGCAAGCAAGCTAAAAAAAAAAAAAAAAGTCAAAAGGGGACAAGAAAGGAAAAGAAACACCATTCAAATGTTTTTCAAAGGTAAGAGACAGTTTACAAAACTTGATCACCAAAATCACCAGCAAACCCCATCACAACAGGCCCACTGCCCGCAGGTCATCAGCACAGTGACAGGCATCCTTCCCTCACGATCAATTCACAGAGAATCAGAAACACGTCCTGGATCATCTGTTCATCTGTTCCATTCACAACAAAACACGGAGCAAACATTATCACCCCACCTTGGAGGCAGGAAAGCCACAAATCATCAGTAGCAGGGCTCTGAAGCGACTCCTCCTCCCAGTCCCCTTGGCTTTGCACATGGAATGACTACCCTTGAGAAGTCCTCTCACTTTGCAAAACAGACCAACGTGAACAGCATGTGCAGCAGGGAGGACGCAGCGCGGAGCAGGAAGAGCCCAGCCTCCCTTCCCAGCACAGGGGCCAGGCCAGGCCAGTCTTCCTAGGACACAAGCTCTGTGCCAGGTCCACCCCTGTGACTCCACAGCCCAACACCCAGACACCATCCTCCTAGGCCCTCTCCCCAACACCATCCTCCTTGCGCTGCAATCCAGTGACTAAGGGGAAAGACAGTGCCTGGAGCTACGGTCCAGCTCTCTATTAAAAGATAAGAGGCTGAGAGGGAGAAGCAAATGTCTGGGGGCTCTGGAGCAGTGGTTTCCAAACAAGAGCAGCAGCGAGGAAGGGGCCTGGGGGCTCCCAACCCCATTCTGAACAAAGCAGTTCTAGGTTCGACTGGTTTTATATAATCAGACTCCATGACTTTTTTTAAGTTCCAGGATTTAAAGAAAAACAGATCTAAAAGCCACTGCTTTAACATAAAAGAAACTCTCCTAAAGGGATGGGGAAAATCCACTCTGTTTAAAGCTGGGCACAGCAGCTCACACCTGAAGACCCAGCTACTGAGGAGGCTTGAGTGGGAGGGAGGGTTTGCTTCATTCCAGGAGTTCAAGCCCAGCCTGGGAAACACAGTGAGACCCCCTTTACTTACACACACACACACACACACACACACACACACACACACACACAAATTTGGTTCTACAAAGTGCAGAAGCAACAGTTGGAGGGACGTGAACGAGTGAGAACCATCCAAAGCGGGTAGGTCCTTTGACAGCACCACCCACAGACGCCGCGGGGCCTGGGCAATCCGCTCTGGAGTAAGGAGGTGCCTGGGACCACGGACGCTGGGAAACGATCACACCAGGCGTCTGCAGTATGTTCATGGGGGTCAGGCTCGGAGCACACAGCCAACATGCAGACACTTGGCTCTGTCTGTCCACACTATAACAGGCTGACAGGCCAGCATGGCTGTGCTCAAGCAACAGAAATCCCTTGGTAGCCCTGGGAATCCTAAACTCACTATCATAATCATCTTGATATTTTGAATAGATATTTTGTGGGGGGATGAAGGAGGCCTGGATTTAATCAGATAACTGTCAAGTCTCTCAGCTTTAAATATATATACAGCCAACTTTTGAACATGGATTTTAATCACATAGGTCCACTTACAAGCAGAATTTTTTTCCCAACCAAACAGGTTGAAAATACAATGTTTGCAAGATGCAAAACCCCTGAACACAGAGGGCCAACTTTTCATATTACACAGGTTCTGCAGGGCTGACTGCAGGGTTGCAGCATGCTCGGATTTTGGTATGGGGATGGGGTCCTGGAGCCAATCTCTGCATATACCCAAGGGTGACTACATGTACTTTCTCACTAGATTCTTTTCCTCATTTCATCTCAGTAACCCATGGTTATTAATATCATAAATCGGACATGGCACCTGTTTATAAATAAAGCTTTATTGGTGCACACCCATGCCCACTGTCTACATACTGTCTGCATCTGCTTCAATGTGACAACAGCATGACCAGCTGGGACAGGAACAGTGTGGCCCACAAAGGCGCTGACGTTTGCTACCTGTCCCCTGGAAACAGTTTGCTACCTGTCCCCTGGAAACAGTTTGCTGACTCCTGTAATGAATGGCTGAGTGAGGACAAAGGAGATAACCCTGCATTTCATGTGCTTAAGAATCATGTCGGCCGGGCGCAGTGGCTCACACCTATTGTAATCCCAGCACTTTGCGAGGCCGAGGCGGGTGGATCACGAGGTCAGGAGATCGAGACCATCCTGGCTAACACAGTGAAACCCCGTCTCTACTAAAAATATAAAAAATTAGCCGGCCAAGGTGGCGGGCGCCTGTAGTCCCAGCTACTCGGGAGGCTGAGGCAGGAGAATGGCGTGAACCCGGGAGGCGGAGCTTGCAGTGAGCCAGGATCGCACCACTGCACTCCAGCCTGGGCAACACAGCGAGACTCTGTCTCAAACAAACAAAAAAAAAATCATGTCGGGGCCCAGTGCAGTGGCTCACATCTGTAATCCCAGCTACTGAGGAGTCTGAGGCAGGTGAATCACTTGAACCCGGGAGGCAGAGCTTGCAGTGAGCCGAGATCGCACCACTGCACTCCAGCCTGGGAAACAGAGCTAGACTCCATCTCAAAAAATAATAATAAAATAAAATAAAATAAATCATGTCAGGAAGTCTGTCTGCTGCAAACAAGTGAAGAATGGTGTCTAAGGGCCTCTTACTGAGTGACAGGTTGTATGTGTGAAACAGATGTTAGGTATAAAATTTGCTACACATTAAATAGTAGAGAAACATCTATGGATGACTTTCAGAAATGTAGAATCTATTAAGGACCTGAAAGTGTTTGAGCACGTGGCTGAAGTGTGAAGAGGAGCCGCTTCAGTCCTGCAGGGGGACTTCCAGCTGTGTCCAGGGAAGGGGTCTGGCCCTGAGCCAGACGGCTGGGATTCAGCGTCATCAGGGGCCAGGAGAAAGAAAACTGCAGGACGGCTGGCAGTAAGCTTCGAAGAGGCTCGAGGGCCTCTTTGGAAGGAGGATTTGCAGTCCAGGCCTCAAAGAAGCGGGGCCAGTGCCCTGCAGATGGGATCTGGCACAGGAGAATCCTGGTGGAGAACATCAAGAAGGGGGGCGAGGGGGGGGCTTCAGGACCCCGAGCAAAGACTCTCGCCAACTGGCATCTCACAGGACGCTCGGGGAGGCCCAGGCATAGGACAGTGTGGAACAGACAGTTCCAGGAAAAATAGTGCCAGGAGTGGAAATGGGCGTGGGGTGGGGGTGGGCACTGCCCAGCTGCTCTGCAGGAAGGCTGGGCTGCTGGGTAGAAGAGGTGTGGACAAGGAAGAAAGGCGACAGGCTCCAGAGGGCAGACAAGGTGGATGGGAGGTTGGAAGTGAGGGAAAAAAGCAAGTGCACGGGAAACACAGCAGTCTGCGTGGTCACCACCACAACTCTGCCACTCACAAGGGCTTCTGTCCTCAGGTCACATAGAGCAGGGCCCAGCTCTATGTCCAGGCCTCATGCCTGGACAGCAGCACCTGTAGAACTGTTCCCTGCCATCAGAGACACCGTCCTCCTTCCTCCCTGCCCGACAAGTCCACACAGAGACCCCAGGCCATTCAGGATCAGTATTTGGCACTGTTCCCACCCACCTATGCAGAAGGCACGAACACTCCAAGCTCACAAAGCAAAAGGCAGGGCCTCCACTCTGGGCATGTCCTGTGGTCACCAGCAAAAAAGCGCAAGGGAAGCACTGCAACTTCTGCAGCAACCTGCAGCTTCTACCCAAGTGTGGACAATGAACCCAGTAGGGACCTGCAGCTTCTACCCAAGTGTGGACAATGAACCCAGCAGGGACCTGCAGCTTCTACCCAAGTGTGGAAAATGAACCCAGCAGGGACCTGCAGCTTCTACCCAAGTGTGAACATTGAACCCAGCAGGGACCTGCAGCTTCTACTCAAGTGTGGACACTGTACCAAGCAGGGACCTGCAGCTTCTACCCAAGTGTGGACACTGAACCCAGCAGCAACCTACAAGTGTGGACACTCAAACTGCTTTATGACCTAAGTTTACTTTTTCTTTCTTTTTTTTTTTTTTTTGAGACTGAGTCTGGCTCTGTTGCCCAGGCTGGAGTGCATTGGTGCGATCTCCGCTCACTGCAAGCTCCGCCTCCTGGGTTCACGCCATTCTCCTGCCTCAGCCTCCTGAGTACCTGGGCCACCACGCCCGGCTAATTTTTCTATTTTTAGTAGAGACGAGGTTTCACCGTGTTAGCCAGGATGGTCTCGATCTCCTGACCTTGTGATCTGCCTGCTTCGGCCTCCCAAAGTGCTGGGATTACAGGCATGAGCCACCGCGCCCGGCCTGTTTTTTTTTTTTTTACTAGTAAAATACACACACCACAAAATTTACCATCTTCATCATCTTTAAGTGCACGGTTCCATGGTATTAAATACATTCAGAATGTTGTGCAACTATCACCCCTATCTACCTCCACAACTCTTTCCATCTTGTCAAACTGAAGCTCTGTTCCCATTAAGCCCTAACTCTCCATTCCCTTCCTCCAGCCCCAGACTCCAGCCCCTTCTACTCTTTCTGTGTCCATCAGTTGGACGACTCTAGGGACCTCCTTTAAGTGGAATGGTACAACATTTGTTCTTTTGTGGCTGACTTACTTCATTCGGCACAGTGTCCCCGAGGCTCATCCACGCTGCAGCGCGGGCCCCAGCTTCGCTGCTTCTCAGGCTGAGTCACACGTCACTGCGTTTTGCACACGACACTTTGCTGATCCGTTCGCCCGACAGCCGACCCTCGGGTGGCTTCCCCCTTTTGGCTGCTGTGGTTGATGCTGCTATCAACGTGGGTGTACAAGCATCTCTTCAAGACCCTGCTTTCAGTGCTGCTGGGGCACGTGCCCAGCAGTGGAACTGCTGGATCACATGGTAGTTCCACACTTAGTTTTTTGAGTTTTTCACAGCAGATGCACCGTTTCACTTCCTACCAGCAGTGCACAAGGGTTCCCATTTCTCCGCATCCTCACTGATATGTGCCATTTTCTGTTTTGATAGTTGCTGTCCTCAACAGGTGTACGGTGGTATCTCACTGTGGTTTTGATTTGCATTTACCTTATGATTAGTGACGTTGAGCATCTTTTCATGGGCTTACTGGCCATTTGTGCATCTTCTTTGAATAAACGTCTATTCCAGTCCTTTGCCTTTTTTGGGTTTTTTTTGTTGTTTTTTTTTTGTTGTTGTTTTTTTTGAGACAGAGTCTCACTCTGTCACCCAGGCTGGAGTGCAGTGGTCCGATCTCGGCTCACTGCAACCTCTACCACTCGGGTTCAAGTGATTCTCCTGCCTCAGCCTCCCAAGTACCTGGGACCACAGGCATGCACCACTATGCCCAGCTAACTTTTGTATTTGTAGTAGAGATGGGGTTTCACTATGTTGGCTCGGCTCGTCTGGAACTCCTGACCTCAGGTGATCTGCCTGCCTCGGCCTCCCAAAGTGCTGAGATTACAGGCGCAAGCCACTGCACCCGGCCTCCTTTGCTGATTTTTTAATCAAGTTGTTTTTATTGTTGAGTTGTGGGATTTTTTTTGTATATTTTGGGTAGTAATTCCTCATCAGACATAGGATTTGCAGATATTTTCTCCTACTCCACAGGTGCCTTTTTATTCCGTTAACAGTGTCTTTTCTTTACGACTAGCCAAGTGCAGCAGTAAGAAGCAGGGAAACAGGGAAACAAGGAGATAGAAAGCTTTGTGCATCAAAAGACACCAAGTCTCATCAAACCCAGTGTGTCTCCTTTTTTTTTGTTACCTACACTTTTGGTGTCATGTCCAAGAAATCACTGCCAAATCCAAGGTTGTGGAGCCTTTGTCCTATGTTTTCTTCTCAGAATTTTATATGTTTAGGTCTTACATTTAGGTCCTGGACCTGTCTTAGGCTAACTTCTGCATATGGTGTGAGGTAAGGGTCCAGTATCACTCTTCTGCATGTGGATATCCAGTCTTCCCCGCACCATTTGTTGGAAAGCTGTCCTTTCCCCCGTTGAATGGTCTTGGCACTCTTGTCAAAAATCAACTGATCATATAACACAAAGGTTTATTTCTGTGCTCTCTGTTCTAGCCCACTGGCCTATATGTCTGTCTTTATGCTGGAATAACACTGTTTTGAGTACTATAGCTTTGTAGTAAGTTTTGAATCTCTGTCTTTTTCCACATATACATATATTATTTTTTAAGACAGTGTCTCACTCTGTCACCTAGGCTAAAGTGCAGTGATACAATCATGGCTCACTGCAGCCTCGACCTTCTGGGCTCCAGCAATCCTCCCACCTCAGCCTCTGGGGCTCTGGAGTAGCTGGAACCACAGGCACTTGCCACCATGCCTGGCTAATTTTTGTATTTTTTTTAAGAGACAGGGTTTTGCTATGTTGCCCAGGCCGCTCTGGAACTCCTGAGCTCAAGTGACCAGCTCACCGTGGCCTCTCAAAGTGCATGGATGACAGGCTTGAGCCACCACACCCAGCCAAATCTCTGTATATATTTTTCTTTTTTTTTGAGACACAGGCTCACTCTGTCACCCAGGCTGGAGTGCAGTGGTATGATCTTGGCTCACTGCAACCTCCACCTCCCAGGTTCAAGTAATTCTCGTGCCTCGGCCTCCCAAGTATCTGGGATTACAGGGACGTGCCACCACGCCCAGCTAATTTTTGTATTTTTAGTAGAGATGGGGTTTCACCATGTTGGCCAGGCTGGTCTCGAACTCCTGACCTCAAGTGATCCACCCACGTCAGCCTCCCAAAGTACTGGGATTACAGGCGTGCGCCATCGCGCCCGGCTCAAATCTCTGTATTTTAAAATCAACATTGAGACTTATTTGTGGCCTAACATATGGTCGATCCTAGAAAGTCTTCCAGGTGCACTTGAGAAGAGTGTACATGCTGCTGTTGGGCAGAGTGCTCTGTATGTCTGCTAAATCTAGTTGGCTTATGGTGTTTAGTCCTCCATTTCCTTTCTTATTTGCTATATGGTTATTCTATCCATTATTGATAAGTGGATACTGAGGTCTCCAACTATTAATGTAGAATTGTCTATGTCTCCCTTCAATTCTATCAGTTTTACTTCTTGTATCTTGATAGTCTATCATTCGTTGGGTATGTAAATGTTTACCCAGGTAATTGTTATACCTTCTTATTGTATTGAAACTTTTATTACTATATATTGTCCTTCTTAGTCTCTTGTAACCTTTTTTTATTTAAAAAGAAATAAATTTTTATTTTTAAATTTTGTCTGATAGCCACCTTGCTCTCTTTGGTTACTGTTTGCATGGAATATCTTTTTTCATCCTTTCACTTTCAATCTATTTCTGTCTTTGGATCTAAGGTGGGTCTCTTATAGACAGCATGTAGTAGGATCATCTGTTTTTTTTCTCTTGATGCATCTGCCTTTGTCCATTTAGTGTTGCCATAAAAGATAAAGAGATTTGTCTCCTGAGTCTGGTGGCTGGAAAGTTTAATATTGAGCAGGTACACCTGGTAGGGCTTCATGCTCTGGCTCATGGTGGAAATTGGAAAGGGAGCAGGCATGTGCAAGCGATCACATGGTGAGAGAAGAAGGAAGAGACAGAGAAACCAAGGAAGCCAGATTCTTTCAAACACCTCACTCTCAAGGCAACTAAGAGCGAGAATTCACTCACCTGGAGGGAGGGCACTGATCTATTCATGAGGAATCCACACACATGACCAATCACCTCAAGCTAGGCCCCACCTCACAACACTGCCATATTGGGGATCTCATTTCAACATGAGCTTTGGTGTGGACAAACCACATCCAAACCATAGCACTGCCAATCTTCGTCTTTTGATTGGAAATCTTCATCTGTTTACATTTAAAACAACTATTGATGAGGATTTACTTCTGTCATTTTGCTATGTTTGCTACACGTATTATAGCTTTTTTCGTCCCTCATTTCTTGCACTACTGTCTTCTTTTATATTTAGTTGATTTTTTATAGTGGAATGTTTAAATTCTTTTCTCATTTCCTTTTGTGTATGTTCTATAGCTATTTTCTTTGTGGTTACCATGGGGATTACATTTAACATCCTAAAGTAATAACATTCTAATTTAAATTTATGCCAGCTTAACTTCAGTAACACAGAAAAACTCTGCTCCTTTACATATCTGTTCCCACCCCTTTCATTTGCTGATGTCACAAAACTACATCTTTATTCATGCTGTGCCCCAAAACATAAACAATTCGTTTAAATGCATTAGTCTCTTGTTATGTAGGAAAAATGTGGAGTTACAAACCAAAGTTGCAATGATACTAGCTTGCAGACTAATTTTTTAAACGGATTTGTCTCTTAGATCTTACAGAAAACAAAAAGTGGAGGTACAAACCACTGTTACAATACTAGCTTTTATAACTGCCCATGTCTTTACTTCTCCATATGGCTTCAAGTTACTGTCTAGTGTTCTTTCTTTTCAACCTGCTAGGCTCCTTTAAGTATTTCTTGCAGGTCCAGGTCAGGTGGTAACAAATTCCCTCAGCTTTTGTTTATCTGAGAATATCTTAATTTCTTCTGCACTCTTAAAGGACAGTTTCCATGGATATGGATACTTGGTTGAAAGATTTTTTTATCACTCTTAATATACCGGTGATATATTCTGTCCCCCAAAGTTTCTGATGAGAAACCTGCCAATGATCTCACTGAGGAAACGTGTATGTGATGAGTCTCTTTTCTCATCTGCTTTCAAGATTCTCTTTGTCTTTCTACAGAAGTGTCTCAAGTATAACGTGTCTACTGTGGGTCTCTTTGAGTTCATCTTACTGGAGTTCACCAGGTTCCCTGGGTGTTTATACTCATGGGTTTCATCAGATATTCTCTCCACCCTTTTCTTACTCTCTTCTTCCTGGACTCCCACAATCCCTGTTTGGTCCTCCTGATGATGCCCACAGGTCCCCAGGCTCTGCTCACTTCCCTTCAGTCTTGTTGTTTGCTTCTCAAACTTGATTATTTTCACTGTCCTATCTTCAAGTTTGCTATCTCTTTCTTCCGTCTGTTCAGATCTGCCTTTGATTTCCTCTAGTGAATTTTTCATTTCACTTATTATACTTTTTAGCTCCAGAATTTCTTTTGGTTCCTTTTTACGTTTTCTAGCTCTTTATTGGTATTTCCATTTTGATCATACATCATTTTCTTGACTCTCTCCATACCTTCCTTTAGGATCTGACCATATCTAAGACAGTTACTTTAAAGTCTTTGTCTGGTGGATCTGGCATCAGATCTTTTCTGGGAACAGTTTCTGTTGACTTATTTTTGCATCTGATTGGGCCATACCTTCCTGTTTCTTTGTATGCCTTGTAGTTCTATGCTGAAAACTGGACATTTGAATCCAATAATGTAGAAACTCTGAAAAGCTGATTCTCCTCCTTTTCCAGGGTGTACTGTTTTGTTGCTGTTACTGGTTTTGGGGTGTTTTTGTTGTTGTCATTTTTTATAGTTGTAGGCTGTCTCTGTGAGGAGGGTGAGCCTGAGATTTAAACTTAAGGTCTTTTCATGTCTTCCCTTAGCCTGTGCCTTTCCCTGGGCACATGCAGTCACTTTATAATTTACCCCATATACACAGTTGCTTCTGAATATCCTAGTCTTTAATGTCTGGCTCCCAAAAGGAGAAAACAATAAAAATGAAGTGGGGAGATAAAAAGAGCACTGGCCCTTTAGATTTCTTGGCCGTCACATGGAAGAAAGGCTTACAACCGGATGAGAGGGCCTCTCTGTATGCACCTGGGGACAAGGTCCTCTTTGCTCACCCTGGCTCCCACAAGCTGCACGCACACTGTTCCAGGAACACCGCACACCCTGCACCACAGGGCTGAGGAAGGCAGTGGGCAGCAGAGCTGAAACTGACTGAAATTAACCGTCCCAGCTTCCCGCCTAGAAGTTGCAAACCTTCAGTAGACTCCAGAGTTCCAAAATAGTTACATCAGACAGATTCTGCCAGTGGAACTGTTGTCTAGGTGAGGAGATGAATTCCTGGTCTTCCTGCCCCACTATCTTTCTAGAACCCTCTGAAATCAGTTTTTGGTACTGCGAGGATTGTTTTTAAATTGTGAACCGCTACACGTGGGAAAGATACAGAACAAGCTGCTAACAAAGATGCCAGTCCACTCTGTAAAAAGAAGGAATGCTCACCTAAAACAATGCTGGGTGCCTGAGATCCTGATTCAGCACGGCCATCCCCAGCCTGGGGCTGTCACATAAACGCATGTTCTCAACCTTCTTGCACAGCACAGATCTTTCATTTCTGATACTACAGGGTGGAGGGTGCAGAACAGGTCGAAGAGAATCACAGCCACCCTCCATCTAAAACTAAGAATTACAGCTGCCCATGGGAACAAGCTACCACACACGGGCTCTGCTATGACTTCAGGAGTACAATGCACGTTGAAACCAACATGTGACTCTGCTCTTCTTTCCTGCCTGTGGTAAACTTAAGGGGGTAGCAGGAGGGAAAGAGCAGAACCATCTGTGATCATCGCCACAGTAATTAAAAATTAACAGAAAGACGTGACAAGAAATCTCAGCCTTTCTTTGATAACCTGGCTCCAACACCCCTCCCACAGGGAGGCAACAATGAATGGCAGGCAATGGAGTGACAGTTGAAGAAATAAAAGTGATAATGGCAGACAAATTCCTAGGCAGATAGGAGCAGGTCCCCGGTGAAACCTGACCTTCAAGCCAAAGGCCGCCTGAAGCCTGAAAACCGGGCTGCCAGTTCCCGGCAGAATCCACAACCTGGAGTGAGAACTTCCTTGATGCCTTTTAGCCAATCAAATGGTGTTTTTTCCAGACCTACCCATGGACCAATCAGCATGCACTTCATGCACTTCCTCCATTCTGAGCCCACATAAACCCCCAGACTCAGCCACACAACAGGACTGCCTCCCTGCCAGTAGGAGCTACTGACTTTGGGTCTCCTCTCCGCTGAGAGCTGTTCTGCTGCTCAATAAAACTCTTCTCCACCTTGCTCCCCTCCAGTTGTCCATGTAACCTCATTCTTCCTGGACCCAAGACAAGAACTCGGGACCCACGCAACAGCGGGTGCAAAAAGGGCTGTAACATGTTCCTGGCCGGTTCACTGAGCTGCAGGCAGTGACACGCTCCCGTTCGCTGAACTGCGGGAGTGAAGAGCGGTGATCCTTCTGGGGACCCAAACCTTGGGATTCCTCAAGCCAGAGCTGTAACACTGTAGCCCTCCTGCCCTCCGCTGGTGTCGGCGGCTGCCCCGTGTGATGGCAAGCAGCAGTGGAGCCAGGCCAGCCTGGGAGCTGCAGGCCAGGGCGAAAGCGGCAGAACTGAACGAGCTGGGAACACACCCCAGCCCGTACTGTGGGTGGTGACAGCAAGAGAGCTATAGCACACTCTCCCACCCTATCCCCTTGGGGCTCTGCAGTTGCTGGTGACTCCGAGTTTTGGGGCACCACCGTGTTCCCCTCATCTAGACGCCAGCGCCTGCAGTGTAAACTGCTTGTGGTATGCCTCATCCAGCCACAGCTCTGCACAGAGCCAGAGCCTGGAGCTGCCTGCCCCACCACAGCAGCCAAGCAGGCCTGGCTGTGCACAGTGGCCCCACACCATGCTTGCTCGTCAACACACGCCTCGCTGCTCCACTCCTGGCTTGCCCTCGGAAGGTGTGGGATCTGGGCCGGTAGCATGAGCCAAGTACAGCCTGCTGGGCCGAGTGGGCAGAATGAGCCCAGCAGGTGCAAGTGAAACTCAAGCAGAGGCGCCGCTGGCTGCAGAGGTTTATGACCAGCAAAGGGACACTCAAGGGATCCTGTGACAACAGGATAGGACGTACCCCGATTCCTGCTCTGTATGGACACTGTTGTAAAAGGCCTTTGTCTCTCTCTGCCATCCCGATAAGTGGACTCTGCACCCCCGGGGACAGTTAACAGGGGACTCCTCCATCTGCACTCCTGTCTTTCCAGCCATGTTGAAAGGTGCACTGATGACCATCACAAGACAAGGCAGCTGGGCATGCCATGCTCCTCTCTAGTTAACACGTTCTAGCACAGAAACTGTAACTTCTGTGCCCACTCCGGAAGCCCTGGGGTGACAACACACGGGAGCAGCTGAGGCTGAGGGAGTATCTTAACCACTGGACCACAGCAGGCAGCTAACTGCCGAGCACATCTCCTCCAGTGCTCAAGGCCATTTTACACACTGTCCTAGGCTAACACGCTGATGGACCACCCACTTCCAGGTTACGGATAAGGAAGGGGTGGTGGAGGAAGGGGGCTGTGGAAGGGTAAACTGGAGCCTGCTAAACACGCTGGGTAGTTTGTTTTTAGAAAGCTCTTTTTAAAAGATGGCGATATAATAAAGCTAAAATAGGAAAAGAAAATCTCAACACTTTAACAACTCTTCAGACATTACTTTTAAGTCCTCACATACGTGAGCATAACTCCATAGTTTTGCAAAACACCAAGTTTAACTGTTTCAAACAAATAAAATTACGTCAAATAGCAAAAAAAGTTGGTAAGTTGATGGTGAGGGGAACAGATAATGACTGATTTTGTTTTCTAACTTCCAATGAAAAGAACCAGGGCTCCCTGGAGAAAGCCGATTCCGGCCCTGGGAAGGGACAAGGCAAGGTAAGCAGACCATCCAGTGAATGGGGAAGGTCTTCCTGAAGAGGTGCCCACGCCCCAGGACTCAGAACCAGCCTAGGGGGACCCCACTGGACAAACTTGGGACAATGTGAGCAACAAAATAAATAATGATAGGAATGGATTACAGTCCAGAGACTCAAATAAGAGTCCGTAAATTAGTACTTAAAAACAGACAGACAGGCTGGGGGCGGTGGCCCACGCCTGTAATCCTAGCACTTTGGGAGGCCAAGTCAGGAGGACTGCTTGAGCCCACGAGTTCAAGACCAGCCTGGGCAACATAGCGAGACCCCCATCTCTATTTTTTTTTTAAGTTTTTTTTTTTGTAAAGTAAATGGACAGATAACTGTGTGGACGGACAGGAAAGTGAAGCACCTCCTTACAGCAGAAACTGAAATAATCAAGAGAGGAAATGATGGAGTTAGAAAACCACCATTTGGCACCCACCGTGCAGTACTAGCTAAGCGTGGGCCATGGCAGATGCTGAAGACCCTGGTGGGATGTGATGGGAGGTACATGCAGCACCTTAGGGTCTCTCCCTGCAAGACATGCTTGCAGTCTGGTGAGCAGTAACTTGAAGATGGACAAAAAACCACCACAATTCAATTCCTAAGGACACTTGTCAGTCACCTGCGTCGCTCCACGACCTGCACACAATCCTGGGAAACACTGGGCAAACCCACATCAGACACATTCTATGAAAGACCTGGCCTGTACTCAAAACACCACGGTTCAGAAAGACAAAGAAGGCTGAGAATGGTTCAGATTAAAGGAAACTAGCAAGACACAACAACTAGGTGCTCGAAGCTCTAGAACCAGATTTTATTTGTCCTTTGCCCTAAAAGACAGTCGGGAATGGGAAATGCGGAACAGGACACTGAGATTAGAGAGCGGCGTCGCGGTATACTTCCTCACCGGGATGTCTGTGCTGTAGTCATCTAAGAGAATGTCTTTATGTTGAGGGACAGTAATTTTAGGAAATAACATTAGTTTTCAGGGATAAAAGGGCACAATGTTTACAACTTACATTCATGTCTCAGAAAAAAAAGTAATACATGGGGGGGCCGGGGGCGAGATTGTGCCATGTGGTGAAATGAATAAAGGGTACACAGGACTTATTCGTAGAATTTTGCAACTTTGCTGGAGGTCTGAAAATACTTAAATTAAAAAAAATTTTTTTTTTTTTGAGATGGAGTCTTGCTCTGTCGCCCAGGCTGGGGTGCAGTGGCATGATGTTGGCTCACAGCAACCTCCGCCTCCCGGGTTCACGCCATTCTCCTGCCTCAGCCTCCCAAGAAGCTGGGACTACAGGCGCCCGCCACCATGCCCGGCTAATTTTTTTATTTTTAGTATAGACGGGGTTTCACCGTGTTAGCCAGGATGGTCTCGATCTCCTGATCTCGTGATCCACCCGCCTTGGCCTCCCAAAGTGCTGGGATTACAGGCGTGAGCCACCGTGCCTGGCCAATAAAAAGTATTTTTAAAGTCCAGAAAAAGACAGACACCTGTGGCCAGGTGATCATCCCCAAGTGAAGCCTTGCCAGCAGCAGCAGCATTCACGAGGGCCGGCTGACCTCCCAGCATTCACGAGGGCTGGCAGGAAGGGCCTTGCATCTCTTCAGGACAGCGCCAAACGCACACATCCCATCCCAGAAGCTGAGGAGGTTTGAAAGCCCAGGGAGCCCTGACGCAGCGCTCACTCTGAGGTCCCGGTGCCCTCCCAGCACCTCCCACAAAAGGTCCCCGGTAAGGAATCAAACGTTCATCCACTCCCGGAACTGGCCATAGAAGCAGCCAGCCCAGGAGAGTGAGGAGCACGCCTGGAGCGAGGTGGCTGGTGGCAGAGCAGCTGGAGCGGGCGGTGGTCCTCACCCTGGGCCACAGACTTCCCCAGCACACCCCAGCATTTCCAAAGGCACTCCACCTACAAACCAGGAAAGCTTCCAACTCCAGGGTCTTCTCCCCACATAGACCAAGTGAGTCACATACTAGTAAAGAAAACAGTCTTCATCTTGAGAATGTTAACAAGCTAGGAAATCAATGCTGGCATGAGACAAGGCTTAGAGCAGAGGTCAGGTGTGCCTCCTCAGGCATACAGGCGAGCACAGGAGGGCCAGCTGACGTCAACAGTCATTCATCAAGAGCAGCACAGGCACTTACAGCCAAACAGAACTCTCACCTGGCAAGGGGCAGGCTCGAAACATACATTCAAAGAGCAGAGACAGTTGCCGGGTCCTCTTTACCTGTCTGTGATTTTGTGGTGGCCATGTAGCACTGGTTCTGAGGTAGCGACTGATGAAGGGATGGGAAGGGGGGTAAAAGCTGCTGTCGTCCAAAGTCAGAAATGTTTTTGTTGATCTCCTCTTTTGGTTCCTTATGATCTCTAGCTTCTCGAACTTCTCTGGGATCTTTACTGGCTGCATGCTTCAAAACAAAGACAGTGAATAACTATAACTGCATAAGCAGGTGGTCACTGAAATAACATGCAACCAAAATCACAGTTCTTCTCCCCGATAATTCCCCACAACCGAAAGATGAGATACAATGGAGAGAGGAGAAAGTCTGCAAGCGGAAACAGCACAGCTGTCCTCACGTGTGCCTAGTTGCCCCTCAGATGGGTTAGGTCAGCATCTACAAACCATGGCCCAAGCTAAGAACAGCATTTACAGGGCTAAAGGCCAGAAGGAGGAATGAGCAGGAGGGAGGAGGAACAGTGACCACATGTGGTCCACAAAACCTGAAACATTTTCTAGCTGGTTCTTTGCAGAAAAAAATGTTCCAACCCCTGACTTAGATAATACACTTACTAAGCTAAAAAATACCCAAAATGGGCAGCATCAAAACCTCTCAAAACCTGCTTTCCCAGTTTACCATGGCTACAGTTTGCAACATCCCCAAATGGCATTTATCCCACAGTAGGTAACTATGTTGTGTGTTAAAATGGTATTTTACTCAGTCTCAGTGATCTCCTAAATCTGCCTTTAGTCTCAGCCTGCAGGGCAAGGCTGTGATACCAACAGCAAACTCCCAGTACCTCCTTCATTGCAGAATGCACAGACACAACTGAACCTCCACTCTCTGTCTGCTTCCCTCGTCACCTACAGACCTGTGATAGTTTAACTTCAAATCTAATTCAACTGAACCACACTTTACTGTGCACATAGTGGGTGCAATACACAGTAAAATACACAGTAAAAATACACAGTAAAAAGTGTTAAACGACAGGGCATTCTTCAGGAAATGGTACCGGGAGAACTGAATGACCACATGAAAAAGAATGAAGCTGGACCCTTTTCTAAACCATATAAAAAAATTAACCCAAGATGGACCACAGTCCTAACTGCAAAACCTAAAAGTATAAAACTCAGGAGGAAACCGGGGAAGCTTCCCAACATTGGATCTGGCAGTTATTTTCTAGACGTGAAACCAAAAGTACAGGCAACAGAAGAAAAAAATAGACAAACTGGACTTAATCAAAGTTAAAATTTCTGGGCCAGGTGTGGTGTGTCACACCTGTAATTCCAGCACTTTGGGAGGCCAAGGGGGAAAGATCACTTGAGGCCAGGAGTTCAAGATGAGTCTGGGCAACATAGCAAGACCCTGTCTCTACAAAGAAAAATTTACAAAAATTAAAATTTATGTGCATCAAAGGACATAGTTAACAGTGAAAAAGCAGGTTATGGAATGGAGAAAACATCTGCAAATCCATCAGGAATTATTATCCAGAATACATGAAAAAGTCTTACAACTCAACAATAAAAAACCACCAGAATAAAAAATGGGCAAAGGACCTGAACAGACATTTCTTCAAGGAAGACATACAAATGGCTAATGAGCACATGAGAAGATGCTTACCCTCATCAGGGAAATGCATATCAAAACCACGGTGAGTACCATTCACACACTAGGATGGCTACTATGAAAAAAGAATGCTTAACATCATTGGGGAAATGCATATGGAAACCACAGTGAGCAGCATGGATGGCTACTAGGAAAGAACAGAAAATCGTGTTGTGAGAACTGGAGAAATGGGAACCCTTGTGCACTGCTGGTAGGAAGTGAAACGGTGCATCCGCTGTGGAAAACTCAAAAAGCTAAGTGTGGAACTACCATGTGATCCAGCAGTTCCACTGCTGGGCACGTGCCCCAGCAGCACTGAAAGCAGGGTCTTGAAGAGATGCTTGTACACCCACGTTGATAGCAGCATCAACCACAGCAGCCAAAAGGGGGAAGCCACCCGAGGGTCGGCTGTCGGGCGAACGGATCAGCAAAGTGTCGTGTGCAAAACGCAGTGACGTGTGACTCAGCCTGAGAAGCAGCGAAGCTGGGGCCCGCGCTGCAGCGTGGATGAGCCTCGGGGACACTGTGCCGAATGAAGTAAGTCAGCCACAAAAGAACAAACGTTGTACCATTCCACTTACAGGAGGTCCCTAGAGTCGTCCAACTGATGGACACAGAAAGTAGAATGGTATTGCCAGGGACTGGGAGAGAGGAATGGGAAGTCAGTGTTTAAAGGAGACAGAGCTTCAGTGTGGGAAGATGAAGAGGTTCCAGAGACGGAGGGTGGCGATGGCTGCACGGCAGCGTGAATGTGCTTAATGCCACTGAGCTGTTTACTTAAAAATGGTTAAGTTTGATATTATGTGTTTTACCACGCACATACGCACACACACACACACACACACGACAAGGCACCTGCATCAACTATAGTCAAGGCCAGGGAGAAGTAACCAAGGTCATAAGTAACTCAAAGTGCTCGGTGGGTCCATGACATGGGTGAACATGTGGCTGCAGAGACAGCTCTGAGGGATTCAGGAGGTGCTTGTGGAGGTTACAGGTGAGGCAGGGAGGCAGAGCGAGAGTTCCAGGCAAGAGCACACGGAGGAGAACAGGGTAGCACCTGGCTTGGCTGGGAGATGAGAGGGGTGTGCCAGGGCGAGCTGGAAGGCACAGGGGAGCGAGTACTCTTGGGGCTGGCTCTCACGGCCTCACGGTCTCCACCTCTCTCTGTCTCACAGGCGCACTCTGTCTGTGTCTGTTTCCCTCCCTCCTTGCCTCTCTGTCTCTCGAGCGCATCTTGCTGCCATGTGGTCCTTGCAAAGCTTCTCAGTGAGCCCACACTAAACTGCCAGACACCCCACTGATGTCCAGAACAGACATAGAACGACCTGGGCTCCCTACTGCGGAACCTACCCTGGATTCACATTCTAGTGGCCACAGCTCCCTGGAGTTTTTTGTTGCTTCTCCCTGTGGAGACCTGTCCAGCTCAGCAACCCTGTGTGCCACATTCAGTGATTCCTCTTGGAATGTACCTCCACCTCTGGGATGCCCTTACTTTTTCCCCGAGGGATGAATGCTCTCCTTCCTCCTTCAAAGCACAGCTCAGACATGACAGCTCCTCCTGCCATGTCCACTAATGAAGGCACCTCACACACGGAACACTGAAAGCCCCACGAAGGCCACATGTCTGCCACACGAAGGCCACACGTCTGCCCAACGAATGCCACACGAAGGCCACATGTCTGCCCCACATCTGCCCCACGAATGCCACATACCTGCCCCACGAAGGCCACACACCTGCCCCACGTCTGACATGCCTGCCACACGAATGCCACACGCCTGCCACACACCTGCCACAAGAATGCCCCATGAATGCCACACGCCTGCCCCAGGAATGCCACACGCCTGCCCATGAATGCCACACAAATGCCACACGCCTGCCCCACGAATGCCCCACGAAGGCCACACGCCTGCCCCATGTGACACGCCTGCCACACTAATGCCACACGTCTGCCACACGAATGCCCCATGAATGCCACACGCCTGCCCCACGAATGCCACAAGCCTGCCACACGAATGCCCAACGAATGCCACATCTGTCCCACGAATGCCACACGTCTGCCCCACGAATGCCACACGTCTGCCACACGAATGCCACAAGTCTACCACACGAATGCCACACGTCTGCTGTATAACGTTTCTTGGTCTTTCTCCAGCACACCAGGTTTGACTGCAGTGAAGCCACTGTTAGAACTCAGGAGTCGGTCCCCCTTTATGTCACCTACAAACCACCGACCAGGCTGTTTGGCTCACGTGGCTCTCCCCTTCAGCTGGTGCTTACAAACACAAAATGCGCTTTCAAAGTACATATTGATGAAGGTACAAAAACAAAACCTGAAGAGAAAATAGCCATGTGAGGCTAATTCTTGCCGAGGTACACACACCTATTCTTTAATTTAAAAGGTTATTTTCAAGAATCTCAACAGTAAGACTAAGAATGGCTTAACTGAGGTGAGAATTCTAGATTTAGGTTTTGTTGGGACTCTTGTTACCTAACAAAGCACAAGGAAAGACCTAGCCATGGAGGCAGCACGGCCGGCCCATCCCATCTCCACAGGGCCTGGCTCTGGGAGGGCAGCCCTTCCCCGAGGCTCTTCCCTCCTGTGGGGGCGGGAGGCCCCTTCGCTGAGGCTCCTCCCTCCTGGCAGGGCGGGGGTGGGGCGGTGGGCTGTGCACCAGGGTGAGTCACACAGTAGGACACTTAGCAGCACTTCTTCACACAATTGCTAAGAACCACCTCCAGTGCAGACCAACAGGCACCACCTCTCTCCCAGCAACTAGAGCCTAGAGTGGGTACCAGGAGGTGAGGTGTGGAAACACACACACAGAGAGAAAAACAAGGGGCCCCATGCTGACGCCTCCTGGAGTGGGCACAATTTACAAGGAAATGGAGCTGCCAACCAGGTCACAGTAACAAGCATTTCCAGGTAGAAAAAAATGTTCCCTTCCGGCGACTTCCACTTTCTTTGCCCTAACAACAGTGAAGCTGCCAGTGAGCAGGCCTCGCTCTGAGCTGGGGCTTTATGATGGGGATTAACGCTGGATACAGGGTCCAAATCCCTTGGTTCTGGCCACGGGATCGTGAGACTGCAGCCGTGACAACACCTTCATGTTTAAACTTTTATGAGAATATTGGATTTATTAAAGCCTGCAACATTCGTTTTATCACTGGAATGACTTTTTAAAACGTAATTTTCAATAAATTGTGGCTTTAAAAAAATACCAAACAAGACTAAATTGGGTTTGGGGTGGCAGGAAATCCTGAAGGGTGGAGAGGCCACAGGCCCAGACAGACACGGGCACACCCCGGGCCACAGGCCCAGAACCACAGACACAGACACACCCCGAGCTCAGGCCCAGAACCACAGACACGGACACACCCCGGGCTCAGGCCCAGAACCACAGACACGGACACACCCCGGGCTCAGGCCCAGAACCACAGACACAGACACACCCCGGGCTCAGGCCCAGAACCACAGACACAGGGCACACCCCGGGCTCAGGCCCAGAACCACAGACACAGGGCACACCCCGGGCTCAGGCCCAGAACCACGGACACAGACACACCCCGGGCTCAGGCCCAGAACCACGGACACAGACACACCCCGGGCTCAGGCCCAGAACCACGGACACAGACACACCCCGGGCTCAGGCCCAGAACCACAGACACAGGCACACCCCGGGCTCAGGCCCAGAACCACGGACACAGGCACACCCCGGGCTCAGGCCCAGAACCACAGACACAGGCACACCCCGGACTCAGGCCCAGAACCACGGACACAGACACACCCCGGGCACAGGCCCAGAACCACGGACACAGACACACCCCGGGCTCAGGCCCAGAACCACAGACACAGACACACCCCCGGCTCAGGCCCAGAACCACAGACACAGACACACCCCGGGCTCAGGCCCAGAACCACAGACACAGACACACCCCGGGCTCAGGCCTAGAACCACAGACACAGACACACCCCCGGCTCAGGCCCAGAACCACAGACACAGACACACCCCGGGCTCAGGCCCAGAACCACAGACACAGACACACCCCGGGCTCAGGCCCAGAACCACAGACACAGAGCACACCCTGGGCACAGGGGGGCACCCACCTTCCCATAGTCTCTGCCACACCACCTCCGTGGGGCCCACAGATACAGAGCACACTCCGGGTGCAGGGCAGGCACCCTACCGCCACAGTCTCTGCCGCACCACCTCTGTGGGGCCCACACAGAGCATACCGGGGGCACAGGGGGGCACCCACCCACCCACAGTCTCTGCCGCACCACCTCCGTGGGGCCCAGAGACACAGAGCACACCGCAGGTGCAGGGCAGGCACCCTCCCACCCATAGTCTCTGCCGCACCACCTCCGTGGGGCCCACACACACAGCCCTGCCCTGGCTCAGTCCACCCCCTCCTTCTCCTGCAGACTCCCCCAGGAGCACAGCAAGTTCTCCAGGGTGCGGAGAGGCAGTGGAGAGTCTTCAGGAAACCAGGTTCCGAAGCCTCAAAACACTCAAGTTCTCTTTTCCTACAACAGACCAGCCTGTGAATGTTCACTAATTTTCAACCAAATGATGTGCTGTAATCAATTACACTTTAATTACTCAATCCAGAAAAAAGCGATCACTTAAATAAGCCTCATGGTCAGAGAATTTTCTAAAAATTTCAAATTGCTTTTTTTCCCTAAAGGAATGTAATAGGATGACAATAAAAGATCCTCACGAATAAAAATATATGAGAATAAAATCCTGGAAGTAGGACTGTAATAAAAGCATAACTTCAGAGAGACGAATGATGTACAGTTTCTAACGTGAGTTTTAAAACTGTGACTGGGGCGCCATCCACAGGCAAAAATAAATTCAACCTCAGCCCAAGCCTCAGACTTTATACAAACATTAACTCAAAATGGATCACAGATTTAAAGTTCACGTAAGACTGAAAAAAAAAAAAAATTAGAGAAATTGAGATCTAGGGCTAGGTGAAGAGTTATCACACACAACACCAACAGCACAATCCACAGGAGAAAACTGATAAACCGGACTTCATCAAAATGAAACACCTTTGCTCTGTGAAAGACCTTTTGAGAGAAAGAAGAGAAGCTTCAGACCAGCAGAAAATACTGGAAACCACATAGCTGACAAACACTCATATACAGAACTCTCAAAGCTAACAAAACAATGCAATCATAAAACGAGCAGAAGTCTGAAAGACATTTCACCAAAGATGACACACCGACAGCAAAGCAATGTGCAAGGGGATGAGCGTGAGAGGCGTGGAGGGAACAAGAGTGAGAGGCGTGGGAGAGGATGAGGGTGAGAGATGTAGGAGAGGGTGACGGTGAGAGGCGTGGGAGAGGGAGAGGATGAGAGGCGTGGGAGAAGGTGAGAGGCGTGGGAGAGGGTGAGAGGCGTGGGAGAGGGTGAGAGGCGTGTGAGAAGGTGAGAGGCGTGGGAGAGGGTGAGAGGCGTGGGAGAGGGTGAGAGGCGTGGGAGAGGGTGAGAGGCGTGGGAGAGGGTGAGAGGCGTGGGAGGGGGTGAGAGGCGTGGGAGGGGGTGAGGCGTGGGAGGGGGTGAGAGGGGAGGGGGTGAGTGTGAGAAGTCTGGGAGGGGTGAGTGTGAGAAGTCTGGGAGGGGGTGAGTGTGAGAAGTCTGGGAGGGGTGAGTGTGAGAAGTCTGGGAGGGGGCGAGTGTGAGAAGTCTGGGAGGGGTGAGTGTGAGAAGTCTGGGAGGGGTGAGTGTGAGAAGTCTGGGAGGGGGTGAGTGTGAGAAGTCTGGGAGGGGTGAGTGTGAGAAGTCTGGGAGAGGATGCTCCCCATCAGCAGTCACAGGGATACGCACGCTGAAGCCTCGAGGAAACACCAGCGCACCCAACAGAAGCGCTAAATAAAAAGTGGGTAAGAGCTAACGCTGGCGAGGACGCCGGCGAGGAGGGGAGAAAGGCGGCCACTGCAACATCGCCGGTGGGCGTGTGAAAGGCTGCAGCCACTCTGGAGTGTGGTTCAGCAATTTCCTCGTTCAATGAAACACCCGAAGGCCATAGAACCCAGTGATTATGCTCCTGTGTGTTTGACCCACAGAAGTAAATCTTACATCCAAAACGTGTACGTAAATGCCCCGAGCAGCTCTAAAGTAAAAATGCCCAGTGTCCTTCAGCGGGTGAGTGCCGACGTACAAGGCTGTCCACACCCCACAGAACACCAAGGCCTCAGCAGAGAACGGGACGGGCTAATGACGTAACTTGGATGATCTTAAGAGAACTATGCTGAGTGACAAAAGCTACTCTCAAAAGGTTACATACATTATAATTCCATTTATATAAAATCAGAAATAGGCCGGGCACGTTGGATCATGCCCATAATCCCAGCACTTTGGGATGCCGAGGAGGGCAGATCACTTGAGCTCAGGAATTCAAGACCAGCCTGGCCAACAAGACAATATCCCTTGTCTACAAAAATATAAAAATCAGCCGGGCAGGGTGGTGCACATCTGTAAACCCAGCTACTCAGGAGGCAGAGGCAGGAGGATGACTTCAGCCTGGGAGGCAGAGGTTGCAAAGAGCTGTGATCAGGCCACTGCAGTCCAGCCTGGGTGACAGAGTGAGATCCTGTCTTAAAAAA
The DNA here is from genome assembly GCF_000001405.40 of Homo sapiens. NCBI lineage: Eukaryota > Metazoa > Chordata > Mammalia > Primates > Hominidae > Homo > Homo sapiens. The sequence goes on along the minus strand of NC_000009.12, from coordinate 137,720,315 downwards.
AAAAGAAATGACAAAATTATAAAAATGGAATCTGCAGATGAGAGGCTGGCACAGGTTCAGGTCTGGTTGGTGGCTACACAGGGTGACGTCAGGGACCCTGGTGTGGGGGGTTCCATATCTCGACTGTGCCCTGGTGTGAAGGGGGTTCGGCACCTCGACTGTGTCCTGGTGTGGAGGGGGTTCGGCACCTCGACTGTGCCCTGGTGTGGAGGGGGTTCGGCACCTCGACTGTGCCCTGGTGTGGAGGGGGTTCGGCACCTCGACTGTGCCCTGGTGTGGAGGAGGTTCGGCACCTCGACTGTGTCCTGGTGTGGAGGGGGTTCGGCACCTCGACTGTGTCCTGGTGTGGAGGGGGTTCGGCACCTCGACTGTGTCCTGGTGTGGAGGGGGTTCGGCACCTCGACTGTGTCCTGGTGTGGAGGGGGTTCGGCACCTCGACTGTGTCCTGGTGTGGAGGGGGTTCGGCACCTCATGTGTCCTGGTGTGGAGGGGGTTCGGCATCTCGACTGTAGTGGTGTTTCCACACATCCACACACGGTAAACTGCACAGAACACCCTGCACGTGATGCACGTGCACACAGGTGATGGTGAAACTGAGTAAGCCCCACGGACTTTACCAATGTCAGCATCCTGGGTCTGACATTGTCCTCTAGTTATCAAAGACATCACCACTGAAGGAAGCTTGGTGAAAGGTTTTTTTGCAGTTTCCTGTGACACTGTAATTATTTTTAAGATTTTCTAAAGCTTTGCCATGTACAGAAGAATACTGCAAAAGGTTGAGGTCGGGTCAGGCCGGCCAGCCTGGGAGTGGAGAAGCCCCAGGGCTAGGGCAGTTGTCCGCACCACGAGGTGCCCGCCTTATCTGTCCTAGGAGAGGACGCAACACCCAGCAGCTGTGGGCCCCTGAGGAGCCAGCAGTCCGGCCCACAACGCACCCACCACCCCCTGAGGAGCCAGCAGTCCAGCCCCACAGTGTGCCCACCACCCACTGTGGTCACTGCAGACAGGCCACAGAAAACGCACACAGCACTCATAGTCAGGCTGAGACACTATGACAGAAACAAAGATGGAGACACCCTGGTGGGGGAAAAAGCTAAATCTGAGAGGAAAAAAAAGTCACAAACAGGAGGTGTCAAGTCCAAGAGAACCCCCACTTGAGGAATCAGAATTTACAACAGAGATTATAGAAGAATTATAATCACCGTCTTTTGAAAGATAACGCAAGATAGAATTCAGTATTTTTTAAATTAAAAGAACTAATCAGGCCGGGCGCGGTGGCTCACACCTGTAATCCCAGCACTCTGGGAGGCCGAGGCGCATGGATCACCTGAGGTCAGTTCAAGAACAGCCTGGCCAACATGGTGAAACCTCATCTCTACTAAAAATACAAAAATTAGCCAGGTGTGGTGGTAGGCGCCTGTAGTCCCAGCTACTTGGGAGGCTGAAGCATGAGAATCACTTAAACCTGGGAGGCGGGGGTTATAGTGAGCTGAGATCGCGCCATTTCACTCTAACCTGGGTGACAGAGCAAGACTCCGTCTCAAAAAAAAAAAAAGAAAAAGAAAAAGAAAAAGAGAGAGAACTAATCAGAGATACTGGGCATGAAAAAAATTTATGTCAGAATAAAATATATCAATATATGGGATGAACAGCAAGAAGGGGAAGGGCTGAGGAACCAGTAAGGAAGCTGGAAACAGACAGAGAACTGCCCAGGAGGACAGAAGAGCCGGCCATTTAAGAGGAGCTCCATGGGAAGAAAACAGAAGAAAACTCATACAGAGCATCCTTCTGGAGCTGAAGACACAAATCCTCCAATTGACAGGGCTGTGAAGCCCTAAACAGTGGCTGAGGGGAAAGAGCAAACGATCTACAAACAAATGACAAGAAAGTGCTGTCAGAATGTTCACCAGCAATGTCAGAGAGAGAAAATTCCACGGGAATGTGATCACAAACCTAGAACTTACACCCAAATTCACATCAAACTGAGAGAGCACACTAAAAGCACCATGAACACTTTGAAAACCTGTATCGTGTATGCACCACGTAAGATCTGGTGATCAGTCCAGCACAGCATGTGTGAGAAGCACGCGTGCCCTGTGTGTGAAAATCAGCACGGTGCGCGTGAGGGGCGGGCGCGCCCTGTGTGTGAAAATCAGCACGGTGCGTGTGAGGGGCAGGCGCGCCCTGTGTGTGAAAATCATCACGGTGCGTGAGGGGCGGGCGCGCCCTGTGTGTGAAAATCATCACAGTGCGTGAGGGGTGGGCGCACCCTGCGTGTGAAAATCATGGTGCATGCGAGGGGTGGGCGCGCCCTGTGTGTGAAGCGCTCAGGATTCAAGACTCATTCTGCTCTCAAGGTACGGCTGAGCCCAGCAGCTCAGGGTTGGGAGGGAGACCTCGGCATGTCTCCAGGTGGCCCTTTGCCCCTCACTTCTGTGACATTCTGGCCCTAACCAAGTTCATTTCTATTCACTTCTCAATGAAACAGGGTCAGGGCTGAGTCTTCCCTAGCTGGAGTGAAAGCCCCAATGTCCAAAGCAGAAGAGGCCGTGGCCTCCTTGAAAGGATCTGACACGTTTCTACAGAGAGCAACAGAATCCTGTGAGAAGAGAAAGCACAAGAAGGAAGCGAGGCGTCACCTGGCATCACTCCGCTTTGTCACTCACGCACAAGGCATTAGCAGCATCTCTTTTTTTTTTTTTTTTTTTTTGAGACAGGGTCTCACTCTGGTGCCCAAGCTGGAGTGCAGTGAGGTGATCCGGGCTCACTGCAGTCTCCACCAGGCTCAAGCAATCCTCCCACCTCACACTCCTGAGTAGCTGGGACTACAGGTACGCACCACTATGCCCAGTTAATTTTTGCATTTTTTACAAAATTTTGCATTTGAGTTTCGCCACGCTGCCCAGGCTGGTCTCAAACTCCTAGGCTCAAGCAATCCACCCGCCTCAGCCTCCCAAAGTGCTGCGATAACAGCTGTAAGCCACTGCTCCCGGCCTTCTCCTAGCTCCTCATAGGCCCTGTCGGATAACCACTGACACTTACTGGCTTCTCCTCAATGCACCAAAGTCCATTTGCCGTTATTAAAACAAAAGAGATGGGAAAAAGGAAACAGCAAGAGAAGACACAAAATTACCAGGCCCACGACGGACTTCGGCATGGTCTTGCGTGCCCTGTGGACCTTGACGTCGGCGCCAGGGGCCGGGAGCTTCCTGTCCTCTGTGTCAGCACTCCCCTCCCCAAGGGTGGCTGGTGGGGCGGCTGGCGTCTGGGGAAAAGCGCTTGGAGTCCTGCCTTTGCCAGCCCCTCCAGGAAGGGTTTTTGCAGCATGGCCAGGCAGCGAAGAGGCCAGAGTGCTGGTAGTCCTCAAGGGCTGTGCCTGTAGGGCCGGCTTATTTAAGATGTATCCGTTGCTGCCGATGACAGAAGTCTGCACAAAGTCGTCGGCAGTGACGTGGTTTTGCTTCGCCGCTTCTGAGTCTCTTTCTGAAACCCCATTTTCCGCTATCCGAGTTAGTGTGTTGGTGCCATCCTGGGGGTTGACCCTTGCGCTGTCCTGAGTGTGCTTTGCAGCATTTGCATGACTGCTGGCATCGCTGTTTTCACAAGACCCATTGGTCTCACCGTCCGCAGCCATGTGGGCCTCTCCTGCCTGTTTCTCTGCTGAGCCTTCATCGGCAGCCATAGGTGTCTCTGCCAACAAAGAAACGAGTGTCACTGACTGCAGGCCACGCTCTCCATGGCACCACCACCACCACCACTTCCTCCCCCACCATGACACCACCACAACTTCCTCCCCCACCATGACACCACCACAACTTCCTCCCCCACCATGACACCAACACAACTTCCTCCCCCACCATGACACCAACACAACTTCCTCCCCCACCATGACACCAACACAACTTCCTCCCCCACCATGACACCAACACAACTTCCTCCCCCACCATGACACCACAACTTCCTCCCCCACCATGACACCACCACAACTTCCTCCCCCACCATGACACCACCACAACTTCCTCCCCCACCATGACACCACCACAACTTCCTCCCCCACCATGACACCACCACAACTTCCTCCCCCACCATGACACCAACACAACTTCCTCCCCCACCATGACACCACCACAACTTCCTCCCCCACCATGACACCACCACAACTTCCTCCCCCACCATGACACCAACACAACTTCCTCCCCCACCATGACACCACCACAACTTCCTCCCCCACCACGACACCACAATTTCCTCCCCCCACCATGACACCAACACAATTTCCTCCCCCTATGACACCACCACCAACACAATTTCTTTGGCTGGCTTATATAAAACTGTCTACAGAAAATTATTTTGTTTCATAGCAAACCAGCATTTCAGTTCAAACATATTAAACATAAACATTTCTTAAGCATTAACGTTGAACGTTAGTTGGTTAAGTTTGGGGAATCACTGCTATAATAAAACATGGAGTGTTATTTGGAGATAGAAAACAAGGCTTCAGAAGAGGCTTCACAATAACTAACAGAGAAAATGGGTCAGAAAAAGGGCTTATACTTGGAGCACATCCGTGGTCTGCTCTCCACTCCCTACAGAGGCTCACTCTCCGATGACAACCCCAGGAAATCATATCCAGGGCAGTCAAGGAGACACTATTTTACATCACGAGATTGACACACACACTCAGCTCAGGACAGGCTGAGGCAGGAAGCCTGCGATGGCATCGCTAGGTGCACACGGAGCTCAGTCAAGCCTGAGATGCCACCGCCCAGTGCCCTCCTTCCTGGCTCTGTTCTTCCTGGTGCTTATCACCTCGAGCACAACAGACCTGATCATCTGTCATGCTGGCCGTCTGTCCTTCCACCCGAGGACGTTAAGTCCTATGAGCGCAAATGCCCTGTCTGTTTACCAGTGTACCCTGAGCACATGAACGAGGCCTGGCATCTAATGTGTGTGTTCTGAATAAACAACTATGTTTTAAAAACCCTTAACAAAACAGAGTAAGTGGAAACTTCCTCATACCAAATCCTGCAGCAGATGTATATGTAAATGCTAAATTAATTGCATATAAGATCTATTAACACTACCAGTGTCTGACATAAAAAGGCAGTGCAGGTGACACCAAAGGGAAAGAACAATGTGAGGGTCAAACTGTTCCCACCTGCATCTGACACAATCATTTACTTAAAAACAGACTCAATTAGCAACTAAAACACAAGAGTACAACCAGACTGCTGAATTTGAAATCATGTTACAAAATCAAAGACATTTATTTATATCAACATTACCTAGAAAATGTAAGAAAAAAAAGTATCATTCACAGAAGTAGGGAAAACTACAAAGGGTATTAGGAAATTTGCCAAGATTACTCAAAGCCAATGTGTTGAAAAAAAAGTTAAATAGAAGGCATTTCATGCTCCTAAATGGATGACATTACAAAGCTGTCAAGTCCCCTCAAATTGAATCTATAAGCTGGGTGTGGTGGCTCATGCCTGTAATCCCAGCACTTTGGGAGGCCAAGGAGGCATGATCGCTTGAACCCAGGAGTTCACGACCCACCTGGGCAACATAGTGAGACTCTGTACCAAAAATTAAAAAATTAGCCGGGCATGGAGGTGCACACTTGTAGTCCCAGATACTCAGGAGGCTGTGGCAGGAGGGTCGCTTGAGCCCAGGAGGTCAAGGCTTCAGTGAGCTATGATTGCACCACTGCACTCCAGCCTGGGTGACAGGTCTCATTAAAAAAAAAAAAAAAAAAAAAAATGAGCAAACTGAATCCAGCTCCGCACCCCCCAACAACAAAACAAAATTGGTGAGGAGGATTAAACCATGAACAAGTGGAATTTAACCCCAGAAATGCAAGGTTGGCTTAATAGCTAAAAATGAATTAATATGCCAAATATCAATAGAACAAAATAAAGGACAAAACCACACAAGCATCTCATTAGACAGGAAAAAATGAACACCCCTTCATGGTCAAAACACTTAGCAAATGGTTTGCTAAGAAAAGAAAACTTCCTCAATCTAACATAGGGCATCTATGAAAAACTACAGCTAACATCACACTTAAAGGTGAAACCCGGGAAGCTCTCTCCCTAAGATCAGAAACCAGACAAGGATGTCCAGTCTTGCCACTTCTATTCAACCCTGTACTAGAGATTCGAAGTAGGGCCATAAGGAAGAAACAGAAATAAAAAGAATGCAGATTGGAATGGAAGAAACCAAATGAGCCCTAAAGATGACACAAGCTTTTATGCAGAAATTCCCAAGGAAGTTTAAATCATTAGAACTAATAAACGAGTTTAGCAAGGTTATAGGATATAAGATAAATATGCAAAAATCAATTTTTTTTAACTTTTTTTATTTTTTGAGATGGAGTCTCGCTGTGTCACCCAGGCTGGAGTGCAATGGCATGATCTCTGCCCACTGCAAGCTCTGCCTCCCGGGTTCAAGTGATTCTCCTGCCTCAGCCTCATGAGTAGCTGGGATTATAGGTGCGAGCCACCACATCCCGCTAATTTTTGTATTTTTAGTAGAGATGGGGTTTCACCACGTTGGCCAGGCTGCTCTTGAACTCCTGACCTCAAGTGATCTGCCCACCTTGGCCTCCCAAAGTGCTGGGATTACAGGCATGAGCCAGTGTGCCCAGCCAATCACTTGTATTTCTATACAGTATCAATGATCAAAATGAAAAAGAATTTTTAAAACAATTCTATTTAAAATAGCATCAAAAAATATAATACTTAGGGGCCAGGCACAGTGGTTCACGCCTGTAATCCCAGCACTTTGGGAGGCCAAGGCGGGTGGATCATGAGGTCAGGAGATGGAGACCATCCTGGCTAAGATGGTGAAACCCCGTCTCTACTAAAAATACAAAAAAAATTAGCCGGGCATGGTGGCAGGTGCCTGTATTCCCAGCTACTCGTGAGGCTGAGGCAGAAGAATGGCGTGAACCCGGGAAGCGGAGCTTGCAGTGAGCCGAGATCGTGCCACTGCACTCCAGCCCGGGTGACAGAGCAAGACTCCATCTCAAAAAAAAAAAAAAAAAAAAAAAATTAGCATGGTGTGGTGGCTCACACCTGTGGTCCCAGCTACTTGGGAGGCTGAGGTGGTAGGATTGCCTGAGCCCAGGGAGATGGAGGCTAGAGTAAGCCATGATCACACTCCAGCCTGGATTACAGAGGGAGACCCTGTCTAAAGAAAAGAAAATCTTACAATAAACCCTCACATTTAAAGCCAACTGATTTTCAACGAGGGTGCAAGAACAATTCAATGAGGGAAGAAAGGTCTTTTTCATAAATGTTGCTGGGACAACTGATTATCAACTTGCAAAATAATAAACTGGGACCCCTACTTCAAACCATATACAAAAATTAACTCAAAATTGATCGAAAACCTAAATAAAAGAGATAAAACTATAAAACTCCAAGAAAAAATAAATGTAAATGTTTGTGACCTTCTATTAAGTAATGGTAAGTTCTTAGGTTTTAGACCAAAAGCACCAGCAACTAAAAGGAGGAAAAAAACAGGTAAGTCGGACTTCATCAAAATTGAAAACATTTATACTTCAAAGGACACCATCAAGAAAGGGGAAAGACAAGCCACAGACCGGAAGAAAATATTTGCAAATCCCATGGCTGATAAGGGACTTCTGCTTATATAAAGAACACTGAAAACTCAACAATAAAAATCAATCCAATTTGAAATCACAGGAGAAGAGATATTTCTCCAAAGAAGCTCTAAAGATGGCCAGTAAGCACACGAAATGATGCTCAACATCACTGGCCGTCAGGAAAATGCAAACCAAAACCACAATGAGATGCCACTTCCCACCCGCCAGGACAGCCACAGACACTAAGAAATGGTGGCGAGGACGTGGAGAACCTGGAGCCCTCTGCAACTGCTGCAGGGAAAGCAAGATGGGGCAGCCACCGTGGGGGTCCAGCAGTTCCCCCAGGGTGGAGAGGCCGTGGCTCAGCGGCAGTGTGTAAGGGAACAGGGCACAGGCAAAGCCTAAAGCGTAATGGAATAACCTGGGGCTTGTGGCATCTGGTGTCACGTAGGAAACAAGTTCCACTAGGAAGGTCAAAGGAGGGGTGACCAGGGAGAGAAGGGGGAAGAGCCGGAGGGCACTGGAGCCAACAGAAGAAACAGTTCAAAGACACAGAAAGGACGGCAACAGGAAGGGGCCAAAGTACAGGAAGAAAACACCCAGTCAGGCTGCAGGAGGTGGATGGCGCAGGAGGTGGGGGCAACCCTGGAGGGCCGGCTAGGGGTAGCGGCAGAGGCGGGCAGCGGTCACCACAGTGCACAGCCAGTGGGTGGACGAGAACCCACAGGCACAGCGAGGCCATCTAGGGTGAAAGGAGAACACGGCAGGGGCCACAGCCCACAGTCCATGAGGAGCCAGGCCTTGCGCGCTGTCTGGAGAGGAGCAGGCTCCAGCTGGGAGAGCCTTAGGCAAGTCCAGTGTCTGAGCTGCTCCCACGGCCGCCACCCTTATGGGTCCAGCCAGAACACCACTCTCCCTTCACTGTGGAGCACAGCACAGCTCGTCTGGCGCCACCTGCCCTCATTTCCTGGGGGCGCTCTTGGTGGTGCAGGCTCTCCAAGAACATCCGAACCCTATGTGTGCGCCACGCCTTACAGAGGGGTGCAGCCCCGCCGACTCCCCTCGCCCCAACTCCCCTCACCCTGCCTCTCTGCAGACACTTGCTTCCACACCACTCCCTCCACCTCCTGGTAACCACTGCTGTTCTCCAAGTGTCTGCCATAAAATTGGAGTCATGCAGCTTGTGGCCCTTTGGGTCTGGCCTCCTTCACTTAACAAACCGTACAAAAGCTTCATCCATGGCGCGGCGTCAGTCATGCTGTGTGCTCTTCTGGGCTGCTGACCGCTGTCCCACTGTGTGGATGTACCACGATCTGTTTATCCAGTTCCTTATCAACTGAGGACACCGGAGTGTCTCCGGTTTTCGGCGACGTGACAATGCTGCTATAAACATTTGTGTGGCCACTCACTTTTAATTTTCTGGGTGTACTTTAAGACAAGGATATACAGGATTTTTGCTTTTCATACTTTGACAAATGTGTTCCTTCTCTGGCAGAGCTTTTGTGTTTGTCTGTGCAACTGTGCTATTTAGGAATGGGATAGATTAGAAACTATACCATAAACCTAGGTGAAGCAAAGAAAGTCAGAAGACGGGGACTAATAAGAGAGGAAGAGCAGCAGGTTTTCTAGTCTGGAGGGAGGCGCTGCTCCTGTCCCTCGGTGCACACCGCCCTCACCTTCTCCCAGCAGCTCGGTTTTCACACAGCAATCCTGCTGAGGCTCCCCCCTCGCCGGAACTGCCTGTTAGAGAGAAACAACAGCCGTCAGCCGGGTTCAGTGGGAGGCCGCTTTTCCAAATGGACATCATTTGGAAAAAGTCAAAAAATCGTAGTTACAACATTCACCATGAGCTGCTGGACAGTCAGATTTACTCCTGCCAGCTGGTTACAGTCGCCTCCAGCAGAAGAACTGGCATTCAGAACACAGTCCAAGGAAACTTCTCCTGTATTTCTATTTTTGAAGACAGTTTCTTAACAATAAGAACGCATTCATGTATCATTTATATAATTAGATATCTGAAATCTTTGGGCTCTGTTACAGGAGTGTTACAATTTATTTCAAAATGCATTCTACTGCTGACAATAATTCATATATTTCAAATGTCCAACCTCCTACAAAAAATTATAGAAATAGATAAATCAAGAAAATTCAATAAGGAACTTAAATCACTAAATCTTTGAGATTAAGCATCTATAGAGGTATGTATTATACAAGGCCTCTTACAATTTTTTTGTTGAGACAGAGTTCACTCTCTCGCCCAGGCTGGAGTACAGTGGCGCGATCTCGGCTCACTGCAACCTCTGCTTCCACAGTTCAAGCGATTCTCAGGCCTCACCCACCTGAGTAGCTGGGACTACAGGTGCACACCACCACACCCAGATGCTTTTTGTGTTTTCAGTAGAGATGGGGGTTTCGCCATGTTGGCCAGGCTGGTCTCAAACTCCTGGCCTCAAGTGATCCGCCCGCCTCAGCCTCCCAAAGTGCTGGGATTAGAGGTGTGAGCCACTGCACTTGGGTGGCACTTGGACAGAATTTTTTTTTTTTTTTTTACACAAAAATCCTTGCCTTCAAGAAGCTTAGAGTCTGGTTGGAGAAGTGAACATAAACACATAAAACACTCCTAGCCAGGCCTCTCCCGACGCAGCAGCAGGACCATGGAGTCCATAAGGAGGCAGCAGGGAGTCTGCAAATGCCCCACCCACAGCTGGGGGCCGGGGAAGAGGGCTGCTGACCACTCTGGGCAGTTGGAGATGCCAGACTGCAAGTGGGAGCTGTCAGGCTGACACCCACACCTGGTGATGTGATACTGGAGAAAGCCCTCTGGTGAGGCCACTGGAAGCTGGAAGTGGGCAGGAAGCCTCCGGGTCAGAGTGATAAAATAGGAACAACTGAGGGAGGCACACTTGGTGCTCCGAGTCCACAACCAGAAGAGGAGAGGCACAGACTTGCCCGAGGTCACTAGGAGCAGCCAGTCAGACAGCTGCAGGAGGCCAGCCACGCACTGATTCCATCTTTAATTGACTATCAACAGGTAAGAAGAGGCTGCAAAAACCCGGGTGTCCAGCGTCTGGATGAGAAAACATGTCAACAATGGGGCCTCTCAACAGAACCCCTCCTCCCCACAAAGCAGACGCCAGGCCAGCCCCTACCTGAGCCCGGATGTGCCTACTGCTTTCCAGGGCTCACATCCATATGGTCTCGCTGCCTTCTGGGCTGACTTGGTAACACCGGACCTAACTGCATCACCCTCCCCAGGAGCTGGTCTTAGCAACTGTGCACAGCCCACCCCACCACGGTAAGGCAGGGGGGCCCAGGTTTCCACCTCCCACCCCCTGATCTCCCACTGCCAAGCCAGGGCCAGCAGCCCAGCTGCTCATGGCCAGCCCTCGAACATGCAGAGCACGCTACCTTTCCTGGTCCATCACAGCTGTACGCCAGCCAGCTCAGCCTGCACCCTTCACACCTACCCCCCAACAGGAGCTCTCCGGGGTCCCTGCAATCCTTCCAGGAGTCCAGGAGGTCAAAACTATTTTCATGGTAATACTAGGACCTCAATTGCCTTTTTCACTGTGCTGATATTTGCACAGACGGTGCCCAAGCGGTGGTGTCAGCCCCTTTGCATCGACCAGGTCAGGACACCGAAGTGTACTCCAGCAACTGAACTCTTGACCAGCAGGCACTTGGGGGGCTCGCCTGAGAGTGCCCTGGATGAGGCAGTGAGATGATGGCCTGTGAGCACAGCTCTCCAGCGTTCCACATCAGAGGAAGGGGGCAGGCAGCAGGCCAGGCACAGTGGCTGCGTGGAACCCGAAGCTTTCCTCACTCACAGAGCATCTTCACTTAAAAGAACAACTGGCAAAATGTATGCCACTCAGACCTGAACATACCACTCAGGCCTGGACATGCCACTCAGACCTGGACATGCCACTCAGGCCTGGACATGCCACTCAGTCAGACCTGGACATCTGGCAGACATTTCCACAGAACAGAGTGAGCCTCAAAGAAAACAACCAGTAGTATTTGTTGCCAATGTTAAAACTCTACCTTTTGAATTTTCGAAACACATGTAAATGTGTATCTGTCCCCATGAGCTTGAAAGTTTCTCCATATTTATGACTTTTCTTATTACATGAGCGGTATCATTAGTGACTATGATTTTTGATACCATATAATAAAATGTGTCAACATGGGGAAGATCTTCCTAACAAGGTGAGCTGACACTCCCCAAATGCCCAGTGCCTAATATTCAAAATCACGCATGGGACAAAGATGCATCCAAGATGGGCTTTAATGTCACAGAGGAAGAAGGTCATTGGCACAGTTTCACCTTGTTGAGTTTTCGTGTCATATCAAAGCAGAATAGCTGCAATTATCTGAAAAGATATCAAAATACTTCCCCCTTGCCAACCACATGTCTATGGGAGACCAGATTTTCTTCAGACAGTATCACCTCAGGCTGGGTGCAGAAGCCAATCTGCAAATCCAGCTGACTCTTCGATTAGCCAGACATGACAGAGATGGACCAACATGGAAAACAATGCCATTCAACTGAGTTTTTTTCATTCAGAAAAAGTACTTTTCACAGAAACTGCTGTATTCCCTAACATGTAAATAAAATGTTACATGTTTACTTTTATTATTTTTTAAAAATGTGATTTTTAACTTTTCAGTTTTCATTTCTTTTACAGTAACTATCATTAGATACAACCCAATAAACAAGAGCCCTCTGGGGTCCTCAATACTTTTAAGAGCAGGGCCTTGAGGCACACCAAAGACACCCTGCCTGCCACGGCACAGCTCTGCCGACAAGGTCTCCTGGCCTGAGATGAGCCGGGGTGGAGCATGGCAGGGCAGACCTTGTGAGGCTGCCGGGGTCTACAGGCATTTTTGGGCACCAGCTGTGCCCCTCACATGCTGTCCCCTCCTGGAGGCACCCGCCAAACCCCACTCCATCTCACAGTCCTCATCACCACCACCAGCCACAAATCCTACCCACGAAATTAAGTTTTGTAATCTTTTGAAAAAATGTTTAAGAATGCTATGTAACACACTACCGAATAATGTCTAGAATCATCCACCATTCTGCTGTGTGTCCAATTCAACTGCACTCAGGAATCCTCTGACAAGCACTGACCAACATGCCAGGCCTCATACCAGTGTTAGGGCCAGAAACACAGCACAGATGCCTCTGCCTGGTCTGTAGCATCCCCAGTGCTCACTTCCATTAAGGGACAGCTGAGGATGGCCCAGGGCAGAGGCGAAAGGAAAAGGGGGCACCGGGGAGGAGGGAGGCCCAGCAGAGGCAGACAGACCAGGCTCTGCAAGGCAGCGGCTCCGCCCTCTCCTCCAGAACCGTGGCCTCTCCTGACTTCCAGGAGGCTCGGGAAGGTTTTCTCCCAGCAAGGGATGCTGCTTCTGTAGCCCAGGGGCTGCTCCTAGGGTGCTGAAGCACCACAGGCTGGCTTCGGAGACCAGCCCCCCCAAGCAGCGCTGCCAAGTCTCCTTATGGCTGACGGACTCTAGGATTTTATGAAACCTCCAGATTAAGGACAAATTAGTTTACAATACAAATGTAAATGATAGGCCAGGCGCGCTGGCTCACGCCTGTAATCTCAGCAGTTTGGGAGGCTAAGGTGAGTGGATCACCTGAGGTCAGGAGTTGGAGACCAGTCTGGCCAACATGGCGAAACCCCGTCTCTACTAAAAATATAAAAATTAGCCGGGAGTGGTGGCACATGCCTGTAATCCCAGCTACTCGGGAGGCTGAGGCAGGAGAATCACTTTAACCTGGGCGGGGGCGGAGGTTGCAGTGAGCTGAGATCACGCTGCTTCACTCCAGCCTGGGCAAAAGAGCAAAACTCCATCTCAAAAAATATATATATATGTATAAAAGATAAATAATGTCTCAATAAAAAGGAGAAGCCAGGCACAGTGGCTCTCGCTTGCAATCCCAGCACTTTGGGAGGCCGAGGCAGGCGGATCACTTGAGGTCAGGAGTTCGAGACCAGTCTGGCCAACATGGCAAAACCCCATCTCCACTAAAAATACAAAAATTAGTTGGGCGTGGTGGCAGGCACCTGTAATCCCAGCTACTCAGGAGGCTGAGGCAGGAGAATATCTTTAACCCAGGAGGCGGAGGTTGCAGTGAGCCGAGATCACGCCACTGCTCTCTAGCCTGGGCAACAGAGCGAGACTCCGTCTCAAAAATAAATAAGGGGAGGAAGGGCTCCTGTTCATAACAGTGACAGAAATGCTGTCTCATCTCAATCATTCAGCCTAGCACATTATTCCTTCTCCTTGATCTAAGCAAAACAAAATGAATTAGTTAAAACAAAATTGTGTTTTATGTATCCTAAATCAAGACCTTTCCACTCACAACATCCACCTAGCTGGAGTGAGCAAACTACTTGGACTCAGACCCCGCACTGCAGAAGCTCTGCCCAGTCCAGGAAGCCTAGCCAAAAAATTCCCAAAAAAATCATCTGCATTTCCCTCAGGAGCCCCAACCTACAACTCCCCGGGATGGTCCAGGACTCGCCAACCCCCAGGCCAGGTCGGCTCTGCATGCCCTGCCCTGCCATGGCCCCGTGTGCCTTGACTGGCAGAGCCTAGCCCCGCCCCTGATGCCCCACCCCTGCTGACGCCCCACCCCCAACCCCCCAACGCACAAGGCAGAGGAGCCCAGGCAGAAGTGAAGGGTCCAGGTCCACTCCAGGAAGAACGGCCTGGGCCTTCCCCACCTCGCAATTTGGAAGTCCAGGAGAGGGAGGCACTGCAACTCACTTTTCAGAGGTAGACAGGAGCCCCAGAGCTGTGGGGAGAGGAGGGGACCGTGGGCCTCTCTTGGTCAGTACAGGTACCAGGGCAGGGCTGGTCCAGACCTCACAGCCCCAAGACTGCCACAGCCCTCTAGGGCCATCCCCCAACCTCACAGCAACAAGAGACTGAGTGCAGTGCCTACTCCAAACCTACCCTGGGAGGACAGCCCTGACTTGGGGCTTCTCGCTCAGTCAGGAAACCCCTCCTCCCCTTCCGCGTGGGTTGCACCTGCTAACCACAGAGCCAGCCTGACCTCTGCGCCCGCACGGCAAAACACATGACCAGTCCATTTCCACCTGAGCAACAGACCTTACATTTTTAGTGCCACAACTTGTGCACAATGTAGAGTACACACCAGGACGGTGGGTAAGAGAACAAAACCAGTGTGTGCAAAGCATGAACACGAAGCATGCACACATTCCAATTCTCACTCAAACACTGGCTTCAGTTCTTGCCACTTAAAAATCACATTATCTCAAGTCCAGAAAAACCCAGCTCCTTGGAAGTTCTTCTTATCCTCAGTACATCTGCCCAAACTCAAGAACACTCAGGAGATTTCATGTCCAACTTTCAAACGCAAGTTAAAGGAATTCCCAGGCCGGTGTAGTGGCTCATGCCTGTGATCCCAGCATTTTGAGAGGTCAAGGAAGGAGGACTGCTTGAGCTCAGGAGTTCAAGACCAGCCTAGACAAAACAGTGAGACCCCCATCTCTACAAACAATTTTTAAAAATTAGCTAGGAGTGGTGGCACACACCTGTAGTCCCAGCTACTTGGGAGGCTGAGGTGGGAGGTTCCCTTGAACCAAGGCTGGTTCAAGGTTTCCTTGAAACAAGGTTGTACCACTGCACTCCAGCCTGGGTGACAGAGGAAGACGCTGTCAAAAGAAGAAAAGAAAATGGAAAAGGAAGAGAGAGAGGGAGGGAGGGGAGGGGAGGGGATAAAGAAGGGAAGGAAGGGAGGAAAGAAAGAAAAGGAAGGAAGGAACAAGGAAAGGAAAGGAGGGAGGGAGGGAAAGAGAGGAACAAAGAAAGGAAAGGGAAGGAAAGGAAAGAAAGAAGGCAGGAAGAAAAGGAGGGAGGGAGGGCGGGAGGGAGGGAAGGCAGGCGGGAGGGAGGGAAGGCAGGAGGAAGGGAAATTCCCTCCCAGAGCCTGGGATTTCCAGGAATTCTGATGCTTCTTTCAAGTAAAGGGCCTTTTAAATACAAAATCCTAAATAAAAAGATAGAAGGATCAAAGTAAAAAGAAGAGAGGATACCAAGCAGCAATAATGAAGATTCTTGCAAACTAAAGGGGAATGGGGTGAAGGACCAAGACAAATGGCCAAGGGATGACCCAAGGACACTCCTCTCGGAACAGAAATACAGAACTCATTTTAGTCCTAAAACTCTATTCTTCTTAAATACCATTAAAAAAACCAAACACTATCTTAAATGTCCATGTTTCTTAAAATTAAAACCAATAGAAAATCCTCAATCTACAACCAGGGCAAGGCCACAAGCCTCCGGTCTTGGTCCTGCTTGTTTATGAGAACAAAGTGGCCCAGTCCTTCCCTCCAAGTCCCGAGCTCAGTGAGCTCCTTCCTCCCACACATTCCCCTACAGGCTGCAGAGCTGAGGTCACATCATAACCTCACTGTTTACAGACACATAGTGATATGGTTTGGCTCTGTGTCCCCACCAAAATCTCATGTTGAACTGTAATCCCGAATATTGGGGGAGGGGCCTGATGGGAGGTAACTGGATCATGGGGGCAGATGTCCCCCTTGCTGTTTTCGTGATATATCTCACAAGATCTGGTTGTTGGAAAGTGTGTGGCACTTCCCCCTTTGCTCTCTCTTCATCCTTATGGCCAGGTAAGATGTGCTCGCTTCCCCTTTGCCCTCCCGCCATGATTGCTAAGTTTCCTGAGGCCTCCCTAGAAGCAGAAGCCTCTACAGCCCACAGAACCATGAGCTGATCAAACCTCTTTTCTTTATAAATTACCCAGAATTAGGTATATCTTTATAGCAGTGTGAGAACAGACTAATACAGAAAATTGGTACTGGAGAAGTAGGGCATTGCTATAAAGATACCTGAAAATGTGGAAGCAGCTTTGGAAATGGGTAATGGGCCGAAGTTTGAACAGGTTAAAGGGCTAGGAAGAAGAAAGGAAGATGAACTTCCTAGAGGCTTTTTGAATGGTTTTGACCAAAATGCTGACAGTGATATGGACAATGAAGTCCAAGCTGAGGAGGTCTCAGATGGAGATGAGGAACCTATTGGGAATTGGAGTAAAAGTCACTCTTGCTATGCTTTAGCAAAGAGACAGGCGGCACTGTGTCCCTGCTCTAAGGATCTGTGGAACTTTGAACTTGAGAGAGATGATTTAGGGTATGTGGTGGAAGAAATTCCTAAGTAGCAAAGCAGTCAAGATGTGGCCTGGCTGCTTCTAACAGCATACACTCACATGCGTGCACGAAGAGAGTATCTGAAACTGGAACTTATATTTAAAAGGGAAGCAGAGCATAAAAGTTTGGAAATTTTGCAGCCTGACCATGTGGTAGGAAAAAAAGCACATTTTTCAGGGAAGGGGTTCAAGCCAGCTACAGAAATTTGCATGAGGAGCTGAATGTTAATAGCCAAGACAATGGGGAAAATGCCTCAGAGACCTTTGCAGCAGCCCCTCCCATCACAGGCCTGGAGGCCTAGGAAGGAAGAATGGTTTTGTGGGCCAGACCCAGGGCCTTGCTGCTCTGTGCAACCTCAGTACATGGTGTCCGGCATCACAGCCACTCCAGCTCCAGTGGTGGCTGAAACGGCCCCAGATACATCTCAGGACACTGACCCAAAGGGTGCAAGCTGGCAGCTACCAAGGCTTCTACATGGTGTTAACCCAGCAGGTGCACACAGGGCAAGAGTTAAGGCTTGGGAGCCTCCACCTAGATTTCACAGGATGTATGGATATCATCCATACATCTGTGGTGGCGCATGCCTGTAATCCCAGCTACTCAGGAAGCTGAGGCAGGAGAATTGCTTGAATTCAGAGGATGCTGGATGTGGAGGCCAAGTATATGGAAATGTCCAGATGTCCAGACAGAAGCTTCCTGCAGGGGCGAAGCCCCCACGGAGAGCCTCTACTAGGGCAGTGTGGATGGGAAATGTGGGACTGGAGCCCCACATAGAGTCTCCACTGGGGCACTGCCTAGTGGAGCTGTGAGAAGAGGACCACTACCCTCCAGACCCCAGAATGGTAGATCCATCTACGGCTTGTACCACACGCCTAGAAAAGCAGCAGGCACTCAACGCCAGCCCATGAAAGCAGCTGCAGGAGCTGTACCCTGAAGAGCCACAGAGGCAGAGCTGCCCAAGGCCTTGGGAGCCCACCCCTTCCACCAGTGTGGCCTGGAAGTGAGACATGGAGTCAAAGAAGATTATTGTGGAACTCAGACTGCCCTGCTGGGTTTCAGACTTACATGGAGCCTGTAGCCCCTTTGTTTTGGTCAATTTTTCCCTTTTGGAACAGAAGCATTTACCCAATGCCTGTATTACTATTGTTTCTTGGAAGTAAGCTTTTTATTTTACAGGCTGATAGGCAGAAGGGACTTACCTTGTCTCAGATAAGACTTTGGACTTTTGAGTTAATGCTGGAATGAGTTAAGACTTTGGGAAATTGCTGGAAGGCATATTTGTGTTTTGAAATGTGAGAAGGACCCAGCACTTTGGGAGGCCGAGGTGGGTGGATCATGAGGTCAGGAGTTTGAGACCAGCCTGACCAACATGGTGAAACCCTGTCTCTATTAAAAATACAAAAATTAGGCTGGGCGCAGTGGCTCACATCTGTAATCTCAGCACTTTGGGAGGCTGAGGCGAGTAGATCACCTGAGGTCAGAAGTTCGAGACGAGCCTGGCCAACATGGTGAAACCCCGTTTCTACTAAAAATACAAAAATTAAATGGACATGGTGGCGGGCACCTGTAATCCCAGCTACTTGAGAGGCTCAGGCAGGAGAATCACTTGAACCCAGGAGGCAGAGGTTGCAGTGAGCTGAGATCGCACCATTGCACTCCAGCCTGGGCGACAAAAGCAAAACTCCGTCTCAAAAAAAAAAAAAAATTTAACCAGGCATGGTGGCGCGTGCCTGTAATCCCAGCTATTCAGGAGGCTGAGGCAGGAGAATTCCTTGAACCTGGGAGGTGGAGGTTGCAGTGAGCTGAGATCACACCATTGCACTCCAGCCTGGGCAACAAGAGCAAAACTCCATCTCAAAAAAAAAAAAAAAAAAATTAGCCAGGCATGGTGGCGCCCACCTGTAATCCCAGCTACTCAAGAGGCTGAGGCAGGAGAATTGCTCAAACCCGGGAGGCAGAGGTTGCAGTGAGCCAAGATCACACCATTGCACTCCAGCCTGGGCGACAAGAGCAAAACTGCACGTCAAAATAAAATAAAATAAAATAAAAATTAGCCAGGTGTGGTGGCACATGCCTGCAATCCCAGCTACTCAGGAAGCTGAGGCAGGAGAATCACTAGAGCCTGGGGGACAGAGGTTGCAGTGAGCTGAGATCGCATCATTGCACTCCAGCCTAGGTGACAGAGTGAGACTCTGTCTCAAAAAAAAACAAGAGAAAAAAAAAAAAGAAATGTGAAAAGGACATGAGATTTAGGAGGGATCAGGGGCAAAATGATATGGTTTGCTCTGTGTCCCCACCCAAATCTCATGTTTAACTGTAATCCTCAATGTTGGGGGAGGGACCTGGTAGGAGCTGACTGGATCATGGGGGCGGACGTTCCCCTTGCTGTTCTCATGATAATGAGTGAGTTCTCATGAGACCTGGTTGTTGGAAAGTGTGCAGCACTTTCCCCTTCATGCTTTCTCTCTCCTGCCAGCCATGTGAAAATATGCCTGCTTCTCCTAGGCCTTCCGCCATGATTTTAAGTTGCTTGAGGCTTCCCCAGAAGCAGAAACCTATACAGCCTGCCCACAGAACCATGAACCGATTAAACCTCTTTTCCTTATAAATTACCCAGCCTCAGGTATGTCTTTATAGCAGTGTGAGAACGAGCCAATACACCCAGAAACCTGGCATTTTTTATAGTAAAACAAGAGCTACAATTTGTAAAGCCAGAATTGATCACAGGAACAGTTCCTTCACTGACCTATCCAGATTCTCATCAATGTCACAGCCTATAATAAAACCTCAATTAGAACAGTACCTAAGCATCAAGGGCTGAATGCTATGGTAGGGAGGGTGGGGTGGCATGGCAGGGGTGCAAAATCTACCCAATCCATGATCAAAATGGGTCACAACAGCAACAAATCAAACCTTTTGAGAAAGGAGAACAGCGGACTAATGAGGCCCACCTCAGCACACATTTGACGTGCTTGAGCTGGACTCCACCATCCTTCTAGAAAACAACATTGTCTTCTTCCGAATGCCCACTTTAATATATTGTCTAAGGCACTGATGTGGCTGGAGAAAAAAGGATTATTTCCCACTTCGTGAAGTTTTTTCCTTAAATGTTAATTGGTGGGTTCAGATAGACACAAAAACTTAAGGGGAAAAAAGTTCCCCAGATAGTGAAGTAGAACTCAGACCCCATGCTGCACGTGGAGGCCAAGTACACAAGCAGCTCCCGGGGAGGTGGGCACTACAGGCTGTCATGACATGAGACACCCAGTTACATTCACAGCTCAGAAAATATCCAAAAGGGATAGAGGGATAGGAGAAATACTCACATGTCAAGTCCATAAAATAAATGTATTTTATAGGTAAATACTGGTGTGTAGCTATATTCATGCCAGTGACCTCACAAATTCTCTTTAGCAACACAGGACAGAAGACAGTAACCTCTTTATTCCACATGATGATATACATTTACGTAACTGAAATGTTCTTCATGATTAAAATAAAAAGCTTCAAGTTTTTACAACACTACCACTTTATTTGTATGTCTCTTCCTCTAAATGTAATCATAAAATAAGCATGCAATAATCACAACTTAACATAATCTGTAGGAAAAACAAAGGCAGCATATACATATTTGCTTGTTCATTCATTTTTAGAAACAGGGTCTTGTTCTGTCACCCAGGCTGGAGTGCAGTGGTGCAACCACAGCTCACTGCAACCTCCAACTCCTGGGCTCAAGAGATCCTCCCACTTAGGCCTTCCATAGGTGGGACTACAGGCATGTACCACTGTGCCAGGCCAACATCTTTTTCTCTTTTTTTTTTTTTTTGAGACAGAGTCTTGCTCTGTCACCCAGGCTGGAATGCAGTGGCGCAATCTCGACTCACTATAACCTCCGCCTCCTGGGCTCAAGCGATTCTCTTGCCTCAGCCTCCCAAGTAGCTGGGATTATAGGCGCATGGCAATTAGAGCCTGGCTAATTTTTGTATTTTTAGTAGAGACGGGGTTTCATCACATTAGCCAGACTGGTCTCAAACTCCTGACCTCGAGTGATCTGCCCACTTCGGCCTCCCAAAGTGCTGGGATTACAGGTGTGAGCCACCATGCCTGGCCCAACATTTTTAACTGAATTAATTTCCTTCTTGTGGCTGACAGGACAACATTATTTTTCATCTACAAATAGACACCTCTCCATTGTCATTTAATACGAAATGACCATGCATCCAATATAATGTGTCATAACAGTTAACCTTAACTTTACTACATTAGATGTTAGATGCTTTTTTAAAAGACAATTTCTATTATACCTACAGTATAAATTATTAAACTTTTGTGAAGAGCTCAGCATCACCTTTCCAGAGAAGACGGCAGCGCGCCTTCAGGGTTCAAATGCCTGCTCCTGTGGAGCCTCCTCAGCCGCACCTGCACCAGCAGCCCACCTAAGAGATGAGGCACCATCCCCCACAGGCGAAGAATAGGGCACACCCTGCACCCTGCAGGTGAGGTTCCCAGTGCGTGGCCTCCTGCCCCATCAATTTCTACCAAACTACTGACTTTTTTTTTTTTAAATAAACAATGTATAGTGGGGGAAAGATCATAGAAACTGAGACACTGCCCTTTATAAGATTCCTAAAATTCAAAGACAAATAAGGACTAGACATATTTTGGATAATCTCTGTTAAAATTATTCAAAGACAAGCCCATAAAAATATTTAAATAATTTTATAAATTTAAATTTTAAAGAGATAGGAAAAAGAACCAATGGAACTGTGTTGACTGCGACACTGGCCACTGGTATGTCATGAAGAAAAGACTCAATGGTTTCATGGCTGCTGGTAAACCTAGGCCCTGCCTGACCCTGAAACAGACTGAGGGTGCACCTAAGGTTCCAGGCTGGCAGGAAGGACCCCTGCCCATCTGCATCTGGGCCCTGGGGATAGCCAGCCACCTCCCTGCCCACTCTACCTTTGAACAACCTGGCAACCTGCTCACTAGCTTTAAAAATCCTTTCAGCGATACCTGGTGTTAGGCAGCTTCAATGGTCTTCCAGAGACTTTCTCACCCACTAAAGAGATGACACCTGATCCTTCATGTTTATCAAAGACAGAGCAAACAATGGCATTTTACAATCCGCCCAGTCAATACCACCATGAGGTGAAGATTAATAAGGTAGTTTACCATGTCTACAATAATACATCTACATCACAGTTACCTCAGAAGTGATCATTTCTTTTCCTAGTCAAAGTGTGGAGTTTCCACGGCAATCCCTGCTTTTCTACAACATGCTGGATAAGACAAAATGCGTCCACGTTTTGTCAACAAACCAGTAATAATGATCCTCCTCAGCGCTTGTGACAGTGGCCTCCGTTTCCACACTGTGTCTCTGCATGCTACCAGGAGGCTGGAGTGAAAGCCAGGGAGTGAGGCCTCCGCGAGCCACGCCGCCCTCACACGCTGCCCTCACGACAGTGGGGATTGAGGCCTCCGCGAGCCACACCGCCCTCACACGCTGCCCTCACAACAGTGGGGAGTGAGGCCTCCGCGAGCCACGCCGCCCTCACACGCTGCCCTCACAACAGTGCCATCCTCCCTTTGGACCAGAATATGCAATCACATTTTACTCAAAAAGTCAAACTACAAAAAAGGAGCTGTATGGATAGAATCATCTGAACGGAAAACTTAACGGGGAGAAAATATAATCATCTTATCTCAGGGTTCTTTTGCTCATTTTTCCAGAAAGCTTTGTTCTTTTCTTAGACTAAACAAATTACTGAAGACTTCTTGTAATTTGGCTTTATTTTACAAGGATGCAAGAATAAAAACTACTTTGGAAATGAATATTCTATCAACATATTCACTCTAACTTACCAAATATAATGTAAATGATCCAAAGGAAAAATTTCTAATCTCAACAGTAAGATTTTAACCACAAAAAGTGTCCTTCTACATGAGGCTAAAAGAAAAATCTTTAAAGTTACCAGAAATTTAAAACCGCTTCAAAAAAATCTTCAAACAGTATGCTAGGTAAACTGTATGACCCTGTGTGCAGTGAGCACAAGGCCAGGCCGGCCGATCCCAGTGGGCAGAGCAGGATCTCCCTCAGGGCAAATGAGCTCCAGGAGTGCCTGCCCTGGAACCAGAGACCCCCACAGAAACATGGAGGTCAAGTGCTAAAACAATCAGGCACATGGATCTCAAACTCTGCACTGGTTGTTTGTTTGTTTTGAAACAGACAAACTCTGTCATCCAGGCTGGCGTGCAGTGGCACCATCTCGGCTCACTACAACCTCTGCCTCCCAGGTTCACATGATTCTCCTGCCTCAGCCTCCCAAGTAGCTGGGATTACAAGTGCATGCCAACATGCCCAGCTAATTTTTGCACTTTTAGTAGAGACAGGGTTTTACCACATTGGCCGGGCTGGTCTCTAACTCCTGACCTCAAGCGATCCGCCCGCCTCAGCCTCCCAGAGTGCTGGGATCACAGGTGTGAGTCCCCACACCCAGTCTCTGCACTGTTTTCACAGGGCCAGCTCTGTGGTCTGCTCTGGGGTCCTGTGCCTCTGGGTCAGAAGTACCAGAAGGCACAACTACAAGTGAGAAGCACACAAGCTCAGGAGGAAAGGAAGGAAGACGCAGGCATGCTCCCCTGGAACTGATCTGGTATTCTTCCCAGCATGGCCTCTACACACTTCCACCTTGCCATTTGTGTTTTGGGAGGGGTGTGTCAACTTTCACATATTACCTACCCGAGCTTTGAAGATACCCCCATGACGGCAAGACATGAAGAAAATGGAAGGAAAAACCCTTGTGCGGTCTCTTTAAACTTATCTTCGTGATTCTACAGTTGAACTTGATGTTTGCCTTTCACAACCTGGGGGAGACTATTAGAAGGAAGGTCCTTCTCCCCCTCAAGAAAATACATTGGTCCACTGGACTATCCTACACGCTATCAACATTTAAAAACGTCATTTCACAACAACCAACACAAAAGACTG
This sequence comes from Homo sapiens, assembly GCF_000001405.40. NCBI lineage: Eukaryota > Metazoa > Chordata > Mammalia > Primates > Hominidae > Homo > Homo sapiens. Next base: position 137,696,509 of record NC_000009.12, on the reverse strand, counting down.
CCTTCTCTACCTAACAGTGGAGATTTTTCTTTATTCTAGTCAAAATAAGAAAAATGTCACATTCCAATCTGCCATTTGCTCCCTTCTGCTTTAGGAAAGCCCAGGATCTGGAAGAGAGACTTGTCTTCTCCTTGGGAACTGTAACAGCAGCAAGAAGGAACTTTAAATGCCAAACGGCTTCTCCAAGATGGGAAGCAACTTCGGTCCAGGAAACTCGTGAGATGAAGAGCACTCTCTACCCGCCCCCTAATTTTAAACCATTTTCCACATACCAATTTCACCAGCTAATTATCGAAAGGGGTGGAGAGAAAAAGAATGAATCCTTTCAATATCTGAGAGATTTTCTTTTCCCTCTTTTGTCTTTTTGTTTTTTCCCTTGGCAGAAAAAGGAGAGTTGGTTCCTAAATTTGGAAAAAAACAATTAATATCCAAAGTAGCCCCAGAAATTACATTTAAGGGATTTTAAAATATCAGGACAGATTCCCTTTCCATCTGCTGCTTAACCCTTGATTGAGCCTCTCTGCAAAGAAAGACAATCAAAGGTGGCCCCGTCCCTACTACTGCCTTTGTCCAGTTCTTTCGGCTATGGCATTTGTCCAAAGATGGCAAAACCAGTGCAAATATCTGCCAGTCCCTCATGTGCCTCCAGCAGTACTCTGAGACTCCACCATCGAGAGGTGGGTCGGTATCCCCCTCCTTTGCCTGGGTGGACCTGAAGTATGTGGCTGAAGTGGCAGCCCATGACACAGACGGCGGCCTCAACCCAGCTCTGCCTTGCTAGCTTGCTCTGTGCTGCCTAGCCACTGTGTGTGAGGGGCCCACGCCACCCGGGAGGCCACACATGGGTGCCCTAGCCAAGAACCCACTAACTAGCACTGGCCACCAGATGTGGAAGGACGCAGCCCACACTAACACCACCCCCATGTTCGAGTCTTCCAGCTGAGACTCATTGACCAAAATAAAGTCATCTCCTCTGTGCCGTCTGAATTCCTGTCCCCTCAAAGGGATAACAAATGATGATTGTTGTTTCAGCCACCGAGTTTCAGGGCAGTGCAGTCCCTGGCGGGAGACAAGGAAAGCAATGCTCTTTGTCCTGACCTTCTTCCCCTCGCCAGCAGGGGTCAGAGCAAACCCCAGCTCCAGGGCTCCGTCCATGCTCCCAGCACAGGCCCGACACACAGATCTCACAGCAATCCAAGCTCTGGGGCTCACCTGCCACCAAGGCCTAGGCTCAACGGCTGTAGTCTGTACCCTCAGGGAACTGGACCAACAGAGAAGATCAGCAAACCAGGAACGTGAGCAGTCTAAGTGCTCCTTACAGAAGAAACACGTGCCGAGGGGAGGCACACAGGGCCGGGCGGCCGGTAATCCAGGTGCCCAGGGTGTGAGCACCTGCCTGCAAAAACCCCAAAAACTCCAAATTCCCATCAGCCAAAACCTGTCTGTTTAGAGTCTTTCAGGTCCAAAACCAAAAAGTAGCCATGACCAGAACGGGTGCCTTGACATAACTGGTGAGTGTGAGGTCAGAGGGTATGTGCTCTAAGGGCAGTCAAGCTGGAAACGGCTACTTGCCGTTCTTACCGCCACTAATATGCTGATGCTCTAGTTTATCTACCATCTCCTTCAAGACCGAGAGTACAATTCTGACAATCTGGTTTACCTGCAACATCAAATTCCTGGGCCTGCCGAGCTGATGGCCTGCCTTCCAGGAGATTCGCCGGGTCAAGGGCACCCCGAGGCCTCGCGCCTGATCACCTGCTCGCCAGCCTCCTGCTAACAGCTCCTGCCTGTGTGCTAGGCGCGTCTCCACCATGGTTGGGCTGCTGACTGGCACATGGCTCAGAGCACAGCCCTGTGGAGACTTACAGCCTCTACCCGCCCAAGTGAAACTGGAAAACATCTACTCCTTCCCTGAGTTTAATATGGAGCAAATTAAGATGAAAATTCATGGAACCTATCAGAAACCACAAGGTTGCTGACCAACAAGACTGCCGACCAACGAGACTGCCTCACAGGCAGGAAGAAGGGCACGGAGCCGGCCTCAGCTGTGCGCCTCCTCCAGTCCCAGCGTCCTGCGCCACCGCATGGTGGGTATCGGCCAGTGTCCTGTGCCACTGTGTGGGGGGTATCGGCCAGAGTCCAGCACCATCGCCTGGTGGGTATCGGCCAGCGTCCTGCGCCACTGTGTGGGGGGTATCGGTTAGCGTCCTGCGCCACTGTGTGGGGGTATCGGCCAGCGTCCTGCGCCACTGTGTGGGGGTATCGGCCAGCGTCCTGTGCCACTGTGTGGGGGGTATCGGCCAGCGTCCAGCACCATTGCCTGGTGGGTATCGGCCAGCGTCCTGCGCCCCTGTGTGGGGGTATCGGCCAGCGTCCTGCGCCACTGTGTGGGGGTATCGGCCAGCGTCCTGAGCCACTGTGTGGGGGGTATCGGCCAGCGTCCTGAGCCACTGTGTGGGGGGTATCGGCCAGCGTCCAGCACCATCGCCTGGTGGGTATTGGCCAGCGTCCTGCGCCACTGTGTGGGGGGTATCGGCCAGCGTCCTGCGCCACTGTGTGGGGGGTATCGGCCAGCGTCCTGAGCCACTGTGTGGGGGGTATCGGCCAGCGTCCTGAGCCACTGTGTGGGGGGTATCGGCCAGCGTCCTGAGCCACTGTGTGGGGGGTATCGGCCAGCGTCCTGAGCCACTGTGTGGGGGGTATCGGCCAGCGTCCTGCGCCACTGTGTGGGGGGTATCGGCCAGCGTCCTGCGCCACTGTGTGGGGGGTATCGGCCAGCGTCCTGAGCCACTGTGTGGGGGGTATCGGCCAGCGTCCTGAGCCACTGTGTGGGGGGTATCGGCCAGCGTCCTGCGCCACTGTGTGGGGGGTATCGGCCAGCGTCCTGAGCCACTGTGTGGGGGGTATCGGCCAGCGTCCTGTGCCACTGTGTGGGGGGTATCGGCCAGCGTCCTGCACCACTGCGTGGTGGGTAAGTGACAGGCAAAGCTTGATAGACTGGCTAGATTCGAATCCCAGCTCTGTCATTAATGAGATGCGTAACCTTGGTTTCTTAACCTCTCTGTGCCCGTTTCCTCTGCAGTAAAATGGGAACAACTAACTACAAAACCAGTTCAGCAGGCTATGCGGGGGCTGCAGGACTCAGGACTGTGGGTGATGCCTAAGTTCTGAATTGATTATCAGCTCTAATATTATTCAATATATTTAATAAATATAAAATTAAAGTGTTTAGTATCTGCCACATGGAAGACATCAGTCACTGCTTGTTAGATACCCGCTAACTTGAACTGTTCAAAAACAAGTCCAGTCCCCTTAGCCCGGCCTCACTGTGCGTCTCCAACTCCACGCTGTGGCTCCGGCCCTCAGCCCATCTCCCCTACGAGTTTAACAATTAACCTGCTCTTTCCATCCACCCACTACACTTTTCCTTTCTAAAAAGTCTTATTATTGCCATGCTGAAAACCTCTGCTGTGCCCATTCGCCAAAGGGTCCAAAGCCCCCAGGTGAGGCAGGCAGAGGTGCCGTCCAGCCGATTCCAAGGACAACCCTTGTGGCCACATCCACCCCGGACTCTCAGGCTTCTGATTGTCCCTTTTTTCCAAAAGACACCCTACCACTGCCCGCACGTGTTCACCCCTCCTCAGCCGGCTCTGAAGTCAGCTCCTGCCCAGGTCTCTTCCTTGGTGCTCCCACACCCAGCAGCAACAGACACTGCGCACTGGAGCATGATGGCTTCACCAGGGCTGGAGCAGGCGCCTGAGCATTGTTCACTGCCGTCCGACACACACACACCATGCAACGTGCTTCTGACCAGCGCGCAGATCATCTAGCTCCTCCCACACATGGAAGATATCAACGTCTAAAAGAGAGTTTTCTCACTTTTTATGGTTTTAAAAACTCCTTTCTAAGTAAAAAGAAAAAGTTGATGGAAAAACACCATCTGAGGCCGGGCTCGGTGGCTCACGTCTGTAATACCAGCACTTTGGGAGGCTGAGGTGGGTGGATCACCTGAGGTCAGGAGTTCGAGATCGGGCCTGGCCAACACAGCGAAACCCCGTTTCCACTAAAAATACAAACACTAGCCCGGCGCGGTGGTGCACGCCTGCAATCCCAGCTACTTGGGAGGCTGAGGCAGGAGAATTGCTTGAACCCAGGAGGCGGAGGTTGCAGTGAGCTAAGATCACACCACTGCACTCCAGCCTGGACAACAGAGTGAGGCTCTGTCTCAAAAAAAAAAAAAAAGAAAGAAAGAAAGAAAGAAAAGAAAAAAAAGAAAAACACCATCTAGTGACGACATGCCATGTGAAAGATCCACAGGTGCACGTAAACGTTCTTCATCAGCGCTGAAGGAGCCCCTTCCCCAGTGGTGTTCTGGAACCTTGCCTGATACTGGCTGGTGTTGTGTATGATTCTCATCCTATACCATTTCCAAATTCTTACACACATCACCCTTCTCATTAGTTCTGCCTGTTTTGCACTTCAATACAATCAGGAATATCCTGTGAATTTTTAGTAAACTGCACTTCATTTATATTTCAGGGAAAGAGAACACTCTCAAAAGGTCCTCTATTAAAAGAGGAAGGAAATGAGAGAACCAGGGCCAGGAAACACAGGGCCCAGTCCCTGCCCAGGGGAGACAGGGCGCTTCGCATGTGGGCGGGAGCCAAGAGCCAGGCAAGTGTACCAAGCACAAGAGGCCACTTCACACCCAGGAGAGACTGTCATCAAAGAGATGGACCCTTACAAGTGCTGGCAAGGACGTGGAGAAGCTGGAACCCTTGCGTGCTGCTAGTGAGAATGCAAAATGGTGCGGTTGCTATGGGAAACAGTATGGCGGTTCCTCAACACATCAAAAATAGAATTACCATATGACCTAGCAATTGAAAGCAGGGTCTCAAAGAGATATTTACACACCATGTTCACAACAGCATTGCTTGCAATAGCCAAGGGGTGGAAGCAACCCAAGTGTCCATCAACGGACATCCACTAATGGACAAACAAAATGTAGTCCATTCATACAACAGAACATTACGGCTGGGCGCGGTGGCTCAAGCCTGTAATCTCAGCACTTTGGGAGGCTGAGGCGGGCAGATCACTTGAGCTCAGGAATTCGAGACCAGACTAGGCAACACAGAGAAACTCTGTCTCTACAAAAAAAAAATTTTAAGAAAAAAAAATATATTTTATATATATATATATAATTACATATATACTATTCAGCCTTAAAAAGGAAGGAAATTCAGACACATCCTATAACACAGATGAACCTTAAGGACATTATGCTATGAGAAATGAGCCAAGCACAAAAGATAAATACTGTATGGTCCACTTGTGTAAGGTCCCTAGATAGTCCAAGTCTTAGAGACAGGAAATAGAAAGGTGGGTGCCAAGAGCTGAGGGGAGGGAGGAATGGAGACTTGGCATTTAATGGAGACAGAGTTTCAGCTTGAAATGATGAAAAAGTTCTGGAGCTGGATGGTGGTAACAGCAGCACAATGTGAATATACTTAACAATACTGAGCTTTATACTTAAAAATGGTTAAGATGGTGAATTTTATGTTATGTATATGTTGTCATAATTTTAAAACATGTTTAAATGAGTCCTCTCTGTATGACCCAGCACCTTAACTTCATGGTGCTTATCTAGAAACACTCTTGGACATGTACATGTGGAAGAATATATGATGCTGTTTAAAGCAGCAGTGCAATTTGTAACAGCAACATACACAAGTGATGATCACAATGACCACCAACACGGGAATGTTTAAAGGAGAGGGCTGGGTGTGGTGGCACACGCCTGTAATCCCAGCTACTTGGGAGGCTAAGGCAGGAGAATCACTTGAACCCGGGAGGCAGAGGTTGCAGTGAGCCGAGATCGCGCCACTGCACTCCAGCCTGGGCGACACAGCAAGACTCTGTCTCAAAAAAAATAAAATAAAATAAACAAGAAACAAGATATATTCTTCGACATCTAGTCTGTAATTTTTTTTTTTTTTTTTTTTTGAGACAGGGTCTCACTGCCACCCAGGCGGGAGTGCAGTGAGGCAATCACAGCTCACTGCAGTCTTGAACTCCTGGGCTCAAGCAATCTTCCCACTTCGGCCTCTCAAAGCGCTGGGATGACAGCATGAGCCGCTAAGCTCAGCCTCCTGCTGTCTGATTATTATGCAACAGCTCATAAAGTTGATCTCTATGTACTGACATGGGAAGAGCTCTATGAAATACTGTGAAATAGAAAAGCAAATACACAAGAGTAAGTCACCCTGCATTCCTCACTTCCAAATTCTACATGACGTCCATCGGCAAATCTAGTCTCCGCCTTCAAAATACATGAGAAATCCCATCACTTCTCACACCAGCAACACTGCCTGCCATCTCATCTCTCACAGTTTTCCCCACGTCACCTTGGGTCTTAACATAGTAAATCCCATTAAAATGTAAGTCAGATCATGCACCAGTCCTCTGTTTAAAACATTCTAGTGGCTTCCCATCTTGCTCGGAATAAGAGGCAAGTTCTTTCTGAGAGCCTATGCGTGCACTGCTTCTGTTCACCACGACTGACCAGAGTTCCTCGGCCTCATCTCCACGCGTCTACTCCACGCCAGGCACAGCAGCCAACATGGTGGGCACCTGCCCAGGAGCTGGCCCCCACAACTGCAGTCATTCCCACCTGGAGCCCCTTCCTCCCAGATGTCTATGCAGCTTATCTCTCTCACCCTCCTTAGCTCTTTATTCACACATCAAATGACAATCGCAGGTACCCAAAAAAATGTGTACATCTGTTATGTGTCCTTTTCTTTTTCTTTTGAGACGGAGTCTTGCTCTGTCACCCAGACTGGAGTGCAGTGGCGCAATCTCAGCTCACTGCAACCTCTGTCTCCCAGGTTCAAGCCAATCTCCTGCCTCAGCCTCCTGAGTAGCTGGGATTACAGGTGTGCACCACTGCACCCGGCTAATTTTTGTATTTTTAGTAGAGACAGGGTTTCACCATGTTGGCCAGGCTGGTCTTGAACTCCTGACCTCATGATCCACCCACCTCCGCCTCCCAAAGTGCTGGGATTAACAGCATGAGCCACCGCACCCGGCCGTGTCAATTTTTTAAAAGTGAAAAAAATGTCAACCAACACATAGAATGCAATTTCATAATGTTAAAAAGTACATACTCACAAAAACAATAGCACACAGCTCAATTATCTATGAACACGCACAAAAATACTCCTGAAGGACACATACCAAACTCACATACAATGTATTTCTGAGGAGGAGGTGGGATCCATTGACCAAAGAAAACTGTAGCTTTATTTGCAATGTTTGATTTTTTTCCACAATAAGATTATACATAGAGACTTCTTTTGTAATTGAAAATAAAATCCTTTCCAGTGTAAAAAGGGGAATGGAGAACAAGTAGTCACAATCAGTCACTCCTGGGGGATGGAGAACAAGCAGTCACAGTCACTCCTGGGGGATGCAGAACAAGCGGTCACTGTCAGTCACTCCTGGGGGATGGAGAACAAGCAGTCACTGTCAGTCACTCCTGCAGCAGCTCACCACTCCCATCAGGACAGTCACTTCCTCTTGTACAAAGACATCCACAATAGCAGATCAGAGCTCAGAAGAGGTCACCACGGCCATCCGCGGATGTGACCAGTTCAGTCAGGGCAGACTCGGTGGATGACACAAACCTTCACACACCTGCTGTCCATGCAGTGATATGACACCAACCGAGGAGAACGCAGAAGCAAACTCATCACTCATGACAAATACAAACGTGTGCATGAGAATACACAAAACGCACTGCTAAGTGATGGTAATCAAGTGGATAGCGGTTGGACAATCTATTAAAATTTTATTTTCTAAGTATTTCCATAATATTATAAAACTATCCCTTTTTAAAATCTCATTTAGACAGTACAAATGCTCTACATTGATATTTCTCTTCACAATAAAGCAGATATGCTTATTCTTCCCAAGTGATCATTTCAAGAGCCTCCAGCAAGCACAGGCATCAGTGTGGCCCTCCATGTGCTCTGAGGAGGAGGGGTGCAGCGCTGGCAGCCGGCCACGGCCCAGTGTGGGATAAAGAGTCCAGCAGCGTGGCAAGGTATGAGATGAACACATGAAAATGAACCGAGTTTATATAAACTACCAATGAAGAATATAAAAATGAAATTTCAAGAACAGTTCCACGCTGGGCACAATGGCTCACTCTTATAATCCCAGCACTTTGGAAGGCCGAGGCAGGCAGATCACTAGAGGTTAGGAGTTCGAGACCAGCCTGGCCAACATGGTGAACCCCTGTCTCTACTAAAAATACAAAAATTAGCCAGGCGTGGTGGCGCATGCTTGTAATCCCAGTTACTTGGGAGGCTGAGGCAGAAGAATCACTTGAACCCAGGAGGCAGAGGTTGGAGTGAGCCGAGATTGTGCCACTGCACTCCAGCCTGGGCAACAGAGTAAGACTCCATCTAAAAAAAATTCCAAACCAAAAAGAATACTAAAGAAATAAATTTATCAAAACAAGTTCAAGCTTGTACAATGAAACTACAAAACATAGTTGAAAGAAATCAAAGAAGTTTCAATTAAATAGAAAGACGCCCCATGTTGAAGGATCAGAGACCACACCGTGAAGACGGTGACACGATGACGTGCTCTGACTTTATCCTTTCAGGCTATTATAACAAACTGCCTTCATGTGGGTGGCACAGACCCAACAGAAATTTATTTGTTTAAGTTCTGGAGGCTCGGAAATCCAAGATCAAGGTGCTGGCAAATTCAGCGTGTGGCCAGGCTCTCATTTCCGGGCTCATGGCCTGCCATCTTCTTGCCGTGTCCTCGCGTGACGGGTAGGAGTCTCTCCCAAGCCTCTTTTCTAAGGCACTAATCCCATTCATGAAAACTCTGCCTCATGACAAAAGCACCTCCCAAAAGCCTCCCCTGCTAACACTAACACCTTGGTTTTGGGGGGAACACAAACACTCAGGCAACAGCACTACCTAAACTCTACCTGAACTCTACCTAAACTCCTCCACCTAAACTCTCTACCTGAACTCTACCTCAACTCTCTACCTCAACTCTACCTCAACTCCTCCACCTAAACTCTACCTAAACTGACCCAATGCAGCCCCAAGTACAATCTCAACTGGCTTTGCTGCTGTTATTGTTGCAGAAAATGATAAGCTGATCCTAAAATTCATAAGGAAATTCAGAGGGTCAAGAGAGCCAAAACAATTGGAAAAAGAAGGATACAGCTGGAGGACTCACATTTTCCCATTTAATACACAGCTACAATAATCAGGACAGTGTGTTACTGGCAAAAAGTCAGATACACACATCAATGGGATTGAATTATGAACCTAGAAATAAGCCCATACCTTTACAGTATATCGATATTTGACAAGAACAGACCATGAATTTGATAAGGAAGACCTATCAACTATGTTGCTGGGGCAACTGGATTACCACATGCAAAAGAATGAAGTTGGGGCCAGCGCGGTGGCTCATGCCTGTAATTCCAGCACTTTGGGAGGCCGAGGCGGGTGGATCATGAGGCCAGGAGATCAAGACCATCCTGGCTACATGGTGAAACCCCGTCTCTACTAAAAATACAAAAAATTAGCTGGGCGCGGTGGCGGGCGCCCGTAGTCCCAGCTACTCGGGAGGCTGAGGCAGGAGAATGGCATGAACCCGGGAGGCAGAGCTTGTAGCGAGCCGAGATCACGCCACTGCACTCTAGCCTGGGTGACAGAGCGAGACTCCATCTCAAAAAAAAAAAAAAAAAAGAAAGAATGAGGTTGGACCCCTACCTCATGCCATGTATAAAAATTGACTCAGCTGGGCACAGTGGCTCACACCTCTAATCCCAGCACTCTTGGAGGCCAAGTAGCTTGAGGCCAGGAGTTCCAGATCAGCATGGGCAACATGGCAAACCCTGGTCTCTACAAAAAATACAAAAACTAGCCGGGGATGGGGGTGCACACCTGTGGTCCCAGCTACTCAGGAGGCTGAGGTGAAAGGAATGCCTGAGCCCCAGAGGTCAGGGCTAGAGTGAGCTGTGATTGCACCACTGCACTCCAGCCTAGGTGACTGAGCGAGACCCTGCCTCAAAAAATAAAAAAATTAAAAAAATTTTTAAAACTGCCTCAAAATAGATAAAAAAAACAAATATGAGATAAAACTATAAAACTCTTACAAGAAAACACAGGGGTAAGTCTTCACAACCTTGAGTTAGGCAACAATTTCTTAAATTATCACACCAAAAGCACAAGCAACCAAAGAAAAAACAGATAAATTGGACGTCATCAAAACTAAAAACATCTGTGCTGCAAAGGACACCATCAAGAAATAAAAAGACAACTTAAGGAACGAGAGAAAATACTTCCAAATCATGTATCTGGTAAGGGCCCAGTATCTGGAAAATATAAAGAACTCTTCCAAGCCTGGCACAGTGGCTCACACCTGTAATCCAGCTACTCAGGAGACTGAACTGGGAGTGCCACCTGAGTCCAGGGGCTGGAGACCAGCCTGGGCAACACAGTGAGATCCCGTGACTGACTGACTGACTAAATAAATGAATAATCTTACAACGCAATAAAAAGACAAATTCCAAAATGGGCAAAAGATCTGAATAAACATTTCTCCAAAGATATGCAAACAGCCAATAAATACATGAAAAGATGGCCAACATCATTCATTATGCATTGCAGAAATGTAAGTCAAAACCACAATGACATACCACGTTGCTCCCACTAGGATAGCTACAATCAACAAAATGGACAGCAAAAAGTGTTGGTGAGGAGTAGAGAAATCTGAACCCTCATGTATTGCTAATGGAAACACAAAATGATGGAGCTACCATGAAAAACTGCTTATCAGTTTGACCTCGGGAAGTTAAACACAGAAGTACCACATGATCCAGCAATTCCACTCCTAGGTATATACCCCAAAGAACTGAAAACAGATACTCGCATATACATGTTCGAAGCAGCATTATTCACAAGAGCCAGAAGATAGGAAAAAACTCATGTGCCCATTAACAGATGAATGAATAAACAAAACACAGTATATATCCAGGAATGGGTTCTGATACCTGCTACAACCTGGGTGAATCTTGAAAACCTTATGCTACATGACATAAGCCAGACACAAAAGGACAAATATTGTATAATTCCACTTACATGAAATATCGGGTTTAAGCAAATTCAGAGACAAAAAGTCTATCAGGGGTTACCAGGAGCTGGGAGGAGGAAGATAAGAGAAGTTACTGTTTAATGGATACAGAGTTTCTGCTTGGGGTGATGAAAATGTTTTGGAAACAGACTGATGACGGTTACAATGGTTGTTATGCAACACTGTGAAGGTACTTAATGCCACTTAATAGCACACTTAGAAATGGCTAAAGTAGTAAAATTTATGTTAAGTATACTTTATCACAATAAAAAAACCAGCAAGGGGAAAAAAGATTTAGAGGTATACAAACAAACCTTACAGATGCAATCATAAATTTCTTTAATTTGTGGCTATGAGACCAATGCAATTATTAGAAAAGACTCCTTTAAAAGGAAAAATACAATGTATATGCAGTAATTCAAATCAGAAAATAATAACTTGTGGAGTAAAAAAACAGGACATAGCAAAATACCACATATATATTTTAAACATACATATAAACTTCCTGACGTTGACTAGTTATATCATAATTCAGTAAAAGAATGGCTTTGTACGCTGGGTATGGTGGCTCATGCCTACAATCCCAGCACGTTGGGAGGCTGAGGTGGAGATCGCCTGAGCTCAGGAGTTCGAGAGCAGCCTGGGCAAAGTGGTAAAACCCTGTTTCTACCAAAAATTGAAAAAATTAGCCGGGCCTAATGGCACATACCTGTGGTCCCAGCTACTTGGGAGGCTAAGGTAGTAGGATTGCTTGAGCCTGGGAGGTGGAGGTTGCAGTGAGCCAAGATCACACCACTGCACTCCAACATGGGTGACAGAGTAAGACCCCATCTCAAAACAAAATCAAAAACAACAACAACAAAAAATAATGGCTTTGTAGGAAATACACGCTAATGTATTTAGGAATGAAGGGGCATCTAGGCAACTTTCAAACGGCTCAAGAAAAACATCTCATTTATCACACTTGCAACTTTTCTATTCAGTTGAAATTATTTCAAATTAAAAACAGTTGGCCAGGCACAGTGGCTCACCCCTGTAATCCCAGCACTTTGGGAGGCCAAGGCGGGCAGATTGCTTGAGTCCAGGAGTTTGAGACCAGCCTGGGCAACATGGCAAAACCTCGTCTCTACAAAAAATACAAAAATTAGCCAGGCGTGGTGGCATGCTCCTGTCCCAGCTACTCAAGAGGCTGAAGTGGGAGAATCACCTGAGCCCGGGAGGTCGAGGCTACAGTGAGCCGTGACTGCAACCACTGCACTCCAGCCTGGGTGACAGAGTGAGGCCCTGTCTCAAAAAACAAGCAAAAAAACAAACAAACAAACAAAAAACAGTTAATAGGAAAAAAATGAAATATATACAAAGCAATATTATATTGTTGACGGGTTCAAGCATCTCTCTAAAAAATTAAAGGCAAAGATCTTGAAGGATATACATCAAACTCATCACAATACAAGCTGCGGGGGTGGAGAGTGAGGGGGTAGGTAGGGACATTCTGCTTGAATGGGATTTGATTTTGAAAAGATAAACTCGTGTCATTGTATAATTTTTTTAATTTAAATAAAGGAAATTAATAGGGAAAAAATAAAAACTATGCATAAGCCAATTACTTTAACATTCAAGTATAACCTTCCAAACATTTTTCTGTGCAAATACGCTGATAAAGGTATAATTTACACATATTATATAAATGAGATACTACACATACTGTTAGACGACCACTTTTCCCTTAACCAATATGAGCAAAAAAATCTACATCATAGCCAGTCATGATGGTGCACCTGTAGTCTCAGCTACTTGGGCTTGAGCCCAGGAGGTTGAGGCTGCAATGAGCCATGATTGTGCCACTGCACTCCAGCCTGGGCAACATAACATGACCTCATCTCTATTAATTAATTCACATATTCACACAGTCGTTAAATGTTTGGAAGGTTATACATGAATGTTAAAGGCACTGGCTTATGTATAGTTTTTACTCCCCCTCCCAGCCTTATTAATTCCCTGGGGGCACCAGCAGAAATTCTCACTGCTATTTAGCCTTATCGTAGCACCAAATAGCAGATCCGCTTTTACCTCAGGGACTCTGATCTCTTGTCTACAAATGCCATTTTAACAAAGATTCAAATAAGTGTAATATATTCTGTCTCTGAGCTTGTATCCCATAGTAGCAGCTTTACTGATGATTTTAATAAAGTCTATTAAATGAGAATGCCTGTCAAACAGTGACCTAACTAACCCATGTAACAGAAACACAATTTTGGCTTTTATGCTTATTAATATAACTGAATCTAGCTGTGGAAAGAACTAGAAACTGAAATAAAAGTGGTGTGCGAAAATCCTGCAAACCCAGAGTTAAGGCCAGGGCACACAGGCCCTTCCGCCTGACTCTCAGTTCCAACTGGTGCAGCGTGTGGGCACTCACTCGCACGTGCAGGGCAGCCCCTGCAGGCAGCGCACCTGTTCGCAGCTGGGCTGGAGTGACCCATCGTCCTAGGGGCCCAGCACTGCCTGTCCAGTAACAGAAATCACATCCTTCCCCACCTCTCCAGCCGTGGGGCCTGCGGGTCTCAGTGCAGCACTGAGACTAACAGAGCAGCCGTCATCCTCAGGGGGTTGGATATGACCCCAGGGACAGCTCACCGCCCACGGGGAAGGCGGCACACAGAAGTAAAGCCTCTCCAAGCTCCTTGTCATGTGAGGTGACAAGTGGCCTCTTTAGCAGAAGCTGATCTAAGCTGGTTTCTGCCACCTGGTGAAGAGGCCCAGGGTCACACCTCTATCTCAAGGCATCCCAGCGGCTAGCAAACTCTAGCACAGCCCTGCAACTCTGGCCGCCAGGGAGACGCTCGCTACAGCAGCCTGAACTTGGCTAGTTCAGGCTAAGATTTGAGAAAGATAAAAGTTCTCAGTCAAAAAATGACTTCTTAGAAATCATAAATTTTCCATCAAAAATAATAAACTCAGTATTTCCTCACATAACACATAAAGGTTGGTACTGGGGGGAAAAAACAACAGTTCACCTGACATTTTTAACTTTTTGAGATTTTCAAGTATTTAATAAATTCCAAACCCAGTGGCTGCTTTAAAGAGGACGATTTTGGCCGGACACGGTGGCTCACGCTTGTAATCCCAGCACTTTGGGAGGCTGAGGTGGGCGGATCATGAGGTCAGGAGATTGAGACCATCCTGACGAACACGGAGAAACCCCGTCTCTACTAAAAATACAAAAAATGAGCGGGCGTGGTGGGGGCGCCTGTAGTCCCAGCTACTCGGGAGGCTGAGGCAGGAGAATGGTGTGAATCCGGGAGGCAGAGCTTGCAGTGAGCCGAGATGGCACCACTGCACTCAAGCCTGGGCGACAGAGCGAGACTGCCTCAAAAAAACAAACAAACAAACAAAAAAACACAAAAACCGCGAGGACGGTTTCACTGTGAGGAGAGCTTCCCGCATCAGTGACCCGCCTCACGCTTACGTACCAGACACACTGCAAACTTTCCAGGGAATGAATGAGCACAATGTCTCACCACACAAACACCTGGAGGGGCACATGGACTTAGCAAAAGTCAGATCTGGTCAAAATACAGGAGGGAAAAGCAGAATGAGTGTGTGCGATCCAGAGGTGCAGGGGAGACTCGGATGCCTCGGCACCAGCTGTGCCTCATGGGAAACTGGAGACAGGAGAGAAAGTGGACGGGCGTGGGAGGCTTCCTGGGGACAAGGGAAGCCTGTGAAGGTATCAGGAAAGCAAACAGATGTCACCTGGACAAGCAGGGAAATTAGAAATACCAAGGCAGTGGACAATTCTGAATTGCTGGAGAGAAAAAACAACATATTTTGCTACTACAAATAACGAAGGAATTTTAGTCAAAGCAGTTTTGTACTGTTTTTGTATCAATAATATATTAAGCCAAGTTCCTCAGGATCTATAATTATATATTTTATAGGCCAAAAGAATTTGTGGGATGTGTAATGCAGCTACTACAAAGTTATAGCAAAATCCTGAGGCCTGGAGCTAAATACAATTCTCAGGGTTCCAAAGTAACCCCTGCACACTTAGATGCTGGTTACAGACACGCGGCAAAAACACTGAAAATGTGGCAGATTCCATCACCTGCCCCAGCAGGACAGCTCCCCGGGGACAGAGAACTGAACCACCCAGTTCTCCCTCCTTTCTTGCTTGCAGTTCTCAAGAAAAACTTTCCAATGTGCTGGGAATGCAACACCCTGAGATAAGGAGCAGCTGAGAGTGGCCTGGGCTTTGCTCCTGTCCCTCCCACAACAGGGTGTCCTAAAACTCAGTCCAGCGGGTCAGGTGGCCCCGAGTATAAAACCCAAAATAGCACTTTCGGGGTCTCCCAACTGCAGTACAACATAGGGCACACACAGATAATGCAGACAAGACCCCATCCACCCTGGCCACTTGCCTGAGCCTTGGGGGCCAGATCACCACGAGCCCCGGCATCTGCTGTCCCCTGCTCATCTGTGAGTGACAAGCCTGCTTCGTGCAACTCGCACGCAAGTGTCCGGCCTCACCAGTCTCACGCAGCGGCCCCAGTGTGGTGTGGGGAGCAGCTCGGGGTTAGGGTCTCACAGGTGGTGCCCCGCACACAGTGCACCTTCTTTGCATCCCCCCACACTGAGGCCTCTCTGGAAGACTGCAGTATCTAATTTCCAACTACCTTCTGCCATGGTTGCTAAGAAAACATGGTGCAGGACCATCTCACAATGGACAAACAGTACTGATGAAAAACACTGGTATCTCACACAGAACGTGAACAGTACAATCTACCTTTTCTCATGGACTATTCCTTCTGGTAAATCTATACATAATTTATTTCCATGCAAATTATGACCCACTTGATAATTGTTTTTTTGAGACAGAGTCTGGCTCTGTCGCCCAGGCTGGAGTGCAGTGGCACAATTTCAGCCCACTGCAACCTCTGCCTCTCCAGTTCAAGTGACTCTCATGCCTCGGCCTCCCAAGTAGCTGGGATCACAAGCGTGCACCACCACACCTGGCTAAATTTGTATTTTTAGTAGAGACGGGGTTTCTCCATGTTAGCCAGGCTGGTCTTGAACTCCTGGCCTCAAGTGATCCACTCGCCTCGGCCTCCCAGAGTGCTGGGATTATGGGTGTGAGCCACCGCACCTGGTCCCACCTGATGCTTTTAATAGCATAAGCAACTAAAAAAAAGCCACAAGACTTTCATCTAAAAACAGGAACACAATACAAGATACAGATACAACGTAGAGGCATTTCGCATCAGCAGGAAGGGGGAATACAATACAAGATACAGATACAACGTAGAGGCATTTCACATCAGCAGGAAAGGAGAATAATCAAACACTCACTGAGACACTGAGGCAGCTGGCTAAGTACTGGGAGGAGAAGGCCATCAGCATTGCAGATCAATGAGTGAAAGAATCATAAAACAATAAATCACAAAAACAGCAGGAAAAAATACCTGACAGCCCTGAAACAAGGAACTCCTGACTCTAGGCACAATGCCAAGGTCAGAAATCACAAAGGAAAAGCTTTACAGATTTAACTACCAAAATATTTCAAACATTTATATGGTAAAAATGAATAAATAAACTTTAAAACACAGAAAAAAATATCCAATGTATTTGGCTAAGTACAATAGCTTTACTTACTCTTAACTCTATAAGGAAAGAACTACAAATCAGTTTTTTAAAAAAGACAACATAAAAACGGGCAAATGAATTAAACAGGCATTCCCAAATGGCCAACAGACATACAGGAAAATGCTCAACCCCATCAGTGCTCAGGAATTAGTAAGAAGAGGAGGAAACACCTCCCAGCGCCTTCTGTGAGAACAGCATTACACAGAAAACAAAGGGAACTCCACATCAGTAACCCCTAACAAAACATCAGCAAATGAATGCAACCGCATGTCAAGAGGGTGCCACACTGAGGACCACCCGAGATGTATCCCAGGTGCAAGGCTGCTTGAACCTGAAGATCAATCGCAGCAGTCCCCTGATCCGTGGTTTTGCTTGCCACAGTTTCAGTTACCCACAGTCAACCACAGTCCAAAAATATTAAATGAAAAATTCCAGAAACAAACAATTTCTCAGGTCGGGCACAGTGGCTCACACCTGTAATCCCAGCACTCTGGGAGGCCGAGGCGGGCAGATCACGAAGTCAGGAGTTCGAGACCAGCCTGGCCAACATGGTGAAACCCCGTCTCTATTAAAAGTACAAAAATTAGCTGGGCATGGCGTGTGCCTGTAGTCCCAGCTACCCAGGAGGCTGAGGCAGGAGAATCACTTGAACCCGGGAGGCGGAGATTACAGTGAGCGGAGATCGCGCCATTGCACTCCAGCCTGGGCGACAGAGCCAGACTCCATCTCAAAAAAATAAAATAAAATAAAATAAGATAAATAAACAAATTCTCAGTTTTCAGCTGCACACTGCTCTGAGTAGCATGCTAACTCTGGCACTGCACCATCAGTCCTGCCCTGGATGTGAGTCCTTTCTCTGTCCCTGTGTCCATCCTGTAACCAATGCCCATCTGCCAGCTGCTGGGCAGCCGTCTCCCTCGTCAGATAGACAGATCACAAGACGCCGACTGAGTAGAGTGCAATACGTTTTTCGGGGGGAGCGGGGGGGGGGACATTCATATAACTTTTACTGTGCCTGATTTATAAACTAAACTTTACCATCGGTATATGTGTCTAAGAAAAAAACCTGGTATATAGAGAGTTCAGTACTATCTGTGATTTCAGGCATCAGCTAGGGATCTCAGAAGGTATCATCCCAGGTGAGTGAGGCTATCCCAACGCGGCGAGACAGGAACACCAGACAGAACACGCACGGCTGCACGCAGGGAACTGACACGGACAGAAAGCACATGATCGTGACAACGGAGGGAGAAAAAGCATTTCACAAAATTATTTCACAATAAAAAGTTCAACCTGATAAAGGATATCTACGAAAATCTTGTGGTTACCAACTTACTCAGCAGCGTTATGGTGAAAGGCCTCATGCTTCCCCCCAGCGATCAGGAAAAGCCATGGAGGTGCCACTTCCACAGCATTCAAACACTGTGCTGGGGGCTCTAGCAGTGTCATCAGGAGAGAAAAAACAAATCACAAGAAACAAAAATGGCCCCTAATCTTACCACCAACAGTAAACATCTTAGTATATCCCTTACAGATTTTTTATATTAGTGGATTATATACTAGTTTTTAATCTATTTTTCCACTAAACCTGATTAAGATTTTGACAACATTATTATTATTATTATTATTTTTGAGACGGAGTCTCGCTCTGTCGCCCAGGCTGGAGTGCAGTGGCGCCATCTTGGTTCACTGCAAGCTCCGCCTCCCGGGTTCACGCCATTCTCCTGCCTCAGCCTCCTGAGTAGCTGGGACTACAGGCGCCCGCCGCCACGCCCGGCTTTTTTTTTTTTCTTTTTTTGTATTTTTAGTCGAGACGGGGTTTCACCGTATTAGCCAGGATGGTCTCAATCTCCTGACTTCGTGATCCGCCCGCCTCCGCCTCCCAAAGTGCTGGGATTACAGGCGTGAGCCACCGTGCTCGGCTGACAATACTATTTTTTTAAGATACACAACAGTGTTGTGTTATATAGTAACAGCACAATCTACCCAACCAACTCTTTTTGTCAATTATAAACACCACTGTGGCTGACTCTGTGTACCCCCTTCATTAAAAATGCCTAGTCCTGGCTAACACGATGAAACCCCGTCTCTACTAAAAATAGAAAAACTTAGCCGGGCGTGGTGGCGGGCGCCTATAGTCCCACCAACTCGGGAGGCTGAGGCAGGAGAATGGCGTGAACCCGGGAGGCAGAGCTTGCGGTGAGCAGCCCGGACGAAAGAGGGAGACTCCATCTCAAAGAAAAAAAAAATTAAAAATGTCCAGTCAGGCAAGTCCTGGTGGCTCACGCCTGTAATCCCAGCACTTTAGGAGGACGAGGTAGGCAGATCCCTGGAGTCCAAGAGTTCAAGACCAGCCTGGGCAACATGGCAAAACCCCCGTCTCTACAAGAAAATACAAAAGTTAGCCAGACATGGTGCCACACGCTGTAATCCCAGCTACTTGGGAGACTGAGACAGGAGAATCGTTTAAACCTGGGAGGTGGAGGTTGCAATGAGCAGAGATTGCGTCACGGCAATCCAGCCTGGGCGACAGAGCGAAACTCTGTCTTAAAAAAAAAAAACTCCAGTCAGTGGCTGGCTGTGACAACTCATGTCCGTGATCCCAGCACCTTGAGAGATCGAGGTGGGAAGATCGCTTGAGCCCAGGTGTTCAAGATCAGCCTGGGCAACAAAAGCGTTGGAGAATTTTGCTCCTTAGTTCAGCTAAAATCCGGTTCTTGTCACACAACCAGGAAAATTTAGACATGAGGACAGGACACACTAAAGGGTGAGTAGAGCAAGGTTTTATTGGGCAAAAAGGGAAAAAAAAAAATTCTCAGCAAAGCGGGATGGAGTCCTGCTTACAGGACCCCCATCTCACAGATGGAATCCCAGGCCCTCACCCAGGAACTGAAAAGAGAAGCTCCTCCCCTGCGGAAGGCGGAATTCCGTGACCCCACCCACTTCCCCCAGTGCGCATGTGGGCTCCAGTCCCCTGTGGCTCCACCCACTTCCCCCACTGCTCATGCGGACTCCAGTCCCCTGTGGGCAGGTTCCCTCCTCTGCACAAAAGCATTTGGCGTAAAGGCTTGCGGGGGCAGGGCGGAGATTCTCCGGGGACTCCTTTTTATCTGCCTAGGCATTTGGCTGTCTCATAAGGAGACCCCGTCTCTACAGATAATGTAAAAATTAGCCGGGTGTGGTGGTACACACCTGTAGTCCCGGCTACTTCAGAGGCTGAGGCAGGAGGATCACCTGAACCCGGGAGGCGGAGGTTGCAGCGAGCAGAGATCGCGCCACTGCACTCCAGCCTGGGCAACAGAGTGAGACCCTGTCTAAAAAAATAAAATATAGGCCGGGCGCGGTGGCTCACGCCTGTAATCCCAGCACTTTGCAGGGCCGAGGCAGGCAGATCACGAGGTCAGGAGATCAAGACCATCCTGGCTGACACGGTGAAACCCTCTCTCTACTAAAAATACAAAAAAAATTAGTCAGGCGTAATGGCCGGGCGCGGTGGCTCACGCCTGTAATCTCAGCACTTTGGGAGGCCGAGGCGGGTGGATCATTTGAAGTCAGGAGTTCAAGACCAGCCTGGCCAACATGGTGAAACCCCATCTCTACTAAAAATAAAAAAATTAGGCTGGGCGCGGTGGCTCACGCCTGTAATCCCAGCACTTTGGGAGGCCGAGGCGGGCGGATCACGAGGTCAGGAGATCGAGACCATCCCGGCTAAAAACGGTGAAACCCCGTCTCTACTAAAAATACAAAAAATTAGCCGGGCGTAGTGGCGGGCGCCTGTAGTCCCAGCTACTTGGGAGGCTGAGGCGGGAGAATGGCGTGAACCCGGGAGGCGGAGCTTGCAGTGAGCCGAGATCCCGCCACTGCACTCCAGCCTGGGCGACAGAGCGAGACTCCGTCTAAAAAAAAAAAAAAAAAAAAAAATTAGCCGGGCGTGGTTGGTGCACGCCTGTAATCCTAGCTACTTAGGAGGCTGAGGCAGGAGAATCGCTTGAACCCGGGAGGTGGAGGTTGCAGTGAGCCAGCCTGGTGACAGAGCGAGACTCTGTCTCAAAAAAAAAAAAAAAAAAAAATTAGCCGGGCGTGGTGGCCGGCACCTGTAGTCCCAGCTACTCGGGAGGCTGAGGCAGGAGAATGGCGGGAACCTGGGAGGTGGAGCTTGCAGTGAGCAGAGATCACGCCACTGCACTCCAGCCTGGGCAACAGAGCAAGACTCTATCTCAAAAATAAATAAATAAATAAAATTTAAAAAGTAAAAGAGAAAATGAACTACTCATGCTCCCTCACACCAACCCCCCTATTGGTCACCAAATTCTATGCCTCCTAAATATTCCATCAAATTCCACCGCTACCTTATTTTAAGCCACATTATTCTCAAGTCAGTGGTAATAGGAATAATCTAGCAACTCATTTTTCTAATTCCAGCCTCTCCCCTTTTCAGTCTAGCATCTATTCTGCAGTTAAAATTATCTTTCTAAAATTGTGACCTTACCATCATCTTCTTTAAAAATTCAGTGGCTTCCCACTGCCCATGGAATCAAGTTCACACTTCATGACAAGGCACAGAAGGAGCTACAGCAATCTAGGCCAGGCGTGCGGCCCCCGGGCCAAATCCAGCCCAGCCTGCTTTCTTACTTCCCACAAGCTAAGAATGAATTTTTTTTTAATTTTTTAAGTTGTAAAAATAAAAAAGAATATGCATCAGAGACCTTACGCGGCCCACACCCCACATACCTGGTCCTTTACAGAAGTTTGCAGATTTCTAACCTAGCCCAATGATTTTCAGGTCAGAAATCCTATGTGCCAGTCACACTGAGCTACTTAAAATTCCAGCAGCAGTAGGGCCCAGACCATCACCCTTCCCCCTGCTTCCCGCGACTCTCCAACTATGCAGCGAGCTTTTGGGGCTCAGATGGCCCTTGCAGCTCATCACGGGCTGCCCTGTGGTGACCCACACAAGCCTGCCTCCCACTTACAAAAGGAGCCCCAATCCACCTTTGCAACCCGGGCACCTAGCATGGGCACAAAATACGTATTCTACAACTACTGGAAGAATATACTCTAAGATGATGATTAAATATAAATGCGGGTCTCACACATCAAGAGGTGAGTCGTGCAATCGTAGGCAGACTGCAGGAGGCAAGGCACAGGCGGCGCCACAGCTACCTGGACTTGCTCTTCTAGACCAGACAGAACACAAAGAAAGAGCGCTGGAGCCGAGAGTCAGGGCATCTGGGGACACTGGCCAACAGTGAGATTCTCCGTCAGCCTGCAGAGTGTGGGAGAGCCAGAAAAGGGGACGGAATTCTGAGAGATTTTACTGTGGGTTTTAATTTATATCATGTTGGTGCTCTTTGATAGATGCCAGTGAAGAGCACAATCCTGTTTAATGTCTTTCGGCACCTGGAATTTGGTCTCAGAACAGGGCTCGATGGAGAGGTTGGCCTTCAGGAGGCCCTGGTGCAGGCGGGTCACACGTGCAGCCCCCCTCGCCCCACCACTGCCTCGTAAAGGGCAGCATGTGTTACGGTGCTGGTTTTCTAAGCTCACTGCGCTCCAGACCCTGTGAGGAATGCCTTGGTGTTTTAGAACGTCTCCCTGCCCACCCTGGATCGCCCCACTGCCTCTCTCCACTAACCGTATTTCAAACAGTGTGTGAAAAAAGCAGCTTTAGCTGGTCAGCACCTTGTCTGGGCCTCCTGGGCTCTATTCCAAGACAACAGATTGTCCTGCCCCCAATCAAGGCCTCAGCCCCCAGGCTCCAGAGAACAGTACAGCCCTAGGAGGGACCCACAGACTCTCAGGTCCTGCTAGTATTGGCTCCGGGAGGCTAAGTAATATGTTGACACATACAGATGCTGTTTTTTAATCTTACTATATTCATAGTAATTGTGTCATTTTCCATCTTTTCAATTCATACATACTCTCACACAATTACCACCATGAAATGACGGGCCTTAACATTTTTCTAATGTGAGAAACAAGTTTTGAAGACACTGATGAACACTGGCAGCCCCGGCCAGAGCCTCCCTGAGGGCAGGGCCAGTGCCAGGCAGGGCAGCAGCGCAGTTTCGCCAGGAGTTGTCTGGTGTAAAGCACAGGCTGGGAGTGCGGGTCTGAGGGAGGGACACAGACATGACCTCCACACACTCCCTGGCACATCCTCGAGGCCGGAGCTTCACACTGCCTTCAGCTCAGCCACCAGGGACACTGCAGCTGGACACAGCTGCCCTGCCTCCCAGGACACCCATCTCCTCTTCAGAACAACATGAGACATAAAAATAAGGCTGTACAGAACTTACACACCATGAAAAAATGAGAAGCCTATTTCTTTTTTCAGATCAGAAGAGCAACGTGAGCAACGGTCCTATCAGAAATACAACAAATATAAAAGCAGCAGTCGAGAATGGTGAGGGACCACAAACCCCTGGGGACTTGGTCCAGGCCAGCTCTGAGCACCACCAGGCACCCAGACTAGCACACAAGTAAGGGGTGCTCAATAAACACCTGCTGGGAGGTTCCTACACACTCTAGGATGTCACTCTAAGATGAGACAACCCTGATGCAAAAGGAAGGTAAGGTTCTTTGCTAAGCACTTCAAAGCAGAATCATCTTAAATTGGCAAAAAAGCAACCCATATAAAACTGGTTCTCAAGCTCCATCCAGCCCGGTGTCAGCCTTCGGACCTAGAACAAAAGCACCACCTTGTGGTTAGAAGTGTAAATGCAGGCTTAAACCTGCATGCAGAAAACCACAAGGTATAGTAGTAATATTAATAAATTCTCTGCAATCGGTAAAGTTCCTGGTAGAAGACCACATTCCTACTCATGTCAGAGATTGTTTTTTAAATGTTTCCACAACACTGCTCTGTAATACGATTGAGATAGCATGGGAAAACAAACACACACTCATGGCTGAATTTCATTCAAAATCTCCATGTTGATAAAAAGACATTAAACCTAAGGAGTTGACTATTTTGAAGGATATGACACAAAAATGTGAAACTTATCCCCAATCAGAATGTCAGCTCTACGAGAGGCAGAAACTGGTTGGTTGGTTGGTTAGTTCACTGCAGTACTGCGCCAGGCGCTTTGGTTTACGGTAAAACAACAATTCCCAAACTTTTCATTCTCAAGACCACGTCACACTCTAAACACACTGAGTACCCCAAAGGGATTTTGTCCACGAGTTGCCAGAATGGCACCAAGTTAGTGTTACCATGTCAAAACCTCCTGTACAAATAAAATAAACCTACTACGTGCTAACATAAAATTTACTTTATGAAAATGCCACCGAGTTAGTGTTACTATGTCAAAACCTCCTGTACAAATAACAATAAACCTACTACATGTTAACATAAAATACTTTATGAAAATGGCATCAAGTTAGTTTTACCATTTGTCAAAACCTCCTGTACAAATAACAATAAACCTACTACGCGTTAACATAAAACACTTTATGAAAATGAAGTATTCTTTTAAAAAAAGAAACAAAAGTGATACGGTTTTACATTTGTGCACCTATCTTTTCCAGTCAGCAGAGCCAGATGCTCACACCGCCTGCTGCACGCCCTCTATGGCACTATCACACATCTCGTGCCTGACACTCAGCACAGAATGAGAGCGAAAGGTAAATAATGCTTCACATCTGTATGTAGCCGGAGCCCTGGAAGAATCCTGGGGTCTCTGCACTGTCATGTCTGCTGGACAGGAAGTGCTGGGGGAGCTTCACTGAGTGCAGGGAGAAGGGGCGCAGCACGAACACAAGGACTAAGGGGCCACGGCCTCTCCACAGCCACATGTCGGGGCAAGGCCTGGACCACAGCACTGCAGGGTTGGGGTCCTTATTTCATCAGGATTCCAAGTATAGGATTCAGGCCCAGGCACAGTGGCTGATGCCTGTGATCCCAGCACTTTGGAAGGCCAAGGCTGGTGGAAAGCTTGAGCTCAGGGATTCAAGCTCAGCCTGGGCAACACGGCAAAACCCCATCTCTACAAAACATACCCAAAAAATTAGCTGGGCATGGTGGCACACGCCTGTAGTCCAAGCTACCTGAGAGGCTGTGGTGGGAGAATAGCTTGAGCCCGAGAGGCAGAGGTTGCAATGAGCCAAGGTCACACAACTGCACCCCAGCCTGGAAGACAGAGCGAAACTCTGTCTCGAAAAAAAAAAAAAAAAAAAAAGAAAGAAAAGGATCCAACTCTTCGGGTCTTTGGGTCGCTTTGTTTTGACAGGGCATTATCTAACTTCAGGGTCATCTTCCCTTCAGGTTTTTACTATATGTTTTCTTAAGTGATAAGCGTTAATCATATGAATTGTTACATATAAATGAGGGTTTCCATTAATTTTTTCTTACTGTAAAGCTAATACATGCTCTCTGTAAAAAAACTTTATTATATTCCAAAACATACAAAATCACTGGCAATCCCACAATTCAGAAATAACCAAGTTAACTTTTTGTATATTTCCTTCTGCTTTTTTCTTACACTGAATGAAAAAAAATTAAGAATTTCCGCTCACTTATTAGCTATAAAAGGGTTAACAGAATAATTATACGGGAAAACAGTTAACTATAGGCAAGACACCCTCACTAATCTGTAAGTCAAGCACACGGTGGCCCTGGAAGGGTTCAGAGTTCTGACACAGCTCACGGCCCGGGACAGCCCTCTGTTACATTCAACCACGTGCACAGCGGCTTACCCTGGAACAAGAGTCACACAACAGTGGACGATGACAAAGCCAAGCCAAGACCCACAGGCCAGAGGGTGTGGCCACAGGAGGTAGGGCAGCAAGAAAGAGAAAAGGTAGCCTGCACTCCGAGAAAGCCCTCCCAGAAGGAAGACGGCGGCAAAGGCGAGCGGACAGAGAATGGAAAGGCAGCTCTGGCTTCTCCTTCCCCTGGACACAGCCCCCAGGAGAGCGCTAAGCCCCGCTAGACCCCAGGGAGGCTACACGAGGAAGACGCGCAGACAGGCCCGTAGGAACTGGAGCCAGGAGGGGCAGGGCCTCAGTGAGGACTAACTGGTTCCCTGGGCTGATATGCTGCAGACCTGCCCCCAGAAGGACAGGTGGCCAGGGAAACCAGTCAGAAGAGAGAGGCGCAGATGGGAGACTGAGGAAGTCAGAAGGCAGAAGCACCTGCAAGAAGGGCAAAGAGGAGGGAGGCAGATGGGAAGCCATGAAGGGAGCAGGAAACGGAGCTCGCACGTGGGCACAGGACACCAGAGTCCAGAGGCTGAGCTGCACCCAGCACCGGGGGGAGGGGGCAGGATAGCAAGGCCCAAGGACTAAGTGAGGACACTACCGGGTCAGGGCAGGAGAGGGGACTAGCCAAGGGAGGAAGGCTACCGACAGAAACCTTAACCAGGATGGTTTTGTTGCCCTGGGGGTGGAGGTGCAAGGTCTGACTAAGGATCTAAGGGAGAATGAGGGAGGATGCACACACCATGAAAAAAACACAAATCTTTGGAGGAGTTTGGCGCAAAGAAGGGCAAAGAACTGACGTGAAGCTGGTGGGAAGCAGGATCAAGAAAAGCTTTTTTCAGCCCAGGCGCGGTGGCTCACGCCTGTAATCCCAGCACTTTGGGAGGCTGAGGCAGGCGGATCACTTGAGGCCAAGAGTTAGACACCAGCCTGGCCAACAAGGTGAAACCTCATCTCTACTAAAAATACAAAAACATTAGCTGGGCGTGATGGCACACACCTGTAAACCCAGCTGAGGCTGTGTGGGGAGGCTGAGGCAGAACAATTGCTTGAACCCGGGCGGCAGAGGTTGCAGAGAGCCGAGATTACGCCATTGCACTCCACCCTGGGCGACAGAGCAAGACTCCGTCTCCAAAAAAATCTTTTTGGCCCAGGCATCATGGCTCACACCTGTAATATCAGCGCTTTGAGAGGCCCAGATGGGAGGATCACTTAAGGCCAAGAGTTCAAGAACAGCCTGGACAACATAAGGAGATTAATTTTTTTTTAAAAAAAGAGAAAAAACAAAAGCAAAGCTTTTTTTTACATAGGGACACAAGTCTGTGTACTAAAGGCAATGAATGCTCCGAAGAGAGCAAAAAGTGAAGGTGGGGGAGGGGCCAGGGAAGAGCTGCTGGAGCGGCTGCGCCCTGGGTAGACAGTGGGTGGAGTCGGTGAGTGCACGTGCTGTGCGGGGCGTCTTGGGAGGAGTCGAGTGCACGTGCTGTGCGGGGCGTCTTGGGAGGAGTCCAGTGCACGTGCTGTGGGGGGCGTCTTGGGTGGAGGTGAGTGCACGTGCTGTGGGCGGCGTCTTGGGTGCAGTCGTGGAGTGCACGTGCTGTGGGGGGCGTCTTGGGTGGAGTCCAGTGCACGTGCTGTGGGAGCGTCTTGGGTGGTGTGGGGTCCACGTGCTGTGGGGGCGTCTTTCCAGGGGTCCTCAGTCTGCTCTTTAAGCAGGAGACCAGCACCCAGCAAGCAGTAAGCACTGGGCGAGAAGGGTGCAGGGTGCGAGAGGGAAGACGAGACATGAAGGATACATCAAGAACCTACTTCTAGGCCGGGAACAGTGGCTCACGCCTGTAATCTCAGCACTTTGAGAGGCCTAGGCAGGCGGATCACCTGAGATCAGGAGTTCAAGACGATCTTGCCCAACATGGTGAAACCCCGTCTGTACTAAAAATAGAAAAATTAGCGGGGGTCAGTGGCGCACGCACGTGGTCCCAGCTAATCTGGAGGCTGAGGCACAAGAATGGCGAGAACCTGGGAGGCGGAGCTTGCAGTGAGCTGAGATTGCGCCACTGCACTCCAGCCTGGGGGACAGAGCGAGACTCCGTCTCCAAAAAAAGAAAACAACTTGGCATTTACTCCAGTACTTAAAACAGACAGTCACCATATGAACCAGTTATCCCATTCCCGGGATAGCCGAAGAAATGAAAACCCAGGTCCACACAAAAACTCGTACATGAATGTTCATGGCAGCACTGTCCATTAACAGCAAAAAAAAAAAAGAAAACACTAAGTTAAGTGAAAGAAGTCAGGCACGAAAGACAACAGAGAACAGGCAAATCGACAGGGAAGGAAAGCAGATGAGTGGTTGCCAGGGACTGGGTTGGGGGAGTGGGGGACACGGGAAGGAACTGCTAATGGTATAAGGTTTCTTTTCAGGATGATACAAATGTTCTGGATTTCTGGTGCTCTGTCCACAAATATACTCAAGTTTCAGTACTAGTAGTTCTGGTATATAGTAAGTCATTAATATGTGATGGTTGGTGAATAGATGGATGTGGACAGGTGAATGGATGAGTAGGTGGGTAAATAAATGGATGGGTGGGTGGTGAGGTGGATAGTAGAC
The DNA here is from genome assembly GCF_000001405.40 of Homo sapiens. Classification (NCBI taxonomy): domain Eukaryota; kingdom Metazoa; phylum Chordata; class Mammalia; order Primates; family Hominidae; genus Homo; species Homo sapiens. Next base: position 137,668,389 of record NC_000009.12, on the reverse strand, counting down.
AGTAGATGGATGGATGGATGAGTGGGTGGGTGTATGTGCCAGGTGGTGGGTGGGTGAGTGGTGGGTGGGTGAATAGAAGGGAGAGGAAGGAGAATGGAGGAAGAGGAAGAAAACAGGAGGAGAAGGAAGCAAGGATTTTTCTTCTAGCAGGATCCTGCAAGTCCCAGGTCAGTTAGACTCTCTGGAGTAGACAGCTGGCGCCCAAAGCCATCAGCACTCCTTGTCTTCTCGATCAGTGCGTCCCTTCTTCCTTTTGTCTTCCTTCACCTACTTGTCTGCCTCCCCACTGGTCCTGCCTCTTCTCCAAGGTCGAAAGGAAGAAAGCTGTTCTGCAAAAGTCTATAAAGGAGGTGGAAGCTCTCCTTTGCAACACCCTCTCACTTTTCTTCTTGTACAAGGTGCAGTCCCTCTGAGAGGTCCTATGTGCCATCTGCCACAATTCTAAAAGGTAATTTACCCTGAAGGTAAAGATAATTTGGATAGGCTCTTTTCTGGATTCCACGAAACCAAATAAGCAGCATACACTCTCAAAAAGACAAATTCCTATAAGATTTCAGATGTCAAAAAGGCCAGACCCGTGTGATAAGCAGCACAACAGCGTTTTCCTCCCCGAGTTCTCTAAAAATACAACGCTTTCACTGTAGACAATTTCCTTTCAAGAAAACACACCAAAACTTCTACTTTACATGAACTTTTCCTCTTGGTTATTTTTTTGTCCCCTATTCACAGTGCTTCAAGCAGAAGCCAGAAATCTCTAATGCTAAAATCCACCACCACCCCATCTCTAAAATTCTCTTCAAATAAAAAACAAATGTCTACTTAAGCTACAGCCTCCCGGGTCCTGCTTTCCCCACATGCCAGCCTCTGCCCGTGCCCCAGGACTGCAGTCACACACCTGCTGCCCGTCTCCTTCAAGCCACCCTCTCCACAGAGCGGGGAGGAGGAGGAGGAGTAGAGTGAGGCCAGAACCAGCAGATACCTGACCTCCACATGGCCTGGGGAAATGGCTCCTAGAAAAGTACAACATTTTCAACTCCAAAGAGATGAGAACAAATAATCTCTAAGGGTTGAGCTAACCCAGGTGGAGCTGCTAACATTAACCACCGTTAAAATTTACATCACAGGTGTTCAAAAACATTCCTGCATCAGCACATTTGCATACCTGGTTAAACAGTTCCTCTCAGAACCACTACCCAAAACAGTGCCAATTTCCAGTGCACAGCATCCCCACAGACGCCACTGCTGCTGGGGACACGTGAGCGATGGCACTGCCCGGGCTCACTGAGTGGCCTCCACCGCGTTTCAAGGGCAGGCACAAAGGAACGCCCTATTGTTCCCTCGTCCTCCTCATGCTGTGCGCTGAGCTGGAGTTTCCTCAGAGCTAGGAGAGAAGCCTACCATCCCCCACCCTTTTGTTCGAAGAATACGGTTCTAGAACAGGCAGCTATGAACCAATCTGCTCTAATCCTGTTATTTACAATTAATTAATTAATTAAAACACAGCCCTCCTCACTAGGTCTCTCCCTAAGATGTGCCCAGCACTTGCTTGAGCAACGTCTTATTTTCTGTGGAATTGCTTAGAAAATCCAAGTGGAGACTCTGCTGCCTCTCTACCCTCCTCACCATTCCACGGAAAATGGAGTCTCCCAATGAACACGCAGACAGGATCATCACACAACCCACACGTGTGGACGGGGACTACACAGGCTCCGAGGGGGAGGCTCTGTTCCCAGCTCTCCTGATGAGTGGTCAATGCCATCCTCACAGCCAAGGCGGACAGATTTCCTTTTCTGCAGCCTGCATGGCAAAGAGCCAGCTGCACCGTGGCACGGCCAGCCCTTGCCCTGCACAGCCTGGCCTCTGGTCCCAGGGTCCCTGGTTCCTGCTCACCTGGCAGTGTCATCCCTTCCCAGCCTCACTCCCTCCACCACTGAGGCTGCCATGGGGGCAGGTAGGAGAATAAAACAGGAAAACACTGCTAGTCAGCAAAAAAGTTCAAGCACGCTCTTTATAAATGTTCAAACAAGGGAAAAAGTCCTGGTTTATCATCAGCATAACTGAAAAAGGTCAGAGTTCCTCCTGCTACCAGCAAATGTGGAACGGGCCTGAGCTGTTCTCAGTACCCTCAGTTGGAGGGGACCTCCCATCCCACTCCCAAGAAAGTGCACATGGTGGGTGACCAGAGAGCAAAACAGGGTTATTTTGGCAGGCAAGCGGCATGGAGGACAAGGAGGTGTCCCCACCATCACAGCAAGCGTCCCTGCTCTGCAGGCCCTGGCCCCAGCCTAGAAGCACCAATGTAAAAGAAAGAGGGATTAAGCAAAAGAAAAAAAGTACCAAATACCACGTTTCTTGCTTGTACCCCATCACTTTTTTCCTCCTGTCTTAGTGCAATTGTTGACTGCGGCCAACTGCAGAGAAATCACAGTAGCCCAGCTCGGCGGCTCCCTCTGAAAGCTCCACGCACTGGGCATGCTCCAGAGCCATCTCACGAAATGGAGGCTGCCCCAGCGGCAGGATTCCAGAGCTGCACGCGGCCGCCCAGGCACCTCCAGGCCTCCTCGGAAGCTGCTTAAACCCTCGCATTCACAACCATTTTAAAACAATCAGTGTTCTCAGATGGAAACCATTTAACGAGACATTTATTGTTTTCACCCTAAAACGTGAAGGGTCCCTCCACAGAAACCATCAACACAGCTCATCCCACAAAGCAATCACTGCTCGTAGGGCCTCTCAGGATTAGCTCTGTTGAAAAAATACTAACAAAAACCTAGACATGGAATCTGGGGACCAGCCCTCTCACAAGGAACTCAACTCACAGAGACATTTTACCTCTGGGGCCAAGAGCCCACAACATGACAGTGGGTAGGAAAGCAAACAGAAAACACCAGCTCGCAATGCGCACCTCCCACCGGAGCTCCTGTCCCAGTGCCAAGCATACCAGGGCTGGGTCTCAGGGCAATGCTTCTGCCACAAGGAGTAGCTCCAGGACGCACCTGCACGACGCAGGTTCGAGCACAGCAGTCTCCCCACACTCAGGCTGCTCCTAAACATCACCTCCTATGCCCACCCCAGCTCCAAATTTCTTACAGGGAGAGGCCCTTATACACCTATGCCAGCTCTCCAATCAAGACCAAGTTGTTTGTAGCTCTTAATACAAAACAATAAATATTTGAAGTCCTTTTTCTATAAAAATAGGGAATATTTTTTAAAATAGTGTATTCAGGTTCCAGGCAAACTGCAAAATAAAAGCACAAATATTATTTTCTATTTTTAAGGTCACATGAAAGTAAATAACACCAATCCTTCTCTATAAATGCTATTCTATAACTCCCCCACGCTTTCTAGTACAGTATCAGTGTTGACTGCCCAAGAGTTGCAAAGTGGGTGGTCCAACAGAGCCAGGCCCGCAAGCTGTGCTTACCAGCCAGGGAGGAGACGCACCAACAAAACACCATGTCCGAAAAGCAATGCAAGTGATTCCTCTTTAAGTACACAGGTTCCGCCCAGCCAAGAGCAAACAACCCAGACATGGGACTCCAAGTTCAAATGTAGAAAACACAATGTCAACAGATCCATCTTAAGGCAACAGAGCGTGGTCATTTACAAACCTATCTGCAACCCACACAGAAACCCAAGAGAATCCTGCCCTCCACCTCGGCTCCCTCCCCCATATGGACAAAGAACAGAGAAGGCAAACTAAGGGAAATAAATGCATATGACTAATAAAACAAATGCAGCTGAAAATACATTTAAAGCAACAAAGACGCCATTTTCCACTTATTGAACTGGCAAAAAAAAAAAAATTAAAGTCTGTCAATGAGAGTATCGGGCCAGGCGCAGTTGCTCACGCCTGTAATCCCAGCACTTTGGGAGGCCAAGGGGGCAGATCGCCTGAGCTCCAGAGTTCGAGACCAGCCTGGCCAACATGGTGAAACCCAGTCTCTACTAAAAATACAAAAATTAGCCGAGTGTGGTGGAGGGCACCTGTAATCCCAGCTACTTGAAAGGCTGAGGTTGCAGTGAGCAGAGATCACACCACTGCACTCCAGCCTGAGCGACAGAGCACGACTCAGTCTCAAAAGAAAAAAAAAAAAAAAAGTATGGCTAAACAGGCAATTCTCATTTAATAAAATCTCTCTGGGGGCAACTTGGCAATAGTTATCAAATTTTAAAAACACACACCACCAGGCTCAGTGGCATGCACCTGTAGTCCCAGCTCCTTGGGAGACTGGGGCAGCAGGATCACTTGAGCCCAGGAGTCCAAGGCCAGCCTGGGCCACACAATGAGAACTCCATCTCTTGAAACAAAAAAAGTACATACCTCTTGGTTGAGCAATTCTCTATTGGTAGTATAATTTTACTTATATATAATCTGTAAAATATATAATCTGTAAGATAAATTTTTGCAGAATTTATTATGCATATACTATATAGTACTTAGTTTGTAGTAATAATACACAGTACATATAATACGAATAATGGTATATGTGTAGCTTACTCTACAGATATACTAGCAAAAGTTCCCCAGATCACAGGGAACAAGGACATGCATTCCACCTTCTCTCCAGGTGAGAGGATCTGAGTCCCGCCCACAGAAGGCTAGTTATAGACATTGTTATTCCCCTACAAGGGAATATCCAAAAGCCCTTGCAGAGGGTAAGAAAAGGCTGGTGTGCTCGCATGGGAAATCACAGAACAGGGTGTCTATGATACCAAGACTCGTGTAAGAGAACAGAAAGATGCTGGTATGTGCACAAACATCTTTTTGGAATGAATTATAAGAAATTATTAATAGTGTGACATGTTTAAGTAAGATTGAGAGCAGAAACGGAGATGGGAAGTCTTTTACTCTGCAATATGCACCTTTTCTTACTATTTAGTTTATGTTTCTTTTTCTTTCTTCTGTGGACCTCAAGTGTGCTGAGGATTCTGAGCAGTCCACTCCAGCACACAGGACGCTGCTACCACTGCTCCATGCTGCTCTTCACCTGGTCAGCACCCATTAACCCACCACTCACAACAAAAACCAGGATCTTGTCAAGAATCGACACCTAACCAGCCATATGGCCCACATCACCCCATCATTACTGCCTCTTCCTGCTCAAGCCAACTATCAGAACAAGAACCATAGGCTGTAGCTTCAAAGAAAGTCCCCAAATTAACAGGCTAACAGCAAATCCATCTAAAGAAGGTACAAATGAATAACAAAATAAATTCAAAGAAAGGAACAGGAAAGAGATAATAAAATGAGTGGATATCTATACAATAAATATAGGTTAAAAATTCCAGGCCAGGACTGGGCGCGGTGGCTCACACCTGTATTCCCAGCACTTTGGGAGGCCGAGGCAGGTGATCGCCTGAGGTCAGGAGTTCGAGACCAGCCTGGCCAACATGGCAAAACCCTGTATCTACTAAAAGTACAAAAATTAGCCGGGCATGGTGGCGTGCACCTGTAATCCCAGCTACCCAAGAGGGTGAGGCAGGAGAATCGCTGGAACCCAGGAGGCAGAGGCTGCAGTGAGCAGAGATCGCACCATTGCACTCCAGCCTGGGTGACAGAGCAAGACTCTGTCAAAAATAAATAAATAAATAAATAAATAAATAAATAAAATTCAGGCCAGCCGCGGTGGCTCACGCCTGTAATCCCAGCACAAGATCAGGAGTTCGAGACCAGCCGGGCCAACACGGTGAAACCCCATCTCTACTAAAAATACAAAAAATTAGCCCAGTGTGGTGGCAGGCATCTGTAATCCCAGCTACTCAGGAGACTGAGGCAGGAGAGTTGCTTGAACCTGGGAGGCGGAGGTTGCAGTGAGCTGAGATCATGCCACTACACTACAGCCTGGGCAACAGAGCGAGACTCTGTCTCAAAAAAGAAAAATTCTAGGCAAGGTGCGATGCCTCACACCTATTATAATCCCAACACTTTGAGAGGCCATGGTAAGCAGATCACTTGAGCCCAGGAGTTCAAGACCAGCCTGGGCAACATGGAGAGACTCCATCTCTACAAAAAATACAAAAATTAGCTCGGGATTGTGGCATGTGCCTGTAGTCCCAGCTACTCAGGAAGCTGAGGTGGAAGGATCACTTAAACCCAACAGGCAGAGGTTGCAGTGAGCCAAGATCTCAACACTGTACTCCAGCCTGGGTGACAGAGTGAAACCCTGTCTGGAAAAAAAATATCTAAACAAAAATATCAGCAATTTGAATTCAACAATGTGTAAAAAATATATATATACTATCAGCAGATATTGTTGGGTAACTCACCCCATTAATAGATTTCTTGGCCAGGCGCAGTGGCTCATGCCTGTAATCCCAGCACTTTGGGAGGCCGAGGTGGGCAGATCACCTGAAGTCAGGAGTTCGAGACCAGCCTGACCAACATGGTGAAACCTCGTCTCTACTAAAAATATAAAATTAGCTGGGCATGGTGGCGCATGCGTGTAATCCCAGCTACCTGGGAGGCTGAGGCAGCAGAATCACTTGAACTCAGGAGGCGGCGGCTGCAGTGAGCCGAGATTGCAGCATTGCACTCCGGCCTGGGCAACAAGAGGGAAACTCCATCTCAAAAAAGAGAAAAAAAATAGATTTCTTTAAAGATGTAGAAAAACAGCCGGGTGCAGTGGCTCACGCCTTTAATTGGGAGGCAGAGGTGGGTGGATCACCTGAAGTCAGGAGTTTGAGACCGGCCTGGCCAATATGGTGAAACCCTGCCTCTAGTAAAAATACAAAAATTAGCCAGGCATGGTGGTGCGCACCTGTAGTCCCAGCTACTCGGGAGGCTGAGGCAGGAGAATTGCTGGAACTCAGGCGGTGGAGGTTGCAGTGAGCCGAGATTGCGCCACTGCACTCCAGCCTGTCAACAGAGCAAGACTCCATCTCAAAAAAAAAAAAAAAAAAGATGTACAAAAACTACCTGGGGTAAAATTCAATACTCAAGTATGATTTTTACAACTCAGTAAATTAGGAATGGAAGAGCATTTCCTTACTCCAATAAAAAAGTATAGTTCTGTTGAGCAGTCTAGGAAAAAAATAGTTTTCAAGTATTAAAAAAATAAACACCATCCTAAATAGGAAAATATTGGAAACATTCCCTTTAAAATCAAGAATAATCATGAAAAGCAAACAGAAACTAGAGAGATGGATAGATATATAGAATGATAAAGCAAATGTGGTAAAATGTTAACACTTGGGGTATCTGGGTAAAAGGACCTATGGGAATTCTATGTATTATTTTTGCAACTTTTTTTGTAAGTCTAAAATTATTTCAAACTAAAAATTTAAAAAAGTCATAAAAATAGACAAAACCAAGAATAAAAACATCCACTAGCATTGTTTCTTTTCGACATCATATCGTGTCCTAACCAGCACAATTAGACAAGGAATCTGAGGCCTGGGATTAGAAAGGAAGAAATAAAACTGCTATTATATGTTCTACAAAGTATTAGAAATAATAGTAGAGCTTAGCAAGATGATGGTAGGAAAGGTTAAATACTCAGTAGTCAGCTGTGTGGTTATTCTACAACAGCAGTAAACAATTAGCTGCTGTAATTAAAGAGAAGCCATCACTTACGATGGCATCAGAGAATCATCAGTTATCTAGAAAGAAACCTGCAAAAGATGGCAAGACCTCTACAGGAAAAATTGTAAAATTTCATAGAAATATTTCTTAAAAACTAAATGAAGAGAGAAATATACTGTGCTCACAAATAGTCAGATATATTGTGAAGATGTGGATTCACACAAAATTGATCCATAGATTCAGTGCAATTCCAATTAATATCCGAACAGGATTGTTCATGAAATTTTATGATTCTAGAGTTAATATTGAAGAATAAGTGGCCAAAAATATCCAGAACGCCACTGCACTCCAGTCTGGCCAAGAGAGTGAGAGCCTGTCTCTAAAAAAACAGAAACAAAACAGAAACCCCCACACATTTGAACTGTGGGATACGGTATGACAGGCTGACGAAGAAAGGAGGGCTTGCTCAATACCTAAAGCTAGGAAAAATGATTATACACATGAAGAAAGATGAGGAAAAAATTTTTTTGAGACAGGGTCTGGCTCTGTAACCCAGGCTAGAGGGCAGTGGTGCAATCTCAGCTCACTGCAACTTCTGCTTGCCTCCCAGGCTCAAGTCATCCTCCCACCTCAGCCTTATTAGCTAGGACCACAGGCACGTGCCACTATGCCCAGCTAATATTTGTATTTTTTGTAGAGATGGTGTCTCACTTTGTTGCCCAGGCTGGTCTCGAGCTCTTGAGCTCAAGCGATTCTCCTGCCAGCCTCCCAAAGTGCTGGGACTACAGGTGTGAGCCACCACACCGGCACATGAAGAAAGATGAAATCGAATCCCTGCTTCACATGATTTACATTAAAAAAAGAAAAAGGTCAATCACAGAAAAAGGTCAATTACATGCCAAAAACAAAACCTCGGCTAAGCACTACCTATCTAGGTAAATACATTTTGGACTGCAAGAGAAAGAAAAGTCTCTTAAAATACAAAAGGGGGCCAAGCGCAGTGCCTCACATCTGTAATCCCAGCACTTGAGAGGGCGAGGTGGGCGGATCACTTGAGCCCACGAGTTTGAGACCAGCCTGGGCAACATAGAGAAACCCCATCTCTGCAAAAAATACAAAAATTAGCCAGGTGTGGTGGTACATGCCTACTATGGTGGACCATCAGTAGTAGGTGGTCCCAGCTACTCGGGAAGCTGAGGTGGTACAATCACCTAGGCAAGGGAGGTCAAGGCCGCAGTGAACCATGATTGCACCCACTGCACTCCAGCCTGGGCAACAGAGACTCTGTCTCCAAAAAAAAAAAAAAAATTTTTTAAAGGGACCCAGGCATGGCGGCACACACTTTCATTCCCAGCTACTTGAAAGGCTGAGGTGGGAGGACTGCTTGAGCCCAAGAGTTCAAGTCCAGCCTGGGGAACATAGCAAGACCCTGTCTCTAAAAATAATTAATTAATTAATTAATTAATTTTAGAAATACAAAAAGGACTGTCAAACTAGGAGACTATATTCATAATACACAGAAACAACAAAAAATTAAGAATATACAAAGAACTGCAAAATAATAAGCACAAAGCATGAAAAAATGGGCAAAGGACATCTATAGACATTTCACAGAAAAGCCAACCAAGTACCACATTGGAGATGTTCAACATTAATAAGAAAAGAAGAAAAACCAAAAATAAGAAAAATACATTATGTTTTGGGAGGAAAACCCTGGAATAAGATCTAGTATTTGATGGCACAACAAACATAATGTATTTAGATGTTCAACATTAGTAAGAAAAATAAGAAAAACCAAATAAGATGATAATGACATGCCGTTTTACACACATTCAATTGACTCAAACTCAAGGAAAGAGGATGTGGGCTTGCAGGATGTCTACGATGGTTCAGCAGTTCCACTCCAGCCCAAGAGAAAAGACAACCACAGAAGTGTTCCTGGGCTGGCACAGTAGCTCATGCCTATAATCCCAGCACTTTGGGAGGCTGAGGTGTGAGGATCCCTTGAGGTCAAAAGCTTGAGACCAGCCTGGGCAACACAGTGAGACCTTGTTTCTACAAACACACACACATAATTTTTTAAAAATAGCCAGGTATGGTGGTATGCACCTGTAGGCCCAGCTACTCAGGAGGGTGAGGTGGGAAAATCGCTTGAGCCTGGGAAGTTGAAGCTGCAGTGAGCCAACGTCGCACCACTGCACTCCAGCCTGGGCTACAGGGCAAGACCCTGTCTCAAAAAAAAAGAAAAATTCATTTTTCTATGCAATTTTATAAAAAGCCATTAAAAAAAAACAAAAGATAATTGCAGATGATGATAAATAAACCAAGGTAAAGGGACAGAAACACAGGAGAAGCTACCTTAGATACAAGAACCAGGGAAAGCAATTCTGAAGTCTGAAAAAGACCATTCTGGGCGCTGGGTGCGGTGGCTCACGCTTCTAATCCCAGCATTTTGGGAGGCTGAGGCAGGTGGACCACTTGAGCTCAGGCGTTCGACACCAGCCAGGCCACTATGGTGAAACCCCGTCTCTACTAAAAATACAACAATTAACCGGGTGTGGAGGCACCAGCCTGTAATGCCAGCTACTCAGGAGGCTGAGGCACAAGAATCACTTGAACCCAGGAGGCGGAGGCTGCAGTGAGACAAGATCATGCCGCAGCACTCCAGCCTGGGTGACAAAGTGAGACCAAATGGAGAAAAAGACCATTCTGGATAGGAAGAGCCGCGAGTGACAGAAGGAAGGAGAACGAAAGAAGCAGAAGGTAAAACGTGGCACACAGGCACAATGAGGCAGTATTCAGCCATGAACAGAATGAGATCCCATCATCCACAACTAGGATGGAACTGGAGGTCACTGTGTTAAGTGAAATCAGCTGGGCACAGAAAGACAAACTTCACATGCTCTCATCTATGTGGGGGAGCTAAAAATTAAAATGACTGAACTGATGGAGATGGTAGAGTAGAAGGACGTCTAGGGGCTATCACTTGTAGAAGCAGTATTAAAAAAAAAAAGTAGAAGGATGGTTTGCAGAGGCTGGGAAGGGCAGTGGAGTGGAGGTGGGGAGTGGGGGTAGAAATGGTTCATGGGCACAAAACATAGAGTAAGAACTAGTACTTGATAGCACAGCAAAGTGACCAGAGTCAACAATGGTCTATTGCACATCTTAAAATAACTACAAGAGTAGAACTGCATGGTCTGTAAAACAGGATCAACGCTTGAGGTGATGGACACCCCAGTTACCCTGGTGTGATTGTTATGCACTGTATGCTTGTATCAAAACATCTCATGTACCCCATAAATAAATACACCTACTATGTACCCACAAAAATTGAAAATAAAAAATTTTTATTAAAAAAAAAAAAAAGCAACCAGGTGCACTGGCTCCCACCTACAATCCCAACACCCTGGGAGGCCGACTTCCACTCAAACCACCACCCTCTCATCCTAACGAGCGCGACAGCCTCTCACCTCACCTGCTGCACCCCTGCAGCCAACTCTCAACACTGCCACGAGAAAGACACTGTTAAAACAGAAGTCACATTCCGCCACTCCTCTGCTCAGAATCTCCCAGTGGTCCCTCTAGGAGAAGCCTATGAGACAATCACCCCTCTTCAGCTGAGCTGGCTGCCCCACGCCTTGCTCCTGCTGCTTCCTCAAGACTGCAGCCACACGCTCCCCACACCACTGCCCATGTGCCCTTCCTTGTCTACACCGGCCATAACACACAAGTTCCGTCTGTTTTGTTCACTGCTACACCCCCCAGACCACAGCATGGAGCAGGTACCTTGCACTTGCAGGATGAACAGACAAAAGTAAAAGGGTGGCCAGGCACGGTGGCTCACACCTGTAATCCCAGCACTTTGGGAGGCTGAGGCAGGCAAATCACTTAAGGCCAAGAGTTCAAGACCAGCCTGGCCAAAATGGTGAAACCCTGTCTCTACTAAAAATACAAAAATGACCCAGGCGTGGTGGCACACACCTGTAATCCCAGCTACTCGGGAGGCTGAGGCAGGAGAATCGCTTGAACCTGGGAGACAGAGGTTGCAGTGAGCCAAGATGGCACCATTGCACTCCAGCCTGGGGGAATAGCGAGACGCTGTCTCAAAAATAAAATTAAAATTAAAATTAAAAAAAAAAAGGAAGGGCATCCAGCTGTGGGTGAGAAGCAGGGAGAGGCCCAGCACGGCCCTTGGACTCATGCCCCCTGCCTCCTGGGTGTACACATGTCCCCTGGACATATGCCCCTGCCTCCAGTCCACAGCACAGGCCCAGCCTGGGCACAAGGCAGTCAAGAAAGCGAAGCCCAGCATGGGCACTGTGCCTCTAGATAGATCCGCACAGGGCCAGGAGCCTGTGTTGATTAGGAAGACAATAGTTAACAGGAAACTTCGAAATCTAAGTGTCATCACTCTAACCCAAAATCTCCCATTTCCTTCCAGTGTCTCTTCATAGCTATACATTTTTGTTTTTTGTTTTTGTTTTTGAGATGGAGTCTCGCTCTGTCACCCAGGCTGGAGTGCAATGGTGCCAACTCAGCTCACTGCAACTTCCACCTCCCAGGTTCAAGTGATTCTCCTGCCTCAGCCTCCTGAGTAGCTGGGATTACACGCGCACGCTGCCATGCCCAGCTAATTTTTATAATTTTAGTAGAGATGAGGTCTCACCATGTTGGCCAGGCTGGTCTCTAACTCCTGACCTCAGGTGATCCGCCCACCTCGGCCTCTCAAAGTGCTGGGATTATAGGTGTGAGCCACTGCGCCCAGCCATATGTACACATTTTATATGGTTATGAGCTATATAAACAATTTTTCCCTTGAATATTCCAGCATGTCTTCATATTCTTCAGTTATCACATGAATGGCAGTGTATTTCATAAAGTAGATATATCATAAAGCATTAAAACATTTTTATATCACTGATAATCAGTGATCTTTCAGTTTATCATTACTTTAAAACAGTGGTCCCCAACCTTTTTGGCACCAGGGACTCATTTCATGGAAGACGATGTTTCCATGGACAAAAGGTGAGGAGGGTAGCTCAGGAAGAAACTGTTCCACCTCAGATCTTCAGACGCTAGATTCTCATAAGGAGCACGCGACCCAGATCACTCGCATGTGCAGTTCACAACAGGGTCCTCGCTCCTATGAGAGTCTAATCCCACTGCTGATCTGGCAGAGGCAGAACTCAGGCAGGGATGCTCAACTCAAAGCCTGCCGCTCAAGTCCTGCTGGGTGGCCCAGTTCCTAATGGGCCACTGACCAGCACTCCACAGCCTGGAGTTTGGGGACCCCTGCATAAAAAACACTATTAGCATCTTCATGTAAATGGTAATTATTGTGAACTCATTCATTCATTCTTCAACAGCACTGAGTGACACCTAATATATGCAACGTATTTTATCTTCCTCATTAAGGAAAACTCCATAGGTAAGATTCCTGGGTCCTTTCATGGGTAACAATAGTTCTGGTCTGCTGGGCAGTAAGGAGGTCTTTTTTAAGCAGCCTCTACCAGTGAGGTTGCCAGTGTAGTGCCTGAAAATAGTTAACGGCCAGGCGCAGTGGCTCACGCCTATAATCCCAGCACTTTGGGAGGCTGAGGCGGGCAGACCACCTGAGGTCAGGAGTTCGAGACCAGCCTGGCCGAAAAATGGTGAAATGCCGTCTCTACTAAAAATAAAAAAATACAAAAATACAAAAATTAGCCAAGCGTAGTGGCGTATACCTGTAGTCCCAGCTACTTGGGAGGCTGAGGCAGGAGACTCTTTTGAACCTGAGAGGAGGAGGTTGCAGTGAGCCGAGATCATGCCATTGCACTCCAGCCTGGGTGGCAAGAGCAAGACTCCATCTCGAAAAAAAAAAAGAAAAGAAAGGAAAAAACAGTTAACCACCTGGTACCTTCCTGCTGCAGTCCCTGAATACCAAGGTCCTTGACACCACCTCTGCTGTCCACGCTGGCCTGTCTAAGCCATAGGCATCAGCATCCCAGCTTGGCTGTACCCCACCACCTGGCCCAAACTCTGACCACCCTGTGGGCTCAGAACCATGTGCACTGTTCACTTCCCTGTTCAGCTCTAACGTGCTTCTCCTGGTGTCTGTCCAGATAATGCCATGTTCTGGGGCATGGCAGGCCCAGCCTTTACTCAAGCCTTCAGGCATGTACTGCCTCCCCAGCCACCCTCTCCAGTCTGGCCCACCTCACTGGGCCCCAGCTGGCTTCTGTGCAGAAACTAACAGGATGACCTAAAATTCATATGGAAACTTAAGAGACCCAGAATAGCCAAAACAATCTGGAAAAAGAAGAACAAACTTGGAGGACTCAAACCTCTCCATTTCAAAACTTACAACAAAGGTAAAGTCATCAAGACACTGTGATACTGGCCTAAGGAACAACATCTGATCAATGGAAGAGAACTGAAAGTTCAGAAACAGACTCACATATTTATGGTCAATTAATTTTTCTCTTTTTTTTTTGGTGGGGGGGAGGTGGTAAGGGGTGGGGGGTGGGGTCTCCTCGCTCTGTCGCCCAGGCTGGAGTGCAGTGGTGTAAACTCAGCTCACGGCAACCTCCATCTCCCACGTCCAAGCGATACTTCTGCCTCAGCCTCTTGAACAGCTGGGACTACAGGCACCCACCACCACATCAGGCTAATTTTTGTATTTTCAGTAGAGATGGGGTTTCGCCATGTTGGCCAAGCTGGTCTCGCACTCCTGACCTCAGCCTCCCAAAGTGCTGGGATTACAGGCGTGAGCCACCGCGCCCAGCCTATGGTCAATTAATTTTTCAATGAAGCCATGAAGACTATTCAATAAAAGGAGAATCTTTTCAGCAAACAGTGCTAGGACACCGGGAGAGCCATATGCGAAAGCGTGAAGATGGACCCCTGCTTCATACCATATACAAAAAGCACAGGGAAGTGTTTCTCAGCAATGGGGATACCTTCTGAGAAATGCATCAAGGAGGAGAAGTTCCAGTACTGGCATTGTCTGACTTGTTGAAAATCACTTTGCTTATTTTATGCACCAGTGAAAATGAGAAAATCGGCCAGGGGCAGTGGCTAACGCCTGTAATCCCAGGACTTTGGGAGGCCGAGGCAGGCGGATCAGGGTCGGGAGTTCAAGACCAGCGTGGGCAACATGGAGTAACCCCATCTCTACTAAAAATACAAAATTAACTGGGCACGGTGGCACATGCCTGTCATCCCAGCTACTCGGGAGGCTGAGGCAGGAGAATCGCTTGAAACTGGGAGGCAGAGGTTGCAGTGAGCTGAGATCACACCACTGCACTCCAGCCTGGGCGACAAGAGCAAAACTCTGTCTCAAAAGAAAAAAAAAAGAAAGAGAAAATCAAGCCCTTAGTCTTCCCGTGTGCCAAGCACTGTCTTAGGTGCTTTATGCAACCATGCATCACTTAACTACGAGGATACCTTCTGGGAAATTCAACGTTAAGCAACTTCACTGTTCTGTGAACATCACAGACTGTACTCACACAAACCTAGATGCCTACTACGCACCGAGGCTATGGGGTAGAGCCTATTGCTCCTGGGCTACAAACCTATGCAGCATGTTACTGTGTTGAATACTGCAGGCGACAGGAATATAATGGTAAGTATTTGCATATATAAATATATCTAAGCATAGAAAAGGTACAATAAAAATACAGTATAAAAAATAAAAAAGGGACACCTGTATGGGACACTTACCATGAATGGAGCTTGCAGGGCTGGAATTGGAAGTTGCTCTGGGTGAGTGAGTAGTGAATGAATGTGAAGGCCTAGGACATCACTATACACTACTGTAGGCTTTATAAACACTGTACACGTAGGCTACACCATCTAAGGCCAGGCACAGTGACTCCCGCCTGTAATCCCAGCACTTTGGGAGGCCAAGGCGAATGGATCACCTGAGGTCAGGAGTTCAAGACCAGCCTGGCCAACATGGTGAAACCTTGTCTCTACTAAAAATACAGAAAAGTTAGCCAGGTGTGGTGGCAGGTGTCTGTAATCCCAGCTACTCAGGAGACTGAGGCAGGAAAATCGCTTGAACCTGGGAGGCGGAGGTTGCGGTGAGCCGAGATTGCACCACTGCACTCCAGCCTGGGCAACAACAGCAAAACTCCATCTCAAAAAAAAAAAAAAAGTTTAACTTCTTACACTTTTTTGTTAAAAACTAAGATACACTAGCCAGGCGCGGTGGCTCACGCCTGTAATCCCAACACTCTGGGAGGCCAAGGTGAGTGGATCACCTGAGGTCAGGAGTTCAAGACCAGCCTAGCTAACATGGCAAAACCCCACCTCTACTAAAAATAAAAAAACTAGCTGGGCGTGGTGGTGCACACCTGTAATCCCAGCTACTCAGGAGCTGAGGCAGGAGAATTGCTCCAACCAAGGAGGCAGAGGTTGCAGTGAGCCAAGATCGCACCACTGCACTCCAGCCTGGGAGACAGAGTGAGACTCCGTCTCAAAAAAAATAAAACTAAGACACACTGGCCGGGCATTGTGGCTCACGCCTGTAATCCCAGCACTTTGGGAGGCCAAGGCAGGAGGATGACTTCAGCCTGGCTTGGGCAACATAGCAAGACCTCATCTCTACAAAAAAAAAAATTAACTAAAACACAAACACACACATTAGCCAAGGCCCACACAGAGTCAGGATCATCCGTATCACCGTCTCCCACCTCCACATCTTGTCCCCTAGAAGATCTTCAGAGGCACTAACATGCATGGAGCCGTCATCTCCTATGGTAACAGTGTCTTCTAGACTCCTCCTGAAGGGCCTGCCTGAGACTGTTTTACAGTTAACTTTTTTTTAAATAAGTAGGAGTACACTCTACAATAATGGTAAAAAAGTATAGTACAGAATAGTAACTACATACACCAGTAACATAGGAGTTTATTATCATTATCAAGCATTAGGTACTGCACATAACTGTATGTGCTAGACTTTTAGACAACTGATAGCAGAGTAGGTTTGTTTACCTGAGCAGGACACATAATGCCTATTGCTAGAGCTTTAGCATGTCCTGGGCAATAGGAACTTTTCGGCTCCACTACAATCTTTTTTTTTCTTTTCTTGAGACGGCGTCTCGCTGTCACTCAGGCTGGAGTGCAGTGACACAATCTCGGCTCACTGCAACTTCCACTTCCCAGGTTCAAGCATTTCTCCTGCCTCAGCCTCCCAAGTAGCTGGGATTATAAGTGTGTGCCAACAGGCCCAGCTAATTTTTTGTATTTTTATTTTTGGTAGAGTCAGAGTTTCACCATGTTAGCCAGGCTGGTCTTGAATTCCTGACCTCAAGTGATCCGCCTGCCTCGGCCTCCCTCCCACAGCGATGGGATTACAAGCGTGAGCCACCGCACCTGGCCAGCTCCATTATAATCTTACTGGACCATCATCTTATATGTTGTCCATCACTGACAGAGACATCATTATGTGGCCTGTGACTATAATTCAAAATAGATCAAAGATCTAATTAAAAGAGCTAAAACTGTAAAACTCATAGAAGAAAACAGGCACAAATCTTCATAATCTTGAATTTCAAAAGTGTTTCTAAAATAGGACACAAAAGGCACAAGCAACAAAGAACAAAGGGATAAATTAGACTTTATCAAAATTAAAAATGTTTGTGCTTCAAAGGATACTATCAAGAAAGTGAAAACACAACCCACAAAATGGGAAAAAATATTTACAAGTCCTACATCTGCCTGGGTGCAGTGGCTCACACCTGTAATCCCGGCACTTTGGGAGGGTTCCAGTTTTTCCATATCATCGTCAACACTGGTGGTTTTGTTTTGTTTTGTTTGAGATAGGGTCTCACTCTGTCACCTACCCAGGCTGGAGTGCAGTGGTGCAATCACAGCTCACCGCAGCCTCGAACTCCCAGG
The DNA here is from genome assembly GCF_000001405.40 of Homo sapiens. Classification (NCBI taxonomy): domain Eukaryota; kingdom Metazoa; phylum Chordata; class Mammalia; order Primates; family Hominidae; genus Homo; species Homo sapiens. The sequence continues at coordinate 137,650,982 of NC_000009.12, read as the reverse complement.
CTCGTGATCCTCCCACCTCAGCCTCCTGAGTAGCTGGAACCACGGGTGTGCACATATTCATATTCATATGGCAGCGGGAAGATTGCTTGAGCCCAGGAGTTCAACCAGCCTGATCAACACAGTCTGCACAAAAAATTAAAAAACAAAAATTAGCCAGGTGTGGTGACATGTGCCTGTGGCCCTGGCTACTTGGGGGGCTGAATTGGGAGGATCACTTGGGTCCAGGAGGTCAAGGTTGCAGTGAGTTGTGATCACCCCACTGCACTCCAACATAGGCAACAGAGTGCAACTGTCTCAAAAAAAAAAAAAAAAAAAAGCGGGGGGTCCTATATCTGATAAGGGACTTCCCTCTATAATATATAAAGAACATCTGTAACTCATTAATAAAAAGACAACCCAATTTAAAATGGGCAAAGGATATAAACAGGCATTTCTACAAAGAAGACATACAAATGGCCAATAAGAACATGAAAAGACGTTCAACATCATTAGTCATCAGCAACATGCAAATCAAAACCACAATGAGATACTACTTCACACTCCCTAGTTTGGCTATAATTTTAAAAATGAACAACAGCTGGGCAAGGTACACCTGTAATTACACATCTGTAATCCCAGCACTTTGGGAGGCCAAGGTGAGCAGATCGCTTGAGCCCAGGAGTTTGAGAATAGCCTGGGCAACATGGTGAAACCCCATTCTAAAAAAAATGTTTAAATTAGCTGGCATTGTGGCCCACACCTGTGTAGTTCTAACTATTAAGGAGGCTAAGGCGGGAGGATCACTTGAGCCTGGGAGTTTGAGGCTGCAGTGAGCTGTGACTGCACCACTGCACTCCAGCCTGGGTGACAGGGTGAGACCCTGTCTCAAAAAAAAATAAATAAATAAAATAACAAGTGTTGGCGACGATATAAAAACTGGAACCCTCATTCACTGCTGGCAGGAATGTTAGATGGCACAGCCACCATAAAAACACAGTTCCTCAAAGGTTGTCCCACAATGAGACCACTGTAGCTTGACATGCAATTGTAAGAAGTAACACAGAGACTCCGTGTACACTTTGCCCAGAGCATTAATCTCCTGCAGTTACCTTAACAAAGTATCATAAATTGGTTAACTTAAAACAACCTAAATTTATTTTTATCTTTTCGCAGTTCTGGAGGCCAGAAGTGTGAAATCCGGCTGCTGGCAGGGCGTGGTCCCTCTGAAGGCTCCAGGAAAAGAGCACTTCCTTGCCTCTTCCAGCTCCGGTGGTGTAGGCCATCTTCTCACTCCCTGGTTCGCAACACTTGGCTCCCACCTCTGCCTCCGCTGCTGTGGCTTCTTCCCTGAGTCTGTGTCCTCTTATGGACACCAGTCACTAAATCTAGGGCCCACCCTAAATCTACGACGACTTCATCTCAAGATCCTTAATTAATTACATCTGCAAAGATCCTACGTCCAAATTAGGCCCCATTCTCAAGTCATGGGTGGATCTGAATTTGGGAGGACATTTTTGTTTGTTTGTTTGTTTGTTTGTTTGTTTGAGTCGGAGTCTCGCTCTGTTGCCCAGGCTGGAGTGCAATGGCGCGATCTCAGCTCACTGCCACCTCCGCCTCCCAGGTTCAAGCAATTCTCCTGCCTCGGCCTCCGCAGTATCTGGGATTACAGGCACCCGTCACCACATCCGACTAATTTTTATATTTTTAGTAAAGACAGGGTTTCCCCATGTTGACCAGGCTGGTCTCTTTGGCCAGGCTGGTCTCAAACTCCTGACCTCATGATCCACCCGCCTTGGCCTCACAAAGTGCTGGGATTACAGGCATGAGCCACTGCACCCAGCCGGGAGAACACTATTTCTGAAGTCACGGGTGGATCTGAATTTGGGAGAACACTATTTCTGAAGTCACAGGGGAATGTGAATTTGGGAAGACACTACTCAACCCACTGATGCCCAGTTTCCCCAGTGATGAAGCTCAAGCACGATACGACAACCAGGATCAGTCTCTGGCTTTTTGGGTGGCAAATGGATAAGATGGTACAGCTCATAAGCAGAAAAACTAGGAAGACCAGCTAAAGGGTGACTACTATAATCCAAGCAGGGCACTGTGGTGGCTTGGGCCCAACAGTGATGCCATGATAGGGAGAGAAGTCAGGGAAACGGGATGCACCCTGAGGATGAGGCTGATGGGATCTTCTGATGAACCAGCTGAATTTGAGAGGGGAAGGCAGGACTAAGAATGATTCCTTGTTGGCATTTTTACAGACATAAAGGATAAGTTTTTGCATTAACTTGGGAGAACTAACATGTTTATGATGTCCAAGAACAACAAATGTATTTCCAGAGTTCAAGTCTTCTGTTCCAAGTGCTCGAATGCCCTGGCTAGAGTGCAGTGTTGTGATCACAGTTCACTGCAACCTCAACCTCTTGATGACACTCCCGCCTCAGCCTCCCAAGTAGCTGGGACCACAGGCATGAGGCACCATGCCCAACTATTTTTTTTTTTTTTTTTTGGAGAGAAGGAGTCTCTCTATGTTGCCCAGGCTGGTCTGAAACTTCTGGGCCCAAGCAGTCCTCCCACCTCAGCCTCCCAAAGTACTGGGATTACAGGCGTGAACCACCACAACCCAGCTGGCTACTGACTTAATGTATCAATTTTATATCCAGTTCCTTTACTGAATTTCACTGTCTGTGTTTTAACATTGACTCTTTTGGGTTTTCCAGGTATAGTTCATTTCATCTAGGTGTTCAGATTTAATTGCTGAAGATTATACAATATGGTCTCTTACGATTTTGCTGTCCCAAACAGAATATTGCTTGAAGGGCTCTCACTGGCCATATTGGAATAATTTGAGTTTCAAAAGGACAAATGGTGAAAATAGATTTTAACACATTTAATAAGTACAAATTCATTACCTCAGGAGCCATTCTATAGTAATGCCAAAAAAATATGAAAGGGGAAAGAAAGCTCTTCCTTGAGAAAAGTGTCAACAAACAAATGGGGAAGGAAGGGCAGAGTGGTTTCCCAGCATACAGTCAATGCAAAGAGTACGAATGCTCTGAAGAAAAAGAAAGCAGGAGAGAGCGAGAGCAAGTGTCCACAGATGCGGCCGGGCGCGGTGGCTCACGTCTGTAATCCCAACACCTTGGGAGGCCGAGGCGGGTGGATTGCCTGAGCTCAGGAGTTCGAGACCAGCCTGGGCAACACGGTGAAACCCCGTCTCTACTAAAAATACAAAAAAATTAGCTGGGCATGGTGGCGCACGCGTGTAATGCCAGCTACTCGGAAGGCTGAGACAGGAGAATCACTGGAACCTGGGAGGCGGAGGTTTCAGTAAGCCAAGATTGCACCACTGCACTCCAGCCTGGGTGACAAAGCAAGACTCCATCTCAAAAAAAAAAAAAAAAAAGGCAAGAGCAGAGCCCAGAAGGCACAGGAAGTCTGCGTGCAGAGCAGCAACGCCTGGCAAAGACTGCTGCCCCTGAGCAGAGAGCACAGGGGCCACCAAAAAGCAGGGAGAAGAAGCTGGGACCCCATTACAGCCATGGAGTGCAGAAGCTGTGTCATAAAGGTAGAGCCGACAGCGTCTCCTGGGAAATGCCATTCTACAGATGGTGTCTAGCGCTGCGGGGCGAGAGGCAGACCAAGAGAGCTGCGTTTCATGCTGGGCAGAAGGTGCCTATCAGTTTTCCATGCAGTCAACATGGAGTCAACCTGGAGCCACAGCAAAGAGGTCAGCCTGGGGCACGAGCCTGGGGTCAACAGAGGACTGGATAGCTCAGGGAATAAGGACACACACAACACGAGGACCAGCCTGGGACTTCGGGCACGTCAATATTTAGAAGTCAGGCTTAAGAGGCGGGTCCTCCAAACAGGACTGGGAAGAAGGAGGCGGCAGGAAACCAGAAGAGTGCAGTGTTCTAGAAGCCAAACGGAGACAACTAATCCCAGGTTTTTTTTGCTTGAATTATGATAACAAATGCTGGTGAAAGAACCAGTAAGACGAAGGCTGAGAACTAACCAATGACAATGTCTAGGTCAATGGTGACCATAACCAAAAGGGCATCTGAGGAGTAGTGGAGACCAAAGCCTGCTGCAGCGGGCTCAGCCACGTGGGGACTGGAAACAGCACAGGCAGAAGGAAACCTGAGGGACTGGAATTTAAGGTACAGAAAGGTAAGGAAGAAGCTGAACATGAATAGCCGTGTTTTCAAAGACAGTAGGAGATAATGTTAAAGCTGAAAATCAGTTAAGACATCCAACGTTACAAGATTTGCGGCAGTGAGGGGATCAAACCCAGCCTCCAATTCGGCCAGAGCTCATGACAACACACGTGCCTTGCGAGATGTGAAAACAACAGAACTGCGCCACACCTCCCCCAGGCCACCCCAGCCCACATGCACGTGGGCCTCCCCCAGACCACCCCAGACCACCCCAGCCCACACGCTCGGGGGCCTCCCCCAGGCTCCAGGGTTGGGCAGCCAAGGCTGCTTTCCACCTGCTGACTAGCTCCTCTCTCCCACAAAACGGGAGCACTCCTCGGGGCTCCCATTCAGCCCTCTTACTTTCCAGCCCATTGTCCAGAGAATGAGTCCCTCGTCCTCTCCCCGTGGTCACAGGATTCTTGCCCGCAGCACAAACTTGAAATGTTCCTCAGGCCAGGTACCACTGTCCCACAGAAAGACAGGAAATGCCACAGACATCATTTTAAATTTCTAGCATCTACATTTAAAAAGTAAAAATAGGCCAGGCACAGTGGCTCACACCTATAATCCCAACACTTTGGGAGGCCGAGGCAGGCGGATCACCTGAGGCCAGGAGATCAAGACCAGCCTGGCCAACATGGAGAAATCCCATCCCTATTTAAAATACAAAAAGTTAGCTGGGTGTGGTGGTGGGCACCTGTCATCCCAGCTACGCGGGAGGCTGAGGCAGGAGAACTGCTTGAATCCGGGAGACAGAGGCTGCAGTGAGCTGAGATCACACCATTGCACTCCAGCCTGGGCAACAGAGCAAGACTCTGTCTCAAAAAAAAAAGTAAAAATAGAAGTAACTAATTTTAATAAATTGCCTTTAACTCAGTATAGATCCAAAACATTATCAACATGTAACCAATATAAAATAATTAGTACCAAAAGAGTGTGAACTATCGTACTAAGCCTCTGAAATCTAGTGTGCATTTCACATAGCACATCTCAGTTCGATATGGCCATGTTTCAAGGGTCTGAGGCCCACGTGGGGCTGCAGCCACGTTTCTGGAGATCACAGCCACCTCTCCACTCAGCGCTGCAAGTACAAAAGCCAACCCTTCTCTAAGATTCCATTTGGAATCGAGTGAAAAAGACACTTGTGTATCAGTCTGCAGCAGAGATGGAAACACAGACAGCCTTCCTTTAACCACCTACAGGAGGCCCCTCTTCGCTGCTTCTATCACACCCTGTTTATCTCTTTTAATAGCAATTACCAAAGTGTGTAATTGTTTGTCTTTCTCAAAACTAGGACACAAGGGCTTCTGTAAGTACAAGGCAGACGCCATGTGCATTCTCATGTGGCTCCCAGTGCAGAAGCTGGCACACGAAGGCAGTAAGTACTTGTTACAAAAATCAACAAATTAAGGAACACATGAATGGATAAATGGTTCCTGTCTACACTGAGAAGTCAGTTAATTCCAAAAATATTCACCCTGGGCCACAAAAACATATGTAAATCAATAAAGGCGCAAGCCAATTCCGGCCCTTTCTCCTTTTGTATCAGGTTACACAACAATCTATCAAGGCCCTGAAGTGTGCCAGGCAACATTCAGTGGGTTGGGGAACTAATACAGCTAAATAAGCAGGCCGTGGCGGCTCACGCCTGTAATCCCAGCACTTCGGGAGGCCGAGGCAGGCGGATCATTTGAGGCCAGGAGCTCGAGAGCAGCCTGGCCAACATGGCGAAACCCCGTCTCTACTAAAAATACAAAAATTAGCCGGGCGTGGTGACACACACCTGTAATCCCAGCTTCTTGGGAGGCTGAGGCAGGAGGATCACTTGAACCTGGGAGGTGGAGACTGCAGTGAGCTGAGATCGCACCACTGCACTCCAGCCTGGGCAACAGAGGGAGACTGTCTCTTAAAAAAAATAATAATAAATAAATAAATAAATAGAGCCCTAACCTCAAAGAGTTTACAATCTAGCAATTGAGACAACCAAAAGACCAATAATTAAAACACAAAATAAATGTTACATCAAAAGACAAGGTGCTTTGGAAACAATGACTAGATCTCAATCAGGGGCCAGCAAACTACAGACTGCCACCTGTTTCTGTACAAACTGAAAGCTAAGCATGATTTTTAGACTTTTAGATACATAACTCATAAAAAGTATGTGAATGTTTTTGGCCGGGCCCGGTGGCTCACGCCTGTAATCCCAGCACTTTGGGAGGCCGAGGCGGGTGGATCACGAGGTCAGGAGTTCAAGACCAGCCTGGCCAATATGGCGAAACCCCGTCTCTATTAAAAATACAAAAATTAGCTGGGCGTGGTGGCATGTGCCTGTAATCCTCCCAGCTGCTCGGGAGGCTGAGGAAGGAGAATTGCTTGAACCCGGGAGGCAGAGGTTGCAGTGAGCCAAAATTACGCCACTGCACTCCAGCCTGGGCAACCAAATGAGACTCCATCTCAAAAAAAAAAAAAAGTATGTGACTGTTTCAAGAGTGATATGAAACTCAAATTCCAGTTTCCAAACACTTCCAGTTTTACCAGCACACAACCACCCCCACTTGTTTACGTATTGCCCGTGGCTGCTTTCCTGCCATAAGAAAGCTGAGCAGCTTCCCAGAGACCACGTATGGGCCTCTTGGTGGGCCATAGTGCTGCTCCGCAATGCACGGCGGGATCAGCCGTGCCGAGTGCCACCTGGTCACCGTACTGCTACTGCCACTTACCAAGACAGCTCACACCCATCGTCAAAACAAGAAGGGAGGAGCGGCCCTCAAGTGCTGTCCCTTTAATCCACACTGCAACTGCAATTGTATGGCAAAGCTCTGTTTACCACGCAATGACACGTCAGACAGGGGTGAGAAGACAACGCATGCTGCAGATGAAGTACTCATCACAAAGTTCCCAAATCCCTGGAAGGCAGCAGTCAAGTCAAAAAAATTAAGAAGCTCAACAAATCCAAATGAGAAAAACGCAAAGAGTTCCACACCTACACACATCACCATCAGGCTGAAACCACAGACAGAGACTCTCAAAAGCAGCGACAGAGGAGCAACGTGTCATGAACGAGGGTCCTGAGAGATGAGCAATGGTTCCTCATCAGAAACCATGGAGTGCAGCCAGACAATACCCTCAGAGTACTAAAAAACCTTTATACGGCCGGGCGCGGTGGCTCACGCCTGTAATCCCAGCACTTTGGGAGGCCAAGGTGGGCAGATCACGAGGTCAGGAGATCCAGACCATCTTGGCTAACACGGTGAAACCCCGTCTCTACTAAAAATACAAAAAATTAGCCAGGCGTGATGGCAGGTGCCTGTAGTCCTGTAGTCCCAGCTACTCGGAAGGCTGAGGCAGGAGGATGGCGTGAACCTGGGAGGCAGAGCTTGCAGTGAGCCGAGATGGCACCACTGCACTCCAGCCTGGGCGAGAGGGTGAGACTCTGTCTAAAAAAAAAAAAAAAAAAAAAACCTTTATACACAAAACTACCTTCATAAAGGAAAAATAAAACATTCCAAGATAAACAAAAGTAGAGAGTTCATCACTGAAAGACCTAAGAGTCCTTCAGGATAAATGAAAGGACACTAGACAGTAACTCAAGCCCACATGAATAGAGAGCAC